>NC_000008.11:69677265-70302265 GCF_000001405.40 Homo sapiens
TGTGACAGGAAGATTGGAGTCAACTGGTTCTGTAATTAGCAAAGATTAAAGGGCTCCTTTTCTGAAATTTTAGGTTAGAAGCCAACTGGCGATTTGCCATTTATGAACACCAAAAGAAAAAGTAGCCAATGGGTTATTTAACATCTCTTGAGGAATTAAAGTGCAAAGAATAAGATTATTTGAGTAAATTTATGAATGATTCATGTCTTTTTAATGCTGCAGTACCTTAACCTCTCCATCACATACCCATGAGAGTATGGTATATAATAGGAACTTTCCCAAGACCAGTGCCCTTGTCACCTTTTCCCCAATTTCTTTATTTCTCAGAGCAATTTGCAAAGTGCTGCACACAGGTTGTTATTCCATAAATATCTGCTGCTGGAAGAACTGAGTAAACAAACCAGTGGGCCTTTCATGCACTACTATCTGGCTGTCAAGGAACAGCTTTGCTGGGAAATGCCTGATTCAGCACCAAGTGGGAAGGAAGCCAGAATACATCTGGTGCAGCCAACTGCCCTTGCTAAGCAATGACATCTCAGCAGGTGCTTCCTGCAAGGTGCCCAGCATTGTGGCATCTGAGGAGCCTGGAGAAAGAGTAAGAACTGACTCCCTTTCTTCATTCCTTCCCTGCACTGCACCCCCTAATCCCCCCTAATCCCCTTCCCTGCACTGCACCCCCTAATCTGGGCAGAAGCTGCCCAGACCCATGGGTGAGCTCTTCTGGCTTCACCACGCTGCCCAGTTCCTTTGTCCACTGCAGTCCTTACTGTAAATATCAACACACCGATGTGAATGTATCAGCGTGGCAGGCCTCCATAACAACTGTTTCAGTACAGACTGAGTGTTTAAGTTAAATATTAAAAGCCAGTGCCCTTATACAAATGCTGGAATGTAACAAAAGTCCACCAAGAATTTTGCCTAAGTCTTTCCTGGGCCTTAAAGCACGACAAAATAATGAACAAATTCTTAACAGGATCCATTTAGGATTAAACAAGTTTTATTGGGGGTCTGAAAAAACTCCCTAGGCCTCCATAAACAGGTTTATTGGGGGTCTGAAGGAACTCCCCAAACCTCCGTGATTTAGCAGGAGACAAGATAAGGGTAATCACCCCAGCACCTGGACCCATTTAGATTAAGTAAACTTACTGAGGCTCCAGAAGAAGGTCTTCAAGATTCAGATCTTAGTTATAAATTAAAAGAAATTAATCACTTATGTCTTTAGATGAATGCACACTTACACGTAGACAGATAGCTTAGAATGTATATAAGCTCTAATAAACTTTGTAATTTTGAGTTGGTCTGGTGTTTATTTCCAGGCCTTCTCCCTGTAACTGGTTACAGAAATAAAAACCCTCTTCCTCCCCTGTTCATCTGTATCACGTTATTGCAGTGCAAAAAAATAGCAGCCCGACCATCATTTTGGTCCAGGAACACCAGTGCCAACATTTTTAATAGGACAAAAGTAGCTTCCATGTCCTCTTATAAACAAAAAATCCAAACAAGATATGGCAAAGAAAGCACAGCCTGAAAAACTGAAAAAAAAAAAAAGGGAGAAATCACATTCCCCAATATGCCCTTTTCTTGACTCAACTCTGAAATTTTATATGATAGTAAAATTAATGAACTCAGCATTTCAAATTGCAGGCCCAGCATAAATCACCACTGATCCTGAAGGCAGTAACTATCTATAAGGTTGAAGATAATAGCCTTTGCTGTATGCACGATTTAGCAACTTTCTCAAATTACTTCCTGCCCTCCTCTGGGGTCCAGCTTCTCACAGCTGACAGAGTGATGACTTTCAACTCCTGAAGTTGAACCTCGTAGGGCAGAGACTTCAGGAATCAAAAACATCAAAAGACGTTTCATTATACAGTAAGAATATAACCCAACTGAATAAAGAACTTTCCAAAGTATGAAATGTTACAACCTTTCTTTCCCTTCCCAACAGGGAAAAATCCCTCCTAAGTTCACCAGGCAAATATCTGAGCGCCCTCCTGCACATGCTAATTTTGCTTTGCTCTCTGATTTACCACATAAGCCCCTTGTCCTGGATTATGTGCTCTGGAAATTATAAGTACAGAACCCACCCCAGAAGTTGAATGCTGTTCTCACCTGAGTGTTACTATGATAGCTGATGGTTGGGCACATGCTGTGATGAAGGTGACTATGAAAAGAAAAACTAAGAATGGGATAAGAGTATTGCAGGTCCGTTTACATTTCCCAGACACAGCATAGCCGTTCTCATTGAGATAAGTCTTGACAATAACCACACGGAGCTGACTTCGCTGTCCCACGGTGGGTGGAGTGATCACTTGGCGACTTTGGACACAGGTGCATTCTGTATAATTCCGTATCTAAGTGAGCAAAATAAAGATGAGTTGTGTGCCCCTCAAAAGCTAACTGTGGCATAAGAATATTAAGACAAAGTTAAGTAAAAGTACTCTAAAATAGCTCAAATATTTTTTCAAACACAAAATATTTCATTGAAAGTACCTTCCTCATTGGTAACAGTAAGGATCTCAAGTGTGTGTCTAACAGAATCAAAGTCTGCTGGTCAAAATTGTTTAAACCTAAACTTTTCTAAGAAGCTTTCAACATTCAATACCATTCACGTTCTGCAGGCTCATTTTTGTCATCATTATATTCTGCCTCCATTGCTGTTAACTCTTGGGCTCTCCAATTAGAGAAGCCCCTCAAAAAACAGATCCAAACCTTATTTTTCTTTGTGCTCACAGAGCACCTAGCACAACTCTGGGCACACAGTGGGCCCTAAAGTAAACATCTATTAAATGCAGAGAATTTATAGTGCAATCGTGATGACTTTAGCGCCAATAATAGTGAACATCTCATTGGTGTTCCGTTTTCTTTTCTTTTTCAACTTTTATTTTAGATGCAGGGAGTACATGTGCAGGTTTGTTACACGGGTCTATTGTGTGATGCTGAGGTTTGGTGTACAGATGATCCCATCACCCAAATCATGAGCATAGTTCCCAACAGGTAGTTTTTCACACCTCCCTCCCCATCTCCACCCTCTAGTAGTCTCCAGTGTCTATTGTTTCCATTTTTGTGTCCATGAGTACCCAATGTTTAGCTCCCACTTATAAGTGAGAACATGCGGTATTTGGTTTTCTAATCCTGCATTAATTCACTTAGGATAATGGCCTCCAGCTGCATCCATGTTGCTGCCAAGGTCATGATTTTATTCTTTTTTATGGCTGTGTAGTACTCCATGGTGTATATTATCACATTTTCTTTATGGAATTCATCACTGATGAGCACCTAGCTTGATTCCATGTCTTTACTATTGTGAACAGTGCTGCGATGAACATACAAGTGCATGTGTCTTTCTGGTAGAACAATTTGTTTTCTTTTGGATACATACACAGGAATGAGATTGCTGGGTTGAGTGGTCGTTTTAAGTTCTTTGAGAAATCTCCAAACTGCTTTCCACGGTGTCTAAGTTAATATACATTCTGGTGCTTCCATTTTTAAACATCTTTGAAGTCCCTTTAGTTAGCTGGTGCCCTACACCCTATAGAAGAGCAACCAGCTCCATGGATGTAACTTGGCTACTACAGCCCCCACCCAGTACTGCTCCTGGACTGTGACAGAGTCAGACTAAATGGACATCAGCTGGCCTTCATTGCAACCTTTGAATACTTGAAGCAGTCATAAGAAAAAGTATGAAGATGGGGCACTGTTTGGCTGTCATGCTCAAAAGACTGCTGGCATATTTTAAAGGATGAACACTCACTCTCAAGAAAGGACTTCGCCACCAAGAGAACAGATCTCACCCTTTCAACATGGCGACACAGTGGAGTTCACCAATTATATAATGGGGAACAAACAACAGGAATTCTCAATTTATCATTGCAGTTTAAAACTCAGACATCAAAAACAATATCCCCAAAACATTCAGTGGATGGTATAATCCCTTATCACCTGCACAGAACAAGCACATGCATTTTAACCTTTTAGTGAAAGCAACTTCGTACAATCTGTTCTTCACAAAGAATCAAACTGGGCTCAATAAGTAACTGTGTAGAGGCCGGGCACAGTGGCTCACACCTGTAATCCCAGCACTTTGGAAGGCCAAGGCAGGCAGATCACCTGAGGTCGGGAGTTCGAAACCAGCCTGACCAACATGGAGAAACCCCGTCTCTACTAAAAATACAAAATTAGCCAGGCATGGTGGCACATGCCTATAATCCCAACTACTAGGGAGGCTGAGGCAGGAGAATCACTTCAACCTGGGAGGCGGAGGTTGAGGTGAGCCGAGATCATGCCATTGCACTCCAGCCTGGGCAACAAGAGCAAAACTCCATCTCAAAAAAAAGAAACAGTAGAATATGAAAACCTTCTCCCACAGTATTACAGCCCATTTATAATTTACAGGAAAGGGAATTCTCAAAATAGCCTATTCTTGAACTGTCAGAAATATCTTTACTTTGAAAGTTTTTTTTTAAGCCGGAACTGAACTGATATAGTCTATGAAAAATGGCCATCACCCATCTTCACAGACTCCAGTCAGGGGAGGTGCTTTCCTATACTTTTTTATCAGCACCAAATGTGGTCATCTTGACCTTCAAATCCATCACAAGGGCCCTGTCAGAGAAACAAATGGCAGGCCTAGAGCTCAACCTTATCAAGTTTCACTGACTTGGCGCAGAATATAAAGTAGGAGAAGGCTGATATGGAACAAAATCCCTGCACCCAAATGTTCCAGTCATCCCTGGAAAAAAAAATAATAGCAATGCATAATTTTCTTTCCTCTAGGTTTTCATCAGAGGTATTTTGTAGGTTACTTGGAGCCTCTTGAAAAGAAAGACTGAAGTCATTGTAGCTGCATAGGAATTTCATCACATCCTTGTCACAGGATGTTGGACTAACAGAAGAGGAACTTGTGAAATATACTCACCCCAGTGCTAAGATTACCACTATTAACACAGCCAGCCAGACAAGGGTTAAAGTATGTAATTCCATCTGATCCACAGACTGGCTCATACTCGTGTATTTTACAACCACAATTAACGTTGCAGCTTCCTGTCAGATTCCTATGGGGCATGGTGAGAGAAGGTCTAAGAGAGAAGAGAAGCAGATCATGAGCAACACTTACCAAAATAAAACTCATAGGAAAGGTCTTGAAATTAATAATTTGTCCATTTTAGAGAAAATATTCTTCCCATTGAATCAAAGCCATGATACCCAAAGTAGTCATCCTCAACAATTATTTTGTGACTTTAAAACAAAACATAAAGAAAAATGTTTCAACTTACTGGTATTACAGATTCAATGCTTTTTATCAAATTACTGCCCCACATCAATTTCACCCTCCCTCTTGGTGCTATGAACCTGGTCTCAACATCTGGGCTCTGCAATTCCAACCCTAATATAACTACTCACTTACTGTAGGCGCCAGGCTCTACATCTTAACAAATCTGTACCTCAATTTCTTTATAAAATGGAGAAAATACTTTTTAGTATTGAATCAATAACATCACTGTGAGCACATGATCACTGTTAAAATCCATCTATCCCAGTTATTAATATACGTTCCTTCGACCAAAAACTTGTATTCTAGAATAAATTATCAAAGAAAGGCATTGGGGCTCTAGACAATCAAAATGAAGTATTTTCAAAGATGATTAGGAATCACATTGCTAGTTTGATTTAAACAACCAGAGAATAAAGATTAAGCAGTTCTTCACTCAGGATTGCCCCGGTGTGGATCCACAATCAAATATGGTGGGTTTCTTTTCTTGAGATCATGGTGTCTGATACAAAGAAATGATACCATATGAAAGGCTTGAAGAAAATAAATTCAGGCAACAAATATAGAGGGAAGGAAAGGCAGGTAAGGATATAGGCCTGGGGAGAAGAGTGTAAACAAACAGCGGTGGAAGAGCAGAGGAGCACCTGGGGGATCCACAGGAAAAGGAAAGGCGCTCTGTACTGCTCGTACCCCATGACCGCTTTTGCTTTTGTGACCACCAGTTTTGTGTATCACTGATGAAATGTTGTTCCCAAGACTAGATGAGTTAGCAATAGCAGATCCTTCATCCAACCATCCATTTTTCCAGTATCTACCCATTTAACAAATATTTTGGAATGTCTGTTACGTACCAGGTCTTATCTTTTTTGAAATAGATTTAGAGGGGGTGAAAGAACAGTTTTGTCATGTGGATATATTGTGTAGTAGCGAAGTTTGGGCTTTTAGTGAACCCATCACCTGACTGATGTACATTGCACTCAATAGGTAATTTCTCGCCCCTCAACTCCCTCCCTCGCCACCAAGACTTATCTTTTTTTTTTTTTGAGAAGGAGTCTCACTCTGTCGCCCAGGCTGGAGTGCAGTGGCGTGATCTCCACTCACTGCACCCTCCACCTCCCAGGTTCAAGCAATTCGCCTGCCTCAGCCTCCCGAGTGGCTGGGATTACAGGCACCTGCCACCATGCCCGGCTAATTTTTGTATTTTCAGTAGAGATGGGGTTTCACCATGTTGGCCAGGCTGGTCTCGAACTCCTAACCTCGTGATCCACTCCCCCTTGGCCTCCCAAAGTGCTAGGATTACAAGCGTGAGCAACCATGCCTGGCCAAGACTTATCTTTAATGACTATGCTGGTACCACTTATACAGTAGCATAGCCCATCCCAATCATGCGTGTTAATTGGTGTTTGTTCAAAGGTTTTTCTCCTGTGGCCTCTTTCAAACTTTGATAATGAGTCCTTAAATTTTAATGGGGGAAACAAATTCAAAACAATATTAAAGTCTTATCAAGAAATCCTCCTAACAATGCAAAAGGCAAATAAATTCTGTTTTTCATTCATGTCGCTCCATAGAAAAAAAGTATGACAAGACTCTAATAATCATTACATTCACAAACTCCTAGTGTCATATCATCTTAAAGTTTGTATATACCTAAAAAAATATTATTCTAGACTAGTGGGTCTCCACTGGGTCAATTTTGCCCCCCCAGGGGACCTTTGGCAACGTCAGGAGACAATTTTAGTTCTCACAACTGAGGGGGTGCTACGGGCATCTAATGGGCCAGTAGTTCCTACTGAGGTAGGAGATCAGCGGGACCTGCTTTCTGAGCCCTGGTCACAACCCTGCTGATCAAAACAGGATGTAGCAAAGAAACTGGCCAAATCCAGGAGAACCAAGATGGCAACCAAAGCGACCTCTAGTTGCTTTGCTAATTATATGCTAATTATAATACATTTGCATAAGACACTCCCACCACCACCATGGCAGTTTATAAATGATGCCATGGCAAATGGCCCAAAAGTTACCTTATATGGTTCTGGGAACTCTCTGCCCCTTTTCCAGAAAGTTTGTGAATAACCTGCCCCTTATTTTGTATATAATTAATAGTGGGTATAAATATAGCCAGCCAGCAATCCACAAGTGCTTCTCTGGGCCACTCCACCTATGCTCTATGAAGGAGCCATTTTGCTGTACACTGCTTCTCTAATAAACTTGTTTTCTTTCACTGCCAGCTTGCTCTTGAATTCTTTCCTGTGCAAAGCCAAGAACTCCTCCTAGCTGAGACCCAATTTTGAGGTTTTGCCTGCATCACTACAATGCACAGGAAGGCCCCCACCACCTCCCATTATAAGGAATTATCTGGCCCAAATGTCAATAGTGCTGAGGATGAGACACTCTGTTCTAGACCAACTTTCACACTGTTCAAGGAGGCAAAAAGCTTTCCTGAGTTTAGGAAACGAGCACAGACCCAGGTCACCCTGGGGTATGTTTGCTTTTCTTATGAGATCATGGTGTCTGATACAAATAAATGCTATGAAATGAAAGGCTCTAAGAAAATCAATACATGCAACAAATATAAATAGCAATGAAAGGAAGTGGGCATTCATGAAAAAGTTATTAGGAGAGAAGGTGATCATGGTACACACACAAAAAGCTGCTGACGTGGTTCATCCTTTACACTGTGCTGAAAATCATTTTTAAGAATAATCATGTCCTGTCTGATTGTCATTCACTCTCCAGAAAACATACTGGATTCTAATAATAGCACAAATGTTTAAACCTGAGTAACACTAAGCAATCTCTCATTAGCCTGAAGAGAACCCATCATGAGAGCACAAAATGCACAAGGACTATTTACTGAAGGCTGCCCTCATCCTTGTGCAAAAGGACTGTGCAGCACCTTCCCAACAAACAAAAAGCATTTCTGGCAAGACATAAAATGCACAAGGGCTTCTTACTGAAGGTAGTCCTCCAGATAAGAGAATCGTGTTAACTCAAGAATCAATGTAAGTGTTAATTTTGAGTGAGGCACGGGGCCTCGATAGCAATACCTTATAACTGGGTGGTCCACAATGTAAGCCTGAGAGTCACACATTTCATCTTACTATAAAAATCATGGAATTACAGAGCTAGAGAGATGGAGGGATCTCTGAGATTATCTGGCAAATTTGCTAACTTTAAAGAATGGGAAACTATAAGAGGTATCATGGCAAGCCCCACAATCATTGAGGCCTCAAGAAAACCAGCCCTGGGGAGACAGCAAAAGAGAAAACAAGTAAAAACAACAACCTTGTTATCCAATCTTTGTGAAATCAATCACTCAGGGATCGATGCTTATGTAAAGTAATATATAACAGCAAGACAGATGATTGTTAAACATAATTCAAACACTTTCTGCTATAGGGTCATTACAGCTAAGTATGTAAGAACACAGTGGCCCTCAAAAATCACATTCACACCACAGCAATTGTGTCCCATCACCCTACCCCAAGATCTAAAGAACACTTCAACTTCCCCATCTAAACATACTTCTACTACATACTTCTACTGGTCTCTGTAAATCAAAGAGAAGTCCCCTAACTTTTTTAAGGGACTTCTGCCTCCTTTTGAGTTCCTCTCTATTAAAAGATGTGACAAGTAGAAATCCATACATACTATGCTCATGCCACGTGGACTAAAAGAACATGCTTCACACAGCAAAAAAAAGAGAGAGAAGACCTCTTTAGCAAAATATACTAATAAACTAGAACAGTATCTTTCTCATAATTTCTTAATCTTCATCAATTTATCTCAGTCTTCAAGAAGACTTCAATGAGAATGTTTCTTTTCAATGCCACTTAAATTTTTGGCTTCATATGAGAACCCTTCTTTGGCTATACAGAGCTATGCAACTTCAGGTTTATAAATATTATTATCATCGTCATAATCATCATTATCATTTAAAACTAACATCAGCAGAACCCTATTTTTGTTCCATGTATTGCACCCTGAGATCTCAGCATAAGTTGTCTCATTCATTCCCCATGAGAATTGTCATTATTATTGCCACACTTCCATCTTTCAGACGAAGAAATTGAAGATTTGAGAGGATAGGCACTGCCAAAGTCACACAGCTAGTAAGGGTCAGAAATGGATTTAAACCCAATTTTATCTTTCACCACAGTGTGCATCTGTAAGCCCCAACACTGGCAGGGAAGCTTTGTGTAACTGTCCCTAGTTTTACTCCTCTAGCACAGGTCTTCTGGGTGGCTTATTTCGCTTTCTTCTTCCTGGAGAAAGCTCTAATGCAGTTTTTCTCGCACTCTGCTTTCAGTGTTCCTGAGTGTGAGTCGGAAAGAGCTGGGTTCAATTTCATATCCACAATTCACAAGTGCTGTGAATTTCAGATTTTATATTTGTAAACAGTTATCAAAATGTCAGTATCACACAGTCGTTGTGGGGGATTAGGCGGGTGAATGTATGGCCAGTGTCCAGCATTGTGCCTGGGACATAACACGCGCTAAGATATTGGTATCTTTCCGCACTTAACAGAAGCATGAATGAATAGCAGTAACACAATCACAAACGTGAGGAGTGCAAAAGGCTACCATGACATTTTTCCTTTCAAAAAGGATAAAATAGCTTTTAAATTTACTCCTACAGAGAATGGTGGGAAAAGAACTAGATGGAGATCTAGTTTCAGGCCTGCCATTTAGTAGCTATGTGACCTTGGGCCAAATCTTTTCGTCTATGGCTATTAAATACCCCTCCTGACTACACGAAGGAGAGTAAGACTAATCAACAAAGCGCAGTATGTCATAGCATATGTGCTAGCATAGGTTTAGAAGAGGACTATATTCAAGGAAATTGTGATTACTGCGTCTAATTGTTATTTTTATCATTAAAGCTCCCTTCAGCTTTGTAGACAAGAAATTTAAATCAGGTGTAACTTGAAACTTACATGTAATAACCCACAATATGTACAAACTATCTCTTTAAGTCCAAAATCATTTCAAATAAAATAATGTGTCACTTATATGGCTTTTCAAAATATCTTTATTTATTATTAAAGTAATACATACTCATTGTAGAAATTTTTTAAAATACACAAAGACAAAAAAATTAAACTCATGCATAGTGCTAACACCCAGCGATATCCACTTTTAATGCTTTTAGTATATTTTGTTCTGGTCTTTTCTCAATGTACGTATAGATTAACATTAATAACATATTGCTACCAAGATTGTATGTAAAGTTTTAAATTCTGTTTTGTCTCCTCCTAACATTACATTATATTGTTATGTTAATATGTTAATATAACATATTTTAACATATATATAATTTTAACATATACATAATCATAATATAACATAACATATGTTAATATAAGGGTATAGAAAGGTAAACTTGGTCCTAAGTTTAATGATACTCATAGGCATTTTTGAAATAAAAACTTATCATGTTTTAAGGGTATATATCTTAAAACATGATACCTTACAGACTTCATGTTGATTTGTTTAGATCTTGGTTACAAAATTTCAAACTTGGCAGAAAGAAAATTTGCTTATAGTTTTTATCCCCCTGATACTCCTAAAACGAAGTAAAACAAACATTGTGTCTCCAAATAGAGCCAAAAAAAAGACGAACTCATATATTTACATCTAGAAATGAACTCTAAGACTATAAATAGAAGGAGCTAGGATAATCCAAAAACATGTATGTCTATGCTCTTTTAAGCAAACTTCTTTCCCCTCTAATTCTCAGAAACTTCCGTTAAAATTAGTAATATCTACAATAAATGATTTTGAATGGTGCTAAAATTTTTTTTTTATTATTATTATACTTTAAGTTTTAGGGTACATGTGCACAATGTGCAGGTTAGTTACATATGTATACATGTGCCATGCTGGTGTGCTGCACCCATTAACTCGTCATTTAGCATTAGGTATATCTCCCAATGCTATCCCTCCCCGCTCCCCCCACCCCACAACAGGCCCCAGAGTGTGATGTTCCCCTTCCTGTGTCCATGTGTTCTCATTGTTCAATTCCCATCTATGAGTGAGAACATGCGGTGTTTGGTTTTTTTGTCCTTGCGATAGTTTACTGAGAATGATGATTTCCAATTTCATCCATGTCCCTACAAAGGACATGAACTCATCATTTTTTATGGCTGTACAGTATTCCATGGTGTATATGTGCCACATTTTCTTAATCCAGTCTATCATTGTTGGACATTTGGGTTGGTTCCAAGTCTTTGCTATTGTGAATAGTCCCGCAATAAACATACGTGTGCATGTGTCTTTATAACAGCATGATTTATAGTCCTTTGGGTATATACCCAGTAATGGGATGGCTGGGTCTAATGGTATTTCTAGTTCTAGGTCCCTGAGGAATTGCCACACTGACTTCCACCATGGTTGAACTAGTTTACAGTCCCACCAACAGTGTAAAAGTGTTCCTATTTCTCCACATCCTCTCCAGCACCTGTTGTTTCCTGACTTTTTAATGATTGCCATTCTAACTGGTGTGAGATGGTATCTCATTGTGGTTTTGATTTGCATTTCTCTGATGGCCAGTGATGATGAGCATTTTTTCATGTGTCTTTTGGCTGCATAAATGTCTTCTTTTGAGAAGTGTCTGTTCATATCCTTTGCCCACTTTTTGATGGGGTTGTTTGTTTTTTTCTTGTAAATTTGTTGGAGTTCATTGTAGATTCTGGATATTAGCCCTTTGTCAGATGAGTAGCTTGCGAAAATTTTCTCCCATTTTGTAGGTTGCCTGTTCACTCTGATGGTAGTTTCTTTTGCTGTGCAGAAGCTCTTTAGTTTAATTAGATCCCATTTGTCAATTTTGGCTTTTGTTGCCATTGCTTTTGGTGTTTTAGACATGAAGTCCTTGCCCATGGCTATGTCCTGAATGGTAATGCCTAGGTTTTCTTCTAGGGTTTTTATGGTTTTAGGTCTAACATATAAGTCTTTAATCCATCTTGAATTAATTTTTGTATAAGGTGTAAGGAAGGGATCCAGTTTCAGCTTTCTACATATGGCTAGCCAGTTTTCCCAGCACCATTTATTAAATAGGGAATCCTTTCCCCATTGCTTGTTTTTGTCAGGTTTGTCAAAGATCAGATAGTTGTAGATATGCGGCGTTATTTCTGAGGGCTCTGTTCTGTTCCATTGATCTATATCTCTGTTTTGGTACCAGTACCATGCTGTTTTGGTTACTGTAGGCTTGTAGTATAGTTTGAAGTCAGGTAGTGTGATGCCTCCAGCTTTGTTCTTTTGGCTTAGGATTGACTTGGTGATGCGGGCTCTTTTTTGGTTCTATATGAACTTTAAAGTAGTTTTTTCCAATTCTGTGAAGAAAGTCATTGGTAGCTTGATGGGGATGGCATTGAATCTATAAATTACCTTGGGCAGTATGGCCATTTTCACGATATTGATTCTTCCTACTCATGAGCATGGAATGTTCTTCCATTTGTTTGTATCCTCTTTTATTTCAGCAAGGCCGGTGGACCCCGCCCCGCCCCTTTGCGGGTACGGGGGGGCGCCAGGGGCCTCCCACTTATTCTACACCTCTCATGTCTCTTCACCATGCCAGACTAGAGTCAAGCTCAACAGGGTCTTCTTTCCCCGCTGATTCCGCCAAGCCCGTTCCCTTGGCTGTGGTTTCGCTGGATAGTAGGTAGGGACAGTGGGAATCTCGTTCATCCATTCATGCGCGTCACTAATTAGATGACGAGGCATTTGGCTACCTTAAGAGAGTCATAGTTACTCCCACCATTTACCTGTGCTTCATTGAATTTCTTCAATTTGACATTCAGAGCACTGGGCAGAAATCACATCGCGTCAACACCCGCCGCGGGCCTTTGTGGAATGGTGCTAAAATATTTAAACAATGGAGAAAAAACTCTTAAGTAGATTAAGCTACCCATGAGACACAGGCAAGGAGATGAATGGTTTGAATGATATAATTGAAGGATTTAGGAATGACATGGCCAGAAATGCCAGTCAACTGGGAGGGCTGGTCAACTATCTAAAGACACCATGTTGTCCTACGGTAAAATCAAGTGTGGTGAAGAGGAAGCTGAGTTGTGCATGTGGCAAAGGTCTGAATTAACAGACTGTATTTATTTAATTTCTATAGTCTGAATACGATGGGGCAATAAAGCTATATTCAGAGAAGATACTTTAGGGAAATATTTCGGAGCTGGGTGGAACTGAGTGAATCATCCTGTCCAACAGTCTCGGCCAAGAGCAGAAAACTGAGAAAACTCTTCCTGGTCATTTGGTAGCTCAAGAATCACCCCTGGAGAAGTTTCAGCTCAGTAGCTCAAGTCACAAACCCAGATAATATAATAGATTTTGCTTTAAGTTCAAAAAGATGACAATTGATAAATGAAAGATAGTCATAGACAGTAAGTAAGTACTAAGTGATTCATCAGCACATAGCACTGGTTAAAAAGTCTTTATACAGACATCAGACTTAACCCCATTTAAAAAATTATTTGAAGAAAAGGCAGAGTGAGGGGCAATAACTCACATTACACAATGGATTTATGTAAAGCATCACTTAACCAAAGTTTTCATGGTCAATGCCAGCTCTTTCGGGTCCAAGGTGATTAGGACACACCTGTATGAAGTACAGTCTGGCAGCCACAGAGAGGAAGCAAAACACATTTCTTAATTAAAACTGGAGGAAAATTGTGAGTGCTGGGAATGTAATTATGTGAGTTGGAAATGGGCCAGGATTTTGCTAGAGCTCTCACGATCTTTCAAAATGAAAACTCATCAGATTTTTAAGTCTGAAGTTTCTGTTTTATTTTACGGTGGTTAGAATACCTAACATGAAATCTACCTTCTTAACAAAGTTTTAAGTGTACAATACAGTATTGTTGACTCTAGACATGATGTTGAACACCAGATCCCTAGAGCTTATTCATCTTGCTTGATTAAAACTATATGGCTCCTGATTAGTAACAACCCTTTTCCCAATCGCCCCAGCCTTGATGACCACCATTCTAGCTCTTTGAGTCTATGAACTTGACTCTTTTAGATACCTCATGTAAGTGAAATCTGTGACCAGCTTTTTTCACTCAGCATGATGTCCTCAAGGTTCATCTATGTTGTTGCATATTGCAGAATTTCCTTCTTTTTTAAGGCTGAATAGTGTTCCATTGTATGTATATAGTCATGTGTCACTTAATGACAGGGACACATTCTGAGAAATGCATCATCAGGTGGTTTCATCACTGTACAAATGTCATAGAATGCACTTACACAAACCTAAGTGGTCTAGCCTACTATACTCCTAGGCTATACAGTATAGACTATTGCTCCTGGGCTACAAACCTGTACGGCATATTTGTGTACTGAATACCATAGGCAATTACAACACAATGGCAAGGAGTTGTGTGTCTAAACATAGGAAAAGTACAATAAAAATAAAGTATAAGGCCGGACGCGGTGGCTCACGCCTGTAATCCCAGCACTTTGGGAGGCCGAGGTGGGCAGATCACAAGGTCAGGAGATCAAGACCATCCTGGCTAACACAGTGAAACCCTGTCTCTGCTAAAAATACAAGAAAATTAGCTAGGTGTGGTGGCGGGCGCCTGTAATCTAAGCTACTTGGGAGGCTGAGGCAGGAGAATGGCATGAACCCGGGAGGCGGAGCTTGCAGTGAGCCAAGATCGTGCCACTGCACTCCAGCGTGGGCAACAGAGTGAGACTCCATCTCAAAAAATAAAAAAGTATAAAAAATAAAAAATGATACACCTGTATAGGGCATTTATCATGAATGGAGCCTGCAGGACTGGAATTTGCTCTGGGTGAGTGAATGAGTGAGTGAGTGGTGAGTGAATGTGAAGGCCTAGGACATGACTGTGCACTGCTGTAGTCTTCATAAGCACTGTACACTTAGGCTACGCTAAATCCATTAAAAACCACAGTTCTTTCTTCAATAATAAATTAGCCTTAGCTTACTATAATTTTTTTACTTTATACACTTTGTAATTATTTTTTAGCTTTTTGACTCTTTTGTAATAGCACTTAGCTTAAAGCACACATTGAACTGTGGTGCAAAAGTATTTTTTCTTCATATCCTTATTCTATAAACTGTTTTCTTTTTTTGCCGTTTTAAACTTTTTCTTAAAAACTATGACACAAACACACACATTAGCCTACACCTACACAGGGTCAGGATCATCAGTATCACTGTCTCCCACCCCCATATCTTGTCTCAAGATCTTCACGGACCATAACATGCATGGAGCTGTCATCTCCTAAGATAACAATGCCTTCTTTCGGAATACCTCCTGAAGGACCTGCCAGAGGCTGTTTCCCAGTTGACTTTTTTAATACGTAGAAAGAGTATGCATTAAAATAATGATTAAAAGTATAGTATAGTAAATGCATAAACCAATAACACAGGTGCTTATTATCAAGTTCTATGTACTCTACACAACTACATGTGCTGTACTATTGAAGGACTGCCAGCACAGTAGGTTTCTTTACACCAGCATCACTCCAAACTCATGACCAACGCATTGCACTTCGACCTTATGACTACAATATCATTAGGCAATAGGAATTTTTCAGCTCCATTACAATCTTACAGGATGACCATTGTATATGTCCATCATTGACTGAAACATTGTTATGTGATGCATGAACATACCACATTTTCTTTGTCCATTCATCTGTCTATGGACATTTAAGTTGCTTCCATATCTTGGCTATCAAATCTGAATTTTCTAAGAAAACCACTAATAACACATCAGGTTCATTCTACAAAAAGACTGTGATTCCATTTTGGCTTCACAGGAAAAGCTCATTCTCCTAAAACATCCCAACCCCATCTCAGGCACTTAGGTGACTTATGAGTATTTGATACTAATCAAAGATGGGTCAGTCATTAAGTCTTTTCACCATGCCTGTAAACCTGAAGCCCTTCACATAAACTTTAATGAATGGAACTGGCTTATATAGCATGCTTTCTTCTTTGTATTTTTTTCTTCTGTCAAAATAGTGTAATAATCAAAAGTATTGCAGCATTGCATCCAGAACCAAAGAAACCTAATTTCAAACCCTAGCTCAGCCATTTTCTAGCTGTTTGACTTCAAGCAAGTTATTTAACCTCTCTGAGACTTTATCCTCATTAATAAGGAGAAAAATACCATTAAATAGTTATTTATCAATTGCTTACAATTTATGAATTTTATCCCATTTTATCCTCCCTATAATCCTAAGAGATGAGTACTATAATTGATCACATCTTAATGTTGAAGAAATTGAGGCACAGAAAGGTTAAAGAATTGGCCAAGTATCTTACTCAATCCTCACATCAATCCGACTAGATAGATACTATCTGTAGTCTCACCTTAAAGATGTAGAAACCAAGCCCAGAAAAGTCAAATAATTTGCCCATACTCAGACAGCCAGTATGTGGCAAGGCTCAGGTGAAAATCTAGACTGGCTGATGTGAGAGCCACAGAGCAAATGCTGTAGGCATGCACAGCATGTAGCACGATGCCTGTAACTCAGCTGCTTTGAAATATCAGAAAGCCATGCAGTATTGAGAAGTAGATACATCCCCAATAGCTCATTCAGCAAGAAGGTTGTGTGTGCATGCAGGTGCGTACGTGCATGAAATACACAATTTAAAACAGCACCTCAGTGAGGTGCTCAGAAAGAATGCAAACTCTGACATAAATCATCTAGATCTGATTCAGCTCCACTCCTTATTAACTGATGAGTTTGGATAAATCACTTCATTTCTAAGCCTCAGGTTCTTTAACTAAAACATAGATAATAATATAAACAGTAGAGGGATGTTGTAAGCATAAGACATGTGTAAGTGCCAATCACACTGAACCAAACATGTACCTTACAAAGACTCCTCTCTTCACTGCCACTCCCTTCATCTTTCTCTTTATTGACTTGAAAGGGAAAAAAGCCACATGCAAGTCTTAAAATCATGCAGAACAAGAAACAGTTTTTACTAGGCAGGCCAGCCACATACTGTTGAGCAGGTTGTACACTGCACAAGGGCACCCAGCCAAGGGAGCAAAGCTGAAATGTAGCTCACACCCTGCTTGGAGAAAGGATTCCATTTTTGTTCACGCAAAGGTATCTGCTACTCTAAAAGTGGCACGCCTATACAGCCGCACCACCCAGTAGTGTTTTCATTAAGTCATTCTAGACTGTATTCCTAGGACTTGAGAAACCAGAAAAATTCTCCATGGAAACTGAGTTATTCCTTTGCTACAATTTATAAAGTTCCTTTAAAGTCAGACTGCAAATACTAAAACAATTGGGTCCTTGCAGCAGCTTCCAGCACTCTTAGTCAGGTTACTTGTTCTAGATTGAATACAACTAAGTGAGAAAAGGTGTACTGTAATTCATGGATTAGATAATAAAGATGTAAATTTCCGTCGAGTTCATAAGAGTTGCAGCCTCACTATATGAGTAACATCCCTGAGCAGAGGTAGGTGCCAGACATTCATTCATCTGTTAAAGAAGAAAATGGAATTGCTCTGCATGATCCAGAAAGGAAGGGAGTAGAGATAAGAAACTAACTTTTTTCAGCATATACAAAGTGCTAGATTCTGTGCTAGGAAATATGAGAAACTTCCCTGTATCATCCTCATTATCAAAACTACAAATGTTTGTTTAAAATATTCACATGATTTAAACTAAAGGTTGCCAGGCATCGTGGCTCACATCTGTAATCCCAGCACTTTGGGAGGCAGAGGCAGGCGGATCACGTAAGGTCAGGAGTTCAAGACCAGCCTGGCCAACATGGTAAAACCCCATCTCTACTAAAAAATACGAAAATTAGCCGGGCATGTTGGCGGGACCTGTAATCTCAGCTACTCAGGAGGCTGAGGCAGGGATAATTGCTTGAACCCAGGGGGCGGAGGTTGCAGTGAGCCGAGATTGTGCCACTGCACTTTAGCCTGGATGACAGAGCGAGATTCCGTCTCAAAAATAAAAAATAAAAAAAAGAAAGGTTGAGGATGAGAAAAGGAGACATTGACTTCTCTCTTTTTTTTTTTAACCCTTCCGCACTATTTTAATGTTTTCAACCAAATGTATAAGTAATTATGCTGGTAACCAGGAGAGATGAACTTTAATTATGCTTGTAACCAGGAGAGATTGACATTATCACCAATTTTATATATGAGAAACCCAAGACTCAACAATGGTATGTAATTTTTTTGCAAGGTCACACAGTTAGGAAATGATGGAGCCAGTACTTGCCTTTGAAAACAATACTGTGTTAGACAGATGAGTTTGAGGGGATGGAAGAAAGAAGTTCAGAAAGTTCATTCTTCATAACTTCACCTGTAACTAATATGGGCTACTAGGTTGTCTGCTAAGAAAAACAAGACCAGGGTATGATAAAGGACTTGAAGAAATGGGTTTAAAAATAAAAACAGAGCCACCATCATGGGCATGAGAAAGAAAGCTGACTGGGATGAAGTAAATGGATTGCTCAGCAAATATGAGGTCCTGCTAAGATTGGAACTCATACATTTGTAATGGAGCCAATCAGCACATTATGTAATTTTTTCCCAGCAGTGCTGGGCAAGCCCAGCAGCAGTTGATTCAGGATGGGTGAGGTAGGTGTGGTGTTAAGCAGGGGCTTTAAGAGTCTTGAGGAAACTTGCTGTTTAAAAGCAGGTAAGACGTGGACTGTGCTTTCCGTTCCCTTCTGAGAACACACTTGAAATAAAAGCAGAGTAGGGTTAAAAGGAAAGCATGACACCAAACTCCACAAAAATGGCAAGTAGATAGGCATGGGTTTATGTGAGACAGGCAGAGGCCGCCTTGGAGAAAGAGGAGCCAGCCTGCCCGATCGAATCTCCATGGGTTCTGAGCTCAAAGTGAGCAGATGTGACAGAAGGCAAAAGTGAGATGTGGAGAAAAAACTGTGGGCCTCCCTGGAGATCTAAGGAAGACAAATTGTATCAGTGAGCCCTTCCATTCTCATTTATCCGTTGCCTCCCATCTCCAATTTACGGCCCAGAAATTCATCAGGAAGTGCTTCTCTAAGGAACCTGGAAGAAATTTAAAAAGCTAAACTTCTACTCTAGATGTTGAGAACTCTGAATAAAATCCCCTCATTCTTGTATTTGAGGTAGAGGGAGAGAAAAGACACGATCTGAGATATGTTAGGCTGAGTATTGTCATCTGCAAAGCCCAGAATAAACAAACAGAAAAACTGATTCTTTAAAACAAAATGATAAAATGCAAGGCATAAAAACAAAGTTAAAAGAAAGATCCTAATTATATGTGCAGAGAGATCTGAGAAGACATTACTCCATAAAACAACACCAGAATGCTATGAAAAGGGAACACTCAGAATCCAGCAAAGAAAAAAATCCTCAAAATAAAAAATGTACATAAAGATAGAAAACAAGGCTTAAAAAAATCTCTCATAGCAAAAGACAAAAGCATGCAATATGAGAGAATAAATTAAACACACAGGCAACCAGTCCATACGTTCCAACATCTGACTAACAACAGTACTAGAGAACACAGGGAAAAGAGAAAATGAGTTTAAAAAAAAAGACATATGTTGCATTAAAAGGGTCAGAAAGTGCCTAGTACAATGAATGAACAAAGCCCTGTGCCGAGGCACTCATTCATTCGTTCATTCATTCATTCACACAACAAATATCATACATATTTTAGATGGTGAGGATGCAACTGTTATATAGATAGCTGGGCCAGGCATGGTGGCTCATGCCTATAATCCCAGCTACTCGGGAGGCTGAGGCAGGAGAATCGCTTGAACCCGGGAGGTGGAGGTTGCAGTGAGCCGAGATTGTGCCACTGCACTCCTGCCTGGGCGACAGAGCGAGATTCTGTTTCCAAAAAAAAATTATATATATATACACACACAGCTCTACGAACAGTGCCCAAAGAGCTCATATTTTAGACAGAGGGGACAAAAGCAAAGCAAATCATTAAATGAGATAATTTCAGATAATGTTAAGTGCCATGAGGAAACTAAGGAGAAATAATGTAATCAAGAGTGGGGGGACAGCGGGCTCCCCTAGATTGGGCAGAGATGGAAAGCCTCTCTGAGAAGGTGGCATTAGGATTATAAGAAGGCTCCATCCATGACAAAATCTGAGGGTAAATCATTCCTTAAGAAATTTCACAACACCTTGAAAAAAAGTATTCTGAAAACTTCCAAATAAAGTTAGCCACAGAGAAATGAGAACTAAGGCTGAAATTACATTTCTTATCAGCAACAGAACATGCTAGATGACAAATAAAGCAATGGTTTCCAAGTCCCCAGAAAGATAATTTTTTTTATTTTTACTTGTTTGTTTGTTTCAATTTTTTTAAACTTATTTTAGGTTCAGGAGTACATGTGCAAGTTTATTATACAGGTAAATTATGTGTTAAGCGGGTTTGGTGGACAGATCATTTCATCACTCAGGTAATCAGCACAGTACTCAATGGGCAGTTTTTCCAACCTCTCCCTCTTCCCACCCTCCAGTGTTGACCCCAGGGTCTGTTGTTCCCTTCTTTGTGTCCATGTGTACTCAGTGTTTAGCTTGTAAGTGGGAACATGCGGTATTTGGTTTTCTGTTCCTGTGTTAGTTTGCTTAGGATGATGGCCACCAGCTCCATCCATGTTGCTGCAAAGGGAACGGTCTCATTCTTTTTTATGGCTGCATAGTATTTCGTGGTGTGTATATGCCACATTTTCTTTATGTAGTCTCTTATTGATGGCCATTTAGATTGATTCCATGTATTTGCTATTGTGAATAATACTGCAATGAACATATGTGTGCATGTGTCTTTATGGTAGAATTATTCATATTCCTTTGGATATATAACCAGTAATGGGATTGCTGGGTTGAATGGTAATTCTGTTTTAAGTTCTTCGAGAAACCATCAAAGTGCTTTCTACAATGGCTAAACTAATTTACACTCCCACCAGCAGTGTATAAGCATTTCCTCTTCTCCACAACCTTGACAGCATCTGTTATTTTATTACTTTTTAGTAATAGCCATTCTGACTGATGTGAGATGGCATGTCACTGTGGATTTGATTTGCATTTCTCTAATGACTAGTGATGTTGAGCATTTTTTCATATGCTTGTTGGCTGTGTGTATGTCTTCTTTTGAAAAGTACCTTCTCATGTCCTTTGCCCACTTTTTAATGGGGCTGATAATTTTTTAACCTAGAATTCTACGCCTGCTTAAACTATCACTTCAATGTGAAAGAACAAAGATGCTTTAATATGCTCACAGGCTCAGAAATACTTTCTTCCCATGTTCCCTTTCCACGGAAGTTATCTGAGGTTTTTTTCTGGCAAAATGAGGAGTTACCAAATAAATAAACAAACAAAAACTAGTGGATACAACTGACGAAACTTCTGAAAGGAGGTCCCAGGATGTAAGTTATGTCAACTGAGCAAGCAGTCCAATGTGAAGCAGGAGGATGGAGTTCAGGGAAAGAGGAAGATTCAGTAAAACAGAAAGCGTGAATGAGAACTTAGGAAAACATATGGACATGATCAAGGCAAGTAGCAAGAGAAAGAAGAGGCCCTTAGACCTTGAGGACAGTAACACAAGAAAGATATAGTCCATCTACGACACAATTTTAAGCAAATTCCCATCCCTTCTCTACTTAGGTAACTGCTCCTTCCCTCATACTCCCTGTTTTCTGGAGAAAATGCACCAAAGGCTCTGGCATAAGAGCACCACACATAAAGGAGAAGTTCGGTGAGATGCTAGAATGATGACAGGGAAGTTAGGTAAAAGCCTGCAAAATGAACAGTGAGGACCCAGGCCCGTTCCCCCAACTCTCAGCTCTAGGATGCCAGCAGCAAGGCTTACAAGCCTGTAGTCCTCCCCAGCAGGGCCCTAGCAGGAGAGAAAGGAGCATCCATCTCTTGAGGAACTGAAGCACCTCAGAGGTAAGCCCTTGGGTTCTGACACTGCAGCACCCTGATGAAAACTCCAGTTGTATCCACCTCCCACAGCGAGACCCACCAGATGACAAGACCTACCCTCACACACACACACAGCAAACTGCTCAGCTTTTTAAGTTCTCATTCTTCAATACCATGAGCAAGCTAAGGATCACCAGAAATTTGAGCAGAGCTGCTAACACAATCAAGACGGCAAAATAAACAGAAAGTTAGGCACTTATAGGACACAGAGACAAATTAGGAAAGAAAAGGAAGTCTAAATAATGTTGGAAAAGTAAGAGAAAATATTCCACTCATAAAGCAAGATGGTTAGAAACAAGGGACATTCTGAAATCCAGCAAGAATTTTGCAATTAAAAATATGATAGGCTGGGTGAGGTGGCTCACGCCTGTAATCCCAGCACTTTAGGAGGCCAAGGTGGGCAGACTGCTTGAGCTCAGAAGCTCAAGACCAGCCTGGGCAACATAGAGTGACCGCATCTCTACAAAAAATTATCCCAGTGTAGTGGTGGACACTTGCAGTGGATGAGGTGGGAGGATCACTTCAGACCAGGAGGCAGAGATTGCAGTGAGCCATGATCGTGCCACGGCACTCCAGCCTGAATGACAGAGCAAGACCCTGTTTCAAAAAAATAAAGATGACAGCCAAAATAAAGAATTCAACAGAGGACTTAGAAGATAAAATGCAAGAAATCTTTTTTAAAAGTAGAACAGAAAAGGACATATGAAATGGTGATAAATAATAAGGAAAGGAGGATATGAGAGTAATTTGGCTGTGACACCTGCCACCGCATTGATTGTCAGGGTTGATTCAGCTGATCTGGCTGAATAGACGGGTGTGCCCCTGCCTCCCTCACTGCTCCACCTGCGTCCCTCCTGAAGCTGCACACTTGGTCAAAGAGGGCAACCTTCTCTGACAGAGGAGGATCATTCTTTGGTCAAAGGCATGCAAAAAGTTGCCAGTATCCCCAAACAAGAACAAGAAAAGGAGAGATCAATGAAGGGGAGAACGAGAAAAAATGGCAAGGAGAAAAAAGAAATTAAAAACAGACCTGAAAAATAATAGTCTCCAGTCAGAAAGAGCTCACCATGTGCCTAGCAAAAAATCAAAATGATCCATCTCAAAACACATCATAGTAAAATTCTGAAATACTAGTAATAAAAGGAAGCTCCCAGGAAGGAAAAATACATCTCATACAAAGCATTGGGAAAAAGAAAAGCCAGACTTCCAAAAAGAGCATTAGAAATTAGATGACAATGGGGCAAAAACTTCAAAACTCTGAGTAAAAATGACTCATCCAAAATTTCAGCCACCTTGGCAATCAAATGTAACGGTGTGTATGTGTGTGTATATATTTATATATAATATTTATCAATATATATAATAAAAAGTCTCCCAAGAAACCAAAGTTACAGCCTACACAACCTTTTTGTAGCTACTGGAGGATGTGCTCCATCAAAATGAGGGAGTAAATCAAAAAAGAGGACTCCACAGAGTCCAAAAAACAAAGGATCAATACAGAGAGAGGCACAGGAATTCTCAGGATGACAGCCGGGCAGCCAGCCTAGAAACATTGTGTCCAGATGAGAGTAGGGGGACTGTGGGCCCTGCACAGATGACTCCAAGGAGTGGGGAAATGGAACTCTGAGCTCATCAGATAAGTGGAAGGTCATGTTGAGATACTTTTTGAGCTCTCAGAGGGTGTGGGAAACTGGATGCAGATTCAAAGAAAGCAAAGTAAATGAAAATAAGGCAATTATTAATTCCAGGAAAATCAGTGTTACACAAATAAGGAAATCTAATCATGATACTGTAAACCAAAAATAAAATTCTAAGGCCCCCCAACCAACTCAATGGACTTCCTTCTCAGCCAGGGCTATTTAAAATTTAACCTGAGATATTAGTTCAGACCAGGATGGGAAGTGGGGAGTCTGGCATGACTCATTATACCTCTCCAACATTAACATCAACACAGACTTGAAATCTGATAAGAAACATTTTACAGTCTATTCTCTCTGAAGCCTGCTACTGGAAGACTTCCTCTGCAAGTAAGAACTTGGGTCTCCACAGTCCTTTATCCTAACCCAGACATTCCTTCCTATGGATCCCAGGTCTTTAGATAAACTCAACCAATTGTCATCCAGGAAATTTTTTAATCTACCTAAAAGCTGGAGGCCCCTGCTTCGAGTTGTCCCGCCTTTCTGGACCAAACCAATGTACTTCTTAAATGTATTTGATTGAAGTCTCATTTCTCCCTAAAATGTATAAAACCAAGCTGCACCCCGACCACCTTGGGCACATGTTCTCAGGACCTCCTGAGGGCTGTGTCCCAGGCCATAGTCATTCATATTTGGCTCAGAATAAATGTCTTCAAATATTTTACAGAGTTCGACTCTTTCCATTGACAATACACATGTCATAAATTTAACATGAAAATACAAAAAAAGGATTTGACCACAATTTGTAAAGGTAAAGTGAAGCTCCTCATTTGCCAAGCTAGGAAGTCACAAATAATACCTTAGTTTGATTAATTTATATAGTATTTCTGAAAAATACAGAGTCACATTGTAGAAGAAACAGCTAAAAAGAATTTAAAATTATTGCCCCTGCAAATCAGAGCTAGTCATAAGACTGCTGGGTTTTTGTTATGAACTTTTTAATTCTATTTATGTTCTCTAATTTTAATAAAACATAATTTGATAGAAATAAAAATTATTCTTAATTTATTAGTGATGACTAATGACAAGAGCTAGCCTTCAGTGCCTCACACTGAGCTGAGAGCTTTACATGTGTTACACACATAACCCTTGCCCACAACCTTCTGAGATTGCTGCTAACATCACCCCAATTTACAGAAGTAGATATTGAGGTTTGGCATTAAGCAACCAGCCAAGCAGAGTCAAGATCCAAATTCTAATTCCACTCCAGAGCCTGAGTTCTTATTCTATACTGCTTTTTCATTTTTAGAGACTTTATTGTTTGTGCCATCCTATTAGGCACTATCAAGAAGCCACATACCCGGTACACACATCTTACACACACACACACACACACACACCAATGTCTTCTGGTAGAAAAATAACTCCCAGGACAAAAGATGGCACAGTATTCTGTAATCTAAATAAACTCTGATTTGTTATTCCTTCTCCTCACTCCCAAACATTCTAAATTGGCTAGATGAAATCAAAGCTTTTGTTATTCAAATGCAAAGTGGAACATTTTAGAACATAAAACTCCACTGAGAAACAAAAGGAAACAGAAGTGTTTCTTGGCACCAAGCACCAAAACTTGGACAATGAAGCTCTGTTAAATGAGCAGATCCTAACAAAACTACATGTGGTTAAGAAGTAAAGGTTGGCTGGGCACAGTGGCTCATGCCTGTAATCCCAGCACTTTGGGAAGTGGGGGCAGGAGGATCATTTGAGCTCAGGAGTTTGAGACCAGCCTGGGCAACAAAGTAAGACCTCGTCTCTACAAAAAATACAAAAAATTAGCCAGACATGGTGGTGCATGCCTGTAGACTCTCCCTACTTGGGAGGCTGAGGATACAGGATCCCTGGAACCTGGGAGGTTGAGGCTGCAGTGAGCCATGACTGCACCATTGCACTCCAGCCTGGGGGACAGAGAGAGACTCTGTTTCAAAAAAAAAAAAAAGAAAAAAGAAAAAAAGAAAAGAAAAAGAAATAAAAGTTAAGGTTTTCATAACTCTCACAGAAGAGCTTTCCACCTCCTTTTGGTGAGGGTGTGGGGAAAACAGCACTCATATCCATTGCTGGTGAGGTATTGGTACAATACCTGTGGAGGTAATTTGGTACTATTTATTCAATCTCACTTCTGAGAATTTATCCTGCACATACAGAGCACACAAGAGAAGTGATAAATGCCTTGAAGTTATTTATTGCAGCATTGCTTTTAACAACTAAAAATTAACTGGGCACGGTGCCATATGCCCATAATCCCAGCTACTTGGGAGGCTGAGACAGGAGACTCACTTGTGACCGGGAGTTCAAGACCAACCTGGGCAACATAGTGAGACGATGTCTATAAATACATAAATAAATAAATACAATTAAAGATTAGGAACAACCCACTGCCCACCAAATGGGGGCAGGTTAAATACAAAGTGGAATACAATGGAATGCTATGCAGTGGTTAAAGGCAGTGCTTATGGGCACAGACACTGTAGCCAAATTGCCTGAGGTTAAGTCTTGGGTTCTGGACAGTGGTGCACTGGAGGCAGCCACCCTGGATGACAAGATTCTACTGCGAAATTCTAAGGGATTTTGTCAATTGTTTGTTTAACACAACTATTTTTAAAAATTAAATGATATAAACATACAATTAAATGGTATTAAAGACAAGGATAATAAATACGTAAAACTCATCATCTTCTAATTATTTTACTATTATCAATGCTCTTGCCTAGGCTATTTAAGTCTATTCTACCTGTATGATAGAAACATTATACAATGGTGTGTGACTTAGCACCTCCTCCCAATTCGGTGTTCAGGGTCGACAAGTTGGTGACATGAAATCAGCCACAGAGGTGTATTTACATCTCAGAATTGCCAAATGCCACAAATCAGGGCTTTTTTTTACTTTTTACTTTTTGTATAAATGGGTTACCACTATGTTGCGCAGGCTGGTCTTGAACTCCCAGTCTCAAGTTATTCTCCTGCGTCAGCCTCCCCCAAGTGCTGGGGTTACAGGTCTGGGCCACTGCACCAGCCATGAGCCTTTTTTAGAGAGCCATTTAAACATTTGTCAGCAGTCCATTGGTTACATGTGATCAGTACCTCCGTTTTGCTATCTGTAAACTCAGGATGATAACAGCACCTATTTGATAGGTTATTGAGAGGATTCATGGATTAACATATGTAAAGCACTTAAGAGAATGCTCAGCCTGCAATACAGTCATGGTAAGGGGGAGTTATGCTTCAGATTGTTACTACCAGTACTGAAAGATCTCCAAGCTATATTGTTCCATTTTTTAAAAGCTCAGCAAAGCATGTATGAATGCTCTATTTTAGATACAAAAGAGGGACAATTGAAAATACATATCCACAATGTCTTAAATAAAGAAGCCTTGGAAGGATATGCAAAAAAATGAATGAAAGGGGTTACCTGTTTCATCTTTGCTTGCAGGAATGGGAAGAGCTAGGTGGATGGAGGACTTGGGTAAGAGCAAGAGGTTTCACTGTACCTTGTATTTTCATTGAATTTTATGTTTTTGAGCTACAGAAACACATATTCCCTATTAAAACATTATAATAAAAACCAAACAATTTTCATTAATCCAATAAGCATTTCATCCTCATCTGATGTAATTAAAATGCTATGAAAGTCCCTCTGTGGGGTCAGAAGGGGCACAGAGGAAGACGAGACCCTGGCTTCTGCCCTGCAGGAGTGCATGCTCCACTTGGAGAGGCAGAGCACACAGAGCACACACAGGGAGAACAGCTTGGAGGGAGGGGTATGAGGCTGACTGCAGATGCACAAACACCACAGGGCTTTGCACCTCCATCGTGCAGACACGACACGGCTCTTAAGAGGTACTTACCCTGTTGTATAAGGGATGTTTATGCCCCCTAGATTAATGCTTTCACATCCAACAATAAATAGGGTTGAAAAACATAGTAAAGACACACCACTGCAGATCATTGCTAGTTTTGCAGATTCTCTGGCACCAAGTTTCAATTTTTTTATAATGTAGCCTCCGAGGACAATACCAACACCAGCACTGGGGACGATAATAACCCCTGGGGAGAAGAGAAGGAGAGGATTAATTTGAACTCATGTACACTATTATTCATCTTATCTATTCTGTCTCTTGCTCAGTAGTACTGAGGTAAAAAATCAAAAGTTACTATAATCAATACATCTTCATTGTGTGTGATTTTATAGTATAATATTATTTTCAACACATACAATCAACAACGGACTCACATCCAGATTTCAATAAAAACTTTCATAAAGCAATAAAATAAAGACAAGCAATCCATTACAAAAGTGAGTAAAACTTGAATAAGTTCTTCACCAAAGACAAAATCCAGACAAACAATAAACACGTGAAAGGGGGTCAACCTCATTACACAGAAGGAAATACAGGTGATGCACTTAACACATAGAAATGATAAATACTCAGGTGACAGTTACCCTAAATACCCCAATTTGATCATTACACATTCTATGCATGTCACAACATTCCACATGTACCTCATAAATATGTACGAATGTAATGTATAAAATTTTTTTAATTTAAAAACCACAGTGAAATACCACTACCTACCAATCACGTTTGTGAAAATTGTAAAGTCTGAAAATACCACACGTTAAAGATGTAACGTACTGGGAACTCTCAACATGTTGGCAGGATGTAAATCTCAACACTCACTTTGAAAAACAGTTTGGCATTATCTGGTAGAGTTGAAGATATACATGCCCTGTGGCAATCAATTCCATTCTTGGATCTATACCCTGAAGAAACTTGTGCACATGGGTACCAAAAGAAGTGGACAAGATATTTGAAGCATTATAATTGTAAAAAACTGGAAATAAACCAAATGTCCATTAATAAATATATCATATATGGTATGTCTATATAAAGGATTGCTTCTATACACTCATTAAATGGAAAGAAACATAGCTACACACAACTTCGTATGAAGAATTATACAAAGACAATGATGAATGGAAGGAACCACATGCAGCAGAATGCACAAGACATCACTACGTTGGTATGAAGTTCAACAACTTATAAAACTAAACAGCATTGTCTGGGAATGCACAAACAGGTAGTACAACTATGAAGAAAACCCAGGAGTAATTAACATAAAAGCCAAGATAGTAGAGGGATTCATGGTATAAGGAAGGGATGCAGGAGGTTCCTCTGGTGCTGAAAAATACTTCATGCCATGACCTGGGTAATAGTTACTGCTGTGGTCTGAATGTTTGTGTCCCCAAAAGGTTCACATGATGAAATCCTAATCCCCAGAGTGATTAGGAGGTGGGGCCTTTGGAAGGTGATTAAGTCACAAGAGTGGGAGGCCTAATGAATGGGATTCATGCCCTTATAAAAGAGGCCTGAAAGAGCTACCTCACCTTTCCATGTGAAGTTACATGGTGGGAGGTCACATGTGAGAAGACAGCCTTCTATGAGAAATTGGGCCCTCCTTCACCACACGGGGCCAGGGCCTTGTTGTTGGACTTCCCAACCTCCAGAACTGTGAGAAATAAATTTCTGTTGTTTATAATCCACCCAGTCTATGGTAATTTTGTTACAGCCACCTGAATGAACTAAGACAGTTACACAGTGTTAACTTTATAATTATCTTTAAATTATGTTTAATGTACTTCTGGGTATGTTATTTTTCACTGTAAAAAAATAAAGAAATTGGCCAGATGCAGTGGCTCACATCTGTAATCCCAGCACTTTGGGAGGCCGAGGCTGGCGGATCAGTTGAGGTCAGGAGTTCGAGACCAGCCTGGCTAAAATGG
Source organism: Homo sapiens (assembly GCF_000001405.40). NCBI lineage: Eukaryota > Metazoa > Chordata > Mammalia > Primates > Hominidae > Homo > Homo sapiens. The sequence continues at coordinate 69,706,968 of NC_000008.11, forward strand.
CAAAACCATGTCTCTATTAAAAGTTCAAAAATTAGCTAGGGGTGGTGGCGTGCGCCTGTAATCCCAGCTACTCAGGAGACTGAGACAGGAGAATCGCTTGATTGAACCCTAGAGGCAGAGGTTGCAGTAAGCCAAGATCGTGCCGCTGCACTCCAGCCTGGTTGACAGAGTGAGACTCCACACCTCAAAAAAATAAAATAAAGAAATCATCATGGTGCCTGCCCCCAAGAACCTTACAATCTGAAAGAGAAACAAACAACTTAATAGAAATTAGAATACAATAAAATAATTATACAAAGTGCAGGGAGAGAGTCTTCCCTGGATGAAATCTGGGAGGGTTTTACACAAGTGGCAGTATTTGAGGTGAATCTCAATAGATGAGACAGAATCTGCCCAATGGACCAGCACAGAGAATATCCTACACAAAGAAAATGTCTGCACAAAGAAAATACATGCACAGAGGCATGAAATAACGAAATTGAGGATTCAATGCAATCCAAAATATTGATTATGGAAAGGAAGCAGCTGGGAGGTGGAAAGACCTGGAGAAGAGAGGTAGGGAAAACAGAGACCATGAAAGACCATGAAAAGGAGCTCAGGTTGTATTTCTGATAATGGAGGGCGCTGAAGAATTCTGAGCTGCGGCTGACAGGATGGAAGCTGTGTATTACAAAGGTCAATCTTGAAATGACATGCAAGACAGCTTAGATGTGGTCAAAACTCAAGTCAGAGAAGTGGTCAGGAGGATGACCGCAAAGGTCCTTGTGAGCCACAGTAGGGCCCCACAAAGATGGCCCAATAAATTAGATAAGGACAGGGAGAGAGGAAGGATGACTGCATGACACCAGATGAAGGAAGAAATCTGGAACATGAGGAAGAAATGTGTGTGCGGAGCAGCTCAATGGCCCCCATTGTAGACTTGTTGATTGTGAAGGGCCTGAGGAACAATCAGGTGAAATGCCCCACCCAGTTGTGTCTGTGGGCTGCAAGATCAACAAAGAGCTGGCTGGGGGATTTATAGCCAGGAGATGAATTCATGGCATAAATGAGATGTTCCAACAAGACGGTGCAGAGTAAAACAAAAGGGCCAAAACTACAACATTCGGATGAGTGCCAATGTTAATGGGGTATCATAAAAAGGTGAGTCCACAGAACAAGTTGAAAATGAACAGCCACAGAGGCCAGAGGAAATGTGGGAAACAAAAATGTCGGAAGCAGGAAAAACTTGGGCTTTGGATTCAGAAAGACTGGAGTTCAAATCCTCACTCCATCTTTTGTAGCCATGTAATCATGCAGGCTTCCTAAACTTTCTAACTCAGACTTCTTTGCCTCGTCATGGAGATGTCTTCCTTTTACCTTAGCCTTAGAATGAAGATTACAGGCACTATCTATAAGTAGATACAGTATATAGTATTCGGTATATAATATAAATTGTAGTTATTAATTAGCCAGGCAAGATGTTGGGTGCCTGTAATCCCAGCTACTTGGGAAGCTGAGGCAGGAGAATGGCTTGAACCCAGGAGGCAGAAGTTGCAGTGAGCCAAGATGTGCCATTGCACTCCAGACTGGGTAACAAGAGCAAGACACTGTTTCAAAAAAAAAAAAAAATTGTAGTTATTACCATTACAACTGTGCCATAGAAAACCAAGGAGAGAGGACAGGCATGGGGCTCATGCCTGTAATCCCAGCACTTTGGGAGGCCGAGGCGGGCAGATCATTTGAGGTCAGGAGTTCGAGACCAGCCTGATCAACATGGAGAAACCCCGTCACTACTAAAAACACAAAAATCAGTAGGGCTTGGTGGCATATGCCTGTAATCTCAGTTACTCCGGAGACTGAGGCAGGAGAATTATTGCTTGATCCCAAAAGGCAGAGGTTGCAGTGAGCTGAGACTGCATCACTGCACTCCAGCCTGGGTGACAGAGTGAGACTCCATCTCAAAAAAAAAGAAGAAAACCAAGAAACCAAGGAGAGAGTTTCAAGGAGAAAATAGACAACAGTATCAAGTGCCTTAGAGAAGTCCAGTAAGAAAGACTGAAGTGAGACAATGTGTCACTGGACCTCTGACAAGAGCAATTTTAAGAGTGTCATGCAGGTAGAAACCAGACTGCGATGGGTTGAGTAGTCAGTCATGAGTCCCTAGAGTTTGAGAATCCAGTCAGCTCTTTCTAGAACTTTGCATATAAAAGGAAGAAGGGATATGGGTCTAGAATTAGACTGGGAACAAGGCAGGGTTGAGGTTTGGAGGGTTTTATCTGTTTGCTAGGATGCAGAGAGGACTTAAACACATTTATATACTGAGGAAAATAAACTAAAAAGGGAATGAATGGTTGAATGTGGAGGGGAAATTTCAGCTAATGACAATGCAAGATCCTTGAGAAGTCAGGATAACATAGAATTAATAGCACAGATAATCAACTTAGCCCTGAATAGGGGGAGAGAAACTCCTTTCTCTGGGCTAGAACAGAGGATAAATCCGTGGGTGAGTAGTAGCTTTACAATGTTAGTTTTTCTGTTTTATTTTTCCATTATTCTGTAAACATAATGTAATACATATTGTAACAAAACAGTTGAAAAACACAGAAAAGTAGGAAGGAAAACAGAAAAGTAGGAAGGAACAAATATACACTGATTGCATTCTGGCATATTTCATTGCAGACGTTTTTCCTCCGAGAATTCATAACATGCTGTAGATTCATTTTTTATACCTTTGATTTTTGTTGGTTTCTTTTCTGTATAATTGAAAACAAAACCACCTCTTAGAAGGAAGAGATATTGAGAATTTTAATTGTGGCCAAGGGTTGGAAAAACCGTGATGGGAAAGTGAAGTCGGCACTACTAAGAATATGTAATAGAGGGTAATATGGGTCCAGACAATATTGGACACCAGAAGCTTGCAGCTGCATTCACTTGCACGGTTGCATGCTCCGGCATGTTCAACAACCCACAAAGAGAAGCAGAGGAAGACTGAGATTAACTTAAAGTCAGTTTTGCCTGGTAGCTAGTGTTCATCCTGTAATCCTCACCAGAGTCCTGTGAAATCGGCAACAGCTTTTTTTTTTTTTTTTTAGACAGAGTTTCACTCTTGTCGCCCAGGCTAGAGTGCAGTGGTGTGAGCTCGGCTCACAGAAACCTCCGCCTCCCAGGTTCAAGTGATTCCCCTACCTCAGCCTCTCAAGCAGCTAGGATTGCAGGCGCTGGCAACCACGACCGGCTAATTTTTGTATTTTTAGTAGAGATGGCGTTTCACCATATTGCCCAGGCTGTTCTCGAACTCCTGACCTCAGGTGATCCACCCACCTCGTCCTTCCAAAGTGCTGGGATTACAGGAGTGAGCCACCGCGCCCGACCGGCAATGGCCCTTTTACAGATGAGGAGACTGAAGGCTCAGGGAAGTGGCCTGCTCTATAGTGCACAGCACAAAAAGGGAAGTTTGGATAGAAACTGACATTTTCTGTTCCCAGCCCCAAGCTGGGCCCTAATTATCACAGCGACCTCTTACACCCAATAGGTCCCTGGAATCTCACCCAGAGCTCTAGGGTGAGATGAGCTGGAGAATAAAGTACCCTCCTCACCAAGAAAACGTATACATGCTATCAATGTGATTAATTTACCTTTAGAATGAAAACGTTTTATTCATAAAATTTCAATTTCAACTAAGCAATTATGGAGCCGCGGATACTGTACTACAGCCTCAGGATAACAAATCTCCGTGCTGGTAGCTGAGTCATAATTAAACAGCAGCATAATTTATTTGATTATGCATCCTAATTAGCATTAGGCTCTCAAAAATAGAACACGTGTCATCAGTAAATATGAGGGCACACCAAACAGAGTGAAGACCCATGAAAATGTTCTTCGGCGCCCCCATCATCTGTATCTCGCTGCACTATCAAAACAGAAAGGTCTGACCACTCATTTACGCGAATATGGACATTGCTTGGATCTCCGATCAGAGAAAGATCCGAAGTTTGCTTTGGGGAATTATACGCGTCTTGGGACGAGCAGCAGGGATGGGGTCGGACAGTTCAGAGCCTTCATACTGTCCCCCCCACTCAAAGCCCCTGGCTCCAGGTACAGCAGCTCTAGTAGTTCCGGGTGAGCTTATGGAGCGGCTGCGAGTCAGTTTCTCCACCCACCACCACGCGCCATCCAGGCCTCCCCGCCTGCCCACTCCCTATTGGGGGTGGAAAAGATAAATAGAAAAGATGGGTTCTCCCGGCAGAAGTTACGGTCCTGCCGCTAGCCCTCTCTGAGCTCAAATTCACGTCCCTGGCTGGTGCCCTCTTTCCCTTCCCTCTGTCCCCAGGTCCCAAAGAGTCAGCTCGCCGCTCCGTTGCGCCTCTCACCACTGCGCACCTCACCTCTCTGCGCCTCTGCCCCGACCCTGCCGCGTTCCCAGCCTCGGAGGGACCCCCGAGTTCCTGCTCCAGCGCCCTCTAATGGCCAAGACCTGGGGAGCGCAGGAGAAAAGCAGGTGGGGAAAAGGCCATCAATGGATGGATACCCAAGGACACTTCCATATGTTCGGTGGGGAGGGCAAGGGGGGCAGAGCGTGGGAAGATGCACCAAGCCCAGGCACCCGAGGCCCGAGGTGCCAGCCGTAGAGGAGAGAACCCAACGCAATTCCATATGTTCAAGAGGCAGATCCAGGTAAGAGTCTGGGCTATGTAGCCAGATCCCCTAAGTTCAAATCTCAGCTCAGCCACTTACAAGCTGCATGTCTTCAGGCAAATTACTGAACATTTCCAGGCCTCGGATTTTCTCCTCTCTGAAATGTGGATTATAATAGTATATTCTTCATAGGATTGTTAGGATTAAATGAATTAAGACCTGTGAAAGGCTTCGAACAGTGTCTGACCAACAGCATACACTCAATAAATGCTGGCCATCATCATCATCATTTTAACAAGCATGAATTTCATTATCTGCCTAATATTATGAGTTTAAATTTGCACATATATATTGGAATTATAATTAGGCAAATTCCTATATGCTATTTAATCTATAGAATTGAATTTAAGCAATCTATTAGTGGCCCAACATAAACCTCTATGTGTTCTTTAAATATACAAACCTTTGATATTTACTTACTATGTGTTCTTAACACATAAAACTCTTAGATATTTAGCAGCATGTCTTTTATCTGAATCTAAAGAACTCACTGCAACATTAAGTGCTGACAATGCAGAAGATTCTGCTTTGCTCATAAAAGGTCTGGGAATATCCTGCTGCTTTCCAGCTGGAAATCTTTTATCTAGTCATTTATCCAAGCAAATAGACATTAATTGTCCTACTTTCTTTCTTTCTCTGTCAAGCACTATTATGCCACAACATTCGATTTTGACGTTTTTATTCTGGACCCCAATTTTGTGGCTGCATGGAGCCAAAGGGTCTTTATGAAAAATTAATATTTATTTAATTACCAAATATAAAAGCTAATGACTGAATTTTTCCTCTTTCGCTCCAATTTTTGCCAATTTGTATTGTAAATAGACACAGAAAATATACGGGAGCTTAAAGCATGATTTGGAGCACAGGAAAACCTGAACCAAAGGAGAGAACAAAATTAGGCAACCCATTCATTATCAAGAATGTATTATAGGTTCAGGGAGCTTCAATTGTGCTATTGTTGCTATTGTTAAGACAACAACAATGTGCTTTTATGGTACCCAGCGCTAGCCCCTCTCATCACACCTGTCACTCCTATTGTGTTTATTCTCTATCTTTCTGTTATCTTTCTTTAAGGTTCTTGTCTATATTTTCAGTATCCTCCTATTTATTTAGCACTGACCAACGCCTAGTGTGTGTTTGGATGAAAGAACAAACATTCATTTTGAACTTATTATATAAAATCTTATATAACTTTGAATTTATTATATAAAATCTTTAAGTGATTTGCTCATTAATTTCCATTTTCAATTATTCCTGGAACTAGGTTGTATCCCATTTTACAAATAGATAATCTAAGATCTAATTTGAGGTTAAAATAAATTGCTAAAATCAGTTTAAAACTGATAAGCACTAAATATCTAGATGGTGCCTGAAAAATCTCACTTTTACCAAGATTCTGAATTGAACATTATTAGCAAAAGCTTAAACTGCCAAGCCACCAAAGGAAATGCAGAGTACGATATCAGTCTCTGAAACCTCTTATCTGTTGTGAAATTACAGTGGTACAGAATATCCAACCATGGTGACTTAAATTAATAAAGACAGGCTCTTAGAATCTTAGACATTGTCATTTCTTTGCTCTAGTTTCACTGCCCTTTCTGTGTTTTCCATGTCCAAAGTTTTCTTAAGTTCTGTTGAAAATAAATGGCTTGCAAACATGAGACTATCAATAATTAAGGAATATCATTGTAAGCCATCATGACATGTGGATTCTGCTGTTGCCTGGCTGGGCACATGGGACGGACAAGAAAGCAGAATGAGTACCTAGAAAAGAAGAAAGTACCATTTATTCACTCATTCATTCTCTCTCTCTCTCCCTCCCTCCTCCCTTTTTTGTGTGTGTGCAAGTGCACACCCACACACCCACAAACAACTGCATACACACACAGATGTTGATTACATGCCAGGTACTGTGATAACTGATCTAAATACAGTATCTCATTTAATTCTCAAATGTTACAGATTTTTATGCTCTGAACCCAAAGTGTGTCTTACAATCAATAGTATGCAAGCCTTATGTCATAATCTAATTAGAAGCATTTTTCTTTCATAATAACTCAAAATCATGGTGCATCTTGCCAGCAAAAGTGTGACAGATTGGAAGGAATACAGCATTCTCTCCACATCACAGAGGAAGAAACACCTAAAGAGTTCTAGAGCAAGGAAACTGACTCAAGGTTATTTCACTTTTCTAAAGCCTAAGCTTCTAACCCGATGATTCAAAAGACATCTTTTCCTCTTGCTCAGAATAAATAATTTTACCCTTTTGAGCTTCCATTTTCTCTTGCAAACATTTTCTTGTAGGAAATAAGTATCAACTACTGTCAGAAGCAAACTACTAAAAAGATTATTTAAAAAACCCAAACCTTGAAGCTAGCAAATTTTAACTGATCTGAGAAGAGACAGCGCGATAAGTATACATTCTCACAAACTATAAATGACTCCACAAAGTTTAAAAGCACAGTATATCTCTTTCTCTTTCATATATCTCAATCTTACTGTTGTAAAAAATTTCAGCAATCCCTTCATAAACAATGAACAAGATGTATCATTAGAATTAATTTAAGGTACCTTTTTCTTTGAACTCAGTGGCTGTTTAAGGCAGAGAACAAACTTTTTCTCTAAAGCCATAATATTTCACAGCATAGCTTCAAGCCAAAACTTAAAGGAGGGGTAGCAAATCCCTATTTGGACTTAGGATTAGGAAAGGCAGCCTGCATGCGTTGAGCATTTGTTGCAGTCAAAGCTGCCAGTACCTGAAGAAGCCTTTAGGCAGAGTAGAAGAACTTACAGTAAGTTCTTTTAGGAGTTCTCTTGAGGCAGATAAGCTGGGGGGATAGCTCGCCTGGCTCAAAGCTGCTGCACCCCAGCTGTCTCAAGTTTTGCCCCTCTATAACTTCAGTTAGAGGAGACAGAAGTAGACTTCATCAGCCTCAGTTTCCTCTGTCAGGTTCCCCGTGACAATCATAGTGTGGCTCCCATGGGACCACTTACAGCTAACCAAAAGAGAATGTCCTTGAATTTCTAGCGTAGCCTTGCTGAAATTTTTAGTAAAGGCTTTCAAAGGAATTACACACTTCTAAAAACCTTAGCCTCAATGACTTCAACAGGGAGATATTTATATAAAGCCCATATTTAACTCCTCTTAGGCCAGACGGATCTCATTCACTCATAATAACACTTTCTTCAACTCTTTACCAACACAGGGAGACACTGTGCAGTAGGAGAGAAATATGAGAACCCCAATCTCAGGATTCAAGGTCTGGGGATCACTGAAGGAAAGGTAATAAAAAGGAACATTCAACAGTGAAAACAACCATGCTTTTCATTTCAGGTTTCTGTAAAGCTCTGGCTGAAATAATGCATAAAAGAGAATGCTGAGCTGTTTTATGAAAGGGATTCAAAAATCAAATCAAATTAATATTTCATCTTTGATGGCTTACAAACCTAAAAGAATTTTCTGCATCCACGCGATAAACCCACAGAGGGCAAAAACCACTTGAAACGATGAAATGCAAAAATCACAGTATTTACTTCCGTTTTCCCTAGTGCTGGGAAACTGAAGGTGAAAACCGCTAAGCAAACTACTGGAAAGGTGGGTAGGGAGCCTTTGCAGAGGAAATTTCACAGGAGAATAAGAGCACCTTATTAACTTTTTCAGCTATCAAAATAAGCCTCAAACGACGTTGGTATCAATTTTCTGTACTGGGTTTCCATTCATACAAGTAAAGCCCACAGATGTGGCCCATGCCAAGTACAAAACCCTCTTTGGAGGTCCTCTGGGCAAGATCCATTTTCTGTCAGCAACTTTCAACTTCTCCTCTGTCCATTGTTGTCCAAATCCAGCAGTCCTCGGAGCTTTTCCATCGAGACAGTTCATCGTCATGACGCCCACTAATAGCAGAACTGCAAAACCCTGACAAAGCTACCCTTCCCCTAGGAGAAGTAAGCAGATTTTTCAAACTCTGTATATGGAAAAAAAATTGAGACAAAAGTCTGCACATCTGAACTATACCTATTAGAGTGCCCTTGCCCCACTAAGGCCAGGTGGAAATTTTGCTCTTGAGAAACCATATTAATTCTGCCGAGTGAATAGGGAAGACCAGAGCAGACATTTCATAAATATAGTCACATCACTAATTAGACATATTGTGTTTCTTTTTTTTAATTGACAGCTTCTCTGAGCTATAATTCACATACTACACAATTTGCCTACTTAAAGTGTACAGTTTAATGTTTTTAGTATATTCACAGAAACATGCAATCATCACTAAAATTTTAGAACATTTTCATCGCCCTAAAAAGAAACACCACACCCATTAGCTATCACACCCAGCCCTCCCTTGCCCCGCACTGCTCCAGCCCGAGACAATCACCACCTAATTTCTACCTCCATAAGTGTGCCTGTTTGAGACCTTTCATATAAATGGAGTCATACAATATGTGTGCCTGGCTTCTGTCACTTAGTATGTTTTCAAGGTTCCTCTGTGTTAAAGCATGTGTGAGTTCTTCATTCCTATTTATGACCAAATAACATTTCATTGCATTTCTAGATCACATTTTATTAATAATATTTACCCATGCATTGGTGGATGGACATTTGGGTTGTTTCTACTTTTTGGTTATTATGAATAATGCTGCTATGAACATTCATGTACAAGTTTTGTGTGAGCATATGTTTTTGTTTCTCTTGGATACATGCCTAGAAATGGAATTACTGGATCATATGTTAACTCTGTGTTTGAGGAAGTACCAAACTGTTTTCCAAAGTGGCTGCACCATTTCACATTCTCAGCAGCAGTGTAAGGATTCCAATTTCTACACATCTTCACCAACTCTTGTTATTATCACAGATAATAGTTGATTTTAGCCATCTGAGTGTGAGGTGGTACCTCATTGTGGTTTTGATTTGCATATCCGTGATAACTAACAAGGTTGAGCATCTTTCCATGTGCTTATTGTTGGACATTGGTACATCTTTTTTGGAGAAATGTCTACTTAGATACTTTGCCCATTTTAATTGGCTTATTTTTCTTTTTATTATTGAGTTGTAAGAGTTCTTTATGTGTTCTAGATATAACTGCCTTAGCAGATATATGATTTGCAAATATTTTCTCCCATTCTGCAAGCTGTGTTTTTCCTTTTTTTTTTTTTTTAAGACAGGGCCTTGCTCTGTCACCCAGGCTGGAGTACAGTGGCACAGCCATGGCTCACTGTAGTCGCAATCTCCCAGGTCCAAGCAATTCTCCCTCCTCAGCCTCCCAAATAGCTGGGACTACAGGCACACGCCACCACCCCCAGCTAATTTTTGTATTTTTTATGGAGATGAGGTATCCCTGTGTTGCCCAGGCTGCTCTCAAACTCCTGGGCTCAAGCAACCCTCCTGTCTTGGCCTCCCAATGTTGGAATTACAGATATGAGCCACCATGCCTGGCCCATTTTTACTTTTTTGATGGTGTCCTTTGATGAACAATAGTTTTACATTTTGACGAACTCCAACTCATCTATTTTTTCTTTGGTTATGTTGTCTAATACAAGGTCACAAAGAGTTATGCCTATGTTTATTTCTGAGAGTATTATAATTTAAGCTCTTACATTAAGGCTTTCGATTTATTTTCAGTTGCTTTTTGTATGTGGTATGAGGTAGGGGGTCCAACTTCATTCTTTTGCATGCGGCTATTCAGTTGTCCCAGCACCATTTGTTGAAAATACTATTTGTTCCTCATTGAATAGCCTTGGCACTCTTGTCAAAAATCAGTTGACAATAAATATATAAGGTTATTTCTGGGGTCTCTACCCTATTTTACTGATGTTTTTGTCTGCTTTAATCCCACACCACACTGTCTTGATTACTGTTACTTTTCAGTAAGTTTTGAAATTAGGAATTATGAGTCCTCCAACTTTGTTCTTTGTCAAGATTGTTTTGGCTATACTCAGTACCTTACATTTCTATCTGAATTTTAGAAGCAGCTTGCCAATTTTTGCAAAGAAGCCAGTTGGAATTTTGATGAGGATTGTATTGAATCTGCAGATAGATCAATTTAGGAAATATTGACATCCTAATAATATTAAGTCTTCCAATCCATGAACATGCAATGTCTTTTCATTTATTTACATTTTCTTTAATTTTTTAACATTTAATTTTTTAATTGATAAATAAAAACTGTATACATTTATCAGGTACAGCATGTCATTTTGAAATGAGGATACATTGTGGACAGCTACATTGAGCTAATTAAAATATACATAACTTCACATACTTATCTTTTTTGTAGTGAGAACACACAAAATCTACTCTTAATTTTCAGGAATGCACTGCATTGTTATTAACTATAGTCACCATGTTGTACAGTAGATCTTTTGAATTTATTCCTCCTACATAACTGAAATTTTGTGTCTTGTGACCAACATTTTCTTTTACTTTTAAGCAATGTTTTGTGGTTTTCAGAATATAAGTTTTACATTTCTTTTGTTAAATCTGCTCCTAAATAACTCATTCTTTTGATGCTAATGTAAATGAAATTGTTTCCTTAATTTGATTTTTGATTCATTGCTAGTGTATAGAAATACAATAGATTTTTGTATATTGATCTTGTAAGATCTTGCAACCTTGTTGAACATATTTATTAGTTCTAATAGTTTTTATAATTGATTCCTTAAGATTTTCTCCATAGAAGATCACATAATCTGTAAATATAAATAGCTTTACTTCCTCCTTTCCTATCTGAATGCCTTTTATTTCATTTTCTTCCTTAACTTCCCTGGGCATAATCTCCAGTGTAACAAAGAATAAAAGTAGCAAGAGCAGACATCCTTTCCTTGTTCTGATCTTAGGGAGAAACAATCCAGTCTGTCACCATTAAGTATGATGTTAGCTGTGGGTTTTCCATAGATGCCCCTTATCACATTGTGTTTTTAATCTTCAATTACTTAAATGGTAGTTGAGCTAAAATTCATAAATTCATTTTTGGGTTATTGACAAACATGTTTTTTAAAACAACTTTCAGAAAACTTACAAAAATATGTAATTTTTAAAGTATATATTTAATTTAACGGAAAACATTATTGAGCATCCACTCTGTGCCAAGGCCTGTTCTAAACTCTGGAGACATGTAGGGAATAAAAGTAACTAAAATTCCTGCCCAGATTGAGTTTACAATCTAACGTGGGAAACAGACAAACCAATAATTAAGCAAATTGTACAGAATGTTAGAAGGTAAAAAATACTACAGAGAAAAATGCTCAGCGGAGAAAGGAAAATGAGGAGTAGGGAGAGGAGTTCCATTTTTAACTGAGGGATCCTGGATAAAGTCTCATTGACAAGGGGCCATTTGAGCAAAAACCTGAAGGAGCAACGTGAACACAGCATTAGGGGGATTAAATGATACTCCAGTTGTACACTGTCCCCATCTATTCAGTAAAGAAAGTTTACCAGGAGTCCAGGATAATAAAAATCAAAACATTTTGTAACAAGAAGAAACTTCAAAAATTAATCAGTTCACCTTGCTCTCTGAATAAGATAGCTTAAGCCAGAAAAAAATAACCACTTTGGACAAGACAGTGACAGACGGGTTGAAAATCTTAACCAGTATGCTAAATACTGCACTTTTAACCTGAAGATTTTGTTTGTTTGTTTCAAAAGACATGCACAATTCCACCAGATAATGAAATCCACAAAATAAGTTTTACAAGCGCAAACATACTCTAGGAATCTAATGGTCGGAGCATCTGTGGAGAACATCAACCCTACTGTCTATGAGAACTTAGGTTTCAAAAATCCATTAATTAATCAACCTTATAGAAACTAGTCATTGTGAAGTAGGAAGTTAAGAAAATAACAGAATAATAGCATAAGTAATAATAGTAAAGATTAAAGTAATAGTAAGACAAATAACAATAGCTCATAGAATGAATTGCTGTATTAACCAAGGCTAAAAAGAATTTAAGTAGCCCCCCCGAAGTTAAAATTGGAAGAGAATATTAACTGTCTCTCCCAAGAAACATTAACCATATCTACCCTCCTCATATTTTGTAGGCTCTGTAAACTCCTGTTCGTTTCTTCCCTGCACAGCTGCAAGATCACAAGACAGAGACGCATAACCTGCAAACCAAGTTTTCCCAGACATGTAAGACATGTTGCAAAAGTGTCACAGCAGCCTTTGTTCTCGCTTCTGTAAGCCTGCTTCCTGCTTCACGTAGTGCCCGCCTCAAAGTGCTTAAACTCGTTTTATTTGTTCTAGGCTCAGACTCTCAGGACACATGTCCGCTGAGCCGGTGTACACATTAAATAAACACTTTCTTGCACTCCGTTCAGTCTCTCCAATTCCTTAATTTCCCGCAACAATTGGGTAGAAATTACTAGAAAGGAAACAGATGACATGGTTCCTGTGTGCCTACAAAAATTTAAATTTTATTAGACCCATCTCTAAATCTTTCAGCAAATCATCTAATCTTCTCCCCTTATTGCTCAGACCTTATTTATTCTTGGTTTTTAATAACAAAATCACATATTTTCAGATAAAACTTCTCTTTGGAAGACAACAATATAACTTGAAAAGCTATAAGAAGTAAATGCAATAAATATTTAAAATTTAACCCCAAAGATACATGTGAACCAGCAAAGGAAGAAAATACAATGTAGCAAGTGCGAATGTAATGTACCTCCCACTGACAACCACGGGCTTCTTTAATGGCGTGATGGTTCCTGGTTCACCAACGACCCCAGATATTATACTAGGAAGTCTTCACCAGGACCAAAGGTAGCCCTGAATCTTTTCACATTTTTATTTTCACCAAAATGAAGACTATGCAAGGCACATGCCAAATAAAGTGTTAATATTTCTGTACTCAAAGTTGCAGGAGAGTAGCTAACATCTTAGATAATTAGATGGGAACTGAGAGTGGCCATATAAAATCAGGAAGTGGACAGAACAAAAACAGGACAATTTAATAGGCACAACTCAAGTTTCAACCCATTGGAACAAGAGAAAACGTCATGTTTTAGTATTTACTAACATTTTAAAATATATTACTACCTCATGAAATAAAGTGTTTGGGCTTTTTATTTGTTTGTGTGTTATCACAAAATCATAGAATTTGGAAGGGCGCTAGAGCAGAGATTGCTACTTACTCTCCAATGACTACTCTTTTTTTTCCTAAAGCAAGAGTTGACAAGTTTTTCTATTAAGGGCTAGATAGTAAATATTTTCTAATTTGTGAGCCAGACAGTGTCTATTACACTAGTCACCTCTGTTGTTGTAGTGTAATGGACATGTGTAAACAAATGGGTGTGATTGGGTTCCAATAAAGTTTTATTTACAAAAACAGGAAGCAGGCTAACTTTGGCCCAAGATCCCTATTCTAGAGTAACAGCTTGACTTATGGCTGCTTGGAATAGACTACATTTCCCAGCCTCCCTTGCAACTAGGTGTGGCCATGTGGCAAGTCCTGGCCAATGTGATGTAAGCAAAAGTAGTACATCCATGCTCTTCCTCCTTCCTCCTTCCATTTTGCTACTTGAAATGCAGACATAATAACTGGACTGCCACTTTGGACTATGAGGACAGGAGTCTGTGATGGAGAAGAAATTGGAAGCACTGTGGGTGATTACAGTCCCTATACCAGCCCTGAGTTATGTCCAGAATTTTATGTGACAGAGAAATAATGATCTCTTTTGTTCAAGCCTCTGTTCCTTTGAGTCTCTGATATTCTCAAAAAGTATATAATCCTAAATTAACACAAGAGCCCAGAGATCATGTATTTAACTACCTCGTGTTATAGATATAAAATAAAAGTGAGACTCTGGAAAGATGAGTGATTCACCTCGAATCATTGGCTAATTAATGCCAGAGCAAGGCCTAGACTGTTATCTGATTCTAAATCCAATGCTTTTTCTAGATTTATATGAGGCTAGTGCTCCCATAAACATACACTTAAATTACAAATGTTTGTTATTTTCTTTGTGAGATCTTTTCAGTCATTTAAGCCACTTCATTTTTGAAGGAGCAGGTGCTCAGTTTTATTCTAAAAATGAAGAAAAAAATGTTTTTATTTATAGAAACTTACTTCAGGATCATTTCTTTCAAATCCTATTTATTTCAGAAAGGAAGATATTTTAGACTAATTTTCCACCTAAAACAGCAGGAAACTCAAAATTCCTTTCAAAGGGTTTACCCCCTTATTGTCTTCGATCCTGAGGTACACACCAAAAAAATAAGTGCTATGATTAAAAGATGAAATGTATTTATAAGCCAGGCACGATAGCTTATGCCTGTAATCCCAGAACTTTGGGAGGCTGAGGCGGGCAGATCACCTCAGGTCAGGAGTTGAAGACCAGCCTAGCCAACATAGCAAAACCTCATCTGTACTAAAACTACAAAAACTAGCCAGGCATGGTGGCATATACCTATAGTCCCAGCTACTTGGGAGGCTGAGACAGGAGAATCGCCTGAGACCAGGAGGCGGAGGTTGCAGTGAGCTGAGATCTACCACTGCTCTGCAGCCTGGGTGACAGAGCAAAGACTCCGTCTCAAAAAAACAAACAAATAAATAAAATAAAATAATAAATGCGTTTATGTTAGAGTGAGCTGACTTCAACTTTAACCAAGATTACCAACAACAACCTAAACTCATGGAGGGAAATAAGCCCTTATGACTTTTTCAAAGCACATTCACATCAATTATTTAATTGATCAATACAACAGCTCTATAAACAGGTATTATCTCCTTATACAGATAAGAAAACAGACTGAGAAAATGAAATGACAATGTAATAATCATAATAAATATGTGGAGTACTTCAAGTCTTGAAGTACTTACACTTAATATTATTTAATCTTATGGATTATTATTTATTCCCATTTTTTGTATAAGGAAACTAAGATACATGAATGACACACCTTGTCCAAGATCACAAGCGAACAAAACAAAGACAGGACAAAAATCTGATTTCAAAGGCAGAGCTCTTTCAGGTCTGACATGAGAAATCTGTTGCCTAAGTTCCAGGTCCATTGTTCCTTCTAAAACTGAAACCTAGTCTCTTAACTCTTACTCATTTTTTCAGTTAGTTACACTGTCTCCTAAAACAAACTCAGATCTTCAAGACAAAAATGATGAGATTTGTTAACACATGCATGGTGTGTGTGTGTGTGTGTGTGTGTGTGTGTGAATATTTGTGTGTATGCGTGTACGTATTGTGTGTGAATATATACATACATATGTAGGAACATACATACGCATCAATGAATTTGGCTGATACAGAGATGAGGCAGTGACTGACTATTCTTGATGCATAATTTAGCCACAATATATGAGACTATAGTAAATATATATTCTTTGGCAAGTTATTGGCATTTTACGTTTACTCATGTTAGTATAAGACACAACAAAACAAACCTACTGAAGAATCTAGATTTTATGTTGACCACAACATGAAAAGCATAGCACAAGACCATAGCTTTTATTTTCAGCTATATTGAAGTATTTGTAAAGATGTATTTGTTTTGCATAACATTAAAACTATTTTTTATTCTGTCTATAAGGTTATTTTGTTAATAATTTTAATGTTGTGCATGATGAATGTTTGAATACAAATTAAACACATTTCTTTTTTTATTTTATTTATTTTTTTAGACAAGGTCTCACTCTGTCACCGAGGCTGGAGTGCAGTGGTGCGATCTTGGCTTACTGCAACCTCTGCATTTTGGGTTCAAGCAATCCTCCCACCTCAGCCTCCTGAGTAGCTGGGACCACAGGCACAAGCCACCATGCCCACCTAATTTTTTTTTTTATTTTTTGTAGAGATGAGGTCTCACTATGTTGCCCAGGCTCAAACTCCTGGGCTCAAGCCATACTCCAGTCTCGGCCTCCCAAGGTGCTAGGATTACAAACATGAGCCACCATGCCCATCCCAAGTTAACATCTTTCTCAAAATCAAAATTCACTTATCCTTTATATCCCTCAAAAGAAAAAAAATTTGAGGTGAGAGGAAAAGGTTCATACTTTAAAAAATATGAACAGGTTTATTAACTGATAGAAAAGGAAGCCAAGGAGAGTTGTAAAATCTCTTTCCTTGAAGTTTTTCCCCAAGAAATAGGATAGGTGCTCATTCGTTTAACAACAATTTTAGTATGCTTTTTTTTTTTTTTTTGGAGACTGAGTTTTACTCTGTCATCCAGGACAGGGTGCAATGGCGCAATCTCGGCTCACTGCAACCTCCGCCTCCCGGGTTCAAGCGATTCTCCTGTCTCAGCCTTCTGAGTAGCTGAAGCTACAGGTGTGCACCACATATCCAGCTAATTTTTTGTATTTTTAGTAAAAATGGGGTTTCCCCATGTTGGCCAGGCTGGTCTCGAACTCCTGACTTCAGGTGATTTGCCTGCCTCAGCCTTCCAAAGTGCTGGCATTACAGGTGTGAACCACCATGCCGGGCCTAGTATGCTTTTTAGTAACAGCAGTATATGCCAATTGACTAAAAGGATACTACAATATGTAAGCATTCAATTTTTGCATTTAATATATAAATACCTATTCAATTTTTTACATTTTCAAAAGGGTTTGGTATTTATACAGTACCTATTTCAAACAAATTTAAGGAAGATATTGCTAAATAATATCTTCTGAACTACTGAATAATGTATCACTGAATAATAATATCACTGAACTACTCTATATAAAATTAGCATACACAAATTGTCCCTTGCACAGGTAATAAGGGAAGTGTGCACCTACATTTCTAAATAACCACTTTAATCAAAAATCAAACATAAATTATATTCATCTTTATTGCAAATAGAGATAGGAGAAGAATTTCAGTACGATGACTTGAAAAAATTAACTATTAGCCTGAAATCTAATCAGACTAACAGTAACATATCCAAATAAACCCAAGTTCTACCTTCTGGACAATGGAAAGATGCCTCACCAGGAAGCTGAGCCTGGCAGCAAAGCTAATTTGCTGAGGTCCATTGTGAGACGGTTCAGCAAAAGGACATTACTTCCACTTCTAATAATGTCTAAGCACGTTTCATTCTTTAGAAAAAAGAGTAAGGTATTTCCTGCCTTGTGTTAATAACTCTATCCTGGCCATATTTAAGGGCCAGGATATTCATTAGCTCAGGATGTGATCTTTATGAGTAAACAGAAAGCATCTCTGGGGAAATAAGAGGCCGCAGCAGGAGCTGGGAGTCAGAACAGTTTGTCACTAGCCGCAGTGTGCCACTAACTGTGAGGCAATGGATGCTTGAATTCACACCTGTGTCTTTATTAATTATCTACCCTGCCTCTTACTTTTCCCCTTCCCTCATCTCTTTCAATAATAATCCTGGTTCTCCTGTCATTTATATGGAGGATGGTCTATTTGATAAATAGGGAGAAAAGCCAGGGTCATTCTCATTAATAATTAATATTTGTGTTGTTCTTTACACTTAAGTAAATTTTAATTTTTAAAACTTCAAAAACCCTCTAAAATGGATACAGTTATAGCATTTCACAGCCAGTAAAACTGAGGCCAAATTAGTTGACTCACTCAAGGCTACACAGCTTGTAAGGGGCAGAGGCAGATCTTGAACCCAGAACTTCCGATGCCAAAACCCACAACCTTTCTCCTATACCATATTGGTTCAGTACAGAGCAGGTAGGGATCACTCATTTTAGCAGGTATGGGCCTGCTAACATGCCCAGTAAGAAGTTTCTGGGTTCTCAAAGGCAGAAATTTAAACATCGAGCTACCTTATTTCTGTAAAGTACCCCCAGAAAGGCAAAAAGTGAAGCAATTCAACCTCAGTTCCATCTCATGTACCAAGGGAGAAAAAGAATAAAGATGTATGTATGTATGTATGTATGTATGTATGTATACACAGAAGAAATTTTAACTGCCAGGAAAAGGTATAGATCCAAAGTAAAGTGGTAAGATAGTGATTAACTTGAATGCCTGGAAAAAGAAGCTATTCATAAAAATCAGAGGATTTTGTAAGTCGTGGGGGATGGTGGGATGTTTGTTAGTTGCCCTTTAGTGAAACATTGTCTAATTCAAATCCTCATTGTAGAGATGCAAACCCTAAGGGTCAGGAAGAAGAAAGTTTTTATTCATTCCTTCATCAAATCTATTGGGCATATCTTTGTTGATTGAACCAAGGATAAGATGCACTCAGTAGCAGAAACGCTCCTACGTCTGCTTCTGACACTTCCTTGTTTCCTCTGGATTTTCAGTCTTTTTGAAAAGCTCTCTAATCTTTCTCAACCTGACTTCTATTCACAAAAAATCCTGCTCTGTGAACAACATATAATATTTTTTATGACTAAGGCTCTCGAGGGGATCTGGGCTATTCAGAACACCGTGCTGTGAACATAGAGGTGGTAATGTGGAGAGCACCGAGGTGAATGTCCTCAGAGCCCAGAATATATCCACATAAGTAGGTCATGTTTGTCTTTGTTTTTCAGTGTGAGCGTGCACACATGTGCTTGGGAAACAAATCCCAGACATACGGACTGTGCTATTAATCATCAAAGGTAAGTGAAGCAAAAAACATTTTAGTTAATTGAAAGATTTAGTCAACAGACATTTTCCTGCACTGTGCCCAAATATATAAAATTAAAACACTTAAAATTTCTTTTTTCCCACTAAGAGTTGTGAAAAGTAGCCATTTATATTGGAAAAATAAATGCAGAGTAAATAAATCAGAGATATAAACATTTGACCCTGACCCTACACCGATTCAGCTGATACACGTTTAAAGCAATTGTATTTTTATCATTGATATTATATCTCCTAGCCTCCTTCAGTTCAGATGAGATTATTCCTCAGCCTTTCACTTCAGTATCAAGTCTCTTGCTTTCTCTTTCATTTTCCTACCTCCTTTTTTTTTTTTTTTTTTGGGGGGACAGAGTCTCACTCTGTTGCCCAGGCTGGAGTGCAGTGGTGCGATCTCGGCTCACTGCAACCTCTGTCTTTTGTGTACAAGCGATCCTCCCACCTCAGCCTCCTGAGTAGCTGGGATTACAGGCGTGTGCCACCATGCCCAGCTAACTTTTATACTTTTAGTAGAGAATGGGGTTTTGTCATGTTGGTCAGGCTGGTCTCGAACTCCTGGCCACAAGTGATCTGCCCGCCTTGGCCTCCCAAAGTGCTGGGATTACATGCATGAGCCACCATGCCCGGCCTCTACCTCCTATTAGCCATAATTTTTCTTCTTCCTCTTAAAATCCATTCCCTCCAGATAATCTTTCTTATGAATGTTTTCCACATGTCATAAGTCCTGCATTTACTCTTCTGCCTTAGATTCCTCTTCCTGGAAGATCTCATTTATTACTAATAAATGTGCAATACATTTATTACTAATAGCTACTTTCCAGGCACTGTGTGAAGCCCACAACATACTTTATCTCATTTAATCCTCAGAGCCTTTGCTACCCATAGAGGTTAATGAGTTGGTCCAGGGTCACAGGCAGCCTACAAGGTTCACTAGACTGTGAGGCCTTGAAGGTGGGACCCCTCCGTGTTCTCATATGGCTTCCCTGTGCATAGTGCCAGGCCCATAGCAAAAGCTTTATAAATAGTTGTGCATGGATGGGTGGGTGGGTGAGTGGATAGATGGATGAATGGGCGAAGGGATGGCTGGATGGATGGGTGGATGAAAAAACAGAGTAAGAATTTCAACAAGATCTGTCTCCTAAACTGACCCTTTTAACTTGTATGCTATATGTCTTACCTAGTACATGAAAGTTGGAGAAGAAAAAATTGACACAATAAAAATTCCAAATTGTAAGCAGCTTCTCTGAGTTACAGATTATACAGTTACATATTATACAGTTCAATCTGTATAATATGGACCTATAATGGATTGTGAGGTGTGTTCTTGCAAAAACTGCTCTGCCTGCCTCATTTTCATCAACTCTTCACTGGAGAGAGGACTCCCTCCCACTGCAGTACTGTGGTGAAGACTGCAAAGCATGCATGGAAGGCACCTCGCTAATGCCATGCCTGGCTCAGAGTGGAAGCCTAATAAAGTTCACCGGTTTTCACCATCATAGCACAGGCTCCACTGAAGGAAAGATGTCAATTTGCTTTGGATTCCCAAAAGCTGTATAGGCTTTTTAAAGTATTTTCACAAAGATTCATTCTTTTGATCTTTATAAGAATCTGAGGGTAAATGCTAAATCTTGGGCAGGAAAGAGCGTGGGAAGGATGAGGCCTGAGTATTATGTGACAAAAATATTCACAGTCTCTCAGTCTCTTTTCCCTTTCTGGAATCAGCTTCTCTGCCAGCGCAAACGCAAACTACATGCTGGGCAATCAGATAGTTTAAAAGGAACAAGTATAATGTATTAGAAAAATGGGTTATTTAGTATGAAGTGACTTATACCTATCACTATCATGTCATAGCAGAAGAATGGAAACAACCAAACGCCCATCATTAGGGGACTGAATAGACTTCACACAATAGAGTACCGTGCAGCTATCCAGAAATGAGCAAGGTCTCTAGACTGTATGGTACAGAACAGGGCATATAGCATGCCAACCTTTGGAAAGAAAGGTGAAAAACACTAATGTAAAATACCGATGTATATATTATATATATTGCATACGTAATACATGTATTTACTTATGTATTTAAAAAGAAATAAAAAAGGATAAACTAATGTTTTAAATGGCTTCCTATAGAGAGAGGAAGAGAATTGGAAGAAACTGGAATGGAACTGAGGCCTCTCTGAATGTACTTTGTTTATAGTTTTGACCTTCAAACCATATAAATGTTTTATATAATTTTAAATACAAATTTAACTTTAAAATTTTAAAAAGGTAATTCTAAAATTAAAAACCAAAAACAAATTAAAACAAACATCACAATATATCAGATATAACCAAACAGAGAAGAATTACTTCAGATAACTTCAGAACAGTATTTTGCACATCTGCAGTAAGAAATGGCCTTTGAACAAAACAAACTACAAAAGTCTAAAGCTGTATTTAGTATTTTACGATTAACTTCTGTGCTATATGTCTTATGGTTTATGGTTAATAAATAATACTGAGAATTGGTTTGAAATTATTATACATACATACAAACACACACACACTTGAATAAAATAATTATGTTAAAGTCATTAGAAAAAAGATTTTTATCATTAAACAAAAGAGATAAAATATAATATCAGAAAAGGTAAGTAATAACTGTGATATTAACATTTGAAGTGCAAACATCAGTATAATCTCATGACTTTTTTTAATTAGAAAAAGTCCAGAAACAATGACGATCTTGTAGCAATGAGCAATGGGCAACCCGAGTGTCCAGATGATGGTGTCCAAGTACCATTTTCCTGTCAAAGAAACCAAGATTCCTTGCAGATATACGACTGATCCGAGGTCCAGGGCAGGAAATGTGGAAGGTAAGTGAGTCACCTTTTGTCATGACAGAAACCACAAAGACTACTGAGGTAGAGCCAAAGGACACAGGTACTGACTTTAAGGGGCTCCCAATGGCCAAAGATTGGGCAACTGGAGCATCAAAAAGAATGATAACTGCGCCCGGTGCAGTGGCTCACGCCTGTAATCCCAGCACTTTGGGAGGCCGAGGCAGGCGGATCACGAGGTCAGGAGATGGAGACCATCCTGGCTAACATGATGAAACCCCGTCTCTACTAAAAATACAAAACATTAGCCGGGCGAGGTGGAGGGCGCCTGTAGTCCCAGCTACTTGGGAGGCTGAGGCAGGAGAATGGCATCAACCCGGGAGGCGGAACTTGCAGTGAGCCGAGATCGTGCCACTGCAGTCCGGCCTGGGCGAAAGAGCGAGACTCCGTCCCAACAAAAAAAAAAAAAAAAAAAAAAAAAAGATAACTGCAATGGAGTAAAGCACATCAAACACCTAAAAATGAGTTAATAATACTTTTAACAAATTATTGGCCACTATATAAATTTGCTAGAATATAAATTTTTACTCTGAAAACTAGTAAATAAAGAGAAAGAATCATATAAGAAATTACGGTCATTGGGGGAACTGGCCAAACAAGAAGCTGGTCATTTGGCGAACTGATTTGGAATAATTCAAAGAGAGAGAGAGAGAGCGTGTGTGTGTGTGAGAGAGAGATTCGTAATATGCTGCAAGCATGGACATCCCTCCCTAAGACTCCTTACTGTCTCCCGCCCCAGAAAGTTTCCACTACTTTACTCCTATGATCAAGATGAAAATAGTCACCTCTTACCATTTTATATGACTGTATTACCTCTCTTCGCGGGTGGGATTTAACAAAAAGCCTTCCAATTACCACTGTAAAGTAGACCAATACAATTTGTTTTAAAATCAGAAAACCTAACAAGATTTCCTAAAGGAAATTTAAATTTAGCACAGTTTCATAAAAGAAAAAGAGGAGAAACTGATTTTTCTTGATTATCTACTGTATACCAAATGCTTTAAGATCTAATTAGCTCACTTAATATTTTACAGTAGCCCTGGGGAATGATCACTCACATTTTACAAATGAGAAACTGAGACTCTGAGTGGGTAAGCAACTTGGCTAAAAGCCTACATCTAGTTAAGTCACAGATCTGGGATTCAGAGAGGTCTGTGTACTACATTAGGCTGCCCACAGCAAAACAAAACAGATAATATTGATTCTGGACATGGCCAGAGTTTGTGGGGATGCAACATTACTACAAATACCAGAGTGATGAATTGGTTAGTAACTAGTCCCTTTTAAGAAAACAATATAACTCTATAGGGAAGGTAAGAATAAATGTGTATTTGGTACACAGGGTTTTGGGAAAGTTATTTAATCTAAGATTTTAGGGAAGGAAGAATTATAGAGTTCATTTCAGTTCAAGTTATTGTTTTCTAGACTAGAAAACAGACCTGGAGAGAAAAACACTGTCCACCTTATGTACTGCGAAAGCCCTGGGAGTCCCTGCGAGGAGTAACTACACAGGCCTGGAATTAGCCTGAGCTGTCTTGCCAAATCATCAACGTGCATCTGTAGGGCACTGACTCCTAGTCAAGGCACAAAACATGTTCATGAACAGTGTTGCCTTATAACTATGGGTCCTAAGTGGTTGAGGATGGTTTGTACCAGCTTGTCAGCATTGTTTATTGACAAAAATGAGCATGAACTCTGTAATTTCTTCCTTCTCTAAAATCTTAGATTAAATCATTTTTCCAAACATGCTCATTTCATGTTTATTGTAACCAGTCTCACTAAGACCCCTGGAGAGCTCGGCTGTTGAAACTGGTTACATAGCAGGAATCTATGGGGCCAAGAAAATACTAAAAATATTCAAGCATGTGAGATGGCTTGAATATAAAAATATTCAAGCATGTGAGATGGCCTGTGGCTGCAAAGTATTAGGTTGGTGCAAAAGTAATTGCAATTTTTTTTTTTTTTGAGATGAAGTCTGGCTCTATTGCCCAGGCTGGAGTGCAGTAGCACAATCTCGGCTCACTACAACCTCTGCCTCCCAGGTTCAAGTGATTCTCATGCCTCTCAGCCTCCCAAGTAGCTGGGATTATAGGCACGTGTCACCACGCCTGGCTAATTTTTGTATTTTTTGTAGAGACGGGGTTTCGCCATGCTGGCCAGGCTAGTCTCAAACTTCTGACCTCAAGTGATCCACCTGCCTCAGCTACCCAAAGTGCTGGGATTACAGGCATGAGCTACCACACCCAGCCAGTAATTGCAGTTTTTGTCATTACTTTCAACAGCAAAAACCGCAATTACTTTTGCACCAACCTAATCATCTTTACTTTAATGCTGATGCCATGTAGTATCCTTTCCTGCAAGAAATGCCAATGTGTTTCTTATCATTTTGGGTCATCTGAGTCTTAAAAACATTGTTAAAGAGCAATTGAACCCTGTTTAACTGCCATTAGAGCACTGGCTAAGAACCTGCCACATGGTAGACACCCAAACATTCCTTAAATTAGTTGATTGATAAAGAGAAGCTGAGTGTTCTGACTTTTTGTCCACTATGAGCTCTTACAAAAGTTCTCATTAGCACTGAAGAGAAACAAATGTAATTCAGCATGATATTAATACATACCTCTCTCCCCAAAAGACAAAGAGCCTATAATTTTCACTTTTTGTTCCTAATAGCGTCTATTCATCTCAATAATGATTAAAATGATATAAGTGGGAAGACTTTAGCACCTGCTACAAAATGTTGGTTTGCAAGTACC
This sequence comes from Homo sapiens, assembly GCF_000001405.40. NCBI lineage: Eukaryota > Metazoa > Chordata > Mammalia > Primates > Hominidae > Homo > Homo sapiens. The sequence goes on from NC_000008.11 coordinate 69,731,807, forward strand.
TTTCTCCTCTCTCAGAGCCACCATGCTTGAGTAGTGTCAGCACACGTCTCAGGGGCAAGTGTCATCACCTGACCTTGGAAATGGCCAGTGATAGTGGACATCTACACCTAAAACACTTAGATTTGTATTTAAATGCTTAATCTCAACATTAAAGAGAAAAATCTGTGTATACATTTACAAAACTAGTACAAAAATTTTAAAAACTGCTCATAAACTTATATAAAAGCTGTTGATGCCCTTAGAAGAATGAAACAAATCAAAGCCCATTCATATATCTCTTGCATCTAAAGATGAAGTGATTCCCAAAGGCTGCAATTTAAGTTCAGTGGCACTGCTGTAAATCACTTCAACCAAATCCCAATTCAGTGGCTGAAGATGGATGGCAAATATTTGGTTATTTAGACAACAATAAAAATTACAGTAATTTTAAAAATTACACCCCAACCTAATTCTTTTACCGCAGAAGTAAGTATCTCAATTATTCTACAGTGAAAAACAAAATGGAATTTTCCAAGGCTACTTCCCTTGTAAAGACAAACCAATAGCTCTAACTCTATAATTGTACACATCAAAGGGCAAGAGCCCAAGCAAAGGCAATGCTGAAAGATCACAGTGCTCTGAAAACAGACGTTGTGGACCATGGCTGAGTGGATGGAAGTGGAATCCTAAATCCTTTGGAATATTGTCTTTTTGGAAATAGTGAAAAAAATAAATCGAAATGATGACAACAGCATATACGTATTATAATATTTCAGTAAAAATCACATAGCGAGGCCGAGTACAGTGGCTCACATCTGTAATCTCAGCACTGTGACCCCAAGTGGGTCAGCAGAAAGACCATGAGCAGGGAGAGGCGGGCAGATCACAAGGTCAAGAGATTGAGACCAGCCTGGCCAACATGGTGAAATCCCATCTCTACTAAAAATACAAAAATTAGCTAGGCATGGTGGCGCATGCCTGTAGTCCCAGCTACTTGGGAGGCTGAGGGAGGAGAATCACTTGAACCCAAGAGGCAGAGGTTGCAGTGAGCCGAGTTCACGGCACAGCACTCCAGCCTGGCGACAGAGCGAGACTCCGTCTAAAAAAAAAAAAATCACATAGAAATATTTATATACTCCAAGGAGTACAAGACTCTAGCATCCAGTTCTAACACTTACTATTTGCCTTTCAGCAAGTTACTTAAACCCTTCTGGCCCTTTTTTTCTCATCTAGAAAACTGGCATAATTAATAATATCTACTTCATAGGCATTAGTTACATAGATTAAATGATGTTACCCACATAAAATTGCTTAGGTAGAGCCTTGGACTTAGTAAACACTCAGTACATGTCAGCAGTGTTTTTATTATCATCGTTATTATTACAGAAATTTTATTCTCAGACCTATTCAAAGTGCACAACTTCAGATGTAAGGTGCTATCATCATAAATAATAATTTTCTTTACTGTGATATGATCGGGTTGTATTTTTCCATTTATATTGTTGTACCTATTTGAAGTTAAGTAAGCTTCAAAACAAATCACTATTCACTACTTCATTTGATCCTCACAACAATGCTGACATAGAGAGAGACAGGGGAGAGACTATCCTCAAGTTACAGATAAACTCCAGTTTCAGCTGAAATTTAGGGAGGAAAGTGACTTGACCAAAGCCATGCAACTAGTTACCGGCAGTGAATGGATTCCACGGGCACCCTGTATAACTGCTCCTTCAGGGTTGATACGGTTTGGCCCTGTGTCCCCACTCAAATCTCATCTCAAATTGTAATCCCCGTAATCTCCATGTATCAAGGGAGGTGCCAGGTGGGAGGTGATGTGATCGTGGTGGTGGTTCCCCCATGCTAGTCTCATGATGGTGAGAGTTCTCACGAGACGTGATGGTTTTATAAGGCAGTTTTTCCTGCTCTTCCTCACTCTCTTTCACCTGCCACTATGTAAGACGTGCCTCTTCCCCTTTCGCCCTGACTGTAAGTTTCCTGAGGCTTCCCCAGCCATGCAGAACTGTAAGTCAAATAAACCACTTTTCTTTATAAATTACCCAGTCTTGGATATGTCTTTATCGCAGTATGAGAACAGACTAATACAAGGGGTCGTCCCATCATTTCAGGCTTCTCCAAAATACCAACTTCATAATATTTAACTACTTTCAAGAGATAGATGTGACCCCAAGTGGGTCAGCAGAAAGACCATGAGCAGGGAGAGCACTGTGACACAGACCCCACTGTTCAGTAGAAACACACTATACCAGAGGAGTGAAGTGGGGTTGACTCTGGTATTGCGATGATGCCCTCGTCAGACATTGGTGTCACCACCTCCCGCCAGGCACAAGTGTCCTCAAGTGATTACAGCATGAGAGAAGTGGAGCTGAAGGTCCCTGAGCAGATTTCCCACCCTGCACCTGCTTGCCTTTGGAGCTCTATTTCTGACCTAGGGATAAACTCTCCCCTCCACCCTCCTTTGCCACTAGAGTAAGCTTTATCCACCCCTGCTGCTTTGCCTTTGCTCAAGCTGGTCCTCCACAGGAAATAAACACCTTTTCTCCAAACTCCAAATGGGCAGATTCTACTTTCCCTTAAAAACCTAGTTAAAAGCCATTGTCCATGAAATGAAACTCAACCACACTGCCCCATCAGCGAAAATAATCTCTGTGATCCAAATTTTCTGTTTATTTATTTAGACAGCTTTTTCTAATGTATTTCATAAGTTTTCTCTCTCCTCTTAGATGTGTAAGCAACTTAAGGCCCTGGTGTGAGTCTTTAGATTTCCCCAGCCACACACCAGGCACAGTGCTGTGCACAGAGCTGGCATTCAATGGCAATGTGAACAAGCGAGCAATAGAAGGTCAGTCCTTCTGTAGGTGTTTGGTGCTTCCTCTCTATCCATAACACAACGCAAACAAATTGCAGTGAAGGTCAGGGTATGTATCTAAATAATTTTTTTAAGTGAAAAGAGAATTTGAACTCAAAAACTTTGTCAGATGATAAATTCTTTTTCAGATATATTTCTCAATTCCCCATTTCAGTCTACATGCATTAAAAAAAGGGATTCAGAGAACAAAAGAGCTCAAATTTTAAAATTTCTTTGAAAAATGAAATCTATGCCCAGAGAGTAAGAATGATTAAACTGATAACAATTCAAAAAACCAAGAGGAGTTTTAACAAATTTACAAGAAGAAAACAAACAACCCCATTGAAAAGTGGGCAAAGGACATGAACAGACACTTCTCAAAAGAAGACATACATGCAGCCAAGAAACATATGAAAAAAGCTCAACATCACTGATTATTAGAGAAATGCAAATCAAAATCACAGTGAGATGCCATCTCATGCCAGTCAGGATGGCGATTATTAAAAAGTCAAGAAACAACAGATGCTGCCAAGGCTGTAGAGAAATAGGAACGCTTTTACACTGTTGGTGCAAATGTAAATTAGTTCAGCCATTGTGGAAGACAGTATGGCGATTCCTCAAAGACCTGGAACCAGAAACACCATTTGGCCCAGCGATCCCATTACTGGGGATATACCCAAAGGAATATAAATAATTATATTATAAAATGCGTGCACACGTATGTTCATTGCAGCATTATTTACAATAGCAAAGACATGGAATCAACTCAAATGCCCATCAATGATAGACTGGGTAAAGAAAATGTGGTACATATGCACCATGGAATTCTATGCAGCCATAAAACGGAACAAAATCATGTCATATGCAGGGGCATGGATGGAACTTGAAGCCATTATCCTCAGCAAACTAACACAGGAACAGAAAACCAAACTCGCATGTTCTCACTTATAAGTAGGAGCTGAATGGTAAGAACACATAGATACATGGAGGGGAACAACACACACTGGGGTCTGTTGTGGGATTGAGGGGAGAAAGAGAGCATCAGGGAAAATAGCTAATGCATGTGGGGCTTAATACCCAGGTGATGGGTTGGTAGGTGCAGCAAACCACCATGGCACACGTTTACCTATGTAACAATCCTGCACATACTGCACATGTATCCCAGAACTTAAAATTTTTTAAAAAAGAAAAGAAAAACCAAGAGTAGTTTTAAAAATAATTATCATCTCTGTTTAATCTTACTGCAATTTGACAGGCCCCCCTCTACTCTTAATCAATCTTAATATCTCTTGACTATTATTATTTGCTGCCTATCTATAAAGGAAGAAAAAATATGTGACCTGGAAATAAAAAGCTTTTTATCAGAAGAAGTGGAATAGCAAACATTGTATAAACTGCATTGGCTATGATCAAAACAAACAAAAGTTGCTGATGACAAAATCAGAATGGAAGTCGCATTTTTGAGATATTGCTTCTTTAACTCTGACATTGGAGCATGGGATGAACACTGTGAGTTAGCCTTATTCAATCCTGCACTTTCCTGGCCAAGTGGGACACATTTAGTGGCCACTGCCTCAACCACACTGCTGTGGAAGTCTGCAGCCGTCACCCCAGCTCCAACTGAACCCTTTATTCTGTAGCCGACACCCCAGCTCCAGCTGAACCCTTTATTTTCCACAAGTTGTCTGTCTAGCCTTGGCCTCTACCAGTAACTAAGAGATGGCTTTAGCCATATGCATTCAAGGTGCATTAATGCCTACCCGGCTCAGCACTGCACTACTCTCCCACTAACCCTGGGGTGAAAATGGTGCATCTGTAGAGAAGTGGGATGATCTAGGCAGCTCTGCTCCCTAGTCTGGCTGGAACTGGGGCACACAGTATGGCTTCCCTATGTGTATCCTGGGGAACACTGTTTATGAAAAAGATGCCTCTAAAAAAATCAGGTTTCATGGTCAAATGACTTTGGAAAAGGCTGTAGTCTGAGTCGTCTTCTGGGAGTTTCACGATGCATATCGGCATATTAAAGGAAATGAAAGGGCCTGCAGTAAAGAATCCTACGATACTTTGTTTAACTCAGCAAGTTCCAAATTTATTTTATTATGAACTGTCTTCCCACTAACACCTTTGAATATTGAAACTTAGTTTGGGAAATGCTGGAGACTACCCTATAATTAACAGCTGTGTGGCTTTGAATCTAACTTCAAGACAACTTTTGTTTTCCCTGTCCAAAAATCATTGCTCAACAAAGGGTTAGTGGAAGAGTTAAACTACAAGTAGAAGGTTTAGATTTTCTCACAACCAAACTATAAAATAATCTGGAAATTTTACCTTAATATAGGAAATCATATATTTTTGCAACCAAGATCAAGAAAAACATATTTTAAGTCACAATTACAATAGTCCACAGCAGTGTATTCTTTATAAAAACATGTGCTATCCTGGGCCCACAACCCAATGTTGTATGTCTTTATATGTATAAGATGAAGTAAAGAACAAAGTGATTACCCAGATATTTCAAATCAATTTCTCTTTCTACAGTGATGCTTGTTCATTTTCAGATAATTCAAGTTTACTGGATTTGAATGTGGAATTGGAGAACGTAGGAGCCTAAGTCACTTGAAAAGTTATCATAATTCTACACTATTTAAATACACTTCAACTACTGAAATATACCTTATTAAATAAATTAAGCCTTTAGGAAGATATGGCCAATCAGCCATCTTTGATATCACTAAGAAAATATCTACAATATTACATTATATAATATACTGAAAATTCCTCCAATATCTGAGAATTAATGTTTCCACATTTCTAAGCATCCAATTTATTATGAAAGAAGATTTTAAGCACTAAGTACTATGGGTATATGCATCAAAGTCTCCTAAAAATCAGTTTCCCAGACATCAAACATCTAAAATAAAATTCATACATTTCCTTTTCAACTTCACACATCTCCAGTAATTCAAATAAAATCTGTTCACATTTCTGAAGGGGAAATCCTGCTACCATGAAACTGATCTATATTTCAGGTTATCAATTTTTTTTAACTTAACACTTTAAAACCCATGCCAACCCATAAAAAGATCTATTTAGATTTAAATTTGAATGTCATTGCCTATTTCATTTTTTAAACTGAGAACCATAGAAATATAAATATGCAAAATTCTCTCCCTTCCCAAAACACAGTTGGGAAATGTGTCACATGGTAATACAATCTGAATCAAAGAGAACACTTTCCAGGATTTCCTCCTCCTAAAATCTGGGGGGAAAGGTAGCTGTTAATGAACTAGCTTAACACTTCGATGTTAGATTGAACTTTCTCTTTACCCATTCCATTTCATGGTCAAAATGATCATGTTTTCAAGCAGCCCTAGCGGCAGTGCCTTACCAGTGTAGATGCTGGCATTGGAGGCTGGGATACCAAACTGTGACTCGATGAACTTGGGAATGAAGGTAATGAAAGCAGTTACAATGGCACTCTCAGCTGTGTATGACAAACTCACAAAAAGGAATGTCATGTTGCTTAAGATCCTGACAGCTGCTCTTGGTAGGTCTACAAAATGACAAAAATGACAAATGAATGTTATAAACAATGGATGGAAAACAAAATAAAACTGAATTGTTTTTGAAATGAACTGGAAATAGCCATTCAGCAACATTTGCCACCAAGGAATAAAAATAGAAAGATCTGATGACGATTAGAAACCATCCTCTTTAAATAGATTTTCTTTTGTTTTTTTTTTTTAACTTTCAACCAGGATATGGAAATTAAGTAAAGTACCTAAAAACATACCCATACACAAATATCCTTATAAGCAGTACCCAACTGATAGTTCCTGTTTCAAAAACTGTTAGAATTATTTGCATTTCTTCAGTAATTAAGGCAATGCTATTTATTGTTAAGGCCTTAAAGTCCACTAGATGTGTAAAGTGCCTGCAATGCAGCCTTAAATTACAATTTCCACTTCTCCCAAGTAATATTATTATGTAGCTATTCTGCTTCTGTGGGCATCTACATGATGTTATACTTCTGATTGTCAAGGCTCATTATGAAACAGGAAATAGTCACAGTTTAAAAAGCTAAAAGAATGAGGCCATCAGGTCAGACACTCTGAGGTGCTTGAATTGGGGAACAAAGATCTCCAAAGAGGAAGGAGAGCTGAAAGGTGGGGGTTTAGCACCTGCTGAGCTGCCTCCAAGAAAGAAAGTAAAGCCTCACCCTTGAGTCTAGGCATTTATTTCACAGAACCTGCCATCTATGTGCTTCAAGGTATATGTGCAAGTATTTTCATTGGAGCATAATTTATAATACCAAAAATGTAGGAGGGGGGAATCTACATTTCCATCAGTGGGAAATGTTTAAATAAATGATGGCACAGCCATATAATGGAAAACTAGACAGTAGTTAAAAACAAAATAGAGCTGTATGTACTGGCATAAAAGAACTCCAAGAAATATTTGTATTAATGTGTAAAGCAAGCTGCAAAAATAGATGTACATATATGTGTGTAATTCTATTTAATTAAAAATCAAACAAACCAAAACAATGTATTTTATATGGTCAAATATATACTTCTCAATCATACTCATCCTACAGCCTCTTGTAAACACTGTAAATTAAAACGTCATATCCAAAATTTAGAACTTAGAAAGTTAAGATTACCTATCCACATTTAAAGATTCAAATTAAGCTTAGCAGTATATTAAAAGCCTATGTGTTAACTCTTAAACATCTGGGAAAAATATATAACACCAGACTATTAAGGTTTTGTGTTCTCTGAATTAATGTACATTTATGTAATCTTTATGTATCTTCATAGAAAAGGTAAGCTGTATTATTTTTGGCAATACAGTCATCTCAGAACGGTTATCTCTTTCAACATAATAAAGTCATTTCATTAAAATTAGCCTAGAATTTGTATTAAAGCTATAATTCATAGCCTCCTGTTGACCAAAATTTGAAACTTAGAAAGTTAAGACTGCTCACTGTCATCATTTTAAAATTTAAACTAAATTTAATGTTCTATATTTTAATTTAATTTCTAAAGTTTAAATTAACAATTTAAAATAAAAATTAAGATGCATGCTTTATTTTTTTACATGGATAAACACACCAGAGAAAAACATAAAGTGCTTCATAAAATCATCCTACAGCCTCTTGTAAACACTGTAAATTAAAATGTCATATCCAAAATTTAGAACTTAGAAAGTTAAGATTACCTATCAACATTTAAAGATTCAAATTAAGTTTAGCAGCATATTAAAAGCCAATGTGTTGACTCTAAAACATCTGGGAGAAATATAAAATAAATTTTTAACATAAGAAAGTAACATACTATCACATGACTGTTTTAAGAAATACTGGTTATATTGAACGGGTTTTTCTTCTATAGCCATTTGGCATGATAAAATAGCCTTCTAATTTCAAGGGTAACTAAAAACATGCATGATGGTTCTCTCTTCTTTTATTAAAAAAGTCTGCTGTTATCTAAGAAGAATTAGCAGAAGTTCAGACCTTCAACGACTCTAAGTTCCTTTCTTCTACCTTTCTCATTCTCCTTTACTGGGGCTGAGCTTTCAGCCTACAGCCCTCCAGGAGTTGGGGTGGGAGAACAGTATACAGGGTTGTACCTTTGGTTGGTGGGACTGGGTGATTTTTTACATCAAAGGAGACTTAGAAAGTTATAAATACATTGAAAATAATGGAAATCAGTTTTCTAACTGCCAAAGAAGAGAGTTACAAATATGGAAAGGGGGATCGTTCTACATCAGATTGGAACTGGAGGTACTGGTATGAATTCATGGTTCAGATAGACAGATAGATAAATAGATTAGAAGAAGATAGATACATGGATGATAGACTGTGTGTGTGTTTGTATGTGGGTATAAATATAGGTCCTTCTCCGTCTGCTCACAAGGCTTAGAAGTAATGACACCCTGGTAGGAATGCATCCACCTAGCAACCAATTCTTGATTTCTAAAAACCATCTTCTAATAAAAGGAACAAGAGTTCCCTGGAAAAATGTCTAACTTTACAACTGGAGCAGAGATAATACAAGATAAGCCTAGAAAATCTTGTTGAACAAGAAAGCAAAAATGTGCTCATGGAATGGTGAGGACATGTCATAAGGACACAGAAGACAGCTTGAAGGATTCTCAATAGCCCAATCTGGGACAATTTGACCTCTGTAGATGCTAAACCAGTAAGCAAAAATCTAATAGGAATGAGATATAGTCGGTTTTTATTATTCACAGATTCCATATTTCCAAAGACATCTACTTGCTAAAATTTATTTGTAACCCCAAAAATTAACACTCACAGCACTTTCACAGTCACATGCAGACCAGAGAAAAATTTGAGTCGTCCAATGCACACATTCCCAGCTGAGGTGGAACAAGGTGACACTCTGCTTTCTTGTTTCTGCTGTCATATTGTAAACTCGTGTCCTTTCCATAATACATTGTCTCACATGCTTTGCATTTTTGTACTTTTTGTTGGTGATCTCATTGTTTAAAATCCCTTGTGCTGCAGTGCTGTCTAGGGTTCCTAAAGTGCAAAAGACTATGATGTGCCTTACGGAGAAAATACTCATGTTAGATAAGCTTCCTTCAGGCATGAGTTACAGTGCAATTGACCATAAGTTCAATGATAATGAATCAACCCTATATATTAAATAAGGAGTCTTTAAACAGAAAGATACATAAAGCGAGGTCATGTATTGATTGACTGGTTGACGATTATGTTGTAATAGGAACCCAACCCTGTACCCTCCGTAGGAGTGAAGTTCAGTCCAGGCTAATCCAGTGTTCACAGTGACTTTATAGAACATAGCTGCCACAAATAATAGGTGTCAAATGTATTTACATAGCCTCAAAATATTTCCCCACAAAGTTCTTTTTAATTACTCATTGATTAATAATACATTATACTTATTAACTTTAGAATGAAGGAACCTGGCAAATACTATCTTATCCCAGTGATAAAAGCCTATTAGTGATAGGGCAAATTAACACTATATGTCTCTGCTCCTATGTACTGAGCATAGCATCATTTCAGTGGTGTGCCTGCAAACATGCATAAATCAGGAAATATCACCAAATCCAAATTGAAGGATATTCAAAGTTAATGGATATTCAAAGTTAATGGATATACAAAGTTACTTGCTTGTACCTTTTTTAAAAGACCAAGGTCATGAGAAACAAAAAAGGATGAGTAACTGATTTAGGTTGAAGGAGACTAAAGGGCACAAAAACTAAACGCATGTGATCCTGGATTGAATCTTGGACATCATGGGCATTATTGGGATAATCAGCAAAATTTGACTGGGGCCTATGGTTTAGATGATAGCACCAGATCAATGTGAATTGCCTGATTCTTATGGCTGTCCTGTGGTTATATAGGAGAGTGTTCTTGTACTTAGGAAACATACACTGAAGTATTAGGGACAGTAGAGTACCACACCCTCAATTTCTCAGAAATGTTAACAATTGGGGAATCAGGATGTAGGGTACACTGGTGCCCTGTGCTATTTCTATAGCTTTCATGTAAATTCAAAATTATTTCAAAAACACAAAATTTAGAAGACTAAGTTAGCAAAGAAGTTGTTAAACCTTCCTAAATTTGCAACCAAATACTTAATTTTTATGCTACAGAATATATTTTAGATCAGTTTCTTGGTGTCATTTATAACTGTGTCATTGTAAAACCAAAGATGCAGTAAAAAGCATGATGAAGGAGAGATGATGAAATAATGACAGTGATTATCAATTTTTGATCATTTAATGCTAGGAAATCTTACAAATTCAGGCTGGCACTAAAACCAGGAGATGCCTTAAACAGTAGTAAAGTAGGAATAAAATTCAACACAAAGCACCAAAATTCAAGAGGTTATAATTTAAGGTGGTCTATACTCTGAAATCACTTTTAAAAGAAGTGTTAATAGCATTGGCAGATCATTTGCTCCTTCCAGGTGCATATCGATGACAGTATAGGCGGCCCCATCATCACGTGCACACGGACCTGGTGTTAAATTGTACTCCAATCACAACAGAGCTATGCTGCAATAAATCTGGTGCACCCAGGGGCCTCCAAAGCCTTTGGTCAAAATTCAGAAAATCTGAGATAGGTGGTGTGAGTGGATTCTTTTTTTTTTTTTTTTTTTTTTTTGAGACTGAGTCTCGCTCTGTTGCCCAGGCTGGAGTGCAGTGGCGTGATCTCAGCTGACTGTAACCTCTGCCCCCAGGGTTCAAGTGATTCTCCTGCCTCAGCCTCCCAAGTAGCTGGGATTACAGACACTTGCCACCATGCCTGGCTAATGTTTTATATTTTTAGTAGAGACGGAGTTTCACCATGTTAGCCAGGATGGTCTCGATCTCCTGACCTTGTGATCTGCCCGCCTCGGCCTCCCAAAGTGCTGGGATTACAGGCGTGAGCCACTGTGCTTGGCTGTGACCAGATTCTTATGGAAGCTGATAAGGGATGGTGTTTAGGAGAGACTGGATCAGTCTCACTGAGGGCAGAGGCCGTAATTTATTCTCCAAACCTACTGATCACAGCATGATATAAGGCAGAAGGTATTGATATGTTTGTAATTTTTTGACCATTAGCCAAGTGGGTTCCAGCATGTGTGAATATTTTATGCTCATTTGTTAAATAAGTCATAATTTAAAGTCTGTATTTGATGAAGGTCTTTATTTTTGTTTGTTTGTTTGTTTGTTTTAGATAGGGTCTCCCTCTTTTGCCCAGACCAGTATGCAATGAAGTGATCATAGCTCACTGCAACCTCAAACTCAGGGCTCAAGCAATCCTCCCACATCAGCCTCCCGAGTAACTAGTACTACAAAAGGTCTTTATTTGGATGAGCAAAGCTTAAACAAGCACCAACTTCGGTGAACCTGAAAGGTGCAATCATCTTTTCAAGTGGGCAGAGAGACGAACTTCCTGGAAGTTTATTTAGTTTGATAAGAAATATATCCCAGGCTGGAGAGGGCTCTGCAAGTCCCTGTCACACTGCAAGACCCATCCTCTGTGGCTCCTTATACAGAAGCTGCAAGGTTTTTACCATAGGACCTGATATCCCCAAATGAGCTGATTAGACCAGGGAAGGAGGCGGGACTCAGAGGTGCTATCTACAGGCAACCCAACAGCCACCAGAAGCCTAAGGCACCCTATGTGAGCAAAGACTGGCCAAAAACCCCTTGGCTTTGTTTCCCTTGGAGTGTTTGCATTGGAGACTATAAAGGGCTAATTAGGCAGGGAGTATGAAGATTTGAGTGAGAGACAAAAGTAAGAAAAACTGAACCTGGAGCCACAGTGGAGTCTGCAGAGTGACTGTGGAGCTCAATGGCAATGGGCACATCCCTATCTGCCAGGGGCCCAGCTGCTGGGGCTTCTCCTCTCCCCTGGAGCCTTGCACCAGAACCCCAGTATCTCAGGTGGCTGGAACTGGCTTCTGCTCTTTACAACCTGAAAGGATCTATATCATGTCTTTTTGCTGTTGTGTTAGATTACTGAAACAAACTTTGTTTTAATGATATATTTGAAAAATGTATGCCAACAAAGGGATTGACCAAGCATAAGAAGCATAAGAAGGCGGCCCAGCTACCATGAACACCACTGAGTGCGCCAGGCCTGTGAGAGCGGGCTGCTGCCTGCCCTTCCACTCTGTAGTCCTACGGTTGCCCTGCCCCAAGCTTCATCCATGGCATGGTCTTCTTCATCTCTGTACTATTTGTGGTATTCCCCACCTATCTCCTTGGCAAATGTCAAACTCATCCATCAACTTTCAGGATTGGCATCTGCCCCTGTAGGAAGCATCCACAGCTTCTCTAGACAGTCTAGGGGGCTCCCTCTCTGTGCTCCCATGTACTTGGTCCATAGCTCTAGTCATCAATTCTTAGGTAGCTGCATGTGTTTACCTGTCTGTTCCTTTCAGGAGACTATAAAAGCTATGACTGCAGGACCTTGGGGTATCTGTACATCTTCAGCTCCCAGCATTCATCTGGCCTATAGGAGGCACTCAAAAAATATACTTGGAATGCATTTATTAACATTCTTTATTATATCACTGCAATAATTTGTACTAAAGCAATAGCCATATACTTGTGAAAAAATGGAGTCCATTCCAAAGAGACATAATTTCCTCCTGGGGAGCAGGTTAAGAGCTAAGAAAGCATAAGTCATAAGATGAAAGGTGGTCCACAGTGGTGAACTCACTGAAAATAGAAAATTATGCTCCTTTTAAAAGTATGGTTCTTTAATGCTAAAGAATCCTTAATGGCATCAGATAAGATTATAAACTAAAATGTCCATTAAAGAAGAATTAAAATACTAACAGGAGAAACAGAAAATATACAATATTGTCCTTTATCCAGCATATCTGGGAAAGAGATATGCTTAATTTTTCAGATTTCTGAGTGATTGCCTCTTTAAGCAACAAAGCTTTAAATATTTTTGTTGTATTAACTGGTAATACTAGTGAATGCATAGCATAATCTGACATTTTCTTCAAGATTCAAAATCATAATTAGGAATACTAATTTCTGTGTGCTAATTAGTTTTTCACCATCTTTTTTAACCTTCATTAATTTTCTGATTAGTTTTTTTTTCTGGTTGCAAGAAAATTCCTTCCCCAGGATGTGTTGTTTGTGTGTTTGTTTTTACCCACCGACATTGTGCATCCACACCAACATTTCTTTTATGTTCTTCTAAAGAGCCCTTCTAAAAGTAAACATAAGCTATTAATTTTGTTCCTTTTACATCTTTTTTTAAAATTTAAACTGGGGGTGGGATGAGGACTACTGCTTGTTTTATTATTATACAAAATAGATAAGTTAGTATTACTATGAAGCAGTTGACTAAATTTTATTACCCCAAAATGTACATTTCTACCCAGGTATAAATTATGAGTATTAAATACCAAACAAACATACTGGCCCCTCTTAATGCTTTTCATAATTTTTGACATGGATATATCCACACATACTAACATTTATCTAAAATTTAGTAGCCCAGGCAGTTTATTTTCCTAATGTTTAAATTCCACTAAAATACATACCCTTTTAAAAAAATAATTTATTGTGCCAAAATTCACAGAATATAAAATTAACTATTTTAAAGTAAAAATGTTAGTGGAATTTAGTACAGTCACGATGTTGTGCAACCACCACATCTATCTAGTTTCAAAATATAAATACTTTCTTACTATTAAAAAAAGTTAAGCATTTTATTTTCAGAAATGGGATTGGAATTCACTTTTATTTTATTCTCTAAATTTTCTGTCATGAACATGTATTACTTTTAGGATCTTGTTTTAAAAGCTGCAATTTTAAAAGGATGCAGAAATGTGTCAACCCTGAACGTCCTCCCTGACTCAGGCAGCCAACATGGATTCCTTCCTCCTCTTCCTTCCACCTTCTTAGAATGTGCATATCTCCATTTTAGGACTTAACATATTAATATTGTGTCTACTTTCTTTTCTGCCTCCCTTTGAGGGCAAGGTCTGTAACTTTTCATGTATGCATCCTGAGTTCTTAGTCCTGTAGTGATTGTCCAATAAAGATATTTGTGAAAAAGAAAGAAAAATAAAAAAAGAAATTTCCTTAGGATAGATATTGCCAGGCATTTATCTCAATACTTAAATTATTGGGCTCCATTTGGAAACCCATCTAGTCCTTTCCTAAAAGTCTTAAATAACACCCATTTCTTATATAAAAGTACATTTTGAGAGAAGAGTGATCGAACAAGCAGACAAAGGCAGCTTAAAGGGACTAAAGTCAAACAAGGCATAAAATTCACATTGGGCACAGAGACCAAGAGTGAAGATGAAAGCAACCAGAGTAGAAGGTCATAGTTATATAAAAGATGGGGATTTTTATTGATAAATTTTAAAATAATGTGATACTGCCAAAATACAGGGTGCTTTGCAAAGCACATGGGCAGTACCAAGGCCTTTGCCTTGAGGGCATAGGAAAGGCCTCCTCAAGGGGGAGGATGAAAAGTGGTGTAATAAAGAAAGGCAGAGGGAACACCACGTGATAATTATGGCCGAAGGAGGCCAGTGAGCAGATACTCCAGCTAGAACACATAAGCTTCCATATTAATCATGTTTATAAATTTCTATATTTTATAATGCTTTGACTTCTTAAAAAGCTTGCCAGCCAGCGAGAGACTGCCCTCCCAGGACTATAGCCACTTCTTAGAGATAGCATTGGGCTCAGCTGCCACTGCGAGCATACCTTTCATAAGCAAACCAACCAATCCCAAGTTGGTAGCCCCAACCACCTCCTTATCTAACTCACACACACTTCACCTGTCCTAAATCACCCAGGGTCAGGTACCAGACAACTGGAGATCATCCTTATAGCCCACAGCCTGTGGACATTATTCAAACTAGCCAATCCTAAGCTCTTTCCCAAGGATATCCCAACAAAGGCTGTGGCCTAGACTCTGGCCTTGCTCCGATTCTGCCTCCTGACCAACCTGATGCTCCCCCTGTGGCCCTGCATGGCAAGGCATGCCCCCTTCTCTTAGGAAGTGTAAGTAATTTATTCTACCAGCGGTATTAACCTCGTCATATCATCACTCAGACATCTCTATAAGTTAAAATCCCATGGGTGCAAATTATTGAACAGCCTTTAACATCTCATGAAACTTCTTGATCCTCTTCTTTTATGAGTACTTAAAGTGCAGTTGGTCCTCTATATCCATGGATTCTGCATCCATGGATTCTGCATCCATGGATTCAACCAACCACAGATTGAAAATACTCAGAAAAAAAAAATGAATGGGTGCATCTGTATTGAACACATCAGACTTTTTTATTATCCTTATTCCCTAATCAAGACCATATAACAACTATTTACATAGCATTAACATTGTATTAGGTATTATAAGTAACAAGAGATGATTTAAAGTATACCAGAGGATGTGCGTAGCTTATATGCAAATACTGCACCATTTTTATATCAGAGACTTGAGCATCGTGGATTTTGGTATCCACCAAGGAGTTCTGGAACCCATCCCCCGTGGATACCAAGGGATGACTGTATTTAAATGTTCCATTATCTCTAATCTTGCAGTTCCTGTCATTTTTATTCTTTAAAGCCTTCTGGTGCGTCAAAAAGCTGGTGAAAAAATATGATCGTCCTGCAGTGAAAACCTTAGTAACTTCTATGGCCTGTGAATCTTGCATGATCCTGTATGTTCTTGAGCATTTGGCAGATACAACTTTTCCATGCTGTTATCCAGAAGAATCAAACTATTTTTAGTCAGGGTTTTCTGTAAAAGCAAAACCAAGACTGCTTATCATATGCAACATGGCCAACACAGGACCTATGTGCCCTCATTTCCTGCTCATTTTCTTTGAAAGAAATGATCCCACGGGTTTCCCAATCATAAGGCCCCATGAAGGTACTCTAAGTCCTCCCTCCCCTCCAAAACACACCAGCAAATGGCATTTGCTGCTTGCCTGGAAAAGACAGGAGCTAGATGACACTAGCACGCCACAGTCACCTGGCAGCTTAGCACATTGAGCCTGAGACACTTGCCTACGACAAGGGGGTACACATGGCTGCCAGGGCCTAAAATACATCATTAGTGGCTCCTGGCCACAGTACTACCTTGCTTGTTTAAATCAGCACTCATGAGTATGTTCACATATCTTTCTAAGGAGATGCTACTTTGATGAGTCACCCCACAGTTATTTTGCTGAGTATAGAGAAAGAGCTTTCTTTTTCAGGGTTTCTCTGCCTGGACTGTTACCATTTACCTTTCACCTCCTAAGCTGCAAGTCCAAATCTAAAGATGTGGCTTACTACCAGAAATCATACATACAATAAAATAATAGACAGGAAAGAAACAAATAATTCGATACACAGAAAACATAAATAGAGCAGAGCATCCAAACCGGGAGAAAGAATTAAATGTGGCCATAAGACTTTTCCTGGGTTTTAGATTTGACTCTGACTTTCCTGGCCATCAAAGCAAAAAGCTATATAATCATCATTATCAGAAACACAGAAACATTCTACTTTCTTCCTGGAAAACAAAGTTTTTCCTAACTATGTTCTGGAGCTGTGGTTTTCACAGTGCAGTTCCTGGACCAACAGCTTCAGTATCATCTGGGAAATTGTTAAAAAATGCTCATTCTCAGGCCGCACTCCAGACCTACTGAATCGGAGACTGTGGACTGGGGCCTAAAGACCTGGGTTTTAGGGAGCCTTTGTGGTGATGCTGTTGTAGGCTGGGTTTGAGAACCAATGATCCAAAGAAAGGGGTTTTATATAAAGGGCACTGAGCAACCATCCTATGGCAAGTATGGGGAATTCAAGCAGCAGCTTTCAATAAAACTGCAAACACAAAATTAAAGTGCTATTTAGCAAAGGCAGTATGCAAGAAGACTAAGAGCACAGGGCCCAGGCATGTAGCTTTTAGTGATCCCTCTTTGCTGCGTCAAAAACTGACCTGGACACATTCATACTATACTTGTTCCAAAACACCTAGCAAAGGAGCATATGCAATGGTTCTGGGTGTTCTTAGGCAGCTCAAGTTCAGAATCTATTCCTTCTGCTTCTCTCAACTAGTTCCTCTCCCCATTATCTGAGGTTCAAACCCTATAATCACCTCTGGTATCTCTCTCCATCATTCCCATATCAGTTGTCACACCCTAAAGAAATGACCTGTTTCACCGGGCGCAGTGGCTCACACCTGTAATCCCAACATTTTGGGAGGCCGAGGCAATGGATCATCTGAGGTCAGGAGTTCAAGACCAGCCTGGCCAACATGGTGAAACCCCATCTTTACTAAAAATACAAAAATTAGCCAGGTGTGGGGGTGGGTGCCTGTAATCCCAACTACTCAGGAGGCTGAGGCAGGAGAATCACTTGAGCCTTGGAGGCGGAGGTTGCAGTGAGCAGAGATCACGCCACTGCACTCCAGAGCAAGACAGAGTGAGACAAAGCAAGACAGTCTCAAAAAAAAAAGAAAAAGAAAAAGAAATGACCTCTTTTTCTCATTCAATAATTCATTCATCAAATATTTACTATGTACCTACTAGGTGGTGTAAACTTAGCAGGAAATGTAATGGACAAAAAAAAAAAAACATTCCTGTCTTCATGGAGCTTACTTTCTCATTGGGGAGACAATAAATAAGTAAGTAAAATCCATGGTAGGTGAGTGAGTGATGGGTGCTAAGGAGAACACTAAAGGCAGGATGGAGGTAAGAAGCCTTGAAGGAGAGGTCAGAGATTTTTAACAGGGTGGCTAAGGAAGGGCTCACTGATAAGGGGCCACGTGAGAAGTGCACTGAGGGAAGTGAGAGAACATTCCCAGCACAAGCGTGGCAAGTGTAAAAGTCCTGGGGTGAGACTCTCTGGCACGTTTGAGGACCAACAATGAGCCCAGTGGGGCTGAAGCAGAACACACAATAAACAAGTGGGACTGAAAGGAGATAAAGTCGAAGAGGTAACCAGGGGTTAAATCATAGGTCATAAAGGAGTGGACTTTTCTATGAATGAGCTGGGAGACCACAGAGCTTTGAGCAAAGGATTGGCATTTTAACATTTCTGGCTGCTGAAGGGAAGGCAGGTAGAAAGGGGGCAAGGGTCGATGCAGCAGGGCCAGTTTAGCAGGCTGCTGTCCTTTCCTTCTCTACTAGTCGAAACCTCTCCACTGGGCTCTGTCTGCAGCTGTCTACCTGTGCCCCTTCCTGACAATCTGCTCCTCCTCCTCCCTAATCTACCTCTTTGAGTGCTACCAAACACCGACTCAAACCTCCCCATTCCCCGTTAGAAAAGAAATCGAAGAACTCACACTAGAACTCACGCTCTCCACCATGTGCCCTGCTTGACCTTCCCAACCTCATCTCCCAGGCCTCTGCCACATATGTCCAACAGACCAACCACAAAACGCTTGTTCAGCACATTCAAATACATCTACACAGTCCCAGTTTTCTGGCCTTTGCTCTCTCTGCCTGAACATTCCTGACACCCGCCTCCACCTACTGAAATCCTCCCAGTCTTTCAAGGTTCATCTCAAATGCCACCTCCTCCATATAACTTTTCCTGATCCCTCAACTGGATGCTCCTTCTGCAGCCTTGAACCTCCACAGCTTTGCACCTGTTCTCTTCTTATGGCCTTTAATACATTTCCATCTGTATTTGTCCTGGCTCCCTCAGTGGACTCTAAGCTCTTGGAGGGTAAACCATGGCTCACTCAACTGTATAACTAAAGCATGGAGTACAGCACCCTCTATAGAGTGAACATTCAGTGAATTCAATGATGCCAACATTATCCTTCCATGAGCAAAATTCTCCAACTTTCAGTAGCCTCTTTAAATCAGTTTATCACCTCAGGGTAACTATTTTATTTAGTTAGGATTTTAAATATATTGCACTCTAACAGACAAAATCCTAGCAGAGAAATCTCTGTTACATTTTATGCTTAATAAATAATACTAAGCAATTAAGCTTCAAAGATTAAAAAGTGGACATAGAAAGTAAAATCATTCTTATGATTAACTGCCACCAAAAGTTTTTTAGATAGAAGGCTGCCCAGTTAAATTTGGAATGCTTTAAAATGCTGGACCTCAAACCTCAGGAAAATGGATTCACTTAAATATTTTAAGTGTTTATTTTTATTGGTAAGATTTTTGATGGAATCAATGCTAATTTCTTTGTGGAATGTAATGCAGATATACTGAGAATTCTACTTTCCCCTTTGCGGTGTCTTAAATCAGTGTTATTCCTGCATAATTTATAATAAGAGTATGAAAACACTGAGTCAGATTTTCTCAATGTCTGTCATTAAAATGTGGAGGTGGAGTATATTTTCTTCTATCATTCTCTACAATAGAACTTCCCAAAAGGGCGCCATTCTGTATGGCTCAAATAATTTTCTTTTTTTTTTTTTTCGTGAGACGCAGTCTTGCCTCTGTCACTCAGGCTTGAGTGCAGTGGCACAATCTTGGCTCACTGCAACCTCCACCTCCCGGTTCAAGCGATTCTCCTGTCTCAGCCTCCAAAGTAGCTGGGATTACAGGTGCTCACCACAACGCCCATCTAATTTTTTTATTTTAAGTAGAGACTCGGTTTTGCCATGTTGGCCAGGTTGGTCTCGAACTCCTGACCTCAGGTAATCCGCCCACCTTGGCCTCCTAAAGTTCTGGGATTACAGGCATAAGCCACTGCACCTGGCCAATAGTTTTCTGTTTAAGGAAGTATAAGTTACCAACTTCTACCTCCTCTTTGAAGGTACTAATATTGGTATCCAAATTTCAAATATAAAGTAAAGACCAAAAAGCCAAGCGTGGTGGCTCACACCTGTAATCCCAGCACGTTGGGAGGCTGAGGCAGGCAGATCCCTTGGGTCCAGGAGTTCTAGATCAGCCTGTGAAACATGGTAAAACCCCATCTGTACAAAAGATGCAAAAATTACCTAGGTGTGGTGGCACAGGCCTGTAGCCCCAGCTACTGGGGAGCTGAGCCAGGAAGGATCACTTGAGCCTGGGAGGTTGAGGCTGCAGCGAGCCAAGATCACACCACTGCACTCCAGCCTGGGTGACAGAGAGAGACTCTGTCTCAATAAACTAAAATAGAATAAAAATTTTAAAAATTAAGACCAAAAGAAGCCCTACTCCAGAAAATAGAAGGGAAAAAAGGATCTGGGACTCAAACTCAGATTTAACTCAAAATGGACTTTTCTATGAATCATTTTTTAAGGCAAGACCTCAATAATAAATCTCAGCTTTGTTAAAAAGTAACCTCAATAATAAATCTCAGCTTTGTTAAAAAAAAAAAAGTGATGTCAATAGCAGAATGATTCCTGGAGATTTAATTTGTCCTTTGGAAAATTATATTAAATATGAGTCACTTTCTTCAGGTGATATGTATTAGATACACTAAAGGAAATCAATGTATACAAGATAAAAATGAATTAATTTTAAATATTCTAATTGAACATCATTTTATATCATCAATGGCATTTTTAGCAAAAACATTTTCAGTGTAATTCAATTAAAACAGTATTTCTTTCTAACAAGATAATGTGTCTCTTGAAGTTCCAGTCTTGATATGATTAGAGAATCCAGTACAAGTGGAAATAATAAAATGAATCAGCTGTGTGTCCCAGTCAGGAGGTTTGGCTGCAGAAGTAGGATCAGTCATGATAATCAAGGCATAGGGTAAAAAAAGGAGACTTTATCAAAAATACTAACAAGAAAATCAGAACATAAACAGATTTTATAAACCAACTACCCATCACCATTCAAGGACTCCTCTTATTCTCGTTTTTAAAAGAAAATATCTTGAACCATCAAACTGAGCATAGAGAAGACAGAGAAAAGCAACCCCTGGCAGTACAAGAAGTTATCCCATAAAATAGTGTATACATTCAATTTCCAAAAATCATTTTTGAATTCTCAATGGCCCTGATCGCTTTTGAACTTGCATATCTAAGTATGGGTTCCCCAGGAGAAGGCCCTGAGACAAGAGTTCGCATCTAAGTAATTTATTGGGGCAACTCAGGGAACACTGGGTGGAGAGTGTGGTCGAAGTGCACTGGAAGGGAGGAGAGCCCACGAAAGACACAGAAACACACCTCAGAATTGCCTACCCCAAGAGGGGCAGGAGCTGCGGTGTTCATCCAGTCATCTGGTTAAGACTTCTCTGGGGCATGGGAGGCCAGGGGGTTCATTCCTTGGTACCTGAAAACCGCCTCAAGCAGGAGCCAAGCAGTTTTCTCAGCCCACAAAGAAAAACCTTCAGGTAAATGATTTCAGTCCTGGCAGTTGGTGGACCTCTGCCATGAAAACAGTAGGGTCCAAAAATGTGGACAGGGCATTGATAGCATTGTCTACACTGCATCTTCCAAAAGAACTTCATTCTCAGCAACAGTTGTATCTGCTGTTGGTATTTGATATCAATCTTCTCCCCGCTTTTTTCTACTGTCCAATAGATCATATATTTCATATTCAAGTCACCTAACCCTAAGCTATAAAACATATAATTTTATCTTACATATGACTTTATTTCTCCCTTTGAGTCTACTTTATAGTCTCCATAAATGAAGACTCAAAGGCTGGCCAGGCATGGTGGCTCACGCCTGTAATCCCAGCACTTTGAGAGGCCGAGGAGGGTGGATCACCTGAGGTCAGGAGCTCGAGACCAGCCTGGCCAACATGGTGGAATACCATCTCTGCTAAAAAAAAAAAATACAAAAATTAGCTGGCCGTGGGCGGGCGCCTGTAATGCCAGCTGTTCGGGAGGCTGAGGCAGGAGAATTGCTTGAACCTGGGAGGCAGAGATTGCAGTAAGTGGAGATCACACCACTGCACTCCAGCCTGGGTGACCTATCTCAAAAAAAAAAAAAAAAAAAAAAGAATCAAAGATTATTGCTATGTTTTAAATTCTTTGACATCAACCTTATCTCAATTGAGTTGTGAAAAAAAATCACTCTTTTGATAGTAGCCATAATGGTCTACAATAGGTTCACAAAAATGTTGGGCTGGTGCACATGGGAAGAGATCAGGCCATGCCAGCATCCAGAGAATGCTTTATGTTATTAGAGCATAAGAAGTCATGTACAGTTCCAAAAGTGCACACTGTCACAAAATCATGGGAAGGGAGAGGGCCACATCTAAAATGTAACTGGAAAGAGGCATTTTCAATGAAATAGCACTTCATTTGCTTTCAAAAATTACAGTCTTTAAAAATGGTCCAATCTAACTATTATTGTTCTTAGGCCATAGCGACATGTCTGTAACATATGAGTAACTTTATTCCAGGCTGGAAATGTTCCTCTTTGGCCACACTGTGTACACAGTCAAAACGAGATGATAATGTGCCTAGGTAAATTTTACCTAACACAACCTTGACTGATGAAAGTACTTGATAAATATTATGCTTCATAATTTATATCAAAAAAATCAATTCAGAGAATGTTGGAAACAAAACTAAAACTAATGGGAGTGTCACATTATAGGTTTCTGGAATTAAAGGGACTTATTGTCATTCAACAGATATATGAAATACTGAACAAATATTGTCTGGTCATGATCACTTCAAATTGTTTAGGTTATAGATTGCCTAATCTAGTTTAATATAATCAGTATTTTTAAGAGAAATAAAAATGAAAAAAAATAAACCATATATCACCAAGACCTTCTGGATGCTTTTACACTGCATTTGGAGGTCCATCCCCTGGCCACCCTTCTCTGGGGCCACATGCAAGCATTTGACAGAGCTGCTAAGTGAGATCCCTTTCTAGTGGTAGGTATTATACTTATGTAGGCATCAAACCACACTGCCAAAGCCACTATTCCCCTGAAATAAACCCTCCATGGCACAATGCACTTGATTTTTAATATTTTAAAAATCAGACATCTCTAATTATAGTAAATAACATATATAGACATCTGTTTCTTTATGATCTAAATCAGTGCTTCTCAAACTGTGTGTGAGGAAAAACCATTTTTTTAAATTATTATTTCTAGTCTGTCATCTACTAATACTTTTGCAAAATACACAAATGATGAATTATTTAAAAATTAATTTTTAAATAACATACAAAATATAACCTTAATTTTTAAATTATTCTTAGATGCAACAGGCAAAAAAATTACTCTGTCAAGTTTCTAAGAGTTTTGCAACACTTACTCTCAATCTTAGTACTTATCTGGCCACAGACAGTGGGTAGACAGCATGGGCCTGGGACCACACTATGAGTAGCACTGATCAAAGTGCCATGCATGTATTTATTCAAGAGGTATACTTTACCTCTGACATCCTTTCCAAATCCCATCGAAGAAACTTTTTTGTCCGCTTGTTCACTGTTGTTTGATTTCTCCTTCAGAACATCGTCATCACTAACAGCATCAACAGAAAATTTTTTCTTTTTCTTTTTCTTGTGTCGAGGTGGAAGCTTTTTTGGGAAAGTAAACATTGGGAATATCACAAGAAACATTGCAATGGCACAAAGGAGGAATCCACTCCACCTAAAAAATTGGAAAATGTGAATAGCATTTACGTCTTTTCTTTTGTGAGTGAGAACAAATTAGTAAAGCAGAAGTTTGTGGTGAAAAAATTTTGAAGAAAACTTTTTGTAATCAACTGTAAAGCAGTAGGAAGTTGAGCAAACTAAGAAAATGAAGGAATTCTCTCTTTCTGTGATATAAATGAGAAATCTACTCAATAATTATACCAGTGTTATACTGAATATTATAATCAGCAACCTGATTCGAATTTCATTCAAGTATTTTTGAGCACCAATGAGTTAGTTCTGCTAGCATTGCTAACCTTCTACAATGTGTATTTTATGATAAATCCCTAAATTATAAATTCAATAGAAAAATAATGTAGACAATAGCATGTTATGTGGACCAATATAGACTTTTTTTTGTCATAAGAAAAGCATTAATATCCCATGTGAAATATGTTTTAAATTATTGAGAATATTCAAATATTTTTCTGCAAACACTTAAGAATGTATTGACCCAGCTGGGCGCGGTGACTCACACCTATAATCCCAGCACGTTGGGAGGCTGAAACAGGAGTTTGAGACCAGCCTGGCCAACATGGTGAAACCCTGTCTCTACTAGAAATACAAAAATTAGCCAGGTGTGGTGGTGGGCACCTGTAATCCCAGCTACTCGGGAGGCTGAGGCAGGAGAATCACTTGAACTTGGGAGGCGGATGTTGCAGTGAGCAGAGATCAGGCCACTGCACTCCACACTCCAGCCTGGGTGACAGAGCAAAACTTAAAAAAAATAAAAAGAGAATGTATTGCCTCCCACTTAGCTGGCCTTCACAATACTTCACCAAGTATGAGGGTTACCAACAAAGACATTTAAACTTAGTCCTTGCCTTCAAGAACCTACAACCTGTTCATAAGCAAGCCAAAAATATAAGAAACCTCTAAGAAATGCAAAATGTATATAATTAAATATTAGGTTATATGGTACAGATTATGAGTGCTACCAAAATTCAGAGAGGGGAAATTAATGTGTATCGGAAAGCTTCCTAAAAGAAGTAGAACAGGAGCTATTAGACTCAGAATTCTGTCGTGAAATTCACCTGAGATTGCCACGTTGCAGAGCACTAGGAAGCAAACACAGGGAGTAGAATGAAATTGTAGTATTAGAGCCCTGGGCTTCTTGACTGCATGATGCCCCGTGGGGCAATTTCTCAGTTCCCTTTCAACATTTCCTTAGCAATCAGAGGTCCCTGGCACTCCCTAACAGGGTAGCCACGTTCTAACTATGATTCCTCACCTCCAAACTCTGCCATTCAAGCTTCCAAGTTCATAAATGCTCAACACATTCCCATCAACTGTAACCAGAATGCAAGCAGCATCATAAGTATTAACGCTGAATTCAATCAGGTAAGACTATAGATCCATTGCAAAGTGAAAATTCATTTTTTAAAATAATGTTTCTATTAAAGTGCTGTTATCAGCTGCTAAAGGTCACAGTTGAGAGAATGATTCCTACAATTAGTCATTAATAATTTAGTGTGCTATTTTCAAAGATATTTAAAGTTACATCAAATGAAGATTTTAAGATAGTCAGTAAAGGGCTTTATTTTGAGAAGTTTGTTCGGGGCAGACTTCCAGCAATCTCAGTTATTCAGAATGTAATCACCAGCCCAGTGCCTGACACAGATTAGGTACTCAAAAAAACATGCTGAATAAATAAATTGAAAGAGACAGTTTTAATTTTAAAAATGTCAGCTGGTTACGGTGGCTCATGCCTGTAATCCCAGCACTTTGGGTGGATCACCTGAGGTGTAATCCCAGCACCGAGATGGGTGGATCACCTGAGGTCAGGAGTTTAAGACCAGCCTGCCCAACATAGTGAAACCCCATCTCAACTAAAAATACAAAAATTAGCCAGGCATGGTGGCAAGTGCCTGTAATCCCAGCTACTCGGGAGGCTGAGGCAGGAGAATGGCTTGAACCCAGGAGGCAGAGGTTGCAGTGAGCTGAGACCTTGCCACTGCACTCTAGCTTGGGCAACAAGAGTGAAACTCTGTCTCAAAAAAAATAAAAATAACTAAAAAGGTCATCTGTCTATAGAGAACATAGCTATGATAATGCCTGGCCCTCTTAGTACTTGGCTGCTTACGAGGTCCTTACCCATCAGGCACTATCAGGCACTGCTCACTTGCCTCTGGAGCCTCTCTCCACGAACTCTCCATTCCAGTCCCCTGAATCCCTGCAGCTCCCTGAGCTCTCACACTCTCTCCAGAAGACGGCAGGCAGTGTAGTGTAGGGGACAACTCATGGGCTGTGGCTTCAGGCAGACCTGGGTTTGTATCCTGTCTTTACCACTTGCTTACTATAGGATCCTGTGAAAATTATTTTGCTTTTCCAAATCAGCCTTCTTATCTACAAGTGGGGTATTAAGTATGTTTGGGGATCATCAAAATTAAATAAGACAGTGTTATGATGGATGTCATAAAACATCTGTCCCCAAATTAACAATCAGTTCATGATAGCTAGTTTTGTGTGTCTGGTTTGCTTTTTAATTAATTATTTATTTATCTTGATTTTTTTCTTTAGAGACAGTGCCTCACTCTGTCACCCAGGCTGGAGTGCAGTGGCACGATCATGGCTAACTGCAGCCTTGACCTCCCGAGCTCAAGTGATCCTCCCACCTCAGCCTACCAAATAGCTGGGACTACAGGCGCAGTGGCTAATTTTTTACTGTTTTGTAGAGAAGTGGGGGGTCTCACTATGTTGCCCAGGTTGGTCTTGAACTCCTGGGCTCAAGTGATCTGCCCGCCTCAGCTTCCCAAAGTGCTGGGATTATAAGCGTGAGCCACCGCACCCGGCATGCTTTTTACATAGCATTGCACTCAACCTCCCTGCCCATCCCAGCCCCAGCCATTAACTTAAGATTATATGCAAACATTAAAAATTTACTCATAATAGCCCAAAGTGAAGGTGCATAACAGGAAGGGGAGAAATACAGCAAATAAACAAAAAAATACAAAAATAATATTAAAGTGTGGGGTCACTTCAAAGCAGAGCAAACCAACTCACATTATTCAACAGTCTCAAATAACATCGATACAACACATCATATAATAATGATGCTAAAGAGGACTCTGAGAAAAGCTGAGACAAGAAAGTGTGCAGTACCTGTTGGAAAAAGACACATCAATAACAGCTACACTTGAAAAGCCAAGCTACCTAAATCCCTTTCATGAACCATGACTCAGAGACCATTCACTAAGGGGGCCAGTTAAGAGAGTGAACTGAGAGCTGTGCTCCGGAGTCAGTTTCTTTTCCCAGCTCTCACTGACTCTGAGGCTAATGGAAAATTATTGAACTCCCTGAGCATCAATTTCCTCAGCTGCAAAATGCACATACCAGTGACTACCTATGGTTGTTCCAAGGTAGTTCCAAGGCTTAAATGAGAATGTCTGTAGAGCTTAGTATAATGCTTGACACAAAATAAGCACCCAATACATTTTAGCATTATTCATTCCTTCCTTCCTTCCTTCTCCCTTTCAGCATGTGCCCATTGAAAACTTATCACTGCTGCTAGACATCGTATAAAATAACATTGCATCAAATAACTATGTCTTTGTTCAAGGTAGAAGTGTGTTACAAGCAGTTACTCAATAAAATTCAAATTCATGTTTAAATAGACCCTCATTATATATTTCTATATTGACAATCTTTATCATGTATAGAACTAACATTGAGCCATTAAAAATGGATAAAATTACTTGAGCACTGATTAAATTCAAAGGACTGAATAGCTAACACATACTGTACAGCAGGAACAACTTAGAGTGCTAGACATGTAAACTCATTCATTCCTCACAATGACCCTATGATAATAAGTACCATAACTACCTTCTTTTATGGATTATAAAAACTGAGGCACAGAGTAACTTCCCCAAGCTCACATAGGTATTAGGTGGCAGACTAGGGTTTAAACCCAGGGGAATATGGATTCAGGGTCTATACTCTTCATCTCTCAATTTTATTTATTTATTTATTTATTTTGAGATAGAGTCTCGCTCTGTCACTCAGGCTGGAGTGCAATGGTGCCAACTCAGCTCACTGCAACCTCCACCTGCCAGGTTCAAGTGATTCTCCTGCCTCAGCCTCTCAAGTAGCTGGGACTACAGGCATGCGCCACCACACTCGGCTAATTTTTTTGTATTTTTAGTAGAGATGGAGGCTCGCCACGTTAGCCAGGGTTATCTCGAACTCCTGACCTTCAAGTGATCCACCTGCCTCAGCCTCCCAAAGTTGGGATTACAGGCATGAGCCACCTTACCCGGCCCTCATCTCTCAATTTTGCTGCCAACTGGACTAACATCTCCTAAAAACAGTTCAAAAGATGGCATAAAGCACTGGTAAGACTAAAGCTCCTGCCTTCCCTCCTTCTCCCTACCTGAGTTGGTTCTCCCCATCTTTCCCTCCAGATGTTTCCCTGTCACTGTGCCCTCCTTAAGGACCTCTAAATAGAACACAGAACATATGCTGGATGTTCATAAATAGAGTTAATTAATCTGGTTTTCTGACAATGAAAAACATCTCTACTCTGATTAATTTCAGAACTGGAAAGAAAACAGACAAGACCAAAAATTTCACTATGAGTCAAGAACTTAAAACTCCTGTGTTATTTCCCTAATGCTGACAGGGGAACTCCTTTCTGTATGATTTAAAAATTCTACCAGACATAACACTTCCAGCTTCAAAGAGCATTACTTATGAAAATAGGAAGTGTGTATAACAATTAATATCTGTTAGCTGCTTTGAAAATCAATAGTGTTAAACATTATTCCTACCAACCTCGGAGTTATGATGTTATTATCATGTAATGAAACACAGAGAGAATAAAGTACTCTAAGACATTTTTTAGAAAGTAATTACTTTCTCCATGTGTGTCTATGTTCCAAAAAAAAGTGAGTGAGTAATTACTTGGCACATATCTTTTCTAATACTGAAGTATTCTCTTAACTATAAAGTGAAAATGCCTTATCAATGTATATATATTGCTAATCCACATGAAATGAATTCAGGACACCAATATTTTCAGTTAGTGCTTGCAATTGTGAAAAATAACTTATCATGTTCAAGTTGAGGACTGCAAGAACTCAAACGCAACTCTGTTATTTGGATAAATAACATAACATCCAAAGTTGAAGTTCTCATTCTGAGTCCTAAGCATTACTTATTTTCCAGGACAATTAAGTCCTAGCAAGCGAGAAAGCAGCTAAATCTCTAGCACACATGAGGAAACAAAATATTAGCAAGAAAAAAGGGTCACTGAGAGTGTGACAATGGAAAAGCAGGACTGGCATTCCAGGCAGTGGGAGAGGGTTGTAAAGCAGACACCAAATACAATAAGAAAGTGAAAACAATGTATTTTTTTAAGGCACAGAAAAGATACTGAAAGGTATGATTAAAGTCAGCAGGAAAGTCCCCACGCAGCCACAGCAGTCCTTTTCCTTCACTCTGCTATAAAGGAAGCACCCCAATCCTAAAGAATGTGGATTAAGCCAGTGTCCCCAAACCCTCTGTATAAGCTCTCTGCTATAAGAAGTTACCACACACTTCGTGGCTTCAGGCAACACAATCTGATTCATGTCACAGTTCTGGAGGTCAGAAGTGTAAAATGGTTGAAAGGGCTGGAGGCTGGGGAAGAACCCATTTCCTTGCTTTTCCAGCTTCTAGAGTCCACCTGCATTCTTTGCTCGCAGCCCCTTCCTCCATCTTCAAGGCACAACACTCCAACCTGTGCTTTAATCATCGAATCTCCTTCTTTGATTCTTGCCCTCCTGCTTCCGTCTTTCCTTTGATTACACTGGGCCCACCCAGGTCATCTAAAATAATATCAGAGTCCTTAATCACATCTGCAAAGTCCCTCTTGCCATGTAAGATAACATATTCATAGGTTCTGGGGATTAGGACGTAGCTTTCTTTGGGATGTTATTAACCTGCCTGTCACCCCTTCCCAGGCACCTTTCAGCTATTTTTTGTCTCCCCATTGGAAAAATTTTAAATACAAGTGTACCATGACTTTAACTATTATTAGTAAGAACTGAAATTTAAAAATTAGAAAACAGAACTTACCAGTTTCCAATGAAACGAGGGTCATTCTGGTCAAGGTGAACAGGATTTCTGGGATCAACATAAAAACCAATAAGAAGTCCACCTAATAAATATCCCACTGCAGGGCCAAGTGCTCCCATGACATACATGATGGCTGAGAAGACAGAAGGGGAAATGTGAAATACAGCGACGTTTTATTACATGTTAGGAGTTCTCTCATTTCACTCTCATACCACAGACATCTCACAGTTCAATCCAGTTAACTTCCAAAAACGGAGACCTTTGGAGATTTGTGTCCATGTCTACATCTTGGTTTTGAAGCTTGCCCTTTGTTAACCTATTGTCCTCTTAGAGCGTAAGAATCATTGGGAGAGCTTTTTGGTGGCTTTTGTTTTGTTTTCTTTCTTTCTTTCTTTCTTTCTTTCTTTCTTTCTTTCTTTCTTTCTTTCTTTCTTTCTTTCTTTCTTTCTTTCTTTCTTTTTTGAGACAGAGTCTTGCTCTGTCACCCAGGTTGGAGTGCAGTGGCGTGATCTCAGCTCACTGCAAGCTCCACCTCCCAGGTTCATGCCATTCTCCTGCCTCAGCCTCCTGAGTAGCTGCGACTACAGGCGCCCGCCACCACACCCAGCTAATTTTTTGTATTTTTAATAGAGATGGGGTTTCACCATGTCAGCCAGGATGGTCTCGATCTCCTGACCTCATGATCCACCTGCCTCGGCCTCCCAAAGTGCTGGGATTACAGGCATGAGCCACAGCACCCGGCCCTGTTTTTTAATATAAGTGTTCAGACCCCACTCCAGAACCACTAAATTCTAATTTCTAGAAATAGAGACCCAGGCTAGTTAATGAGGCAGTCACTGAATAACCAAGAGAAGATTTTTTTTATGTCTAAGATAAGGAAAAAAAAAGGAAAAAGTAGGTTTCACTCATCATAGCTAGAAGATTCTAGCACGATGAGGGAATTTAAGACCAGATTTTGCTATGAGGCTGGATTCAGCTGAATTGACAAAACTGCTTAAGTGTCCTCACATTGCTAATATTTTTTCAAACCACCATGTTAGAATTAAATAAGATGTTACAATGCATTTGGTTTACTGTTAATTGAAGTATCTTACTCAAATATGAATAAATCTACCTAAATGGCATGGGTCAAAAGTTCCAAATGGAAAGCACCAACCACAGATGAACCAGAAAATAATTTTTTAAAGCACATGCCCAAAGGGGGTGGGGAGAGTATGTCTCACTGCCAGTGTATCAAAAAGGTTGTCACTGTATCCAAAAATCTTGCCATCAAAATGGGCATATAGGCCAGGCACGGTGGGTCACGCCTGTAATCCCAACACTTTGGGAGGCCAAGGCTGGTGGATCACCTGAGGTCAGGAATTTAAGAGCAGCCTGGCCAACATGGTGAAACCTCGTCTCTACTAAAAATACAAAATTAGCTGGGTGTGGTGGCACGTGCCTGTAATCCTAGCTACTTGGGAAGCTGAGGCAGGAGAATCGCTTGAACCTGGGAGATGGAGGTTGCAGAGAGCCAAGATAACGCCATCGCGCTCCAGTCTGGGCAACAAGAGCAAAAACTCCATCTCAGAAAAAAAAAAAAGAAAAACAGGCCAGGCGCAGTGGCTCATGCCTATAATCCCAGAACTTTGGGAGGCTGAGGCAGGTGGATCACTTGAGGTCAGGAGTTCGAGACCAGCCTGGCCAACATGGTGAAACCCCATTTCTACCAAAAATACAAAAATCAGCCAGGCATGGTGATGCATACCTGTAATCCCAGCTATGCTGGGTGGGAGGCTGAGGTGGGAAAATCACTTGAACCTGGTAGGCAGAGATTGCTGTGAGGCATGATCACACCACTGCACTCCAGGCTAGGAAACAGAGCAAGACTCCAAAAAAAAAAAAAAAAAAAAAAAAAAAAAAAAAAAAAGGGTGTATAGCAAACAACAACAAATTCATTAGCATTCCTTTAATTTTTTATTTTTCAATTTTCACTTTTATAATTTAAAATTATAAAATAAGTAATATTTTGTCAATTTTAAAATTTTAAGATAGGATATGGAATTCCTTGAGAATCATAGAAAAATCTAGCCACATTCCAAACCTAATTTTTTCCTATTTGAACTCAGTTATTTTGGGACAAATCAATAAACACTTTTTTTTTTGAGACGGATTCTCTGTCGCCCAGGCTGGAGTACAGTGGTGTGATCTTGGCTCACTGCAACCTCTGCTGCCCCGGTTCAAGCGATTCTCTTGCCTCAGCCTCCCCAGTAGCTGGGATTACAGGCACCTGCCATCGCACCGGGCTAATTTTTGTATTTTTAGTAGAGACAGGGTTTTACCACGTTGGCCATACTGGTCGCGAACTCCTGACCTCGTGATCCACCCACTTCGGCCTCCCAAAGTGCTGAGATTACAGACGTGAGTCACCACACCCAGCCAATAAACACTTTTATGGCACTGTTGTGTACAAGGCCTGGTAACAAACTCAGATGTTAAGAGTTCCTCATTTCCAATGTCAGCATACATTGTTAACCACTGAGTAAATAAGGAAGCTTTGCCATATCCTTTAAAGTTACCAGAAAGCAAAGTGGAATAATTAGAATGGCTTCACCTTACTTTATCATTCACACCTAAATACACTTTGAATGATTTTGTACCTCCTGTTACTTTTAACCACAAACAGCAAGACAGTAATTTAACACCTGCTCTCACTTTTCACACTATTTCAAAAGAGAAAGCACAGTGTTTATTTTATAGAATCATCTGCTTGTAACAATAAGACATTAAGTTCTTTGACTCTCCATCTGTGTTTGGAAATGGAGAATGGAGGCAGAGCCACAAGTAATTCGTACTTTTTCAGAAGCATGCTTCTCATCAATAAAATTAGAATTTTGATAAAGATCTTGTTAATCTCTTTGTTTATAGTCTAGACTGTAACTCAAGAATAGAAAGTACTTTTTCTGTTATAGGTATTCCCATACGCATATGAAGACAACACTTATGTTTCCACCTCCAGACAAACCGGCATCATTAACAACTTAAAACTGTAATGAGGCCAAAATGTGACATGAATCATTCTCCCAAAATAGTTCCTCTGGCATGAAAGAAGCTATCTTACACACACAGACAGGGAAAAGGGTATTTCCGCCATAGTGTTTATGCCAGGTGCACCTGACTGCAACATCTTGGAGTGGCAAGCGGGATTGTGCAGGATGTGTACAGGCCAGACACACAATATCCAGTAAGAGGAAAATTCATTAAATAGCATTCACCAAAAAAACCCTTAACTACTCCCTAAAATATAGATAAAGCTTTTTAAAATTTGGAAAAGTAACCAGAAACATTTATTTCTATTATATAGCAAGCAAGTCCAGTGGAATCACTCCCATATATATCTGTGTGCCTGTGTGTATATATATGTATGTATACGTGTGCCTGTGTATGTATATGTATGTATATGTGTGCCTGTGTGTATACAGATACATATATATATACACACACACACAATGGCACACATATACACACATATACAACTACATATATGTGTATATGTGTATATATTACAGTATATTGCAATTATATATGTATACATGTACATATATGACGGTATATTACAGTTATATAAGAATGTGTGTATATGTATATTACTCTGTATGAGTATTTATATATATATATATACACACACACACACACACAGAGGCACATATACATATATAATTCTTGACCTGGTCCCATTTAGTAAATAAGTCATTCTCTGGGAAGAAATATTTCTGGCTAGAAGAAGCCTTTCTGGCTACTGCACTAACATTAGTGGATTAACCAATGGTTCTCATTCAGAGCTTATAAGAGAAGTAAATTGTTGAAGCAAACCCGTACCACTCAACTCTTCCAGTCGAAAACTCTCAGTCCTTCCTACTGACTGAAGGTAAAGGTCTAAACTGTCCTACCTGGAGTTCAAGTGCAGGACAAACCGGCCTCCTGCTACCATTCTATCTTAAAACTGTAAGATCTAAAGCCTGTACTCCAGGCCCCATGCTCAGCACAGGCCTAGGTGGAACCAGGTCCCTTCCTTTGCTGACCTCACCATACTCTGCCTGGGCCTTTCCAACTCTCTGGATCCTACCTATTCTTCAAGGTCCAACCAAGTCCAGGCCTGACTGTCCTCCCCTAAGTGGCCTCTCTCCTCAGAATCCCTGTAGACTCTTTTTTGTCTATTCTAGCAGCCCTCACACTCCATCATGCATCTCTAGAAGTAAAAGGTTTTAAGCACTTATCTTGAATGGAAGTGTTTTCTGTGTAATGCATAGGTACTATTAGTCTCTCTCTCACAGCTGACTTCGAATGCATCAGTAAATCCTGTTGGTTCTCCCATCAAATTATATACAGCATCCAGCCCCTTCTCACCTCCATAGCTAATACTCTGGTCCAGGCTCATCTGGAAAACTGCCCTAGGCCTTCCAGCTGGTCTCCTGGCTTCTGCCCTTACTTCCCTACAATGTATGTCAACACAGCAGCCTTAATATCCTCTAGAAACATGAGCCAGATCATGTCACTTCTTGGCTCACACCCTCCAGTGCCTTCCCATCCCACTCACAGCATGAAACCCATGTGTAGCTACAGGGACGTGCCGACACATTGGCACCCTCTCCTTTGTCTCCCCACTTCATCTCTCATCACTCCCTGTTCCCTAGGCTCCAGTCATACTGGTCTCCTCGTTCTTTAACCTTCCAGGCACATCTCCACCTTAGGGTCTTACCAGTTGCTCTGTGTGCACATGTGTGTGTTTGTGTGTGTGTGTGTATGCATGTGTGTGTGCATGTGTGTGTTTTGAATGCTCTTCTGCCACATGGCCACACGGTTCCTTCACTCACTCCCTCCAGTTAGTTACTCCAACAGTTCCTTCTCACTGATGCCTGACATGGCCACCTCAACTAAAAATTAAAGACTCTTTGCCCAATTCTTACCACCCCTTTTCCCGCTTTATTTTTCTCCTAGTATATATTGCCACCTAACACTACATATTTCCTTTGTCCATCTTGTTTATCATCTGTCTTCCCCAACTGGAACATAAGCTCCTCAAGAGATGCTGGTCAGTGGTGCTCACTGCTATGTCCCCAGTGCCCTGCGCATGGAGGAGGCACACAGCCCTCTGCACTCACAAGCTCGTTACTCTCACTGCTCCCATTCAGCCAGTGAACGCTCTACTGTCATGAACAACAGTAGATGTCATGATGAAACTCTTCCTCAGTGTACACCAGCTCCTGACATCTTAGCTAATAACAGCAGATATCAACCCATATTTCATGCAGTGAACTTGATAAATTTCATGTTTTTTGACTGTGTCCCAACAGATCTGATTACACCTTCATTGGTTTTCTCTCTTGATGAAGAACTTGGAAGTTTGGGCTATTCAATGAACCAGTAATATAAACACAAATAGAAGTCCCAATCTGTCCTTCCTGCACCCCATTGGATTATCTTACAGGCAATGGAGTGCCCACTCCCCTCTGAGAGCACGCTAAATCATTCCATTCATCTGAGATTAAATGTGCCCTACTTTTTATTTCTATTTATCCTGTCAAATATTTATATCTGATCTTTTCAAGAAACTCTGCATCCTTGACAGCAGGAATCACATCCTACATAGTACTACATAGTGGATAAAGCACAGACTCCAAAATCATGTGTTCAAATCTCAGCTCCAATTCTCAACAATCTTAGGACCTTGAGCAAGTTGCTTAAGCTCTCTGAGCCTGTTTCCTCATCTGTAAAGCTGAGATGATAGAAATATTTACTCACAGGTTATCATAGGCATGAAAGGAGTTAATACCTGTAAAGCATGTGGAATGCCTGGCACACAGGCTATATAAGAATAAGCTGTTTTAGGCCAGGCATGGTGGCTCATGCCTGTAATCCCAGCATTTTGGGAGGCCAAGGCAGGCAGATCATGAGGTCAGGAGTTCGAGACCAGCCTGACCAACATGGTGAAACCCCATCTCTACTAAAAATACAAAAATTAGTCAGGCATGGCGGCAGGCACCTGTAGTCCCAGCTACTCAGGAGGCTGAGGCAGGAGAATCACTTGAACCCGA
Source organism: Homo sapiens (assembly GCF_000001405.40). NCBI lineage: Eukaryota > Metazoa > Chordata > Mammalia > Primates > Hominidae > Homo > Homo sapiens. The sequence continues at coordinate 69,767,817 of NC_000008.11, forward strand.
GAGGCAGAGGTTGCAGTGAGCCAAGATTGTGCCATTGCAGTCCAGCCTGGGTGACAGAATGAGACTCCATCTCAAAAAAAAAAAAAAAAAAAAAACAAAAAGAAAAAGAAAAAGAATAAGCTGTTTTAGGCCAGTTGTGGCCTGTAATCCCCATGCCTGTAATCCCAGCACTTTGGGAGGCTGAGGCAGGCTGATTGCTTGAGCTCAGGAGCTCAAGACCAGCCTGGGCAACATGGCAAAACTGCATCTCTACCAAAAATACAAATATTAGCCAGGCATGGTGGCACGCACCTGTAGTCCCAGCTACTCGGGAGGCTGAAGTGGGAGGATCACCTGAGTTTGGGAGGTCAAGGCTGCATGAGTCATGATCATGCCACTGCACTCCAGCCTGTGCAACAGAGTAAGACCTTGCCTCTTTGGACATGGGAGGCATTCAATATGAATTTTTTATAGATTGATTACATATCATGATCAAAAGAATGACCATGACCCTTATTTCTTATCCTATGTCTCTGGTTCCTCCTTTCTCTGGGTGTACCTCCTCCCAACCTTGGCAAGATGTACAGGTTACACATCAAAGGAATGCCCATCACTTGCCCATAGTCACAGACTTAGACTTATATAGATTTAGACTGTATTGGTCATCTCAGGCTGCCATGACAAAATGCCACACGCTGGGTGGCTTAAGAAACCGACATTGATTTCCTCAGTTTAAGAGGGTGGAGTCTGAGATCAAGGTGCCATCGGCACTGGCTTCTGAGGAGGCCTCTCTTCCTGTCTTGTGGTTGGCTACCTTCTTGCTGCGTCCTCACCTGGCCTCTCTCTACACGAGCAGGAAGAGAGCGTTCCGGTGTCTCTTCCTCTTCTTATAAGGACCTCATAGATTAGGGACCAGGCACATGACCTCATCTCACCTTAACAACCTCCCTAAGGGCTCCCTCTCCACATACAATCACACTGGGGGTCAAGGCTTCAACATATGAATCCTTGGGGGACACAATTCAGTCCCTAGCAGATACCAACCCAACTGAAGCCATATCATTCCTCTTTCCCTTCTCTTGCTATTACTTCACTGCTCGTCTAACATGTCTGTCCTCACCTTGACCACAGCCTGCCTCCCTCAGCCTTGGACATGATTTCTCTCCTGACTGTGCTTCCACCCCGTTCACTCAGTCGGCACACTGACATCTTCTGGTACCATCCCTTCAGGCTTGACCTAGTCCCCAGAGTCTGCTGTCTATGTGCTGGTCGCATGGTCATTCTTTCTCCAGAACATCCTGTGTACACTTGACCTAGAGCTAGCTCAGTGACCCACATGGGCTACACTCCCCATCCTTGAGAGCCCACTGCTTCACTGAGGACTCGCCTGACCCACACAGGCCACAGGAATGTCTGTCCTAGGTGCTCACATCAAGTATTATCTGCACTGCCCACTTTATTATGTTGTGTATTATCACTACACACCCATTCATCACTTTTTTCCATCTTTCCAGCTAGGTTAGACAGACTTCAGACTTTGAGGGCAGGCAACATGAATCACACTTTTCTGAATCTGCCCCAAAACCTAAAATACTGAACTATTGACATAGGAAGCACTGAAGTGAACATCCTCAGATCAGACCCCAGCCCCCACACCTGTGCCATGTCAAAAGTCACTCTCTCTGAGCCCTAATAAGATTATGCATATAACCTGCTTAATATAATAAACATAGAAGAAATATTAAGTTGGATTTTTATGTTGAATAATTACCTATTAATTCTCTAATAACTATTATTACATATTAATTTTGTATAGATAACATACATACATTATTTAATACATGACATACTTAACACCTTTATGTTATCTTAGTAAGTTATCTCTTCTGGATTCATTATTTTTGATCCAGGAACTGGTTTTTGTGACAGGCTGGGGAGATGGGAGTTGGGAAAGAGAACATCTGGCCTTTCTTTCCTTGCAGAAAGGCCAGTGTAGGGTATCTTTCTGGAGTTGAACACGTGTGTGTCTATGCCTGTTGCTATAATTATTTTAAATTAAACTTTAGGGTTTTTCCTAATGATTACTAAATATAAGATGGATTTATTTAGGGAGAACTCTCAAGAGCACAAAAAATAATTTTTAAAAAATCACCACAATCTCTACTACCCAAATAATACCACAGTGACAATAACAATAGTAATAAATATTTCATACTATTCATGTATTCATCTACTGTATAAACTTTTTAAATAGTTAGATTACACAGTAATTATTGTTCCGTAATTATGTTTTTTCATGTAGCTATCTCCAGCTTTTTCTATGTCAATAAATATTCTTCCATAACATTTGCTATGTCTAAATGGTGCCTCATCGGGTGGTTATCTTATACTTCATAGTCAATCCCCTATGGACGCCAGCTTTATGCTGTTACAAATATCTAGCTGAGATTATTGCTCTGAAGATTGTATGACCTATTTGAAGCTTTATTATGTATATGCTGCAAAGAACCAGATCCCGGCCCGGCACGGTATCTCACACCTGTAATCCCAATACTTTGGGAAGCCGAAGTGGGACGATCACTTGAGCCCACGAGTTCAAGACTAGCCAGAGCAACATAGTGAGACCCATCTTTATTATTTTATAATTAATTAATTAGTTAATTAAATTTTTTTAATGAAGCAGACCCCAACGTAAAGATTGCGACACCCACCCACATATACACACCCGCCCCTGTCGCAAATCCATTCCCAGCTCAGCTGTGTACTTTCGTGGAGTTAAGAAGCCACTTATGATGGGAAGGGTTTCTGATCTTTTCAGACCCTTCCAAAAAGGCCACCTTCAACAGGGAAAGCCAGCTCTCCATCTCACCCTGGCCTTGGACATCACAGCTGCCTCAGCCGAGAGGTGGCTCTCAAGAAGCCTGGCCCTGCCACAGCTTCCTAGCTGCCTCCTCACTGCCCCCGCCAGTGTTTCCTGCACTGATCTGCCCCAAGCTCCTGGACCTTCAGAACTTGCATTTCATTTTCTTCTTAAATTACTCTTCCCCTTATTCTATGATCACTTCTGCTTTTGACATTAAAGCACATTAACTGCTATTTTTAATCCCATTTACCATCACATTTTTAACTTTCTCCTGCAGATTTAACCTTTATTATACTCTAATCTCTCTTTCACTTTTAGCTTTTGATCTTACTTTATTTTATTTTAGATGGAGTTACACTCTTGTCACCCAGGCTGGAGTGCAGTGGTGCTACCTTGGCTCACTGCAACCTCCGCCTCCCGGGTTCAAGCGATTCTCCTGCCTCAGCCTCCTGAGTAGCTGGGATCACAGGTGCCCACCACCACGCCCGGCTAATTTTGTATTTTCAGTAGAGATGGGGTTCCACCGTGTTGGCCAGGCTGGTCTTGAACTTCTGACCTCAAGTGATCTGCCCACCTCACCCTCCCAAAATCCTGGGATTACAGGTGTGAACCACCACGCCCCACCTGATCTTACATCATTTTAAATGTATTTTATCTTTTAAAACATTTCTTGGGGTGTTATATTTTAAAAATTAACTTTCATGTTTTTCTTTTGAATGTGTTGTTACTTTCTGTCTCCTATACTTTTAAGTTTGCCTACTTTTTTAGTGCTGTTTGTATTAGGCTAAATTTATTTGTAGCAATTATCTTGATTTTAGAACTTTAAACCTTTGTTATATTCCTTAATTTTACTTTATTTTTAGTGTTGAATGCTTTTTCTTTCCTTTTTTAGTCTTCTTACATGATCTTGTTTAACAGTGTTTATCTTACTCTTCTCTTATGTGGTGCATATTTTGTGATCAGTTTTGGTGATCGCTCATGAGAAGCTGGGCGCAGCATCACACCTCTTCTGGGCATATCTTGCCCAGAGGTCTCTGTCACTGCTGCCCCAGATGCCCCTCGGGCTCATCCAGTGGGTAAAGGATGGTAGCCTAAGAGGCTTAGAGTTAATTCTCTCCAGGACTCAAGCTCACTTGGCACATGGCATGTTTGATTAGCTGGAACCCATGCTTGCTCTCTCACATTATCCAGTAATGAGAAATGTGAGTTCTAATTCAAGTTCTCTGATGAATAACTGCTGACACTAAGACGAGCCAGAGGGCTCTTTATTCAGCTCCAGCCTGGCCCTGGGGAGGGTCCTATGGGTTGACCTTCCCAATGGCTTCTCTAGAGATGGGGAGAAATTGCACCCTGCAACATTCTCTGGGAGCTACTTCACCACTCATCAAGACTGCTGCCCTCATTCCTGGCAGAATTCAGAGATGCTCCTCCTTCTTCATCACAAAAACCCAACAGGGCTGCATCAGGGATTATCTCAAACAGCGTTGTTCCATGGGATCACTTGCAACCTCGGGGAACAACTCTCTGAACTCTACAATCTATATTGAATAATTCAACCTGCCTGGAAATCTATGCCCCTGAATCACAAGAAATAATTCTGGCATATAATCCCAGCACTCTGGGAGGTCAAGGCAGGAGGATCATTTGAGTCCAGGAGTTCAAGACCACCCTGGGCAACATAGTGAGACTTCATCTCTACAAAAAAAAATTAAAAATTAGACAGGTGTGGTGGCACATGCCTGTAGTCCCAGCTATTTGGGAGGCTGGAGTGGAAGGATCCCTCCAGCCCGTGGGGTGATGGGGGTTGAGGCTGCAGTGAGCTATAATTGCACCACTGTTCTTCAGCCTGGGTGACAGAGCGAGAAAAAAGAAAAGAAAAAAAAGGAGGGAAGGAGGGAGGGAGGAGAAAGGAAAGGAAAGGAAAGGAAAGGAAAGGAAAGGAAAGGAAAGGAAAGGAAAGGAAAGGAAAGGAAAGGAAAGGAAAGGAAAGGAAAGGAAAAGAAATGATTCTGGAGCTCCTAACCGTGGTCAGCCAGGGAGCCATGGGCCTCCCTGGACGTGGGAAACTGAGGGGCCCAATCAAAACCAGCATCATGTAGGGCTGCATAGTCACCTCCTTCCTGGCCTTATGCCCTAAAAGGTCAGAGATCACCCACTCATCCATGCACTCTGTGATGCAAGGCACTGGGACAGGGAGGGCTCACTGCAAAGGTGAACAAAACTGATGCATTTTCTTCCAGGAAAGACACATGTAAAACTCACCATGATCCAAGGTTCAGTGAGTGGGTGCAACAAGCACCAATTATATGCTGTGGACTGTGGGAAAGGAATGATACGTTATAATTAGTTGGGGAGGGAGGACAGAGAAGGCTTCATGGATGCTAGACACTAAAGGCTGAGCAGCACACATGGGCAAAGGCACACAGATTTGAACGTGCATGGTGTATTCAGGGAATTGCAACTGGCCACACTCAGGGAGAGGCAGAGAAGAGTGACCACCATCGCCTGCACCCTAGGCCCATCCTGTGGCTTTGATGCACACACAGCTGCATGCAGGCTGCCAGTCCCTCTTCTCTGCGTGCCCTAGAGGGTGACGGCAGTACAGAACTGGCTCCCTCTACCATGCAATAGCATTTGGAAATGGTCTTCTGTTGTTTCCCAGATGGCAGTAGAAGAACAAGTCACGTCCACTGTGCTATTGAGGGCAGGCTCCAGCATCTAGAATGGGGAGTCCAGGCGCTCATCCTCGGGTCTCCTGAACACTTGTATCTTTCCTCCCACACCCTCTTCCCTCTCTGCTTTTGCACCAGTCATTGGGATTCAGTTGAGAGTCCAGAGTACCAGAGGCTGTCCAAGGCCTCTCTGTCCACCTCATTCCTGTTGTCCCCATCTCTTGGAAGTGGAAACAATTCCCCTTCTCATTCATTCTCTCTGTTTTGGGGCAGAATTCAGTGAAAGAAACACCACCCTCAACTGTGGTGGACATCTTTTCTTTCTGCTTATTGAATTTCTATAGTAAAAGCAATTCCATTTTCCTTTGGGGGTCACCCCTATTGCACACAGTCCTGATAGCCTGTCATTCATGGGGCCCCATCCTCCATGATTCATCAGTAGACAGGTGACCAACCCAGGCCACTCAGATACCCTTCTCCCTGGAAGATCTTTCTTCAGATGCACATGGCTCACTCACTCCCTTACTTCTTCCAGATCTCTGCCCAAATATTACCCCTTACAGAAGCCACAGTGTTCCACACATCTACACATGGCACCTGCCACCTGCTTCCATTCTGCTGTCACCCACCCTGCTGCAGTTTTCATTAAGGTGCATATCACTGCACTGCATACATTTATATATTTGTTCATTATCTGCCTCTCCCACTGGAATGTCAGCTCAATGAGAACAAGGACTGTTTTTCTCACTGATGCATTATCAGTGCCTAAGCAGTGTTGACTGTAAGCACTAATAAGCCTTTATTGAATGGAGAAGGGATGAAGACATGGACTTTGAATCTTGGGTAAAATAACAGAAGCAGCTGCAGCTTCGTCCTTACATCAGAGCCTTGAAGAATCATCCATAGGCTCCTGGTGCTAGGCCCTCAGGGCTGCCCTGTTGCAGTGAGCATCTCTACCTCCGCCAATCCCACCCCAATAGAGTCCTTGATTTACAGAGTTGGTCCCTATGGTTTACAGTCACAGATCCCTGACTCTTACCTTCTCCAGGCTCTCCACAGGCCACTACCATCCCAAGGTGGGTTTGCTGGGTCCTCAGAGCTTCCTTATAACTGACCTGGATTTACTGTTCCCTCATTTGAACTCGGTCTCTAAATTGTCACCTTCTGATTCCAAGTCACACCCCACCCCCAGCTCACTGCTCATTGCCCATGGCTCCCCCATATTCCCTCCGGTGTGTAACCCACTTTCTCAGCTGCCACACATGGCAGTGAACCCTGCTTAGAGCTGTGCCCACAGTGGTTTAAGGTTACAAGCTTAATATAGGTCCAGTCTCAGGGTCTGGGACTGCACCCAGGGTGGTGCCACAGAAAAACATTTTATGCACATGCCTAAGTCCTCAAATGACTATTAACCCTGGTGTGGGGCATAATGATAGGAGGCCACCCTCTTGTATGTGTTTGGTGACACAGCACTGCAGATAACAGAGGACATGAAGAACAATCCACGTCGCCATGATACTGCAACAGTGATACCAACTCTCTTTCAACTTACATATTCCCTGAAAAATAGCCAAAGTACTTTAAAGCACCAGAGCACTGTATTTAAAGAAAAGTATTCCAACTCATTCCTTCCACTCACAAGCACAGGCAGATAAGAGGCCTTTGATCTCAGTTATTTTGTGCAGCAATTTTTTTTTTATTTTAAGTGATTCCATTATTTTGACACAGGCCTGACAGCAAAAGAACAGCTGCCACGGCAGTCAGGGAATAGTCTATCACTTTGCTGAAACATCCAGAGAGCATCTCAGGTCACAAATGAGAGGGGAAGAGGGTTTCAGTAGATTTAGAGAGCTTTCTCCTCGCTGCCATAGAGAGAAATCATTGGTTGTAATTCACTAACTTCCTTTAGAAATATTTTCAAAGTAATTTGAAAATTATTTAGAGAATAATGTGTTCCCTAAAAAGGAACATACAAATGTATAAGAAGCAGCCAGTTATGCTTAATTAGTATCTGGGGCATGGAAGGGGAATGGGTTTAACATGCTGTGGCTTTAAAACAACAGATTGGCACATGTATCCATATATAACAAACCTGCACATTGTGCACATGTACCCTAGAACTTAAAGTATAATAATAAAAAAAATCAGATTGCCACCTGTGAGTGACCACTGTTTATACACTTCATCAGATCTTCAGGAAGGAGTACGGGGTGTTATCAGGAAGGCATGTAAAATATTAGGCCAAATTTTTTAAAGTATATTTTGGAACAAAAAATTTTTCATAAAAAGTTAAGGATGAATCCCCTTAGAACACAAACAGAAAATGGATGGGACTTATCAAAACATAAAGGAACTCATGAAAAACTTTAACCTCACAAGTTATCAAAGAAATAGAAGCTGCAGCTGGACACAGTGGCTCATGCTTATAATCCTAGCACTTTGGGAGGCCACGGCGGGAAGATCACTTGAGCTCAGGAGTTGGAGACCAAGCTGGGCGACATAGTGAGACCTAGTTCTCTACAAAAAAATTAAAAATTAGCCAGGTGTGGTGGTGGATGCCTGTAGTCCCAGCTACTTGGGAGGTTGAGCCAGGAAGATGGCTTGAGCCCAGCAGACTAGGCTGCAGTTTGCCATGATTGTGCCACTGCAATCCAGCCTGGATGACCAAGACCCTGTCTCAAAAAAAGAAAAAGAAAAAGAAAAAAAGCTGCAAACAATGAGATACAGTTCTAATTTAATAAACTCACAAAGACTGAAATAACACTCAGTGCAGAAACAAAATCAATGAGTTAGTTATTCTTGTCCAATGCTGGTACAAAGTCACACGATCAAGCTTCTGGACACTAATTCCCATATATATATCATGGTAACATTTATCACTATATTATGTATATAATAGAAACAACATTAATAATAAAGTGATTGTTAACTAAATTTTGAGATACAATGTGGCTATTAATTTTAATGTTTATGAAGAATTTTTATAGCTTGAAGAAATACTTATTTTAAAATTTAAGTGAAAATGAAGGATACAAAATTCTTTTAATAATGTGGTCACGATTATATAAACCTTCAAAAAAAGATTGGGCTGGGTGCTTAGACCTGTAATCTCAGCATTTTGCAAGGCCAAGGCTGGCGGATTGCTTGAGCTCAGTTCAGGACCAGCCTGGGCAACATAGCAAGAACCCATCTCTACAAAAAATACAAAAATTAGCTGAGCATGATGACATGCATCTGTAGTCCCGGCTACTCAAGAGGCTGAGGTGAGAGGATCACTTCAGTCCAGGAGTTTCAGGCTGCAGTGAGCCGTGATCATGCCACTGCACTCCAGCCTGGACGACAGAGTGAGACCCTGTCTCAAAAAAACAAACCAACCAAAGAAAAAAAAATATCTAGCAGGAAACAATTGTAGAAAATATTTCTGAACAGGCACTTTACCAAAAAAGATACATAAATGGCAAATAAGCACATGAAAGATATTCGGCATCATTAGTCATCAGTAAAGTGCAAATTAAAACCACAGTGAAATACCACTAAACAGCTATTTGAATGGTTAAAATTAAAAAGACAGACCATACCAAGTGTTCTTGAGGATGTGATGCAAACTAGAACTGTCATACCCTGCTAGTGGGAATGTAAAATTGGTACAACCACTTTGGAGAACATTTCAGTAGTGTCTTAAGGAGTCAAACATATACATATCACTTGATTCAACCATTCCACACCCAGGTATGATCACAAAAGAAATAAAAACATATGTCCATACAAATGTTCATAGAAGCCTTATTCGTAGTAGTGAAAAACTGGAAACATCCAAAACATCTATCTAGAGATGAAGAGATAAACAAATTATAGTATGGTCATACAATGGAATACTACTTAGCGATATAAAGAAATGAACTATTGATACTTGCTGAAATGTGGAGAAATCTCATAATAATTATGTTGAGTGAAAGAAAGCAGACATAAAAGAGTACACACTGGATGATTCAATTTATGAAATTCTAGAAAACGTGAACTATCCCATAGTAATAAGAAACCAGAGCAATGTTACCCGGGGACTGAGGAGGTCAGGCGGAAGGAGGGATTCAAAAGAGGCCCAAAACCACTCTTGGCAATGTTGGATCTGGATCTGTTTGCCATCTTGACTGTGGTGATGGCTTCACTGGGGTGTGTGTGGGTGGGGGGTGGGGTGGTAGCAGTAGTCCCCACTTATCCTTGGTTTCACTTTCCAATATAACAATTACCCACAGCCAATTGCAGTCCAAAAATATTAAATGGAAAATTCCAGAAATCAACAATTCTTAAGTTTTAAATTGCATGCTGTTCTGAGTAGCCTGGTGAAATTTCATATTGTTCAGCTCTGTCCCCACCGGGGATGTGAATCCTCCCTTTGTCCAGCGTCCCGACGCTGTTTATGCTACCCACGCGTTAGTCATCAACATCATCTGCTCCTGACATCCAGCCGTCGAGGTCGTCGTGACTGGATGCCAGAAGCAGACGGTCCTTCCTCTGAGTGTCGTTAGAAGGTCAACTCCACAACTGTCAACTGTGCCTACGTCATTCATCTCCCTTCATCTCATCACACAGACATTTTATAATCTCACATCACCACAAGAAGGGTGAGCACAGTACAATAAGATATTTTGAGAGAGAGACCACATTCACATAAATTTTATCATAGTATATTCTTGCAATTGTTCCATTTTATTATTGTTGTTGTTAATCTCCTACTGTGACTAATTTATAAATTAAACTTTGTTATAGGTATGTATACGTATGAAAAGACAGTATATATAGGGTTCAGTTCTATACGAGGTTTTAGGCATGCATCAAGGGTTCGGGGGTATCCCCTGCAGACAATGGGGGACTATTGCATATTTACATATATGTATGGGGTGTGTGTGTGTGTGTGTGTGTGTGTGTGTGTGCATATATGTGTTAAACCTTTTCAAATTGTATATTTAATTATGTACAGTTTATTTTATGTCAATTTTATCTCAGGAATAAAAGGAAGGACCAGAGATCTAAAAGTGGATTCTGGAAGTGGTTGCACAACTCTATACATTTACATCATTGAGTTGTATACTTAGAGTAGGTAAACATGGTATGTAAAATAGGCTTCCAAAAAGTCATTAAAAAAAAATAGAATAGAAGGAAATGCATCCATGTGTTAAAAGTTGTTAGCTCAGGTTAGTGAAATTACAATGTGGGATTTTGGTGTTTTCCTTATAACTTTTCATATTTTCAGTTTTCTCTAATTGAATACATATTAAAATAAGCAAAAAAATTAAACATATCTTTGGGAATTAGTAGTAGCTTTATATTATTCAGCTGCTAATACTCCAGCCATCAAATGTGCTATCTTTGTGTAAAGTTAGGACAAATCAGTATTTTTTTACCTTGAAGAAGGCCTTTACAGGACAATGGACTTGTTTTATTTGTTCTTATGTCTATAGCATTTCTTGCAGGGGCACCTGACACATCCTGAACATCAATAATCTCTGAAGAATGTATGTACAGGACAGTATTTGCAAAGCAACCATCCCATTTTCTATAAGATTGATCTGCCTAGTACTTCAAGATGACTTCTTATAGGCCAAACTATTATAACAATTCAAGGGTTAACAAACTACCAGCAGATCTGGTAAATACAGTTTTATTAGAAAACAGCTATATGGATTCATTTATGTATAGTGTATGGCTACTTACACCAAAATGGCAGAGTTGAGCGACTGCAACAGACATGGTACAGCCCACAAAGCTTAAGATATTTACTATCTGACCCTTTATATAAAAAGTTTGCCGGCCCTTATAATAAACCGTGGCAGTCTTTTATTAAGCATTTACTGTGTTCCAGGTATCAGCAAAATGTTTGCATACATTATTTTAATTTTCACCCCTAAGGTAGTTATAATTATTTAAGCTATGACTATAAACCACACAAGTATGGGTAAATTTTTATTTAGACGCATATCTGAAAAAGCCATTTCTCTATAAAGTTTATAGTTTTAACATGTTAACTATGTAGAATAAAATTATGCAAGGAAATCAGAAGACTATTTGCATAAAAAGAAAATTTATTTGTAAAATCAATTTTTCCAGAGCTGGCAGTATCTCAGAGGTTCAACTTATAAAGGCATAAACCCAAAGCAGTATTTTAATTGAACCTTAATTCATGCTGAAGTAAAATAGAATCATAACTGTTATTTAATGACTACCTTTCAGAAACTACACTAGGTACTTCACATTACTTGTGCCATCAACACTAACAACCTTATGGAAAAAAGCATACTGTCATTTTCAATTTACAGATGAGAAAGCTGAGTCCCTGAGAAGTTAAGGAGATAGGCAATTAGTAAGTGGTAGAACCCAAATTAGAACTTAACTCTGTCTGAACCCAAAGCCTGTCCTCTTTTCATTTAAGGGCACATTTCTCCAAAACACAAAAAGGTATCAAAATTTTAATTATAAGAAACTTAATTAAACTAAAAAGCTTCTGTACAGCAAAAGAGAGAGTCAACAGAGTGAACAGTCAACCTGCAGAATAGGAGAAAATATTTGCAAAATTATATATACAACAGGGGACTGATATCCAGAATTTATAAGGAACTCAACCCAACAACAACAAAAATAATTCTATTAAAAAGTGGGCAAAGGACATGAATAGATAATTTTCAACAGAAGGCATATAAATGGCCTACAGGCATATGAAAAAAATGCTCAACATCATTAATAATCAGAGAAATGCAATTTAAAACAAAAATGAGATATAATCTTACACCAACCAGAATGGCTATTATTAAAAAGACAAAAAATAACAGATGTTGGCAAGGATACAGAGAAAAGGGAACTCTTATACACTGTTGATGGGAATGTCAATTAGTATAGCCACTGTGGGAAACAGTATGGAGATTTCTCAAAGAATTAAAAATAAAACTAACATTTGACCTAGCAATCCCACTACTGGGGTATCTACCCAAAGGAAAGGAAATCAGTATATCGAAGGGATATTTGCCTTCACACACTTATCATTGCACTATTCACAATAGCAAAGATACGGAATCAACCAAAGTGCATATCAATGGAGGACTGGATAAAGAAAATGTGGTACATATACACAATGGAAAACTATTCAGCCATAAAAAATAACATTGTATCTTTTGCAGCAACATGAATGTAACTGGAGTCCATTATCCTAAGTGGAACAAGCCAGACACAGAAAGACAAATAGCACATGTTCTCACTTACAAATGGGAGCTAAATAATGTGTACACATGGATGTAGACTGTGGAATGATAGAATATGGAGATTTGGAAGGGTAAGGGTGGATGGTGGATGATGAGCGATTACTTAATGGGTACAATGTATGGTATTTGGGTGATGGATACCCTAAAAGGCCTAATTTCATCACTATGCCATCTATCCATGGTATTACCCAATTACCTAAGACACCATAAAATTATGCTTGTAACCCATAAATTTATACAAATAAAAAAGAAGCATACAGGGCTCTGCTACTGAAAAAAAAAAATCACATCAGAGCGGAAAATCTCAAAATATTTTTGGAGCTGTTAGTAGCAGGAGGCTTAAAAGCATTCTAAATGAAAAAGAAGCTCATTATTAGATTTCCTTTTCCAGTTTCATCACTAATAGGCTTCCATAAGGATGGCAGGGAAATGTACATTATCTGGAAAATACATGCCAAATATGTTGCATACCATTTACTTCAGTAATTACGGTGAAGCCTCAGAAGAGCATACCAGCTGTTAAGAGCAGCTTCAACTTACCTCCTGGGAAGGCTGAGTCACTGCCAGGAAGCACCTTCCAGGTCAACAGGCATCTGTGTGACACACTGTACTTTCCAGGCACTTGAAGAAGCATGATTTCCATTGGAAAGATCCAGGCTCAGAGCAACACCAAAGCACAAATGGAACAATGTCTTGTGCAAAGTCCCTGCAGTCATTGGCATCACCATGGCCATCCATTGGATTTTATAGACATTTGAGTGATATAAACCCTTTAGGACACCTTTAACACTACCCTGTTTTTTGCATCAATCCACAGGAGTTAGTCTTGGTACACTTTAAGTAAGGCTGCCTGCACTAGGGTTCCTTGTAAAGTTTATTCTTGAATTCAGAGACATATTAGTAGTCAAAGTCAACAGTCATTGAGAATAGAACTGTTACTATAAGATAACATTGGGCATTTGTTGTCTGTAAGATACTGTGCTAAGGCCTTTATATGTATTTTCTTATTTAATCTTCACTTCAACCTTATGTAGTAGATACTATTATTATCCTTTTTTGTTTTTGTTTTTTGTTTTTTGTTTTTTGTTTTTTTTGAGACAGAGTTTCACTCTTGTTGCCCAGGCTGGAGTGCAATGGCGCGATCTCGGCTCATCACAACCTCCACCTCCCAGGTTCAAGCAATTCTCCTGCCTCAGCCTCCCAAGTAGCTGGGATTACAGGCATACACCACCACACCCAGCTCATTTTGTATTTTTAGTAGAGACGGGGTTTCTCCATGTTGGTCAGGCTGGTCTTGGACTCCCGACCTCAGGCGATCTGCCTGCCTCAGCCTTGCATAGTGCTGGGATTACAGGCATGAGCCACTGCGCCCGGCCTATTATCCTAACTTAAAGAATTTTTCTTTGTCACCACTTCATCAATGAAATAATATAATAAATTCATCTGAATTAAGAATAGATAACATCAAACACCAGGGCCTGTCAGCGGGTGTGGGGCAAGGGGAGGGAGAGCAATAGGACAAATACCTAATGCATGTGGGGTTTAAAACCTAGATGATGGGTTGATGGGTGCAGCAAACCACCATGGCACATGTATATCTACGTAACAAACCTGCACATTCTGCACATGTATCCCAGAACTTAAAGTATAATAAATAAATAAATAAATAAACATCAAAAATTATAAGTTATATAAAAAGGTTAAAAAAATAGATAATCCAGCCTAGCACAGCGGCTCACACCTGTAATCCCAAGACCTTGGGAGGCCAAGGAGGGAGGATTGCTTGAGACCAGGAGTTCAAGACCAGCCTGGGCAATATGGCAAGACCCCATCTCTACAGAATTAAAAAATTAGCCAGGTGTGGTGGCATGCACCTATGGCCTCAACTACTCAGGAGGCTGAGATGGGAGGATATCTTGGGCCCAGGAGGTCAAGGCTGCAGTGAGTCATGTTCTTGCCACTGCACTCCAGTTTGGGAGACAGAGCAAGACCCTGTCTCAAAAAAAAAAAAAAAAAAAAAGTAATCCCTTTATTTTTGTTATCTGACAATAAGAAAGAGAACTTATAAATACAGTTTTACTTACTAAGTTAACATGCCTAAGCCTTTTGTATTTTTTCTATCACACAACACTTCAATTTATAGCAGTAGAAAAAAATTCTCATTTGGAAGGTGTAGTCGTCTACAGTCTACTCTTATGAAAAAGACAAAAGTGCCAAATGACCCATCTAATACCAGGCATTTTGTTTTAAAAATTTTTAAAGTAATATTCAGTTTCCTCAGGGCAATTATGACTCAACTCATATTCAAGAGGTTCGTAAGAGTATTGGCTTCAGCATCAGCTGTCTGTGTAGGTCTCTATCAGGGACTGGCTCTGTGATCCTAGACAAGTTACTTAATCCCACTAGATGTGCTTCCTCATCTATAAATAGTAGATCATAATTTATCTACTTCCAAGAGTTATTGAGGGGAGTAAATGAAACAATGTACATAAAGCCCTTCACACTAAATGCTCATCAATGTCAGCTATAACAATGATCATTATTGTTACTTCTATTATTATATATAACTTTATAGTTAAAATTATTATTCTGAGACCTTGCCAGACTTTAAAATGTCTTCAGATTAATGGGTACAAAAAAATATAGAAAGAATGAATAAGACCTACTATTTGATAGCATAATAGGATGACTATAGTCAATAATAACTTAATTGTATATTTTAAAATAACTTTTAAAATGTGATTAGATTATTTGTAACTCAAAGGATAAATGCTTGAGGGGATACCCCATTCTCTATTGTGTGCTTATTTCACATTGCATGCCTGTAGCAAAACACCTCATGTACTCCACAAATATATACACCTACTCTGTACCTACGAAAAATTTTTTAAATGATTTTTAAAATATAAAAATTTTGAATTTTAATTTTAAATTTTAATTTTTAAATTTTAAAAATTAAAAAAGGTATCTTCATAAAAGGATGATGATGATGATGTCAATTTTATGGTTAAGTGTATTTTTTTTGTACCAAAGTCTTTGAAAATGGAATTTGCATATCTGGTTGTCAGATAATTGGAATTACCCAAAACACCCCATTCCCTAATCATTAATCAATCAGTAGTTATTTGGTGAAGTTATACTTTTAAAATATCTTATGTTAAATATTATGAGTGAAAAAGAGGGCCATGCCCCTTCCTAAAAAGAGTGTGTGACCTATACGGAGAATGAAATGATAATTGCGGTGGAGATACATCATTATACATTTGTACAAGCCCATAAGATGTACACCAAGAATGAATCCTAATGTAAATTATGAACCCTGGATGACAAGGATGTGGCAATGTAAGTTCATCACTTGTAATGAACCTACTTCTCTGGTGGGACTCTTCATAATGGAGGAGGCTATGCATGTGTGAGGCAGGGAATACACGGGAAATCTTTGTACCTTTCTCTCAATGTTGCTGTGATCCTAAAACTCTAAAAAATAAGATCTTTTTTTAACCTAAAAAGCTACACCTAGATTAAAGTCTATTTTTTAGAAAGGCAAGGCCAAAGTTTGGGAGAAAATATTTGCAAAGACTCATACCCAGAATACCTAAAGAGTTCTTACAATTCAATAATTAGAAGATTAAAACACTAATGGAGAAAGGGCAAAAATTTTGGACAGTTGTATCACCAAAGAAGGTATCAAGATGGAAAATAATCTATGCAAAAATACTTAACACCATTGATCATTGGATAAGTGCAAATAAAAGCAATAAGATACCACTATCACTAGAATGACTAAAATTAGAAAGACTGACCATATCAAGTAGTAGCAAGGATGTGGAGCAACTAGAACTCTCATACATCGCTGGTGGGAATGCATAAAAGTACAGCCATGATGGAAAATAGTTTGGTAGTTTCTTAGAAAGTTAAACATACAGGCCAGGTGCGGTGGCTCACGCCTGTAATCCCAGCACTTTCGGAGGCCGAGGCGGGTGGATCACCTGAGGTCAGGAGTTTGAGACCAGCCTAGCCAACATGGTGAAACCCCATCTCTACTAAAAATACAAAAATTAGACAGGCATGGTGGTGTGTGCTTGTAATCCCCGCTACCCAGGAGGCTGAGACAGGAGAATCGCTGGAAACTGGCAGGCAGAGGCTACAGTGAGTCAAGAGTGTGCCACTGCACTTCAGCCTGGGCAACAGAGCAAGACTCTGTCTGAAAAAAAAAGAAAGAAAGAAAGAAAAAGAAAGAAAGAAAGAAAGAAAGAAAGAAAGAAAGAAAGAAAGAAAGAAAGGGAAGGAAGGAGAAAGAAAGAAAGAAGAAAGGAAGAAAGAAAGAAAGAAAGAAAGAAAGAAAGAAAGAAAGAAAGAAAGAAAGAAAGAAGAAAGGAAGGAAGAAAGAAAGAGAAAGAAAGAAAGAAAAGCGAAAGAAAGAAAGAAAAGAAAAGAAAGAAAGGGAAGGAAGGGGAAAGAGAGAGAGAGAGAAAGGAAGAAAGGAAGGAAGGAAGGGAAGGAGGGAGGGAAGGACGGAGAGAGAGAGAGAGAAAGAAAGAAATTTACCATATGACCCAGCAATTCCATTCTTAGATTACCCAAGACAAATTAAAATACATGTTCACACAACTAGTGCTAGAGAGCATCTCAAGTGGTTTTGGAGGCAAAAAGGGGGTGGAGATTGCACAATGGCACAAGCAGACATTTTGGGTGATGGAAACATTATCATGATAGTAGTGATAAATATAGGACTATAGATATTTGTCAAAGCAACCAAATTCTATACTTAAATTTAGTAAATCTTATTGTAATTTAAAATCATATCTCAATAAAATTGATGCAAAAAAATATAATTATTGACATAAGTTATTCTATGATAAATGCCTAACAGTGGTCCCAATAACTATAGACTTCAGGAGACAGAAAAGGAAGAAGAGAATGAATACTTATAAAGTGCTTCCTGTGTGCTTTCTAAACACAATAGTAAATCCTGCCAACAAGTTATCTGAAATATAAGTTTAGTTAGTTTGCACTTTGAAGAAGCTGTCTGATCTTTGAAATAGTAAGAAATGTACCCAAGTCACAAAACTAGTAAGCAGTAGATTCAAACCCAAGTCTGACTTTGAAATCCAAGTACTACACTATACCACATGGCTTCCCAAGTAATTTAAATACAGCCACAAATGAAATCACACTTTAACCCAACAAATATCAAGAGCAAACCATCCAAAAGAAATCAAACCACCATTGCTGCTCTCCTAGCAGAAGGATATTAATATGTGCAACAGCCAAATAATACATAAGAAATCTCAACACCAAGTCCTAATCTTTTAAATAGAGAATCCTGAATAGTCATAGAAGCTATTATAATATTCAGAGCAAAGTTATTATAGAGATGTTTGCATAAATACACTATGTGAAATTTTCAAATTCACTTATACATTTTATCAAATTCTCAAGGACATTTCTGGAGTAATCTCATCAGTTATAGAGCATTAATTCTGATGCCTGACCACAGATGATATAGTTATTATGTAATATTTAATAGTTCAAAATGGAAAGTTAATATACTTCTAAAAATACCAAAGAAACTTGTATATAAAAATGTCAACTGTGATCACCAAAAATTGCTTCTAGATGTATCTAACTATCTCATACTCTCTTTAAGAGTTCTGCATTTCATATCAGGGATGGCCTGAATAAGTAACATTATTTCATATGTGACAACTGTTTAGCTTATTGTCAATGATACAGATTTATCATGATCTTATAAACCTCATGATCCATCCAATCCCTCAATTTTTAACTACTTTCAGGAAGTTTCACCAATAGGCAAATATGCTGAGGGACAAAAAAACTAATACTAGGAGCATTTTAAAAAATAATTATATGCTGTCCCTAGCAGGCTTCAGTGCTTAAGCTACAACAATTAATGTGATGTACCAAATTTTCACAAGTGCAATGCATCTTAGCAGCTCATCTAATGGAGTTTGGGTAATACTATTCATTAGTAAGAACCCTTAGAAACAATCCATGATTTTGTTCTCCCCAAGAAAGTGATCTTTTCATGATTTGGCAAATGTGGGCACACACACACACAACAACAACTTAATAGTTGTTTTTGTAGTCATCTATAAAATGGAGAGCTAAAGTACATACTTGGTCATCTAGAATCCCTCAAAAAATTATCTTGCGTAGAACTGTCTAGGTAATTGAGGAAAATGATGTCTATGTCAAATATTTGGAGAAAGCTCTAAATTAATGAATACTTTGACTACTTAAACAGCCTGAAAGAAATTAAGTAAAAGCCTTGACAACTCAGCCTAACAAAATAGGGAATAGTTAAGGATCCATTCCAATAATTTTGGAAGAAAGAGTGAAGATGCATTTAAAATGTTAGTAGATTGAATTTGCAAAGCTGTCTGCATGGCAGAAGGCAAGGAAACCTGTTTGTAACCCAGGGCTGAGCAGCTGCCCCCTGCTGACTTGTCCTCATCCCTTCCCCATGAATGCAGCCAGAGTCTCACATCATCACCCACAGCATGAAATCAGAAGGAGCCTTACGTCATTTCAACTCGTGGCATCTAGCACTGACATATCAACCTCTTCTTACAAAAAGTAACTTTATTCTTTCCAACCTCTGATACATTTCTGACCAATCAAGATTCAGACCTATACGTGGCCTAAATTGACAAATGATTTTCCCGCATTGGAAGTGCTTCAAATATATAACTTTCTCTTTATGCCACATGATCGTTGCAATTGAGTAGTGTCCGGCCACTGACCCGAAAGAAGCTGTTAGTTTTGCAGACAGCCCTAGTTATCAGCATCCTCATGTGCTTATGCACCATGGTAATGAATCAAGGTTGCCCGGTTTGGATGATAACATGACTTCAGGTCCACAATCCCTCAGCCTAAACCCTTAAAGCTGGATGTGTCTTGGAATTAAGAATTTTTCACATTTTACAAAAGTAAAATGGTGCCTGAGGATGTATGTTATGTAACATCCCAATGAAGTCTGGAATGGCATTCCAAAATCAAGCACACTAACATTTCTGCAACAAACGAACAAGTATTCACACTAAGTATGATTTTGAAAATAGCCTCAAATCAGGTCAGGTTAGGCTTTGCCATCATGTGAGTTATGAACTAACTATTGGATCTCAAAGCTTTTAGCAGAATATAGAAGTCATAGCAGAGGAATAGTAGCAGTGGAAAACCATTATGAGAACTGGTATATGCAAACAGATGCCAGGCACTAGCTATACATGATCTCCTTAATCTCCCCAACAACCTTGAGGTCAAAACTACTTTCAAGAGGGTGTTCTACACAAACTGACTTAAAAACACTCTTTTTACAATGTACATGATATATAAATGTTTTAAACCCCTCTCCCAAATCATGAATCAAACCCAATATTGTTATTAGCCCATTCTTTTACCGGCTTTCTCATTTTGAATGACATTTCTGTTCTTGATTATAGGATTTTAATCTCATTAGAGTCCTACATAACAAATCCAGAGGTAGATTTAAAAGAAAAAAATCACACAATTTCAAATTATTTCAGGAGGGCAACCCTGAGATTATTCACTAGTTCAGCAACTCAAACCAAAATTACACACTAACAATTACCCCATTAAGGAGCTTTGCTTCCTTTTGTGAAGTATGCTCATCCCATAAGTGTGAAATTTATGTTTACTCTACCATTACAAGGGAAAACTTGATTTAAAAAAAACAAAAGACTGTACGAGAGCTCAAGGTGTTAATACGGAATTGGATGGTAATCTGCTGAGTCTAGGACTTGTATACTGAGACCTGTGAAAATCTCGTTACCTATCTTAGCCCACAGTCTCCATATGCAGCTCAAGTGACCCTCAGTCTTCCTAGCTGTGTATTCTACATTTAACTTACTAATTTGGATTCGGTCTTATCCAAATCATGCCAACTCAGCTTGCAAACTCCTCACCCAGATTACATCTTGTGGAGTTTTTATAAACATATTACTCTAAGAATTACTAACATCATAGTATATGAGGCTAGAGTGATATGATAATCACCCCTCATATCTCCAGTAAACAATTCACTCTAACAACCTTGGTATAAACTGATTATACATATAATTATCATTTTTAATGTTCATCTTGTTCAAACAATGAATTAGATACTATAACAATATAATGCATTAGCATTTTATTCTTTAAGATGCTTCCCTACTGTGTACCTTAATTAAGGAACAAGGAAAGCATCCCAACTAAATTTATAGTCTTAGTATAATCTAAAATTATCTTCTCACAAATATGAAAGTCTTTGCTATTGCAAATGTCTTAGGTTGAGTTCCTTCAGAAGCCAAACCTAAAAGATTTGAATGCAAGTAATTTGGCATGATTCTGGAATCCACGTCTACTGTGCTTAAGGATACCACACCCTGTGCTGATTCTTCTAAATACTATCTGTCTCTGAAATATCCCCAAACATATGTATTTATTTCCACACATATAGTCATCTGTTTCAGTATTGTGTGTGTGTTCATCCCCCAAGAAACAGAACGCATTCTCAAGCAGTAAAACCGACCCAGGACACAACACTGTGCCTCTTGGCTAATGGGCCTCAGCTACTATAGAGCACCATCACCTTCAGCCAATCTACCAAAGCAAATATGTCTCCATATTGTTGGCTTCTCTTTTATCCATTTATTTTGTGTTTTGTGAACAATTTTGACCCATACTGTCCCAAAAATCAGTATGCAAGTAATAGTGCTGGATGTGTGACAAAAATTAAAACCTAGGAGAATAAACCTGAACATTGATAGGCAAGATGTTTTAGCTTCCTAGGCAAGAAGTGTTATCTCCCTTGAGGCATCATCAAGTAAGTGGTCAAAGACAGTAAGGGTCTTCTATGTGGAATCATAAAAAGAGCTCAAATATTCAGAAAGAGAATGAAACAGTGGTTACCACCTGTTGGGTGGGGGAGTGGCCGGGGAATGGGAAATGCAGGTCAAAGAATTCAAAACAGCAGATGTGTATGATGAACAAGTTTAGACATCTATCGTACAACATGAGAACTAAAGTTAATAAAATTATATTGTATGTCAGGGTTTTTTGTTAAATAAGTGGATTTTAGCTGCTGTCTTATCACCAAAAATTAACTATCTGAGATGATAGATATGTTAATATCCTTCACTACTGTAACTTTTCTATTAATATATGTATCCTACAACATGTTGTAAACCTCAAATATATACAATAAAATTTATTTTAAAATAATAAAAATATTGACAGTACAACAGAGTGACTATAGTCAATAATAACTTAACTGTACATTTTAAAATAACTAAAAGAGGGTAATTGGGCCGGGCACGGTGGCTCAAGCCTGTAATCCCAGCACTTTGGGAGGCTGAGGCGGGTGGATCACCTGAGATCAGGAGTTTGAGACCAGCCTGGCCAATATGGTGAAACTCTGTCTCTACTAAAAATACAAAAATTAGCTGGGCATGGTGGTGGATGCCTGCAATCCCAGCTACTCGGGAGGCTGAGGCAGAAGAATCACTTGAACCCAGGAGGCGGGGTTGCAGTGAGCCGAGATCATGCCACTGCACTCCAGCCTGGGCAACAGAGCGAGACTCCTTCTCAAAAAAAAAAAAAAAAAAAAGGAGTGTAATTGGATTGTTTGTAACTCAAAGGATAAATGCTTGAAGGGATGTATACCCCATTCTCCATGATGTGCTTATTTCACACTGCATGCCTGTACCAAAGCATCTCACGTACCCCATAAATATATACACCTACTATGTACCCACAAAAATTAAAAATTAAAAAATGTAATAATAATAATAAATACTTAAAAAGTGGGAGAAACATATTTGTAACATTTATCTCACCTAAACACTTAATATCCCTAATAAATTTTAACTATTAAAATTGAGGAAAGAGAGCCAGGTGTGGTGGCACACACGTGTAGTCCCAGCTACTTGGGAGGCTGAGCTGGGAGAATCACTTGAGCCCAGGAGTGTGAGGCTGCAGTGAGCTATGCTTGTGCCTGTGAATAGCCACTGCATTCCAACCTAGGCAATATAATGAGACCCTATCTCTAAAATAAAAAAAAAGAATAATAATTGAGGAAAGAAACTGTGATACGTGCACACATCAGAATAATATGCGGTTTTAAACTACAATGAACAAGAGCAGTATGAACTAAAAACAAAAAGAATCAAGGACAGTGAAGGTGAAGATCAGCAGTCACATGGGATTGGTAAAGGGAGACTGCTGACATTCTGAGGGCATCATAAACACAACTGCTGCCCAGGAAGACTGAGTAACAACTGAGTGAGTAGAACCAGAAAGAAAAAAGGCCAGAGGCATACCATGACTTCAGGGGATTTGAAGAGAACAGAGAGCTGTTGCCAGGACTGCCATTGTACAAACAGCATATTCCCTTCCAATGTTACTTACATAGAAAGAAGGAAAGGAGGGAGGAATGGAGGGAGGAGGGAAGAAAGGAAGGAAGGGATGAGGGAAAAGAATAAAGGGCTGGAATTTCCCCAGGCTGTCAGAGGGTGCAGAGCTGAGGCTTCTTGTAACTGTCCCTCTGTTCCTGCAGCCTAAAGGTCCTCTGATCACATCCCCTTCCTCCCTCATTCTTGGCTAGCTGAGCTCCCATCACCACCCACCACCTGGGTGTTCTAGGGTACATTTCAAAGGAGCAGAAACTGGGGGCAAGAACATGCACGGAGCCATCCCAGCATGATCGCTCTGCAGGGACAGAGAAACGTGAAACCTCTGCAAAACCAGAATGGCAGCAATCATGATAAAATGAGTAGACACTGTAAATCCAAGACATGGATGTACTGAGTCAGGAGATAAGAGATTTGAGGGAGGGACACTATATTGTTAAATTACAGTCATTAAAAATTGTGCTTTGTTTGTTTAGAAGAAAAATATTAAATTCATGACAAATATTTAATACATTTAAAAATATCTGAGATGTAATGTTTCTCTCCTTCCAAGTCTGCAGTGCTGCTCCGCAGTTTTCATTTGACACAGCAAGTACACACGTGCCAGAGGCTGTGTTAGGCACTGAGATCATGGAGACGACTGAGAAATAGTAACTTCCCTCAAGAAGCCCAGAGTCCAGTGTGACAGCATCCAGGTCATTAACAACAGAAGCATTTGCTCTGAAACTAGGATTTTACTAACTGAAGCATTATTTCATTTTTAAAATCCTATACCCAAGAATTTAAAGACCTTCTCTAATAAGTGAATTACAGAAGGCTTGCTTTGGAAGATATTCAAGCAAATATTGATCTAACCATTAAAAGAAGCTCAGACTATCAGGATAAACAACATTATAAATAGTAAAGTCAAAACAAAGTCAACAAGGAAAAGATCCAAGTCAAAATTCTGTCTTTGCTTTTAAATAAAATGAAGTATTTTTATTCTAGCATCTATTTTTATCAAATATTAGATATATTAATCCATCTGCCAATATCCTAGCTATTACCCATCTTCTTCTGTAGAGCACTGGGGTGTTAGAAAATGTAAGCACCCTTAGAAATACTATAATTTAGTTGGAGAGAAGAAACAGACAACAGAAATGTTAAAAGATATAGATTAATACCATTTCAACATAAGAAAATCTCAAGCCAGTGTGTGATTAATGGCCAAACAGAGCAGTGCTATCGCAATTCACAAAGGAAAAAAAAAATGAACATTTCAGACAAGTGTATATTAAGGCAAGATCTTGAAGGACAAGTAAAATTTGGGCATAAAGGGGGCAGGAGGGCAAAAGTGCTCCTGTACAGAAATATGGTAGGAAAAGACCGTAAATAAGGTAAGGAGTGAATTATTTGAAATAGCAGAGATAGAGTAATGTGGACAGCTTTCAATGTCGAGCCAGGAAATTGGATTTTGTCCTCGGCAATGGGGAATATAAGGAGCCTATGCCAGTGTTTGAGCAAAGGAATGATATAAGGTGGTATTTTAAGAGCATTTGTCTGGCTTTACTATGTAAGAATTAAAAGGAACCCGATGGATAAGAAAACTCGATAGTCCAGACATGAAGTGGTAAGGATCAGAAGTAGGCTGGGACAGTGGACAGTAGTGTGAGAGGTTTAGGAGAAAAGATTCATAAGACTTGATAAGTTATTAGAGACCAGGAGATTCACTGGTCTCAACAATAGGTGGCCTAGGGAAAAAATATCATTAATGAAATTAAAGTCAAGATGCAAGACGTTTCAAAGTAGATGAAAGCTAATGGAAATAGGTCATAAAACGGAGGTAAAAGCACTAATCATAGGACTTAATGTAGTGAGTGGTATACTCTTTGGAAAAAAAATCATAGTAAATATACTGTTTTGGGGTTTTTTTAAGGTTTTTTTTCGTTTGTTTGTTTTTGTTGTTGTTGTTGTTTGGTTTTTTTGTTTTTTGTTTTTTGTTTTGAGACGGAATCTCACTCTCTGCCCAGGCTGGATGGAGTGCAGTGGCATGATCTCAGCTCACTGCAGCCTCCGCCTCCTGGGTTCAAGCGATTTTCCTGCCTCAGCCTCCCAAGTATCTGGGACTACAGGTGCACACCACCACACCCAGCCACTTTTTGTGTGTTTTTAGTAGAAACGGGGTTTCACCATACTGGCCAGGCTGGTCTCACACTCCTGACCTCAAGTGATCCACCTGCCTGGGCCTCCCAAAGTGCTGGGATTACAGGCGTGAGCCATTGTGCTCAGCCAATAAACTGTTTTTAAATAATATTTTTTTTCTAACTATAAAGTAACTTAAGTTCAGTGCACACAAATTTGGTATCAAAAAAAAAATCCAAAGAAATAAAAGTCATTCAGAACCCTACTACCCAGAGATGGCTACTTTCACACATGTTTATCCTTTGAGTCTTTTTTTTCCTATGTCAATAAAAATAATAATAATAATAGAGCTGACATGGTGGCTCACGCCTGTTATCTCAACACTTTGGAAGGTTGAGGCAGATGGATCAGCCTTGGCCTATCCTCTTGAGGTCAGGAGTTTGAGACCAGCCTGGCCAACATGGCAAAACCCCTCTCTACTAAAAATACAAAAATTAACCGGGTGTGGTGGCTCGCACCCATAATCCCAGCTACTTGGGAGGCTGAGGCACAAGAATCACTTGAACCCAGGAGACAGAGGTTGCAGTGAGCTGAGATTGCCCTGCTGCACTCCAGCCTGGGTGACAGAGTGAGACTCTGTCTCTAAATAAATAAATAAATAAATAAATAAATAAATAAATAAAATAAAATTTTTAAAAATGAGAGGGAAAGGGAGTAGAGGAGAGAGAAGAATGGCTAAGATTTATTGACTGCCTATTACATTCCAAGCATTAGTCTAAGGTCTTGACATATCTTAACAGTTATTCTTTGCAACAACTCTATGAGCTAGATAATATTACTATCCCTTTATGCAGATGGAGAAACCAGGGCCCAGAGAGATCAAGTCTGCTGAGGCTGCCTCACTTGTGAGGTGGGCAAGCAGCAGACATGGCACTTTCTGGGAGTCATGGTTTCCCTGGCAGTCCTGGTGCTATTGCTTTAGAGGGCATGGAAAGAAACAGAACAGGTGGCAGGGAGATGTATGCATTACCATGGATGAGAACTGAAGACAGTTGCTGGAAGGAGACTGGATGATAGAATTTTGTGCCCTGTGGTACCCTGCTTGTCAAAAGCTTCCACCAGAATGGGAAAGTTTTGCTGAATGGGGAGAAGTTCTTGAGGTTAATGTAGCAAAAGTAGATGTCACAGGGCAGCCAGGACTGAGTAGACAGTTCATCATAACTGCTCTCCTACTATTTATCATTGTAAAGATGGTGAATTTAGACACCATCAGGGTCCAAGGACTAAGAAGGACTTCAGAAACTTTATAAGTGATGAAAAGTGGAAGAGTATTGAACCAATTCCATCATGGTTTGGTTCAGGTTCTTTTCTGATGAGCAGTATGTCAGCACTCTTTCAGCTCTCTATGTGGATCAGGATTTGTCATAACTATTTTATTGAAGACCTTAGATTACCGGTTTGGAAATTGTATACAGTTTTTGCTTTAGCAATTCTGCTTTCAGGGCTGTTTTTAGGACTCTTTATGATATTTGTGGCAGATTGCCTTTGTCCTTCAAAAAGGTGCAGACTGCAGCCATACTTGTTATATTAGTTCATTCTTGCACTGCTCTAAAGAAATAGCTGAGACTGGGTAATTTATAAAGAGAAGAGGTTTAAGTGGCTCACCATTCTGCAGGCTCTAAAGGAAGCATGACAGCTTCTGCTCAGCTTTAGGGTAGGCCTCAAGAAACTTACCATTGTGGCAAAAGGCAAAGGAGAAGCTGGTTCTTCACATAGCCAGAGCAGGAGGAAGAGAGAGAGGGAAGAGGTGCTACACACTTTTAAAAACCAAATCTCACAATAACTCACTCAATCACTATCATGAGAACAGCACTGAGGGGATGGTGCTAAACCATTCATGAGGGACAACCCCTGTGATCCAATTACTTCCCACCAGGCCCCACCTCCAACATTGGGGATTACAATTTGACATGAGATTTGGGCGAGGACACAAATCCAAGCCATATCACTCCACCTCTGGCCCTTCTCAAATCTCACATCCTTCTCACATTGCAAAATACAATTATCCCTTTCCAACAGTCCCCCCAAAGTCTTAACTTATTCCAGCATTAACTCAAAAGTCCAAAGTTCAAAGTCTCATCTGAGACAAGGCAAATCCCTTCAGCCTATGAACCTGTAAAATCAAAAACAAGTTAGTTACTTCCAAGACACAATAGGGTACAAGAATTGGGTAAATACTCCCATTCCAAAAGAGATAAATTCAGCAAAAGGGGCTACAGACCCCTTACAAGTCCAACAAGTCCAAAATCCAGCAAGGCAGTCATTAAATCATAAGCTCCAAAAGAATCTCCTTTGACTCCAAGTCCCACATCCAAGGCACTCTGATGCAAGGGGTGGGCTCCCAAGGCCTTGGGCAGCTCTGCCCTGTGACTTTAAAGGATTCAGTCCTCAAAGCTGCTCTCATGGTATGGCATTGAGTGGCTGTGGCTTTTCCAGGCTAAGGGTGCAAGATGACAGTGGATCCACTATTCTGGGGTCTGGAGGATGGTGGCCCTCTTCTCACAGCTCCACTAGGCAGTGCCCCAATGGGGACTTTGTGTGGGGGCTCCAACCCCACATTTCTCCTCTGCACTGCCCTAGTAAATGGTCTCCATGAGGGCTCCGACCCTGCAGCAGGCTTCTACCTGGACATTCAGGCTTTACCAAACATCCTCTGAAATCTAGGTGGAGGCTCCCAAGCCTCAGCTCTTGTGCTCTGTGCACCAACAGGGTTAACACTGCATGGAAGCCTCCAAGGCTTACAGCTTACACCCTCTGAAGCATCGGCCCAAACTGTACCTGGGACTCTTTGAGGCATGGCTGAAGTTGGAGCAGCCGGGATGTGGAAAGCAGTGTCCCAAGATTGCACAGGGCAGGGGGGGCCCTGGGTCTGGCCCATGAAATCACTCTTCCCTTCTAGGCCTCTGGGCCTGTGATGGGAGGAGCTGTCATGAAGGTCTCTGAAGTGCCTTCAAGGCCTTCTTCCCATTGTCTTATCTATTAGTATTTGTCTTACTTTTAACTATGAAAATTTATCCATCCTGACTGAATTCCTCCCTAGAAAATGAGAGTTGGTTTTTTTTTTTTCCTACCTCATGGCCAGGCTGGAAATTTACCAAACTTTTGTGTTCTGCTTCCTTTTTAAATATAAATTCCAGGGCCAGGTGCAGTGGCTCACACCTGTAATCACAGCATTTTGGTAGGCTGAGGCAGGAGGATCACTTGAGAACAGGAGTTCAAGACCAGCCTGAGCAACACAGCAAGACCCTGCCTCTACTAAAAATACAAGAAAATTAGCCAGGCGTGGTGGCATATGCCTATAAACCCATCTACTCAGGAGGCTGTGGTGGGAGGATCACCTGAGCCTGGCAGGCAGAGGTCTACAGTGAGCCATGATCATGCCACTGCACTCCAACCTGGGGAACAAAGCAAGATTCTGTCTCAAACATTTTATATATATATATATACACACACACATATATACATGTATATATATTATATATGTATATATACGTGTGTATGTATATATATTTTTTTCAACTTTCAGGTCATTTCTTTGCTCATACATATGAGCATAAAATGTTAGAAGCAGCCAGGCCATATCTTGAATACTTTGCTGATTAGAAATGACTTCCACTAGATACCCTAAATCATCTCTCTCAAGTTCAAAGTTCCACAGATTCCTAGAGCAGAGGCACAATGCAGCCAGACCTTTGCTAATGCATAGCAAAAGTGACCTTTACTCTAGTTTCTAATAAGTTCCTTATCTCCATCTGAGACCTCAGCAGCCTTGACTTTATTGTACATATCACTATCAGCATTTTGGTCACAACCATTTAACAAGTCTCTAGGAAGTTCCAAACTTTCCTTCATCTTCCTGTGTTGCGGGAAGTAAGGGACCTCAAATGGAGGGACCGGCTGAAGCCATGGCAGAAGAACATGGATTGTGAAGATTTCATGGACATTTGTTAGTTCCCCAAATTAATACTTTTATAATTTCTTATGCCTGTCTTTACTGCAATCTCTGAACATAAATTGTGAAGATTTCATGGACACTTATCACTTCCCCAATCAATACCCTTGTGATTTCCTATGCCTGTCTTTACTTTAAACTCTTAATCCCGTCATCTTCGTAAGCTGAGGAGGATGTATGTCACCTCAGGACCCTATGATGATTGCGTTAACTGCACAAATTGTTTGTAGAGCATGTGTGTTTGAACAATATGAAATCTGGGCACCTTGAAAAAAGAAAAGGATATCAGCAATGTTCAGGGAACAAGAGAGATAACCTTAAACTCTGACTGCCGGTGAGCTGGGCGGAACAGAGCCATATATCTCTTCTTTCAAAAGCAAATGGGAGAAATATTGCTGAATTCTTTTTCCCAGCAAGGAACATCCCTGAGAAAGAGAATACGTCCCTGAGGGCAGGCCTCTAAAATGGCCACTTCGTGGCGGGGGGTGGCCGTCTTTTATGGTCGAAGCTGTAGGGATGAAATAAGTCCCAGTCTCCCGTAGCACTCCCAGGCTTATTAGGACAAGGAAATTCCCACCTAATAAATTTTGGTCAGACTGGTTGTCTGCTCTCAAACCCTGTCTCCTGATAAGATGTTATCAATGACAATGCGTGCCCAAAACTTCATTAGCAATTTTAATTTTGCCCCGGTCCTGTGGTCCTGTGATCTCGCCCTGCCTCCATTTGCCTTGTGATATCTTATTACCTTGTGAAGCATGTGATCTCTGTGACCCACACCCTATTTGTACACTCCCTCCCCTTTTGAAAACCACTAATAGAAACCTGCTGGTTTTATGGCTCAGGGGGAATCACGGAACCTGCCGACATGTGATGTCTCCCCCGGACACCCAGCTTTAAAATTTCTCGTTTGTACTCTTTCCCTTTACTTCTCAGACCAGCCGACACTTAGGGAAAATAGAAAAGAACCTACATGAAATATCGGGGGTGAATTTCACCTGATATCTGGCTGAATTTCTCCCAATACCTGTCTTATTCTGAGCCCTCCACACTCTTTCAACCTCTACCTATTACCCAGCTCTAAAGTCACTTCCACATTTTCAGGTATCTGTATGGCAATGCCCCACTCCTCAGTACCAATTTTCTGTATTGGTCCTTTCTTGCACTGCTCTAAAGAAATACCTGAGACTGGGTAATTTATAAAGAAAAGAGCTTTAATTGGCTCATGGTTCTACAGCCTGTAGAGGAAGTATGAAGGCTTCTGTTTGGCTGCTGATGAGGCCTCAGGAAAGTTACAATTACAGTGAAAGGCAAAGGGGAAGCTGGCACTTCACATGGCCAATGCAAGAGGAAGAGAGAGAGGGAAGAGGTGCTACACACTTTTAAATAACCAGATCTCATGATAACTCACCCACTCACTATCACAAGAACACCACAGAGTGGATGGTGTTAAACCATTCATGAGTGACCACCCCCATGATTTAATCACCTCCCACCAAGCTCCACCTCCAACACTGGGGATTACAATTCGACATGAGATTTGGGCAGGGACACAGATCCAAGCCATAGCACCAGTCCAAAAAATTATTACCAGAATCTTCTCAACCTTTGAACAATGTGGAGGAGGAACACGAGGTGGATGAAGAAGTTTCCAAAGAGGAAGCTGAAAGTAAAGAAGGATTAAAGAAAGGCTTTCCATAGAATGCTATACATTGGCCATGGATAAATCCTAACTTTTATAGTTATCTTAATGTTATGATTTTGACAACAATAGAAGATTAATCTTTTCTTTTGGTTTGAAGTGAAATGTTACTTGCTTGTCTATATATTGCAGGGCTCAGACTAGACTGTCATTAGATTGAGAGTCTACATTCAGAACATAAAAGCACTAAGTATAAAAGTTTGAAATATGATTTAAGCACAATTTGGTGGTTTAAATAATTCTTTAACTTTTGAAAAATCTGGTGCCAAGCAATGAGATTTGTGTGTGTTTGTTTAATAATAACCTGTTTCAAGTCTGAGTTTTGAAAATTTATATTTTACAAGTATTACGTTATTGGAGGTATTTAAGAAGCTTACTTTAGAGAAAAAGAATTCTCATCTGGTACAATTTTTCTTTGTTTCACTGTATGAAAAGAAGAAGATATTTCCCACAAATAAAAAGAAATATCCCACAAATGGGAACTTTGCCCATTGTCTCAAGAAATGTGTATTTCAATGACAACTCTGTGGTCTTGTTAGAGATATAATCAATTTTTTTTCATGCTTTTAGAATATGCAACTAACAAAAACTACCTTATATTAATTACAGTTTTCTACACACAGTAATGCACGATATGCTATTGATCTAGGAAGTTTTTATTTGTCCATAATATTCTCTTGATTCCTATAAAGGTTGTATTTGTCCATTCTCCCACTGTTGTAAGGACTTACCTGAGACTGAGTAATTTATAAAGGAAAAAGGTTTAATTAACTCACAGTTCAACATGGCAGGGGAGGTCTCAAGAAACTTACAATCATGGCAGAAGGGGAAGCAAAAACGTCCTTCTTCACATGGCAATAGCGAAGAGAGGTACTGAGCAAAAGGGGGAAAAGCCCCTTATAAAACCATCAGATCTTGTGAGAACTCACTATCACAAGAACAGCATGAGGATAACCAATGATCAACTGCCTCCCACTGGGTCTGTCCCACAACATGTGGGGATTAGGGGAACTACAATTTAAGATGAGATTTGGGTGGGGACACAGCCAAACCATATCAAAGGTTGATTTTCTTTTTTGTATTTTTCTTATTTACTATGGATTTCATTTTTTATTTTTCAAATTAGATAATAATTTCCTGAAAATATTTTTCATGTTTTGGTAAATGGTATTTTTTGCTGTTGTTTCAAACTAAAGTTTACTGAAAGATCCACCAAATTGAACTATCTGTTGATAATTTGAAATTTTGGTCACCTATTTCAGATTTTACATTATTCTGCTGAACTTCTACTTGAACTTTTTGTCATTTTTCTTTTTTGGATGTAAAGGTGAACATTCCTGATTTATCTGATTCGGAAAAGCCTTGGTATTTTACATTTTGAAAATTCACAGACGCTTGAATTTTTTTTTTTTTTTTTTTTTTTTTTGAGACAAGGTCTTGCCCTGTCACTCAGCCTGGAATGCAGTAGCACAATCACAAATCACTGCAGCTTTGACCTCCCAGGAGGAGGAGGAGGAGAAGAGGCCTGCCCAAACTAGCATACTGCCTCTTGCATGATGTGCTTTATAGCTTATACCAGTTTGAACAGATAACAATGGAACACATTCATTCATTCATTCTTTAGCCAAGTCTCTAAACTTTGCTACTCTATATGAACAGCAGAATTCCTAGGAAAATCTCACCAAAGGGATACCAACTGGCATCTTTTCTTTTACATAATTATTTACCAGATAGCTGTTCTCCCTTTGATTCATTGGGATTTCTCAACTTATTGAATCCAGTAGTCAGCACAGGCTACATTACACTGCAGTAACAAGCAGTCTTAAATATCTTAGGGTTTATAATCACGAAGGTTTATTCCTCGGTCACAATTCATAATCCATTCAAGAGTCATCTGGGATATCTGCTCCATGACTTCTGATTCCAGAACCCAGGCTGATGGCACCAGAACGTTGCCACCCCTTTGACAGAGGAAAAGGGTGTTCCCCTGGCAGTTAAGTGTTCCAGCCTGGATATATACCTTGCAGAACTACATGGGACTGTTTGGCCACAATTGGTCACATGGCCCCATCCAACGCCAAAGGTGCCAGAAAGTACATTCCTACCCTGGGCCCAGAATGAGGAGAACCCACACTTGTGAACAGATAATAATGGAACTTACACACCCTCATTCTTTCTTTAAACAATCCCAAACTTTGCTGCTCTGCAGGAACAGCAGAATTCCTTAGGAAAATCTCACCAAAGAGCTCCCAACTGGCATCTTCTCTTTAACATAATTATTTACCATGACTTTACCTTACCTGTACACAGCTCACATCCTAAGTCCTCAGAACCCTCAGGTCCCAGCCACACCTTGACCAAGATTCTATTGCTAACATCTCTTCAAGGCAAAAATTGTCAAATACAGATATCTTAAATTAGTAGAGCTGTAAAGACCTTAAGGAATATTTGGATCCCTCCTATAGATAAAGAAACATCAACTCAAAGTAGCTTTTACAGCTAGTAAAAAACTAAAATCCAAGAGTCTTTTTTTTCCTAATTATTTCCTCAACAATTCCTCGGAAAGCAAACAAGAAAAAGATAGGTTTCACCTGTGATGAGACTTACTGTTTGTATTCAAATCAACTATGAATTTCATAAAAATGGAAATCAATGCTAAAATATTTTACAGCAAAGTACATTACTATAGATCTTAGTCTTTCTCCATTGCTTCTTTTTTTTTAACGAACATTTTATGATTTAGAGTTTTACATTCTCTGACAGATTTTATTTTAATTACTTGCCTGGGAAGTATATTCATTTGAATGCAAAAATAACCTAGATGATGGTATTTGATGAATGTATTTATGTGCATCTCCCAGTGCTTTCCTTTGGCTTAGCTGACACAAGGCTCCCTGGTCAAAAAAATCAGTAGTCACTCACCCAGAGTGACTCCAGGATCCTCAGAGAGCAAACAGTGCAATCTCTCATTTTGGCTGAGCAAACTAAGACCCGCTGAGTTCAGGCAACAGAGGCCAGGTCCCACATTCACAAAATGCAAGAGCAAAGTCTCAAACGTCATCTTCCACCTCCAAACTCTGTGTTCCTTCCACCACCTCATGTCGCCTCAAGCTTTATTATTTGGAACAGCCTATTTTATTTCTCTGCTCCTCAGTTTTCCCAGTTAGAGAATGAGAGAGTAGGACTTGCTAGATTGAGATTTCCCAAATGCATTTCAAAGAACATCAGTCTACGAGGTGATTGTGGGAGTAAAATTTTCATGGTCACGTAAATTTGAGAAAAAAATACCTTATCTCTCTCCTGGAGATTAATAATGGGGATCAGCACGATAAAAGGGCTTAGAAAATTCTTCAATAAAGAAAAACGTTTAATGTGGGCTGGGCACAGTGGCTCATACCTGTAATCCCAGCACTTTGGGAGGCCGAGGTGGGAGGATCGCTTGAGTCCAGGAGTTCAAGACCAGTCTGGGCAACATAGTGAGACCTCATCTCTACAAAAATAATGAACCGAATTAGCCAGGCGTGGTGGCGCATGCCTGCAGTCCCAGCTACTCGGGAGGCGGAGGTGGGAGGATCGCTTGAACCCCGGAAGTCAAGGCTGCAGTGAGCTGGGATTGCACTTAAGCTTGCTCTGTAGCCTGAGCAACAGAGCAAGACCCTATTTCAAAAAAACACTAAAAAAAAAAAAAAAAAGTTTTAGTGTTGTTGAAACGAATATTTCCTGAACGTATCTGGTCACAGGAATATTTGTGTGTGTGACTCTTACCAACATTGTGCCGCCTGCTCTGACCACTCTCCCTCCCTCAACTCCCAGTAAGACCAGCCTCTTCCTGCTGAGGCTCCAACACACCAAACATTTTCCTACCTCAGGCCTTTACCCCTGCCACTCCTCTGCCTGGAGGCCTCATCTCCTCAAAGAAATCCTCCCTAGCCACCACTCTCCTACAAAGAGACCTACTTTATTTGCTTTTTCTTCATAGCCCTTATACCAGACAAACATTACATGATATATGTCTGCCTCTTGCACCAGCACAGAGGCTCCCAGAGGCGAGAACTTCATCTTGTGCATCAGCATAACCTCTAGCACCCACAGCACTGTCTGAGAACAGCAGGAATGAGTAAATATTTGTTGAATGAATTAATTAATGAACCAATGAATGAAGTCTGTGAACATCATGTTCTATAGAACATACAGTATTATTGGCTGGGCGCAGTGTCTCAAAGCTGTAATCCCAGATCAGCCTGGGAGACATGGTGAAATCCCGTCTCTACTAAAAACACAAAAAATTGGCCAGGCGCAGTAGCTCACACCTGTAATCCCAGCACTTTGGGAGGCCAAGGCGGGTGGATCATCTGAGGTTGAGAGTTCAAGACCAGCCTGGCCAACATGGTGAAACCCCATCTCTACTAAAAATACAAAAAATTTTCTGGGCATGGTGGCATACACTTGCAATCCCAACTACTCAGGAGGCTGAGGCAGGAGAATCACTTGAACCTGGGAGGCAGAGGTTGCCGTGAGCCAAGACTGCGCCACTACCATCTAGCCTGGGTGACAGACTGAGACTCTGTCTCAAAAAACAAAAATTAGCCCGGCATGGTGCCGGGTTCCTGTAATCCCAGCTACTCGAGAGGCTAAGGCAGGAGAATCGCTTGTGAGCTGAGATCACGCCACTGCACTCTGTCTCAAAAAAAAACAAAAAAACACGGAGCCTTGTTACCAAACCAGGGATATTAGCATAGCGTCACTGGACCCTTTTTAGAAATGCAAATTCTCAGCTCCCCTCTACCTTCTTAGGGGTGGAGCCCAGCAATCTGGGTTTGAACAAGCCCTTTATGTGATTCTGAAACTCACTAAAGTGTATGGCTGGGTGTGGTGCCTCACACATGTAATCCCAACACTTTGGGAGGCCATGGTGGAAAAACTGCTTAGGCCAGGAGTTCAAGACCACCTGGGCAACATAGCAAGATTCTGTCTCCACAAAACTGAAAAATTACACTGAAGCCAGAGGGTCGCTTGAGCCCCAGAGTTTGAGGCTGCAGTGAGCTATGATCATGCCACAGCACTGCAGCCTGGGTGACAGAGCAAGACTCTGTCTCTAAAAAATAAAATAAAGTTTGAGTTCCACACCCCCTTCCTCACCTCACCACTGGGGAGAGGGAAAGGAGAGGAAGAAATCTGAAACAGCAGCCAAGAAAAAATCTTGAAAAATAAGAATTCTAACTATAGGAAAAGCAGGTTAGGAAAGAGTTGCCTTCCTTGTGGGAGCAAGCGAGAGACCATGCAAAAGTTAAGTCTGACTAGATATATGTGAGTTTTTCACTGTCCTCTGAGACTAGACATTAGAATTCTCAAGAAAGGGCATAAGATAAAACCAGTCCTAGAAGCAAGACATTTTTGCTAAAATCTAAAATCTATACCTTAAAAATTACCCAAGTTCTAAGCTTTTTGTATTTCTTTTTTATTGTTTTTGTTTTTTTGTTTTTAGAAGGAGTCTCACTCACTCTGTCACCCAGGCTGTAGTACAGTGGCACAATCTCGGCTCACTGCAACCTCCACCTTCCGAGTTCAAGCAATTCTCCTGCCTCAGCCTCCCAAGTAGCTTGGATTACAGGCACAGGCCACCACACCCCTGACTAATTTTTATATTTTTAGTAGAGGCGGGGTTTCACCATGTTGCCCAGGCTGTTCTCAAACTCCTGACCTCAGGTGATCCGCCCACCTTGGCCTCCCAAAGTGCTGGGATTACAGGCATGAGCCACCGTGCCCAGCTGCTTCTTGTATTTTCTGAGTTTATTTATTTCTCTGATGCTCATATTAGTATTTTTGTATGCCTTTTTCAGCATGCCAAGGAAAACAAAGGGAAGGTGATTGGTAATCTGTTTTGGTTATTAGCACACCAAGCAGGAGGCTACCCACTCCACCTTACACCTCAGAGGTGAACATGGGAATTGTGCTGAAATAAAAGTGAGACATTCCAAGGGAGAGTTGAACACACATGTCAGAGTCCTATTCGTGAGTTTCTCACCCAACCTGCAGGCCGGGCTCCTGCCAGAGAAACCTTGACACTTCTGGATTCTCCTGGATGAAAGAAAAGGGTGAGCTCTAACAACTCCCTGTGATTTATTAAGATAAATATGTTCACAAACCAGGTGTTAACTCCTTCCTCTTATCAGAGAATGACAGTCATCATTCAGGTTGGGGTGGTCCTACAGGCAGCAATGATTGAGCATAAAAAGCAATGGAGTGCACATCCAAGATAACTAAGAATCACTATTCAGGCCATTCTCCATTGAAGCAGAAGGTGACAGGCTGTGTTCCAAAAGATTGTTTGACACGAGCCACACCCTGCCAGCCACTAGCCTACTGGACATTTTTAAAACATAGCTTGGAGCAAAGGAGGATTTCTAAAACAAACCAAAAACTCTCACAGGGAAATCCCAATGGCCACTCTAATGTTCTCAAATAAATTGCTACTGAATCCCCTGAAATCCCCCAGGAGGGAGAGAGAAGAGAGGAAGCAGCTTCGGTTCCTTTTCCCCAAGACTCAAATAGGCTTCGGTAGAACCTATGATCCCAAGATAAGAGCTACTTCTAGTTCCACTCAAGAAACCACTCAATTTGAAACCACTCAATTACATTAAATATATTAAATATGTACACAAAGCATATTAAAGTTATATTAAAACTAGGCAGAGGGCAAAGATACAATGAATTATGGTGGGAGAATTCTTCATGCCTACTTTTATGGAATTCCAAACATTTTTCCTGCGGGTATAAAATTACAAAAAGACTTAGATTGCCAAACCAGGCCACAGCAGTCAACTCAACATACAATGGTATACACCAGAATTCCAATATATGCACTAGAAATACAGCCCCTTCTCCCACTTAACAGCGTCTGGAAGTTTCTCTTCATATAATACACCTGCTGGGAAAAAGGGAACAAGTCCCATAGCAGCGTTGGGGAGGCTCAGGGTCCTAGATCACAGAAGTTTCCAAATCGTGAAGGTGGTGTAAGAAGCAAAGCGTGGCAGATGAGAAGCATAATTAAGGAAGACTAAGCCATAGTCATTCCTTTGAAAGGAAACTCTTGTTTCTCACTAGGATTTCTCCAAGACAATAGTTTCCAAACTTAACAGATCAACAGGATCATCTGGATGCTTTTAAAAAATGCAGATTCTAGATTCTAGAGCCTGACCACAGTACTACTAAATTAGACTCCCCCAACCCCCGCCAGAGGAAGGTCCATGAATCTGCAATTTGAAGGATGTGCCTGAGATGATTATGATGTTCACACATGTGTAAACTTCCACTCTAGGGTTTTTGATATCAGAATCGTGAACTAACATTACACATTACACATTACAGTTCTCAAGCATCCTTTAAGCCTTGGCTTACACATCAATTCCTCTTAATGATCTTCCTATTTAAGCACCCCTCCCCAAATGCAATATATAGTTTCCTTGATTTA
The DNA here is from genome assembly GCF_000001405.40 of Homo sapiens. Taxonomy (NCBI): domain Eukaryota; kingdom Metazoa; phylum Chordata; class Mammalia; order Primates; family Hominidae; genus Homo; species Homo sapiens. The sequence continues at coordinate 69,806,317 of NC_000008.11, forward strand.
TAGCACTTGCCTTGGTTTGTAATTCCTTATTGTTTACTTGTTTATTGTTTGTCTTCACATAAGAGTCTAAGTTCCAACAAGGCAGTCCTGCTTCCTGCTAGGACCCGGCATTTAACACAGAGCATGTGTATATCATCTTTGCTGAATGAAAGTACACTGTAGCCATTGATCTTGTTACATCTTATCTCCACGTGTATAACATAGGTGGAGTAGAAGTTATTATGCCTAAATTAACAAGATGAACCAGAACAGCTGAGTGGCTCAAGACCGCAGAGGAACACGTGCAGGAGCAAGCCTAACATCCAGGCTCAGGCTTCCAGATCCACCTCCACTCCCTTCCCACTGTCTCACCCACCTCCCTTTACAGAATATCAAACCTTGGCTCCAGTTTATTAATATCAAACTCACTGAAGAGCTGGTGCCTATGTCTCAAGGTCTTATATTTATTTGCATGGCAGACAATTGTGCAACTCAGAAGCATAAGACCTCGGGAGCTTCTGGACAAACCTTGAACACATTCTATGCATTTAACAAAGAAACAATAAACATGATGTAGAGTGGGAAAACAGAAGTTAATTAGAAAATCTTGGCTAATACTGCCCAAGCAATTTACAGATTCAATGCTATTCCTATCAAACTACCAATGACATTCTTCACAGAACCAGAAAAAACCACTTTAAAATTCATATGGAACCAAAAAAGAGCTCGATTAGCCAAGGCAATCCTAAGCAAAAAGAATAAAGCTGGAGGCATCATATTACCCAATTTCAAACTGTACTACAGGGCAACGGAAACTCAAAACACAGAGAGAACCATTTACTGGCCACATCTGTGATCAGTGAGAAATAAACATCTGGAATTAGAATATACATGTGTGAGGGGGTTTTTTACATTTTATTTTATTTTTAATTGACATAATAATTGTATACATGTATGGGTACAATGTGATGTTTCAATGGATGTACACATTGTGGAATGATTAAGTAAGGATAATTCGCATACCTATTGCCTCAAATATTTATCATTTCTTTGTGGTAAGACATTTAAAATCCTTTCTTTTTGTTATTTTCAGATATACAATACATTATTATTAACTACAGTCATCGAGCTGTGCAATCAGACACCAAAACTTATTCCTTCTGTTTAATCGAAGTTTTGTATCCGTTAACCAGCGCCTCCCTTTTCCCCATCCACTTCTGGCCCTCTCCCGCACAGCCTCTGAAACCACACTCTATTCTCTACTGCTATGAGTTTGACTTTTTTAGATTCCATATTTAAGTGAGCTCATGTAGTATGTGTTTCTCTTTACCTGGCTTATTTCACTTAATGTAACGTCCTCTAGGTTCATCCGTGTTGTCGCAAATGACAGAATTTCCTGTTTTTTGTTTGTTTGTTTGTTTGTTTTTTGAGACGAAGTCTCGGTCTGTCGCCCAGGCTGGAGCAGTGGTGCGATCTCGGCTCACTGCAAACTCTGCCTCCCGGGTTCATGCCATTCTCCTGCCTCAGCCTCCCGAGTAGCTGGGACTACAGGCACTCGCCACCACGCCCAGGTAATTTTTTGTATTTTTAGTAGAGACGGGGTTTCACCATGTTAGCCAGGATGGTCTCGATCTCCTGACCTGGTGATCCGCCTGCCTCAGCCTCCCAAAGTGCTGGGATTACAGGCTTGAGCCACCGCGCCCAGCTCAGAATTTCCTGGTTTTTAAGGCTGCATAGCATTTCATTGTGTATTTATACACTGTCCCACATTTTAAAATCCATTCATCCATTGATGAACACTTAGTTGTTTCCATGTCTTGGCTATTGTGAATAGATGTGCGAGGTTTCTTTTTTTTTGTAATGAAAGCTTTTTTTTTTTTTTACTTTTATTTTAGGTTCAGGAGTACATGTGCAGGTTTGTTACACAGGTAAACTTGTGTCATGGAAGTTTGTTGTACAGATTATTTCATCACCCAGGTATTAAGCCTAGTATCCATTGGTTGTTTTTCCTGATCTTCTCCCTCCTCCCACACTTCACCCTCCAAAAGGCCCCAGTGTGTGTTGTTACTATGTCCATGTGTTCTCATTGTTTAGCTCCCACTTATAAGTGAGAACATGTGCTAATTGGTTTTCTAATCCTGTGTTAGTTTGCTAAGGATAATGGCCTCCAGCTCCATCCACGTTCCTGCAAAGGACATGATTTTGTTCTTTTTTATGGCTGCATAGTATTCCATGGTGTGTATGTACCACATTTTCTTTATCCAGTCTATCATTGATGGACATTTAAGTTGATTCCACATCTTTGCTATTGTGAATAGTGCTGCAATGAACGAACAAGTGCATTTGTCTTTATAATAGAACAATTCATATTCTTTTGAGTTTATACCCAGTAATGAGATTGCCGGGTCAAATGGTATTTCTGTCTTTAAGTCTTTAAAGAATCGCCATGATGTGTGAGATTTTAATGGATAAATATTCTCCTGAAAGCTACATACCAAGTCTAAATTTTGATAATCATAACTAAAGGACCCAGGCGTGGTGGCTCATGCCTGTAATCCCAGCACTTTGGGAGGCCGAGGCAGGTGGATCACCTGAGGTCAGGAGTTTGAGACCAGCCTGACCAACATGATGAAATCCCGTCTCTACTAAAAATACAAAATTAGCCAGGCATGGTGGTGGGCGCCCATAATCCCAGCTACTCGGGAGGCTGAGGCAGGAGAATCACTTGAACCTAGGAGGAAGAGGTTGCAGTAAGCTGAGATAGCACCATTGCACTCCAGCCTGGACAAGAGAGCAACTCTGTCTCAAAATAAATAAATAAATAAAAGAATTCATAATAAAGCAAAAGACTTTGTTACAATGTAAAAAGTTTACCTTTCCTCCCCCAAAAAAGTATGTATTTTAAGTTTTCATTTTTATCTATCAGTTTTTCTTAAAGCAAGACAAGCTTAAAGGTTCAAAATTGAACCAGCATAATCTGAAATCAACAGATTAATAAAAATGCACAATAATCAACATGTATTTTTAGCCTAGTAACTCAGATAGAGTGACAATTTATCTTTTAAGTATCTGAAAAGATATCATCACTGAAGAGGAAAACAAATATTTCTTTTTTAACTTAAATACAATTGCCAATGAAATGTGCAAATGTTTTGTATGGCACCTAAATTTTAAAAAGAAAGAAGGACAAGTAAGTCATTAGAATATAGTCAAATTTTCCAAAAGAAAATTTGAAAAGATTTAGAATCCTTTGAGTCATTTAAAAGCAGCTTGGTTAGAACATTTAAGCACCCTGACTCCCCAAGGCTACTTACAAGATGATTATTATAATTACCATATCATCATTATTATGCCAACTTTATTATTATTATGATTATGATTATTATTATTATGCTATCTTTCATGTATGGAAATACAGCTACCGATCTAAGGAGTGTGGTGTGTGTGTGTGTGTGTGTGTTTTGTGAGGAGGGGAAAAGGAAGGAGTACTTTTTTTGCTTTGGTTGTGTTTTGTTCTTTGCTAGGATGGGTGAGCATTGCTCTATTACCTGCCTCCTGGAGATCGGTAGCATCATTTGCAAGCTGACAAGACAAGACGAGAGCAGGGGAATATGGAGCACAACAATGGTGAATGACTCACACATAACTCATGGTCATGATCACAAGTCTCACTAACACTGGACTATGCCTAACCCAGTGAGTTCTCCAGCTACAGAGGCAAGATAACCCCCACTGAGAATTATAGCTGTGTACAGCAAAGCACCAGTGCATGGCTTAAACATCTGATTTCCATGCCAGGACAAAAAGGTTCCAGTGCCCCAGGCCCAGGTGGGGGTTCTGAGAGCTTGAGGAGGCACCGCATTTAGTGGAACTGGCCATGCTGGAGGGTAGAGCCAATGGAGATCAAACCACAGCATCCTGCAAAAGTCGCAGCTAAGATCCAAGGAAATAGTGCACTAGCATCTGCAGGGACTGGGCTGGGAGAAGGAAGCCAGGTCCCAGGCAGTGGGCATAAGCAGCAGGGCAAAGCAAGATGGTGGAGGAGTGAGGGTAAGAAGCGGAGCCTACAGAGGTCTTCTTAGCCACTTTAAAGCTATTATCATAGCCTGAGGCCTAAAAGTGGACAGAAAGGAAGCTGGAGGAGTGCCGTTCCAGCTCCCACAGTAAAGACAGAAGAAAGCCAAATTCTAACAAACACTGACCACTCAGCAAGTATGTGATATCATGGCGTGAGTGATGTTGGCCAATTTCAGGAATCCAAACTTTATTTCAGACATCACTTTCAACTTTTCAGGCAAAATATTTTATAAAAGTAATTAAGTAGAAAAATCAATTAATGAGGTCTTAATTTCCTTTCTTTGCCCATACAAACTCTGAATGGAGCATCAATAGACAATAAACTCACTGCAGTTAGAGAAGGAAGAACAAGAGACTTTAATAATAATTTACAAAGTATAATTTGACCTTGGATAAACAAGAATTAAAAGAAATCTAAAATTTCCTGCTCAGCTGCAGCAAGATTGGGTCACATTTCTGGAAGACACTATGAAACAACCCCTGAAAATGCTTTGTGGCCATGTCTTCTGCTGGTTTTTTGTTTCGGTCTACATCCCCAAACACAGTACACAGACATTCACATGCACACCCACGAACACAGACTGTGCCTCTATGAGAGAAGTTAGGCAAAAAGGCCCATATCTGCATTTCCAGGGCATTGGCTCTCTGCTCCTTTATTCAATCCATCCCACCTTCCCACATGCAGTAAAGTGCATGAGCCAACGTCTCAGCAGGCAGACTATCCATGAAAGTTCCAGACCCACTCCAGGAACCACAAAGGGCTCTGGAGTTACTCCCATACACAACCAGATCTTGCTGGTTGGAGACATAATCAGAGATTTTAAGGTCCAGAACTGGATAGAGAAAGCATAAAGATAGCCCGTGAGCTTACGTGTTTGGGGCTACCTCCCTACGCTCCTCAGCAATTAAACTTGATTATAACCAACAGCGCCTGTCGTAATTACCAGAAGCCCATAGCAAGAGCATCTTGTGAGGAAGCTATTTATAACCTGAAAGCTTCGTCTTCTTTCTCCCGTGTCACTCTTTGCTTCGTAGGGGAGCTCTCAACAGACTCTCCAGACACAAGGAAGCAGAGATTCCATTCATCGCTATGGGGAATGGGGTGGATGCCTAATGGAGAGGCTCAGCCCAGCCAAGAACACTCTGGTGTAATGAAGCCCACATTTCTTATGCCTCTTGGCTCAGGGTCAACCAAATACACAGCACCCAAGCAAGAGTCGTCAACATGGACGGGCTGAGCAAGCTTACTGTGTGAGGCAGGCAACCCGCTCAGAAAAGCCACAAGAAGAGCTGTACCCTGCCCGCTAAAATGAAAGCTAACACCACTCTCTTCCTGAACGGAATTAAATTTTAAAAGTAATGACAGCCCACATTTTTTAGTGTTTAACCATGTGCCAGGCCAGGCTGTGTTTTAAGTGCATCCTGGGCATTGGCCCACATGATCCCTGCATTAACAGAGGCAGGACTGGGCACAGAGAGGCCACAGAAGCTGCCCCAGTTTGCACCACTGGCCAGGACAAAGTGGGAATTCAAACCGAGGCAGCTGGACCCCAGGGGCCACTCTCTTAACAAACAACTACTTCGAGTATGCTAGCATCTGGATCTAGGCCACAGTAGGTTTAGAAGAAACCAGAGTATAGTTTTGAGAAGACCCTTTGCAACCCCTCTCATTCGAGTCCATCAATTTACAAATGCAAAAACTGAAACCCAGAGTTGTCGAGTAACTTGCTGGAGGTCACGAAGCTCACAGATAACCTTAAATTATCCAGAATAAATGGTGTTAAAGAAACCCTAAAACTAGATTTTAAAGCCCTTGGGGATCAGGAGCAACTTCTTAACGTTAGTTTCAGAAATACAGTATATACGGTATAGCAACTCCCCTCTCCCACTCTTCCTAACCCTAAGCAAGCTTTCAAAAAAATCACAGCTTAGATTAGAAACCATCTGAGCAGACATGGGTCAAACATTTTACAGAAAAGGAACTGAGGTCCTGAAAGATTACGTGATCTGGTCAAAGTCATGTCAGTAATTGTGGACTAGTTTGTGTCAAATTGCACATTAGTCATCTATGTATAATTTACCATTTCTACAAAACTGGATGATCTGCAAGGTTTATGTCCTAAATTAATAATTTCCAAAGTATAGTATGAGTCTCATATAAGTAAATAAATAAGTGCCCCACCAGAATCCACGTGAGGGCCCTGCAGACCTCTCCCTGACAACAATGGCTCTAGAACCTAAAAGGAAAGAAAGTGTGTACAGAGGAGAACTTTGCACAACCAAAAAACTGAAGCCAGCAATTTAGAGTAACACTACCCATCGCTCTTCATGACTTGCATTCACTACCACTGCCTTCCACCAATCCTAAGTGAAGAAATTCAAACTAATTTCTTTTGAGAGTTTAACAATAACAAAATAACTGGAGACATCTTAGCAGCAAAACCAACTTTTGGAACCATTTTGTTAGATTTATGTATATCTTTAAGGAAGTCTTTCTCATAGGTAATTTTTCAGATTTCTCTACGAAGATTTTTCATCTTGTTAAAAGTTGCTGCTGTCCTCCATCTAAGGGAAAGCCATTAAAATGAAGTTCAAATCAGGACACATTCCCTTTCCAGCTGAAATAAAACACCAGAGACATAAGCAAATTTCTAGACAAAATACTAGCAAATATCTTTCCCAAAAAAATGTAAAGACATTCTGCAAATGAGGATTGTTGGTCCGTCATTACACATTGATCAGAAATTGATTTACAGCCAGGAAGTCTAAGATCAGGGACTTACTCTATGCAGTCTTACTCACTTAAATTTCTCAGTTCTCTTTATAAAAAAAAAAGTATCTTAAAACTTCTATGACCTTTGTAAGAATTTAAAGTGAAAAAATTAGGAAAACACCTGACAAAACCAAGACTCATTAAAGTATTATTGCTAAGAATTCCCACATGCTAGAATGCCAGGAGCTGTACCATTCCATTTCAGACACTTGCATATTATATAATTTCATTCTGCTGAGAATATTAATTACATAAATATGCTCTTTATTTTTAAGCAGGGGTAACCTGCCCCTGTCTTTCTAAGTTATATTAGGGAACAAGGATTAGCGTTTTTGCAGGGTGACAGTTTAACGAGCAGTCATAATTCCCTAGAGGGGAAGTAGACTCTGAATTTACCATCAGGTAATACACAGCTGCTGGGAAAAAGGAGCAAAAGGACTACCTAACTCCCCAGGGACAGCTGTCCTACGACATCTCTCAAGCCGCCGGGAGGTGGAGAACATGCTCAAGGGATGGGCTTCTAATGGCTCAAGGACTCCTCTGGAGACCTGAGTCTCAAGTTGCAGAAAAAGACCACATCAAGTCGGACTGAACAAAGCACAGAACCAAAGTACTAGAACACTTAAGAGGCGACAGGAATCTAAGAAACCACTAGCCTTACTCCTTTGTTAAAATATAAAAAACTCAGCCAAAGTCACACCAGAAGTTTATGGACTTCTCCCTCCCCTCTTTGTAACGCCAGTGGTTAGATCCTCGGCTTTGGAGGAAGACCTGAATTGTGGTTTTGTCACTTTTTAGATGACCTTCAGCATATTATTTAATTTCAATTTCCTCATCTATAAAATGTGAGAAGTAGGATAACTACTACATAGTTGTTCTGAGGATAAAACAAAATAATATTTAGACAAGAAACTGTAACAAACTACAAGAAAAAAACATGACATTGGAAATGCCATAGAGGAAAGACTACATGACATTGATCTTAGGAATAATGTTTTGAATATGACCCCAAAAGTGCAGGCAACAAAAGTAAAAGTAGACAAATGGGATTACATCAAAATAAAAAGCTTCTGCACAGCAAAGGAAACAATTAACAGTGTGCACAGACAGCCCACAGATCGCAAGAAAACATCTGCAAGCCATACATTCAAAATATACAAGTTCAAATACCTCAATAGCAAGAAAACAAAAAATTCAATTAAAAAATAGGCAAGGGACTTGAATAGACATTTCTCAAAAGAACACATACAAATGACCACCAGACATGAAAAGAATGCTTAATATTGCAAAGAATTAGGGAAATGCAAATTAAAACCACAATGAGAGATCAACTCACACCTGTCAGAACAGCTATTATCATCAAGTTTTGATGAGGATGTGGAGAAAGGGGAAAACTTGTACACTGCTAATGGAATGTAAATTAGTACAGCCATTATGGAAAGCTGTATGGAGGGTTCTCAAAGAACTAAAAATAGAATTACCGTATGATCCAGCAATCCCACTGCAGGGTGTTTGCCAAAATACCCAAAGTGAGTTACCAAAGATTTGAAATCACTTTGTCAAGGAGATATTTGCATTCCCATGTTCACTGCAGCACTATTCACAATAACCAAGTTATGGAATTAGCCCGTGTCCATCAATAAATGAATGGATATAGAAAACTATTCCACCTTAAAAAAAAGAAGGAAATTCTGTCATTTTTGACAACATGGATGGTGTTAGAGAACATTATGCTAAGTGAAATAAGCCAGGCACAGAAAGACAAATATCACATATTCTCACTTATGAAATCATGTTCACTTGTGAAATCTAAAACAATCAAACTCATAGAAGCAGAGAGTAGACTGATGGTTACAGAGGTTGCGGGATGGGGGAAGTGGGGAGATGATGATTAAAAGGGTACAAAATTTCAGGGAGGAGAAATGTTTTTAATTTCTATTCCACAGTATGGTGAATATAGTTAATAGAGTGTGGTACATTTCACAATTGTTAAAAGTAAATTTCAAAGGTTTTCACCATAAAAAGGTTAAGTATTTGAAATGATAGATATGTTCATTAGCCTGAGTTAATTAGTCTGCATTGTATTCATAAATCATAACATCACTTTGTACCCATAAATTTATGCTGTTATAAATTATCAAATTACAATTTTAAAAATTAAATAAAGTGTTTAGTACAATGCCTGGCATATTTTAAACACTCAAAAATATTTTCTGTAAAAATAGTCCTTGTTAGACCTCCACCTATGAAACCATATCACAGTTGTTGGGTTTTTTTGTCCATTTGTTTATTTTAGTTAAGCTCTCATTTGTTTTTAAGAAAAACTCTAGGTCTTATAACTCCTCATTAAATCTATCCTACAGCTCCTCTTGATGTCCAGTTACTTCATTGATGAGCTCTGCTTTAGAATGCTGATTAACTGCTTTCTAATTTTCCACAATTCCTTGTCTTGATGTTTTCTTTTCCTAAAGGCACCACAACTAAAAGAGAGGTAAAATATCAACACACACACACACACACACACACACACACACACACACACACAAAATTACATCATTCCCTCTTCAAGGATTACAGTATTCCCAATTCCAATAATATGGTCCAGGAAATTCCCATGGTTAAATTTTTTAAGCTGATGGGAACTAAATTAACTAAAGAAACCATGAAAGCCCTAATATTTTTGCACCCACTAAAAATAATCCACTGGAGCACACCATAGTAACTTCTCTAAACTATTAACAGCACAGTATATTATAGATACTACAGTATCTACTGAGCAACAATGTAGCAATGAGTAACACACAGTTAATTTCTACTTCCTATCCCTTGCTTGTTAGAAGACTTCCTTACTTACAAAGATCTTTTTCCTAAGTCTCCTCCATCCATATATTCAATACTTCTCTGATTCTATGATCTAGAGATTTTTGACTTCTAGTTCCAAGATATAAGGAACTCAAGATATTGAGTAACTTGAAAGTTTAAGATGAAAAAGAGTTTAGAGCATCACTATTGGCAATGCTTTATTGGATAATTATTGGATACTGGGGGCTCTTCTGGACATCGTAGGATGTTTAGCAACATCCCTGTCCTAAACACGATGAAATACCTCAGACCCTCTCCAAGTTGTGACAATAAAAATTACTCTAGACATTGCCAAATGTCTCCAGAGAGCCAAAATCATCCCTGATTGAAAACCACTGTTTTAGAATGATTTGAAACTTACAAAGTTTTCCACAGGAACTGAAGTGAAGAACCTGCACCACCTGAGTATTGTAAAATTGCCAATGGTAGTTGAAGAGGGGGATCGGGCAGCTGTGGGACCCCCATCTCTTTTTCTCCAGCAAAAGGAAACTGAAAACACAGGAAACAGGGTGCAAGCACTGGCTACTGCAGGAGCACCCAACACAGCAGAACACATTGACATGAACCCATAGTCTCTACCTCCAAGTATTCCAATCTCTTTCCCCAGAAACACACAGTAGAACAACTCAAATCCACAGGTATGTTTCTTCACCTTCATTTCTCTCCCTGAAGGCTTTAATCTTAACGTGCCTACTCTAAAATCCACTTTCCCTTTATTTTTCTCTTCCCAAGTCCCTATTTCTTCTTTTTAAAATTATGCCCAAAAGAAATGACTTGAAATTCCCACACACCTGAGAAAACAATTCTCATAACTGAAGTACAGACTCACATTATTTAACATGTGCTAGAATGCTGCATAGGCTGGGAGAAGTGACTTTACCATTCAAGGACTTGAACTTTTTAGAATTTCCATTTGTATCATAATTATTTTTTTAATTCAGATGGATTTATAGTCCATATATCCATTCAGACTCAAGGCAATTTGACTGTATAACCTGGACAGATCTCTTAATTTTTTAAATCATCTTAATCATGTGTAAATGTATACAGTGGTGTTAAGTATATTCACATCATCGTGCAACAGATCTCTCAGAACTTTTGCTAAAGTATTAATAGAGCTCTAAATCCATTAAAGAACAACCCCCTCCCAATTTTCCCCTTCCCTTGGCCCCTGGCAACAACTATTCTACTTTTTGTTTCTATGAATTTGACTCTCATATAAGTGGAACTATATAGTATTTGTCTTTTTGCCACTAGCTTATTTTCACTTAGCATAATATCCTCAAGGCTAATTCATGTTGTGTGTCAGACTTTCCTTCCTTTTTAAGGCTGAATAATATTATATAGATATATAGATATCACATATTGATTATCCTTCTGCTGATGAACACTTGGCTTGCTTCCGCCTCTTGGCTATTGTGAATATGCTGCTATGAACACTGGAGTGTAAATATTTCTTCAAGACTCTGCTTTCAATTATTTTGGATCTATACCAGAATTGGGATTGTTGGATCATATGATAACTCTATTTTTAATTTTTTAAGGAACTATCATACTGTTTTCTCTTGCCCAAATCCTTTCATCCTTTGGAATCTGGGCTTCCTTGCCTGCCAAATTATCATTTTCACAAATGAGGTTAAATGAGATGATCTCTAGGAAACATCTTGGCTTGAATAGTACCCCTGGAGAGAACCTCAGCCAACCAGGCCAGTATGCCCCCTTCTCCGTATGATCAAGTCTTTGCAATGGAAAAACTTCTGATCCTTATTCTCCAAAACGATTTTCAATATAGATCTTACATTTGTCTGTCACCAAACTCCCAATTCACTGCTAACATTTCTAGATTGTCTTTAAAGAAAAAAGCAGAGCCAAATGTGTGGATTTGATTGCTTTTTCCCCACCAAGGGGCCTTAGAAGGTGAGCTCACCTGGGGTTACATGGCTTGCAGACTCACCTCCGATATCAAGAGTTCTACCAAAAGGGAGAAACTCAACTGCACAGAGCCTTCTGAGTCAGGAGAAAATAGAAAGTGGCACTTCTTTTGGTGAATATCAAAATGGATACCATTCATCTCACATCATTTCTCTCACTGAACTTATTAGTGATCATATCACCCAACTGTGAAATTCTAAGAAGTAGCCACAGTTTATGAAATACCCAAAACTGACATCTACTTTCACAAATGCAGTAAGATATTTTTCCTGATGAAGTAGAACTGCAATTAGCCCCTGATTTTACCAACAGTGGCTCCAACCCCAAACCCAGAGAGAGAGACTTCTTGCCACTGAAAAGGGCCAAATATCTCTGGTCTTTCGATCCTTGCTGCTCAAAATGTGGCCCTTGGATTAGCAGCAATGGACTCCCCTGGGAGCATATTAGAAACACAAACTTTCAGTTCAAAGCCAGGTTTATAGAAACAGAATCTGCATCTTGACAAGATCCCCTGAGAGTCTCACACACATTCAGGTTTCAGAAGGACTGTTTCAGACCACATAGATAACAGAATTCACAGCAATGTGAGAGGAGAGATCAATAAAACCCTATTTGAAAACTCTACCATAAATGCTACTAAAAAGGCTGATCTCTGTTATTTGTGGGTGGGCTGAATAAATCAATATGCACCCACTGTCTTTTCCACAGTGAGGCACTAAAACCCTTTGTTTTGCAGTTAGACCCAAAATGGGTTTGTTTCCCAGCCTGGTAGATGAATTTGTCTTAGAGGCCAAAAATGACCACCACACAGCTGATCAAAATTCAATCATTACTGTTGTACAGAAGACATATCTGTGGCACAAATTAACTGTCTCAAACACACACAAAACTCATGAGCATCCTAACAAGAAGCTGATGCTCTGTGGTCTTCCACTCATGGCGCCACATCATTCAATGTGATCTGTGTGTCCTGGAATCAACCCCTCAAATCCCTCAATCATCATTCAGCCTCATGTTAGTTTTCAGTGGAGATTATTTTTTATTTATTCATGATTTGCACAGACACTACTTCCAAAAAGGATTTTTTGTGGTTTACAGAGGTAAACACATTGTAAACAAGACAAGCAAAATTAAAGCAGCATTTTAAAATGGGTTACAAGTCTTAGGAGGCAATGTGTATTCCCACTCTCAATGTCTCCTTTCTTACCTTCTCTCTGCCGCCACTGCTCCTCCTCAGGAAGGAAGAAGGGGATTAATGTGACTGATGAATTTGGAATAAACCGGGCATGCTCAGCACAGCTCCTCTTTTTTGCCTCTTGGGAGTAAGTATGCACGCAGGGAGTGAAACTTTAGTCCTGCTCATTCCTGGCATAAGTACCACCGAGACACCACCGCCACCCCCTACTCCACATGGGAGACCCCAGGCAGGCACACTGCTTGGGTCCAGCATTGCCCATGGCTAGATGGCCAAGCCTATTTATTTCTGCTTTTATTAGAAAGTCCACTTGCACAAAGATATGAGCTACATTCTGCAACCTCACTTCTATCGGTTTTTAAAAGTGATATTTTGGCCTCCATGTGCTCCCTTTGTCATATTTCTCAATTAACTCAGAACTCAAGGTGGGGAAAGAGGTGCTATTTACTGAGCCTCTTTAAAATCCCAACAAAAAGAATCAGAAAAACTAATGCTACAGAGTGCTTAGAATAGTTGCTAATACTGGTCAGAAAAAAACAGTTCTGGGCCAGGCGCAGTGGCTCACGCCTATAATCCTAGCATTTTGGGAGGCCGAGGTGGGCAGATCACCTGAGGTCAGGTGTTTGAGACCAGCCTGGCCAACATGGAGAAACCCCATCTCTACTAAAAATACAAAAATTTGCCAGGCATGGTGGCAGGCACTTGTAGTCCCAGATACTCAGGGAGACTGAGACAGGAGAATCGCTTGAACCCGGGAGGTGGAGGTTGCAGTGAGCCAAGATTGCACTACTGAACTCCAGCCTGGGTGGCAGAGCAAGACTCCATCTCAAAAACAAAACAAAACAAAACAGTTCTGTATTTTCTGCGTACTAGGGCAACCGTGTGAACATGACTGGTGTGGTCGATATGACGGGAGTCATTCAGCACTCACTCCACCCTCCTCTCACCTGTCTTCCTCTCCCATATAGCCTGGAAAATCTAAAATCTGCCTTCTCAAAATCACGTTAACTGGAATAGGCCAGGTGACTCCGTTTGGCCAATAGGACATCCTCTAGAGGAAACAGGTACTGCCTCCTCCACTTTTCCCTTCTTCTGTGGGAACAGGTGAGTGATAACTGAGACACAGCAGTTGTCACTAAGAACAGCCCAGGAGGAAGAGCCCAGGGACCTGGCAGCACTCAAGGCTGTACCAGCCCCTGACTGCCCACCCCAGCTGGCTTATAACTCAAGACAAAGAAACCCCTAACTTGTCAAACCACTGGTACACATGGTTATATGGTTCCAGAGAACACTGAACTGAAAGATACATATATGTATCTTTCATTGTATATATCACTATAAATAAAATTGTATAGATATTGATCTGTAGATTGCTCTATACAACATTGCAGAAATACTGATCAAGATTGTTCCATAGGCTAGTCACAGTGGCTCACACTTGTAATCCCATCACTTTAGGAGGCTCAGGGAAGAGGATTGCTGTGGTCAGGAGTTCTAGACCAGCCTGGGCAACATAATGAGACCATGTCTCTACAAAAAAATATATTTAAAAAAATTAATAAAGTTTAAAAAAATATTTTTCCGTACAATATTTCTCATATTCAGAGAAAAAAATCAAAAAGAGCAAAATATATCTATGCATATATTAAAATCATATATGTGTACATAGACATATACACACATATATGTGTATATATGCATGTGTATGTATGCACACATGGAATCCCACCTGGTCTTCAAAATGTTATAGCAAGAGAAACAAATGTAGTAATCCCCAGGCAGAAACAGGCTGGGAGAAGCCAAGGGGTTTGTCTGAAGTCCCATGACCAGTTGTTGGTAGAGTGAAACTAAAATACAATTTTTCTGCCCTTTTCTGGTGCTCTTTCTAAGGCATGGGGCCAATTCTAGCCCTTCTCTGTCATGTGAAGCCAGGGCTGGCAGTTAATAGACATATAATAGACATATATACACATATATAATGTTTATATTACTATAAAATCTTGAAGAAATACAACTCAACTGATTTGAAGCTCACTCTACTTTTAGAAGACTGAAGAAATGTTAAAAAAAAAAAATTAGCTGGGCATGGTGGCGCACCCCTGTAATCCCAGCTACTCGGGAAGCTGAGGCAGGAGAATCGCTTGAACCTGGGAGGTGGAGGTTGCAGTGAGCTCAGATCAGCCCACTGTACTCCAGCCTGGGTGAAAGAGTGAGACTCCGTCTCAAAAAATAAAATAAAATTTGCAAAATGAAGAAGAACAGGAAGAGGATAAAGAAGAGGAAGAAGAAGAGGAAGAAGGAGGAGGAGGAGGAGGAGAAGGAGAGGGAGCAGGAGAAGAAGGACAAGGAGAAGAAGAAGAAAAGAAGAAGAAGAAGAAAATAGGCCAGAATAGACCAGGCGCAGTGGCTCACATCTGTAATCCCAGCACTTTGGGAGGCTGAGGAGGGCAGATCACTTGAGGCTAGGAGTTCAAGAACAGCCTGGGCAACATAGCAAAACCCTATATTTACAAAAATACAAAAATTAGCCACACATGTGCACACTTGTAGTCCCACCTACTCAGGGAGGCTAAGGTGGGAGAAACACCTGAGCCCAGGGAACTTGAGGCTGTAGTGAGCCATAATTACACCACTGCACTCCAGCCTGGGCAACAGAGTGAGACTTTGTCTCAAAAAAAAAAAAAAAAAGAAAAGAAAAGAAAAACAATATGGCCAGGCACAGTATCTCATGCCTATAATCCCATCATTTTGGGAGGCCAAGGTGGGTGGGTCAACTGTGGACAGGAGCTAGAGACCAGCCTGATCAACATGGCAAACCCCATCTCTACTACAAATACAAAACTTAGCCAGGCGTGGTGGCAGGTGCCTGTAATCCCAGCTACTTGGGAGGCTGAGGCAGGAGAATCACTTGAACCAGGGAAGCAGAGGTTGCAGTGAGGCAAGACAGTGCCATTGCGCTCCAGCCTGGGGAAACAGAGCAAGACTCTGTCTCAAAATAAAATAAAATAGAAAATAAAAAATAAAAATAAAAGCAATAATAATTACTTCCAAGTATGTCCTGAGGCCTGTCCTTGTTCACCATACATTCCGCCACAGTCCATGAGGACAAATGTAGACCCACAGTGGTGAAATGGCACACCACAAGCCCCTCAAACTTCAAAGGAGCTTTTACTGTCTTATACTAGGTGCAAATATGCATTACTTAAATGTTCATACATTAAAGAAAGATGATCATCAAATGTTGGCATGGAGAAAGTTCTCATGATAAAACCTTGAGTCCTGAGAAAATTTAATTAAACCGGTTATAACATTACGAAAACACTGATCAAAATGTTCCTGTTCAATGTTTCCCAGGAGTGCTCTCCTATACAATGTTTTAATTTCCCATGCAATGTTTCTTTTCTTTTTTCCAATTTTAGAATAGATACATTTAAGGGTTTTCATACTTGGAAAGAGCAAACTATCTCTCACTCCCCTCTCTGCCCACACCCTAGGATAAGTTTGAATTCTACTTTGACAGAACAGAGCACTGTCCCTTACAGCTTGCAGAACACTCGCACACATGGAATCCCACCTGGTCTTCAAAATGTTACAGCAAGAGAAACAAATGTAGTAATCCCCAGGTGGAAACAGGCTGGGAGAAGCCAAGGGGTTTGTCTGAAGTCCCATGACCAGTTGTTGGTAGAGTGAAACTAAAATACAATTTTTCTGCCTCTTTTCCGGTGCTCTTTCTAAGGCATGGGGCCAATTCTAGCCCTTCTCTGTCATGTGAAGTCAGGGCTGGCAATTAGTGGGACACACTAGGGAGGTGGAAGAGCCAGCACCCACCCTGCTTAACTGATGGCTGAACCATGCCAATCATTATTGATCCTGAATATCACCCAATCAGAGTTGTGGCTTTGTATTCTAGATATGCATCCTTCTCTTCCTTTTCCTACCTAGTTCGGCATTCTTACTCTTTTCCCTGTTGAATTACAAATGTCTTGCCTCCAAAGGATCACATTTTCTCTCTCTCCTTATATGTAAGATATAATTACAAATTATGGTCTACATTGAGGCTAGGAAAAAACTGCATCAACTAACAAGCAAAATAATCAGCTAACATCATAAAGACAGGATCAAAGTCACACATAACAATATTAACTTTAAATGTAAATGGACTAAATGCTCCAATTAAAAGACACAGACTGGCAAATTGGATAAAGAGTCAAGACCCATCAGTGTGCTGTATTCAGGAGACCCATCTCACGTGCAGAGACAGACACACATAGGCTCAAAATAAAAGGATGGAGGAAGATCTACCAAGCAAATGGAAAACAAAAAAAGGCAGGGGTTGCAATCCTAGTCTCTGATAAAACAGACTTTAAACCAGCAAAGATCAAAAGAGACAAAGAAGGCCATTACATAATGGTAAAGGGATCAATTCAACAAGAAGAGCTCACTATCCTAAATATATATGCACCCAATACAGGAGCACCCAGATTCATAAAGGAAGTCCTGAGTGACCTACAAAGAGACTTAGACTCCCACACAATAATAATGGGAGACTTTAACACCCCACTGTCAACATTAGACAGATCAACGAGACAGAAAGTTAATAAGGATACCCAGGAATTGAACTCAGCTCTGCACCAAGCAGACCGAATAGACATCTGCAGAACTCTCCACCCCAAATCAACAGAATATACATTTTTTTCAGCACCACACCACACCTATTCCAAAATTAACCACATAGTTGGAAGTAAAGCACTCCTCAGCAAATGTAAAAGATCAGAAATTATAACAAACTGTCTCTCAGACCACAGTGCAATCAAACTAGAACTCAGGATTAAGAAACTCACTCAAAACTGCTCCACTACATGGAAACAAAACAACCTGCTCCTGAATGACTACTGGGTACATAACTAAATGAAGGCAGAAATAAAGATGTTCTTTGAAACCAACGAGAACAAAGACACAACATACCAGAATCTCTGGGACACATTTAAAGCAGTGTGTAGAGGGAAATTTATAGCACTAAATGCCCACAAGAGAAAGCAGGAAAGATCCAAAATTGACACCCTAACATCACAATTAAAAGAACTAGAGAAGCAAGAGCAAACACATTCAAAAGCTAGCAGAAGGCAAGAAATAACTAAAATCAGAGCAGAACTGAAGGAAATAGAGACACAAAAAACCCTTCAAAAAATTAATGAATCCAGGAGCTGGTTTTTTGAACAGATCAACAATATTGATAGACCGCTAGCAAGACTAATAAAGAAGAAAAGAGAGAAGAATCAAATAGATGCAATAAAAAATGATAAAGGGGATATCACCACCGATCCCACAGAAATACAAACTACCATCAGAGAATACTACAAACACCTCTCCGCAAATAAACTAGAAAATCTAGAAGAAATGGATAAATTCCTGGACACATACACCCTCCCAAGACTAAACCAGGAAGAAGTTGAATCTCTGAATAGACCAATAACAGGAGCTGAAATTGTGGCAATAATCAATAGCCTACCAACCAAAAAGAGTCCAGGACCAGATGGATTCACAGCCAAATTCTACCAGAGGTACAAGGAGGAACTGGTACCATTCCTTCTGAAACTCTTCCAATCAATAGAAAAAGAGGGAATCCTCCCTAACTCATTTTATGAGACCAGCATCATCCTGATACCAAAGCCTGGCAGAGACACAACCAAAAAAGAGAATTTTACACCAATATCCTTGATGAACATTGATGCAAAAATCCTCAATAAAATACTGGCAAACTGAATCCAGCAGCACATCAAAAAGCTTATCCACCGTGATCAAGTGGGCTTCATCCCTGGGATGCAAGGCTGGTTCAATATACGCAAATCAATAAATGTAATCCAGCATATAAACAGAACCAAAGACAAAAACCACATGATTATCTCAATAGATGCAGAAAAGGCCTTTGACAAAATTCAACAATGCTTCATGGTAAAAACTCTCAAAAAATTAGGTATTGATGGGATGTATCTCAAAATAATAAGAGCTATCTCTGACAAACCCACAGCCAATATCATACTGAATGGGCAAAAACTGGAAGCATTCCCTTTGAAAACTGGCACAAGACAGGGATGCCCTCTCTCACCACTCCTATTCAACATAGTGTTGGGAAGTTCTGGCCAGGGCAATCAGGCAGGAGAAGGAAATAAAGGGTATTCAATTAGGAAAAGAGGAAGTCAAATTGTCCCTGTTTGCAGATGACATGATTGTATATTTAGAAAACCCCATCATCTCAGCCCAAAATCTCCTTAAGCTGATAAGTAACTTCAGCAAAGTCTCAGGATACAAAATCAATGTACAAAAATCACAAGCATTCTTATACACCAATAACAGACAAACAGAGAGCCAAATCATGAGTGAACTCCCATACACAATTGCTTCAAAGAGAATAAAATACCTAGGAATCCAACTTACAAGGGACATAAAGGACCTCTTCAAGGAGAACTACAAACCACTGCTCAATGAAATAAAAGAGGACACAAACAAATGGAAGAACGTTCCATGCTCATGGGTAGGAAGAATCAATATCGTGAAAATGGCCATACTGCCCAAGGTAATTTATAGATTCAATGCCATCCCCATCAAGCTACCAATGACTTTCTTCACAGAATTGGAAAAAACTACTTTAAAGTTCATATGGAACCAAAAAAGAGCCCACATTGCCAAGTCAATCCTAAGCCAAAAGAACAAAGCTGGAGGCATCACACTACCTGACTTCAAACTATACTACAAGCCTACAGTAACCAAAACAGCATGGTACTGGTACCAAAACAGAGATATAGATCAATGGAACAGAACAGAGCCCTCAGAAATAACGCTGCATATCTACAACTATCTGATCTTTGACAAACTGGACAAAAACAAGCAATGGGGAAAGGATTCCCTATTTAATAAATGGTGCTGGGAAAACTGGCTAGCCATATGCAGAAAGCTGAAACTGGATCCCTTCCTTACACCTTATACAAAAGTTAATTCAAGATGGATTAAAGACTTATATGTTAGACCTAAAACCATAAAAACCCTAGAAGAAAACCTAGGCATTACCATTCAGGACATAGGCATGGGCAAGGACTTCATGTCTAAAACACCAAAAGCAATGGCAACAAAAGACAAAATTGACAAATGGGATCTAATTAAACTAAAGAGCTTCTGCACAGCAAAAGAAACTACCATCAGAGTGAACAGGTAACCTACAAAATGGGAGAAAATTTTCGCAACCTACTCATCTGACAAAGGGCTAATATCCAGAATCTACAATGAACTCAAACAAATTTACAAGAAAAAAACAAACAACCCCATCAAAAAGTGGGCAAAGGATATGAACAGACACTTCTCAAAAGAAGACATTTATGCAGCCAAAAAACACACGAAAAAATGCTCACCATCACTGGCCATCAGAGAAATGCAAATCAAAACCACAATGAGATACCATCTCACACCAGTTAGAATGGCGATCATTAAAAAGTCAGGAAACAACAGGTGCTGGAGAGGATGTGGAGAAATAGGAACACTTTTACACTGTTGGTGGGACTAGTTCAACCAACCAATGTAAACTAGTTCAACCATTGTGGAAGTCAGTGTGGCGATTCCTCAGGGATCTAGAACTAGAAATACCATTTGACCCAGCCATCCCATTACTGGGTATATACCCAAAGGACTGTAAATCATGCTGCTATAAAGACACATGCACATGTATGTTTATTGTGGCACTATTCACAATAGCAAAGACTTGGAACCAACCCAAATGTCCAACAATGATAGACTGGATTAAGAAAACGTGGCACATATACACCATGGAATACTATGCAGCCATATAAAATGATGAGTTCATGTCCTTTGTAGGGACATGGATGAAGCTGGAAATCATCATTCTCAGTAAACTATCGCAAGAACAAGAAACCAAACACCGCATATTCTCACCCATAGGTGGAAATTGAACAATGAGAACACATGGACACAGAAAGGGGAACATCACACTCTGGGGACTGTTGTGGGGTGGGGGGAGGGGGGAGGGATAGCTTTAGGAGATATACCTAATGCTAAATGACGAGTTAATGGGTGCAGCACACCAGCATGGCACATGTATACATATGTAACTAACCTGCACATTGTGCACATGTACCCTAAAACTTAAAGTATAATAATATTTAAAAAAAGAGAAAAAAAAATTATAGTCTAGTTGCTAACCTTGCTTCTTATTAATACCTACAAAGCTTTCTCTATGCTCCTAGTCAATTCTAAGCCTCTCTCCTTGCAGAAGTTAAGGCATTTAGTGGCTATAAATGCTGCCGTATCTCATCTACGACCACATCTCTTCTACAGTTAAAGCTGCCAGAATGTTAACATAGAACTTTCAAAAGATTAAGATATACAATTACATTCCATTTCAATGGTTTTTACGTTGCTGCAGATATTTGTTTCTGCTCGTAATTACTAACCTACTACCTGATTTTTTTCTTTCCTCTGAGGTTATAATGAGAAGTTAGAAAAACGGACAGGAAGATTAAGGAAGGGGTGGGTGGCAAAAAATGTAATGCAATAGAACAGCTTTATGAAAAATAAGAAAGACATTTTAATTCGTTATTTATTGGGAAAGGTCTCACATCATAATTGGTCAATACTGCTCATGTTCTAAGGATATAATAGTCTCTAATTTGTACAGAGGTAGTCTATCAAACCTACTTTAAACGGTTTAGAGAATAATCTTATTTTGATCATGTTTTGATGACTTTAAGGCAATTCTACATTCTGCATTCTTCTGCGCTGTTGGAAAACTCTGTTGAACGTGGCACATCCTGCGGTTACAGTTGGTTCTCAGGGCTTCTTGCCAAAGAGCCATGCACTGTAGAAGGAAGCTCGAGGGCCCTGGGGTCAGAAAGTCATGGGGTTGAGGCCCTTAGTAAGTCACTTAAACTCTCTGAGACTGTTTCCTCATCTGTAACATAGGGAAAATAATCTCCATCTTATAAGGTCATTGAGAACATTAAGTGAAATAATATATCTAAGATTTCTGATACTCAAACTACTGTAGCTCCTACTGAGATCCATTTAATAGAAAGCAGAATTCTCCCAGGTTTCTTAAAGAATGTGTTCTAACGCATTCATCATTTTTTTTTTTTTTAAAAAAAAAGCAATTTAATCAGTATCTTTAAAAAAGAAAAGAAGGGCCGGGTGCAGTGGCTCACGCCTGTAATCCCAAAACTTTGGGAGGCCAAGGCGGGTGGATCACGAGGTCAGGAGATTGAGACCATCCTGGCTAACATGGTGAAACCCTGTCTCTACTAAAAATACAAAAAATTAGCTGGGCGTGGTGGTGGGCGCCTGTAGTCCCAGCTACTCGGGAGGCTGAGGCAGGAGAATGGCGTCAACCTGGAAGGCGGAGCTTCCAGTGAGCCGAGACCGCTCCACTGCACTCCAGCCTGGGCGACAGAGCGAGACTCGTCTCAAAAAAAAAAAGAAAAGAAAAGAAAAGAAGGAGGAAAGAAAATGAATACCATTTCTATTCTTTTCCTTCCCTTGCACATGTCACTTTCCACCCCTACCTTGCACTGGCGGTATTGCTTTACACTAAAAACACCTCAAATGCTGGGACTGTGTCTCACTTTTGGTCTTCCCAAAACTAGCAGAGTACCTAGCACAGAATATGCATTTCATATGCACTTGCTATTTTTCTTCTGGATGGGCAACCACTACCAGAAAAGTTAAATCTCAGGGCTGTTGTTAGTGGATGTTCTCCCTTTCGATAGGGTTCTGCCTGTAATTTTGACAAAGCAAGTCTGTATTGATGCTACCAAAAGTGGGATGAAAGAGAGATCCAAGTTTTCAAAGTAAATAGAGGCAAAGATCAGCAAGAATATGAAAAACAACTGGGATATTTACACAGAGCCCAGGTATCACTGTACAGATTGATCATTATTTTCAAAATGAGAAATGTATCTTTACAATGGAAAGACCCACCAATCACTCACCCAACCAAATGATTAAACTTAACGTCACTAATGAACAGCAAGGTGCATGTAATATAAAACACCCAGCATTACCTCTGACATAGTCAGACCAAAAATGTTTTGTCTGAATTTGATCAAGCCTCTAGACTGATCTTCTAGTATACAAGAAATATAGGGAATGGAGGAACAAGGTAAGTCACACCATGAGGAAATGATCAGATACATCTAGAATGTGGAACATTAGCCTTGCCCCTTCAAAAAGTCTATGCCATGGAAAAAGAAAAAAGTTGAGGCACAGTTCTGGATTATAGAAGGCTAAAGTGGCTAACAGCCAAATGCAATGCATGAATGAATCTTGATTAGTTCCTCATTTAAAAAATTATTATTAGCCTGGGAAACATGATGAAACTCTATCTCCACAAAAAATTAGCTGGGCACGGTGGCACAGGTCTCTAGTCCCAGCTACTTGAGAGGCTGAGGTGGGAGGATTGCTTGAATCTGGGAGGCAGAAGTTGCAGTGAGCTGAGATTGTGCCACTGCACTCCAGCCTGGGTGAAAGAAAGACCCTGTCTCAATCAATCAATCAGTATAAAAGACTTTCAGAGGACAATTGAGGAAATTTGAATATGGCCTGAATATTTAATGATATTAGGGAATGATTATGAACTTCCTTAGGATGTTGATGTTCCTTCAGTTATGTAAAAGAATACCCTCATTTTTAGAAGATGCTCTGGCAGTGTCTGCAATTACTTTTAGAAGGCTTAGCCTCCCATCTCCCAAAATATATTTCTATACATATATACACTCACACACAGGTTGATAAAGCAAGCATGACAAAATAAACAATCATTGGGTCTGTGTCGTGGGTATACTGGTGCTTATTATACTATTGTTTCAACTTTTCTGTATGTTTAAAATTTTGTCTTAATAAATGTTAGAAAACAGAGAGGCAAGATGGTAAGCAAGCTATTCTTCTCTACCCAGAAAGGAAATTTCTTTCTCTTGCATGTAGTGATAAAAATAAGTTATAAAACTCTTTTTCTGACCCATTGAACCAGTTAGTGGGGATTACTGAGGACTCAAACACCCCTCTATAACAGCTTTTGGGGACAGTAAACATACTGAGGACAAAGCATAGCCCTCTTATATTGGATATCATTTACACCGTCCTTTGAAAATCTTACTATTCCCAAATCAAGAATCCTATCAGCACATTGCTAATAAATTGCTAAATATAGCTAGTATTTGCTTATTTATCATTTTAATTTTTTTAAGAGATGGGGTCTCACTATGTTTCCCAGGCTGGTCTCAAGTCCCTGGGTTCAAGCAATCCTCCTGCCTCAGCCTCCCGAGTAGCTGGGACTACAGGCACACACCACCACACCCAGCTTCCATTTCAGTTTTTTCAGTAAAGTAAAATCCTTTAGCTTGTTTAGGTTGCACTCCAGTACAGAAATAGAAAAACAAAAATCTCATCTGGTATGACAGCCATTGATCCTTCTTATGGGTTCAAATCCATCCCTTAGAAGTTCAGTTTTTAAGAACCAGCTACTACAGGGAGGTGCTAACAACCTCAAATTTCTAGGATGTAAATTTTCATACCCTCTGCAACTGCTGCCTGGCCTCAGATGAGCCCCCTGTACTTAACTCAAGCACCCCTGTCCACTGATGCTGACTTATGCAAGTCAACACACCAAATCCCACAGCCACGGCTTTTCAGAAAAATAGGAATGGATTCTTCTCCCAAGTTCATACAATTGAGGGTTTTTGACAGCAATAAAAATAGCTTTGGATAAACCTTATAACCTGTGGTGTTGCTTCTTCATAAAGGTAAGCCAGTCATTTGACATTATTCAAATTTTTGTTGTTGTTTTTAGATAGTGGTGCAGGTGACGTATAAGAAAAACAGGTATGAATCCCAGCACTTTGGGAGACCAAGGAGGGTGGATCACCTGAGGTCAAGAGTTCAAGACCAGCCTGACAAACATGGTGAAACCCCATCTCTACAAAAATTAGCCAGGCATGATGGGTACCTGTGATCCCAGCTACTCGGGGGCTGAGGCAGAAGAATCACTTGAACCCAGGAGGCGGAGGTTGCAGTGAGCTGAGATCATGCCATTGCACTCCAGCCTGGGTGACAGAGCAAGACTCCATCTTAAAAAGAAAAAAAAAAAAAAGAAAAGAAACACAGGTATGAAGGCAATAAAGCATGATGTATGTAGTCTGGCCACGCCACCATCCCTGCTGCTCTGGACAGAAATCAGAAGCAGCAGCAGATAGAAGCAGAAAATCATCAAAACTTTACACATGAGGTACTGCTATTCCTTCCTCAACAAGTGTATTAGAATATAAACTTGACAAATTGGAGCTTTTCCATAGGTAGGTAGCAACAGAGAGAAGCATCACCCCACAGTTTAAAGTTTATGTTACTTGGGAAAAGACAAACATGAAGTATGAGTCTGAAAATTAGTTTCAAGAACTCTCAACTAATTGATTCTCTCCCAAACTGAAAACACACTACAGCAAGGCTAAAACGTAAAATAAAGTGAACTTTAATCTATAATATACATGAAAATGTGAAAGAACATGTTTCCTTTTGATTTTTGTAAGGAAAGTAAGTTTCAGTGTGAGTGAAACATATCTGAGAGAACAGGAAAGTCTTACCTAGGTACAAGGAGGAGTTTTCTTTCTTGACATTGTCATCTAAGTAGGTTGGTCCCAGGGTATAAATAGGTGTGGAGCCCATTCCAATGAGAATCTGCGCGCAAATGAATAAAGCCACGTAGACCCAGTGATTATTTCCTCCCGAGTCCTTCGGACAGGCCGGAGGCTCCAAAGTGGCGGTGGAGTTGCCACCCTGACACAGGCCGTCGTTGGGGGCCGAGGCGTTCAACTCTTGGATCTGGTAGGGGGGCGAGATGAAGTGAGGTAAGGCGAAGAGGGCTGCCCCGAAGGCGATGAGGAGTCCACCCACGGCCAGCCACAGGGGCCGCCGACCCCGGCCGCCGAAGTAGCTGACGAACACCACCACCACCAGGTTCCCGATGTCAAAGCAGCTGACCAGCAGCCCCGACTCGGAACTCTTCAGACTGTAGCGCCTTTCAATGGTGGTAATTACGCTGCTCAGGTACCCAGAGACCATTAACGCCTGGATGAAGGTCAGAAAGCACATGCACACCAGGAAGCAACGGGAATCCGTGAGGACCACGTAGAGGCACCTTCTCTCCTGGAGCATGGCCAAGGCGGAGGACACCGAGAAGGTTTTGCTGAGGTCCACCCTGTGGTTACAGTCCCCGAGCCCCGCCGAAGTGGACGGGGCAGAGGGACTGGGGGCCAACGGGTTCGGGCCTTGCTTCAACTCCTGGTGGCCCGAAGAATCCACACAGCCAAAGGCCGGGTTGGCGTCTCCACTAGTGGGACTGAGGCTTGGCCGGCAGGAGGCGCTGCTGAGGACCGGTAAACTCTTAGACCTGAGGGTCTCCGGCTCGCACCTCTCTTGGACAGCTTCTGCAGTGGCCGGCGCCTCCAGCTGCTCTCCCGCCCCGGGCTGCAGTCCAGTGCCTTCGTCCATGGCGCTTAGAATTCAGATTTGATAGCTGATGGCACCCAAGCACTCCGGCACGTTTCATCCACCGGCACGAGGGGCCGAAGCCGGGCCCAGTCAGTCTTGCCCACCTGGGACTGGGGCTGGGGGCGCAGGGCCGCGCAGCAGGGCATCCTCACCAGCTGCGAGGCGCCCAGTGCATCCTGATCACAGACACGGCTTCAAGGCTCCGCAGCCGCGTGCCACAGGGGGCAGGGGTCCGCGCGGTACTGCGATGAGCCCTACTCGGCGTCCCTCTCCGGGCGGTAGCTTGAGGCAGGCGCCTCGCGCGTCCCGGGCTCATCCCCTCCGCCGCCGCCGCCGCCGCCGCCGCTGGGCCCGCGGCCAGGAGCGAGTGCACCCTGCGCCGGGGGTGGGGGGGCACTTAGCGCTGCTGTCCGTACAGCATCCCACCTCGCTGCGCCAGGGGTACCGGGTGTTCGCCGCCTGGGCTCGCGGCACCCTCGGGAGTGAAGCTGCCGACCTGCAAAGCAGAAAGAGGGCGGTCAGCGAAGAGCGGCTGCGGCTTGGGGCTAGCGTCCCAGCGCCCCGGGGACCAGGGTTAGGTGACCCCGAACCGTCCCTAGAGGGACGGAGGAGCTAGTCAGGAGCGGAGCCCCGGAGGACTAGGCAGCAGCCGGCTGCAGTCTCCAGTCCCGGAACAATAAGCAGCAGGCGGTCGGCGGAGACTCTCCCTCATTGTCTGCCGCGGACCTGCCCCCGTCCCGCCCCTTCTGCCTTAAACATTGCGTTTGCTTTTATATGTTAATAATTATCAACCTGGCAGCTCTGACTCAGAGGCAGTGTCTTTTAATCGAGTGAACTAACTGCAGCCTTTCCGTACTCCTACTCCATTACTCAAAATAGAAAATGCCCAAAAGAACAAAGGAAACTTTTTCACAGACACACAATGTATTCCCTGTCCCAATTTTTCTAAAAGGAAAAAAGAAGGTGGGGGTAAACTACGTGTGTAGAAATGTGTGTGCACACTGGTGTGCGTTGGCACGTGTGCGCGACTAGATTTGAATCTGTCTGCTCCACCAGAGACACACATTCAAAGCCGAAGGCAGCAGCAAAAAGGTCAACATGCTTGCCTCTTTATTCCCAACACCAAAAATAACCCCCTGACCGAAAGAACTCTTCAATTACAAATACCAGGGGCATTCGAGGCTGTGGCCCGCACTAAGTCCCAGAGCGCGGTATCAAACGAAACCGAAAATCCGTCTGCTTTGCCGAGAGCTAGGGAAGCCACAACCAAACAAAGAGATCCCGGCACGCTGTCAGAGAGCGCGCGAGGAGCCCACGGAGCCGGCTGGGCGCACGCGGGCCGGCGGGGAGGTGTGCTATTGACTGAGCGCACCCCGCTAGCGTGGGCCTGGGGAGCGTGTGCGCGTGCGCGGCCACACACACACACACACACACACACACACACACACACACACACCGGCGTACTGGAACCTCTCTCGCGATCCCGCACCCAGCTTGAATTCAGCAAGAATCGAAAACAGGTGTGCCCCCGTGGTAAGACCCCGCCCCTAATCTTGGGGACCCCCACTCCACTCCTCCAGCCTGGGGCAAGGACGGGGGGCGGAATATGCACCAGGTGGGAGACAGCCGAGCTTCACTACACTGGGTTTCATTTTGCAGCGCGCCTTTGTGATGCTGCTGAGAAAAGAAAGGAGGAAGGGCAAGGGAGAAAGGCAGAGAGGCTGGGCGGCCAAGGGTGGCCGCTCCGGCATCTCCCTCGGCTGTGCTGGGCCAAACCCGCTCCCAGATTCCCGGCCTGCCAGCCACTCACAATCCCGGGCTTCCCCGCCGCTGCCTTACCCAGGCGCCTTCCCGGGGAACCCCACCAGCCGCTGCGTGAGGAGCCGGGGAATCCCAGCAAACTCTCGCCGCTCGCGGGGGGCGTCCGAACCCCCTGCTTAGGCGAGCGCCCTCACAGCATCGCAGACTCGGATGGACACGCGGATCCCGGCAGGGAGCTCTTGGAGCAGGCGTGGAATCCCAGGGACACCCCCTGCGCGCACATCACATACACGCACATCCTACACACACACACACACACACACACACACACACACACACACACACAGAGCCCGTGGGAAGACAAGACCGCCGGCGACAGCCCGCCGCGCTGCCCGGGCGCTCAAGCCGCCGCTACTCACTAGCGAGTCTGTCAGTCTGTCTGCCTGGCTGAGTAGAGCGGCGGGAGGGGGGCACTGAGCTACGGGAATAGTTGGGAGCCGCGTGAGGAGGCAGCCTCCGTCCAGCCGAAGAGAAATCAGTGAATGAGACTGTGACTCAGGCTGAACTCTTCCCCCCACCCCTCGCCTGTCACCCAAGCCTCTCCTCCGCTCCAAACAGACACACGCGCACAGAGACGCGCCCGGAGAGGAGCAGCCGAGGGCGCAGGCGCGAGGGCAGCCACCCAGCCCAGCCCTCCCACAGCCAGCCACCCCGCTGCCCTTCACCTGCGTGGCTGCGGGGGCCCAAGAGCGCTGAAGCCCCGAGGGAGCCGGTCTCTAGAAAAGTCAGCGGCTGAAGCTGACAGCCCACTCTGAATAAATAAATCATTTCTGATCGTTTATTCCGTGCCTTGGGCACACACCATGTCTCATTCACCATAGTAGATTCTGGGACCAAAGATAAACAAGACAAGATACTTGGTCGGAGGAAACCTCTGGCTTGTGGGGGAAATACTCATGTAAATGGCTTAAAACAACGTGGTACATCTATGCAGCCTGCTACTGGAGTAGCCAATATCCATTAGCCTTCATTTCCACGCAGCAGGAAGAACAGAGGCACGGGGGCATGGTGCTGCCAGTCAATAGGTAGATAAGCTTCCTAGAAGATTGCAGGGATGGGGCAGAGGACCAGACTGCAAGAGTGGCTGAGTAGAAAGGGGCACTACGGGTTTCCTAAGTTGTGTACTGTCAATAATGTGGGGGCAATGACGTTCTGACTTCCTCACCAGAGAGCTGGCTCTGGCAGTGACAGGTAGACAGATGTGAGGCCACACTGCGGGCACAGAAGTGAGTTGGGAGGCAGTCTGAAAGCAAAATGTGATGAGGCATTGGCAGGGGGCATGGAGAGGAGGGAACTGGGCAGCTGATGCAATCTGCAAGAGAAGAAAACCAGCCGAGGTAGGATGACTCCCAAGTTTCTAGCACCAAGTTGGGTGACTACGTGCCTGACAGCCAATAAAAGCACAGGTGGAGAAACATGCTTTAGGAGAAAGATTGTTCTCATCTACATGTGTTGAGTTTGAAATGTTTGGGGGACATCCCAGTGTACGTGTCCCATAAGCCACTGGACACACAGGAGGTTTGGACTAGGAATATTGATCAGTAGTCATCAGCCCAAAGGTGGCATGAGAAAGGATGGAATGAATAGGGAAGATCATCCAAATTGTGAAGAATCTAGGAGGACAGCGTACAGCCAAAGGAAGGAGACTGGAAGCAAGGGTCAGAGAGGTGTGGGACGCATCAGAAAAGCCAAAAGAGCAGACGACTGTAAGAAGGGAAGGGTCAGATGTGTACAGGCTGCAGGGAAGACAAACAGGATGATAACTGAAAAAAAAAAAAAAAAAGAGTATCTGAGGGCACTTGTGACCATTGACAGAGCAGGATAGTGCTCTAATGGAGGAAAGGAGGTTGCTCACAAGTACCAGTGACCATGCTGGCCATTGCTGCCAGGTCGAAGCCCCTCCACTGGCCCTTGGCCTTGCCCAATGAAAGCATTGTCTCCATTTTACAGATGTGATAAGTGTAGAGAGGTTAAGTAACTTTATATAGGCACACAGCTGCTCTGTAGACAATATGAACCAATGTGCTCCAAAAGACTATGTTCTTACTTAACCTCTTAACCCTGACTCTCTACCCTCTCTCCTGCCATTGAATAACATCCTGACTCGTCAATGCACCTTGATTCTTTTGATTATCTCCCTTTAGTCCAACAACCGTCGTATCTACAGCGATCCTTAGAGAACAATTAAGGCCAGTTGACAGTAAAGAACAATCAGTGTGTATTTGAAGTCCATGCTGAGAGAGCATCAATCTTCTGGCAGCTGCAAGACTGACCTATCAACCGAGGCATTTCTTCATTCCCTGCCATTGTCTCCTCCTCTTGAGATCGCCATCAGGCACAGTCACTTTTCTACAAACAGGCAATAGGACTCCCGCTGCCACCCTGCCCAGATTTTAGTCCTCTACTGCTGATAAAGTGAGCAAAGATACGTGGCACTTCCTGAACCCAAATACTCTTCTGAGCTGATTCTAAATCCACACAGAATCAACCTACCTCCTATTACCTCCTTCCAAGCTCTGTGTCCCATTCTCTCATTTCAGTCTCAGCTCCAGACATCAGTGAATTCAATGTGATACATCAGGGGACATCACAGGACTTCCCTACTTGAAAATCAAGCAATCGTGTCCCTGAAACACTCTGTCTTTATTCATGCTCAGTTACCGTAAAGTAGATGCAACTCTAAGAACCTATGGATTTTTTTATTGCCACTAATAGATCATGATTTACAGCAAAATTTTAAAAGGTCCAATTTTACTCACATAAGAAGAAGAAAACATTCAGCAAGAAGCATTTCTTTTGCTTTATCTTTCCCAGTTAAATATGACTTTAAAAAAGACAAAATTTTAAAAGGTCCAATTTTACTCACAAAAGAAGAAGAAAACATTCAGCAAGAAGCATTTCTTTTGCTTTATCTTTCCCAGTTAAATATGACTTTAAAAAAGACAAAATTTTAAAAGGTCCAATTTTACTCACATAGGAAACAAGAAGAAAACATTCAGCAAGAAGCATTTCTTTTGCTTTATCTTTCCCAGTTAAATATGACTTTGAAAAAGAAGAGCACACCTCATTAGCCGTAATTGTCTGATTAATACAAAGAAATGGACTCATATCACGGGGTTCTACTACCCCTATGGTAGTGTTTACTATCCTTATTTCACTCAATAATTACAGTTACTTTAACCAGAATGCCTGCCTTGTTTGGCATTTTGGGAGAGGAAGCATATGACTGTAAACCCTCTTCAAACTTTCAGACTTACGTTTGCTTCTTCTAAGTCCATCGACTTTATACATAAATGACTTCTTTTTAAAAATAAATAAATAAATAAATAAATAAATGATTTCTTTCCTGATCTTCATATAACAAGTATGTAGCCTTTGCAATTTCCAGGGCAGTCTACAGGTTTAAAATCTGGCCGTCCTGGAGAATGGGCAGAAGAAAGCTGAAGGGAGCCTTTTCCCACAGCCCTTCCCTTCCTTCTTAAAGAAGGTTCACTTCAGAGGTCTCCCAGATACAACAAGAACTGAGTTTTTGGTTCAGAATATTTTGTGGGTGCAAAACATAATACATAGTTGCCAGTAACATAATTGAATTAGGTGTTGGTTGTTTAAGAGGAGACACATTGTATCTTTAAGGTAGCCCCTTAATAGAACTTGGCATGTATATCCTTCCTTAGAAGTGAATTTCAGGTTGGGTAAAACCTGAGAAGGAACAGATCTGGCCCTGGGGTACAATGAATGCAGGCAATCACTCCAGCCCTGGTGGCTTGAGGGCCCTGCAAGTGCTAAAGGAGTATAGTGACCAACTGTGTCCAAAGAGACTTAGCACTGCAAGTCCCACACCCCCAAGAAACCACAGTTCCATGAACACCTGGAGGCTTGGCTCCCTATAAAGAAACTGCCACCTCCCTTAATATAATTAAGCCAGATTAGCTGGGTACTGTGGCTCACACCTGTAACCCCAGCACTTTAAGAGGCTGAGATGGGAGGATCCCTTGAGAACACATTTCCACTAAAAAAAAATTTTTTTTAAATAGCCAGGCATGGTGGCATATGCCTGTGGTCTCAGCAACTCAGGAGGCTGAGGCAAAAGGATCACTTAAGCCCAGGAGGTAGAGGCTGCAGTAGGCTGTGATTGCGCGACTGCACTCCAGCCTGGGCAACAGAGCAAGACCCTGTCTCAAAAAATAAACAAACAAACAAAAACCAACAACAACAAAAAATAATTAAGCCAGGCCAGGTGCAGTGGCTCATGCCTGTAATCCCAACACTTTGGGAGGCCGAGGTGGGTGGATCACCTGCGGTCGGGAGTTCAAGGCCAGCCTGACCAACATGGAAAAACCCCATCTCTACTAAAAATACAAAATTAGCTGGGTGTGGTGGCACATGCCTGTAACCCCAGCTACTTGGGAGGCTGAGGCAAGAGAATCACTTGAACTGGGGAGGCGGAGGTTGCAGTGAGCCGAGATCGCACCATTGCACTCCAGCCTGGGTAACAAGAGTGAAACTCCATCTCAACAATAATAATAATAATAATAAAGCCAGATACTCCAAGGCTAGTAATGGAGGGAAACTTCCCTGTGAAGAGGAGACAGTTGTCTTAAAAAAAAAATCATGTTCCCTTGAAAGATGTTTCATAATTACCACCACTGCCACCTTGGCCTGGAAAAGAAAGTGGTCGGATGGGAAGGGGAAGGAAGCAGGTTAGAAGAGGCAGTCCTCCATGGGCTGTGAGCATCTCTACATGTTTCTCTTGGGTGCACCTAGAATGCAAAGCCCTAACCACTTCTGAATGCAGAGAAACTCAAACTGCATTGTCCTCTGCTCTCATACCGCAACAATCAACACAAAAGACTTCTGTGACCAGATGTTGGTGGGCAGTCTACACCAACAAGCAATCAGTTCTGCAGAAGACACCAGCTGGGCATCCTCCAATTCAACTCCGTTCTGACACTATCTACCTCAAGATAGCATCACATCCCAGAGGTTGAGGGCTCAGTCCCACAAAACTGCCTCCTCTCTCCCCTAGACCCAGAGTCAAGTCTGGGCCTCCAGAACATCTGACCAACTAGCTTCAATTTGGGATTCCCACAACCCCTCTTTGGGTTTGATTAATTTGCTGGACAGGCTCACAGAACTCAGGGAAACGCTTACATATACCAGTTTAATACAAAGGATATCAGAAAGAACACAGATGAAGAAGTGCACAGGGGAGGTATGCGGGGAGGTGCACAGAACTTCCATACTCGCTCTAGGTGCGCCACCCCTCAGAAACCTCCACATGTTCAGCTGTCCCAGAAGCTCTCTGAACCCTGTCCTCCTGGGCCTTTTTTGGAGACTTCCTTGGATAGACATGACTGAAGACAAACATGTCAGACGGTGATTGGACAAAAAGCAGAGGCTCTAATACTGATAGACTGAGTGGGGGAAACCCAGCAAGCCCTGTCTGACCATATTCTCCTTGGCCTCTCTGTGCTGCATTTGCACCTTCAGGGTATGGGGCAGGACTGCCTCTGGGATGAGGGTCTTATGACCTCCGATCAGAAAGACTACCTTGGAGCCGGGTGCGGTGGCTCATGCCTGTAATCCCAGCACTTTGAGAGGCCGAGGCGGGTGGATCAACTGAGAACGGGAGTTCAAGACCAGCCTGACCAACATGGAGAAACCCCATCTCTACTAAAAATGCAAAATTAGCCAGGTGTGGTGGCACACGCCTGTAATCCCAGCTACTCGGGAGGCTGAGGCAGGAGAATCGCTTGAGCCCGGGAAGCAGAGGTTGCGGTAAGCCAGGATCATGCCACTGCACTCCAGCCTGGGCAACAAGAGTGAAACTCTGTCAAAAAAAAAAAAAGGAAAGAAAGAAAGAAAGAAAGAAAGAAGGAAGGGAAGGGAAGGAAAGGGAAGGGAAGGGAAAGGATGGGAAGGAGGAAGGAAGGAAGGAAGGAAGGAAGGAAGGAAGGAAGGAAGGAAGGAAGGAAGGAAGGAAGGAAGGAAGGAAAGAAAGAAAGAAAGACTGTCCTGGGCAGAAGAAGAGAGGACAGAGGAGGGTCAAAAAGAAATTGTGTTTCCTGAGGCCTGCTTCTGAGGCCTACAGTGCCCCAACATCAGAACAGATGACTGTTATAAGTCAGGAGCCATGGGTGAAAACCTATATGTGTATATGGATGTGTGTGCATGTATGTGTAGTAATGTCACACCACTCTTTACCCAGGCCGTTTCTCAGAGTTGTGTTTGCAGCCAGCAACCTGGAGGGATGAGGTAATATTTTCCCCTGGGCAAAGAGCAGCCTTGCTGCTTCTGCTTATTGAAAAGTAATGTATCCTCTAAGCTCAGTGCTTCTCTCCCATGATGCAACCCATCATGTGCACAGGCATCTATAGTGAGCTCTTTGCATCACCCTGTGGGACTTGTGGGGCATGGGGAACTGGCACAAGCATCATTCTCACCCTCTGGCTGCTGCCTTTGCCATAAGTGATAATATCCTTTGTCTCTGACCCTGGAGTCTTTTCTCCCCAGTATCCATGAAACCCTAACAGGATAACTTGTCATCTTGGAAGAAGGTGAAAATCCTAGACCCTACACAATTCTTGACCAGCACTGCCTAATTTGATGCTGCCACTGAGACATTAGCTTCACTTATACTCTACGGTGCAGCTGATCTAAGGTCTGAACTTTTAAACAGGTCTTTCCTCAAGGCTAAAGGCTAATAAAGGAAAATAAATTCATGTGATAAAACAAAAGTAACTGTGTTAGATGTGGTTGATTGGCAGTCAGTGTGCACTCCCTACTTTTCTGTTCTTTCTTAAATGGCAGAGTTTGGGCCGGGCGCGGTGGCTCACGCCTGTAATCCCAGCACTTTGGGAGGCCGAGGCGGGCGGATCACGAGGTCAGGAGATCGAGACCATCCTGGCTAAAACGGTGAAACCCCGTCTCTACTAAAAATACAAAAAATTAGCCGGGCGTAGTGGCGGGCGCCTGTAGTCCCAGCTACTTGGGAGGCTGAGGCAGGAGAATGGCGTGAACCCGGGAGGCGGAGCTTGCAGTGAGCCGAGATCCCGCCACTGCACTCCAGCCTGGGCGACAGAGCGAGACTCCGTCTCAAAAAAAAAAAAAAAAAAAAAAAAAATGGCAGAGTTTGGAAAAGCTATAAAACTACCTTTTCCAGATTCCCTCTGTATCAGGTTCTAGATAAGAATTGATGTACTCTGGCACGTTTGGGAAGGTAGGGTGAGGCACAGGCCATATCCTTTGTGGCTGTCTATGCCAGCAAGCAGTTCATGGAGACATGATATTTTTCTGCTTTGGTATTCTTTTGTCCAAATTCCAGCTTCTAGATGTTGAGAGGCAGCTGCAGTATTGGCTGCTTTCTGATTTCTGGTTTCAGCCACTACACGATGCCCTGAAGTCAAGAGACCAGTGAATGCCTTTGACTCCTCATCCTGCAGATTGTAGCAGAAGTACCAGCTTTCCTGGCAGGATGGATCTGCAGTGTTATAGCATCACTCCTGGTGACCCACCCTAGAGACCATGTATCCAGATCTTCTGGATATTCTGTAAGCCCCTAACCTCCTATAGTGAATCCCTTTCTGCCTAAAAATGCAAAGTGGTTGCTCTATCCTGTCCCTGGACAAGTATCAAAATACTAGGTCATCAACTAGAAAATTACAGCTTATCAGTCACACTCTGGGGTCCCTCTGCCTTGCTGTTAGCTTGCCTCTCTGTAGACGAAGTCCCTTTTAGGATCTACTCAAGGACAACCCTGAATTGTAGCCTTCTCAAAAAATCTAGATCCAGAGAGCAAAGCCCAGAGAAAGCTGGAATTTCTCTCTCCATCCTACTTTCTGGGTTTCCATTGCCTATCTGAGGACATGCTTCTTTCCTAGATCCATAGAAAGATCTATGTTTCAGGGGAACCTAAAGGTAGTGGTCTTATCCCAGAGCATAGAAGTATAATTAACACAAGATGATACAAAACAACACAATCACTGCAATGACACACTGCTGAAGCCCCTCTACGAAGCAGGTGGGATGGCACCAGGTTATCATTTCCTTACATTATGGAAAAGAACAGATACTCTAACAATTCTAAATGTATCACTTTAGACCTGTTGTTATCCTTCCTGACTTCCCCACCCCTCTTCAGAAGGCCTGCTTCATTTGTAGGACAGACGGAATAGAATGATGACAAAGAAAGATCCCAGCTAAGTACAGTGGCTGAAGCCTGTAATCCAAACTACTCTGGAGGCTGAGGCAGAAAGATTGCTTGAAGCTAGGAGTTCAAGACCAACCTGGGCAACATAGCAAGACTCCTATCTCTTAAAAAATACATTAATTTAAAAAAAATTGTAAAGGACTTCATAGCAAACCAACATGATTAAATCTTTGTGGTGAGTGTGTGGGTGTCACTATACCAACTTTAATTACAAGAAAGACATCATCAATTTTAAGATGCACCATTATTTCATGGACCACTAAGAAGGAAAAAATGCTGCCAATTAAATGGCACACACCTTAATGATTAAACAGAGAAAAGAGGACTTCGTTGCCAAACCACATAAATCTAGTCCTGACTCTGTCACTTACGGCAGTATGGATTTGGGCAATTCCCTAAAGCTCTTTTTACTCAGTTTCCAAGTTGGGGTTAAACACAATACCTATTTCAAAGCATCAAATGGGATAACACATGCAACATATGCTTCAAACATACACGCAGACCAGTGCCTGGACCAAGGTAGGTGCTTAAATGTTAGCCATAGTTATACTTATGCCATGCTATCTTTTGCATTCATCTTAATAATATTTTTTCTCAGGGGCGGTTCGAAGATGGCCGAATAGGAACAGCTCCAGTCTGCAGCTCCCAGCTTGAGCGACACAGAAGACGGGTGATTCCTGCATTTCCAACTGAGGTACTGGGTTCATCTCACTGGGGCTTGTCAGACAGTGGGGGCAGGACAATGGGTGCAGCCCACCGAGGGTGAGCCAAAGCAGGGCAAGGCATCACCTCACCCGGGAAGTGCAAGGGGTCAGGGAATTCCCTTTCCCAGCCAAGGGAAGCAGTGACGGAAAGCACCAGGAAAATCAGGTCACTCCCACCCTAATATGCGCTTTTCCAATGGTCTTAGCAAATGGCACATCAGGAGATTATATCCCACGCCTGGCTCCCAGGGTCCCACGCCCATGGAGCCTCGCTCATTGCTAGCACACCAGTCTGAGATCAAACTGCAAGGCGGCAGCGAGGCTGGGGGAGGGGCGCTTGCCATTGCTGAGGCTTCAGTAGGTAAACAAAGCGGCCCAGAAGCTGGAACTGGGTGGAGCCCACAGCAGCTCAAGGAGGCCTGCCTGCCTTTGTAGACTCCACCTCTGGGGGCAGGGCATAGCCAAACAAAAGGCAGCAGAAACCTCTGCAGACTTAAATGTCCCTGTCTGACAGCTTTGAAGTGAGTAGTGGCTCTCCCAGCACGGAGTTTGAGATCTGAGAATGGACAGACTGCCTCCTCAAGTGGGTCCCTGACCCCCGAGTAGCCTAACTGGGAGGCACCCTCCAGTAGGGGCAGACTGACACCTCACACAGCCGGGTACACCTCTGAGACAAAGCTTCCAGAGGAACGATCAGGCAGCAACATTTGCTGTTCAGCAATATTCACTGTTCTCCAGCCTCCTCTGCTGATACCCAGGCAAACAGGGTTTGGAGTGAACCTCCAGCAAACTCCAACAGACCTGCAGCTAACTGTCCTGACTGTTAGAAGGAAAACTAACAAACAGAAAGGACATCCACACCAAAACGCCATCTGTACGTCACCATCATCAAAGACCAAAGGTAGATAGAACCACAAAGATGGGGAAAAAACAGAGCAGAAAAGCTGAAAATTCTAAAACTCGGAGCACCTCTCCCCCTCCAAAGGAATGCAGCTCCTCACCAGCAATGGAACAAAGCTGGATGGAGAATGAGTTTGACGAGTTGAGAGAAGAAGGCTTCAGATGATCAAACTTCTCCAAGCTAAAGGAGGAATTTCGAACCCATCGCAAAGAAGCTAAAAACCTTGAGAAAAGATTAGACAAATGGCTAACTAGAATAACCAGTGTAGAGAAGTCCTTAAATGACCTGATGGAGCTGAAAACGATGGCACAAGAACTACATGATGAATGCACAAGCTTCAATAGCTGATTCCATCAACTGGAAGAAAGGGTATCAGTGATTGAAGATCAAATTAATGAAATGAAGTGAGAAGTTTAGAGTAAAAAGAAATGAACAAAGCCTCCAAGAAACATGGGACTATGTGAAAAGACCAAATCTACATCTGATTGGTGTACCTGAAAGTGACGGGGAGAATGGAACCAACTTGGAAAACACTCTGCAGGATATTACCCATGAGAACTTCTCCAACCTAGCAAGGCAGGCCAATATTCAAATTCAGGAAATACAGAGAATGCCACAAAGATACTCTTCGAGAAGAGCAACTCCAAGACACATAATTGTAAGATTCACCAAAGTTGAAATGAAGGGGAAAATGTTAAGGGCAGCCAGAAAGAAAGGTTGGGTTACCCACAAAGGGAAGCCCATCAGACTAACAGCAGATTGCTCGGCAGAAACTCTACAAGCCAGAAGAGAGTGGAAGCTAATATTCAACATTCTTAAAGAAAAGAATTTTTGACGCAGAATTTCAAATCCAGGCAAACTAAGCTTCACAAGTGAAGGAGAAATACAATCCTTTACAGACAAGCAAATGCTGAGAGATTTTGTCACCACCAGGCCTGCCCTAAAAGAGCTCCTGAAGGAAGCACTAAACATGGAAAGAAACAACTGGTAACAGCCACTGCAAAAACATGCCAAATTCTAAAGACCATCGATGGCTAGGAAGAAACTGCATCAACTAACAAGCAAAATAACCGGCTAACATCATAATGACAGGATCAATTTCACACATAACAATATTAACCTTAAATGTAAATGGACTAAATGCTCCAATTAAAAGACACAGACTGGCAAATTAGATAAAGAGTCAAGACCCATCAGCGTGCTGTATTCAGGAGACCCATCTCACATGCAGAGACACACATAGGCTCAAAATAAAGAGATGGAGGAAGATCTACCAAGCAAAAGGAAAACAAAGAAAAGGAGGGGTTACAATCCTATGCTCTGATAAAACAGACTTTAAACCAACAAAGATCAAAAGAGACAAAGAAGGCCATTACATAATGGTAAAGGAATCAATTCAACAAGAAGAGCTAACTATCCTAAACATATATGCACCCAATACAGGAGCACCCAGATTCATAAAGCAAGCCCTTAGAGACCTACAAAGAGACTTAGACTCCCACACAATAATAATGGGAGACTTTAAAACCCCACTGTCAACATTAGACAGATAAACGAGACAGAAAGTTAACAAGGATATCCAGGAATTGGACTCAGCTCTGCACCAAGCAGACCTAATAGACATCTACAGAACTCTCCACCCCAAATCAACAGAATATACATTATTCTCAGCACCACATTGCACTTATTCCAAAATTGACCACACAGTTGGAAGTAAAGCACTCCTCAGCAAATGTAAAAGAACAGAAATCACAACAAACTGTCCCTCAGACCATAGTGCAATCAAACTAGAACTCAGGATTAAGAAACTCACTCAAAACTGCTCAACTACATGGAAACTGAACAACCTGCTCCTGAATGACTACTGGGTAAATAATGAAATGAAGGCAGAAATAAACATGTTCTTTGAAACCAATGAGAACAAAGACACAACATATCAGAATCTCTGGGACACATTTAAAGCAGTGTGTACAGGGAAATTTATAGCACTAAATGCTCACAAGAGAAAGCAGTAAAGACCTAAACTTGACACCCTAACATCACAGTTAAAAGAACTAGAGAAGCAAGAGCAAACACATTCAAAAGCTAGCAGAAGGCAACAAATAACTAAGATCAGAGCAGAACTGAAGAAGATAGAGACACAAAAAACCCTTCAAAAAATCAATGAATCCAGAAGCTGGTTTTTTGAAAAGATCAACAATATTGATAGACTGCTAGCAAGACTAATAAAGAAGAAAAGGGAGAAGAATCAAATAGATGCAATAAAAAATGATAAAGGGGATATCACCACCAATCCCACAGAAATGCAAACTACCATCAGAGAATATTATAAACACCTCTATGCCAATAAACTAGAAAATCTAGAAGAAATGGATAAATTCCTGGACACATACACCCTCCCAAGACTAAACCAAGAAGAAGTTGAATCCCTGAATAGACCAATAACAGGCTCTGAAATTGAGGCAATAATTAATAGCCTACCAACCAAAAAAAAGTCCAGGACCAGATGGATTCACAGCCGAATTCTACCAGAGGTACAAGGAGGAGCTGGTACCATTCCTTCTGAAACTCTTCCAATCAATAGAAAAAGAGGGAATCCTCCCTAACTCATTTTATGAGACCAGCATCATCCTGATACCAAAGCCGGGCAGAGACACAACCAAAAAAGAGAATTTTACACCAATATCCTTGATAAACATTGATGCAAAAATCCTCAATAAAATACTGCCAAACTGAATCCAGCAGCACATCAAAAAGCTTATCCACCGTGATCAAGTGGGCTTCATCGCTGGGATGCAAGGCTGGTTTAACATACGCAAATCAATAAACGTAATCCAGCATATAAACAGAACCAAAGACAAAAACCACATGATTATCTCAATAGATGCAGAAAAGGCTTTTGACAAAATTCAACACCCTTCATGCTAAAAACCGTCAATAAATTAGGTGTTGATGGGATGTATCTCAAAATAATAAGAGCTATTTATGACAGACCCACAGCCAATATAACACTGAATGGACAAAAACTGGAAGCATTCCCTTTGAAAACTGGCACAAGACAGGGATGCCCTCTCTCACCACTCCTATTCAAAATAGTGTTGGAAGTTCTGGCCAGGGCAATCAGGCAAGAGAAAGAAATAGAGGGAGTTCAATCAGGAAAAGAGGAAGTCAAATTGTCCCTGTTTGCAGATGACATGATTGTATATTTAGAAAACCCCATCATCTCAGCCCAAAATCTCCTTAAGCTGATAAGCAACTTCAGCAAAGTCTCAGGATACAAACTCAATGTGCAAAAATCACAAGCATTCTTATACACCAATAACAGACAGAGAGCCAAATCATGAGTGAACTCCCATTTACTATTGCTTTAAAGAGAATAAAATACCTAGGAATCAAACTTACAAGGGATGTGAAGGACCTCTTCAAGGAGAACTACAAACCACTGCTCTACAAAATAAAAGAGGACACAAACAAATGGAAGAACATTCCATGCTCATGGGTAGGAAGAACCAATATCCTGAAAAAGGCCATACTGCCCAACGTAATTTATAGATTCAATGCCATCCCCATCAAGCTACCAATGACTTTCTTCACAGAATTGGAAAAAACTACTTTAAAGTTCATATGGAACCAAAAAAGGGCCTGCATTGCCAAGACAATCCTAAGCCAAAAGAACAAAGCTGGAGGCATCACGCTACCTGACTTCAAACTATACTACAAGGCTACAGTAACCAAAACAGCATGGTACTGGTACCAAAACAGATATATAGATCTTGGAACAGAACAGAGCCCTCAGAAATAATACCACACATCTACAACCACTGATCTTTGACAAACTGGACAAAAACAAGCAATGGGGAAAGGATTCCCTATTTAATAAATGGTGCTGGGAAAACTGGCTAGCCATATGCAGAAAGCTGAAACTGGATCCCTTCCTTACATCTTCTACAAAAATTAAGTCACGATGGATTAAAGACTTATATGTTAGACTTAAAACCATAAAAACCCTAGAAGAAAACCTAGGCAATACCATTCAGGACATAGGCATGGGCAAGGACTTCATGTCTAAAACACCAAAAGCAATGGCAACAAAAGCCAAAATTGACAAACAGGATCTAAATAAACTAAAGAGCTTCTGCACAGCAAAAGAAACTACCATCAGAGTGAACAGGCAACCTACAGAATGGGAGAAAATTTTTGCAATCTACTCATCTTACAAAGGGCTAATATCCAGAATCTACAATGAACTCAAACAGACACACAAGGAAAAAACAAACAACCCCATCAAAAAGTGGGTGAAGGATATGAACAGACACTTCTCAAAAGAAGACATTTATGCAGCCAACAGACACATGAAAAAATGCTCATCATCTCTGGCCATCAGAGAAATGCAAATCAAAACCACAATGAGATACCATCTCACACCAGTTAGAATAGCAATCATTAAAAAGTCAGGAAACAACAGGTGCTGGAGAGGATGTGGAGAAATAGGAATGCTTTTACACTGCTGGTGGGACTATAAACTAGTTCAACCATTGTGGAAGTCGGTGTGGCCATTCCTCAGGGATCTAGAACTAGAAATACCATTTGACCCAGCCATCCCATTACTGGGTATATACCCAAAGGATTATAAATCATGCTGCTATAAAGACACATGCACACATATGTTTATTGCGGCCCTATTCACAATAACAAAGACTTGGAACCAACCCAAATGTCCATCAATGATAGACTGGATTAAGAAAATGTAGCACATATACACCATGGAATACCAGGCAGCCATAAAAAAGGATGAGTTCATGTCCTTTATAGGGACATGGATGAAGCTGGAAAACATCATTCTCAGCAAGCTATCGCAAGGATAAAAAACCAAACACCTCATGTTCTCACCCATAGGTGGGAATTAAACAATGAGAACACTTGGACACAGGAAGGGGAACATCACACACTGGGGCCTGTCATGGGGTGGGGGGAGGGGGGAGTGATAGCATTAGGAGATATACCTATGTAAATGACGAGTTAATGGGTCAGCACACCAACATAGCACATGTATACACATGTAACAAACCTGCACATTGTGCACATGTACCCTAGAACTTAAAGTATAATAAAAAATATATATATAGGCAAAGAATAAGATAGAAAAAAAAATAATAGTATTATTTGTTCTCTCTGCTTGTTAGAGGGCAGGGGAACCTGTATCTTTTGTTTCATGGGGGTCACACACTTCTCCAGGATTAGCTCCAGACTAGAAAATTATTGCCAGGCCAATAAAACATCCTATCTTTGGGGGTCCAATATTTGGTTGATTTTGTTTGTTCACCTTTCAATCACCAGAATCCCCTTCTTATCAATAATTCCACCACCGCTCAAGAATTCACAAAATTAAAACAAAAATGATCTCTCTCATTTACCATATTAGCACTACATATTTCACAAACATGATTTCATCTTCACTATCAGGGAGGTATTACCAAAC
Organism: Homo sapiens; assembly: GCF_000001405.40. Taxonomy (NCBI): domain Eukaryota; kingdom Metazoa; phylum Chordata; class Mammalia; order Primates; family Hominidae; genus Homo; species Homo sapiens. Next base: position 69,849,788 of record NC_000008.11, read on the forward strand.
CCTTTAATAGAGGAGGGAGCTGAGAATCAGAGATGATCACCAACGTGCCCAAATTCACACAGCATAGAAAGTGTGGAGAGAGAGTCAAATGCAGACCAGCTGTACTCCAGAATCTACACCCCAGAATCTACACTCCTAGCCATCTTGCTCAATTTTCTCCAAAAAATGCTGTGATCCTTTTAGGAGCTTGTGTATTGATTAAGATAAAACATTTCTCTGTAGTGCAATATTTAAGTACGATGAAGCAATCCAAATGCAAATAATACATGCTGTAGTTTTGAATAAAGACACAAAATAAGCTACCCCATATAACCAAAATCTCTAATGACTAGGATTTGGCTTATTACAGGACTGCCGAAGCTGAGAGTAACTACCCCTGGTTTCATTTCCAACTCATGAATTTTTCGCCATCCTTCTCTGCCCGCCTTTCCTTTACTACACAGTGAGCCGCACTCCTGGAACAAGCTTCCCTTGAAGTTCACCCTCTGAGCGCCACGGCCCCTCTCCAGCCTGCATTCCACTGTAAGGTTGAGAAATATCTGATTGTTAGTGATGAGAGAGAAAACCTAGCCTCATTCTCTGGTGGCCTGTCTTGCAAAAGAGAGATGAAATCAAACCTGGCTTCCTGAGATTCCAAATCACAAACATCACATACTAGTTTTTTTTTTTAATAAAATCATGGGGCCAGATGTGGTAGCTCACACCTGTAATACCAGCACTTTGGGAGGCTGAGGCAGAACAATCACTTGAGGCCAGGAGTTCAAGACCAGCCTGGAAAACAAAGGGAAACGCACTTCTACAAAAAATTTAAAAATTAGTCACATGTGGTAGCATGAACTTGTAGTTCCAGCTACTTGGGAGGCTGGGGCAGGAGGATCGCTTGAGCCCAGGAGCTGGAGGCTACAATGAGCCAGGATTGCACTACTGCACTCCAGCCTGGGTGACAGAGGGAGACCTTGTCTAAATAAATATCATAGAAAGGTGGGGAACTCACTCAGAGTGTCCCACATTGTCTTTTTCTTTCTTTTTTTCAAAATTAAGAGACAGGGACAGCAAGGCGCGGTGACTCACTCCTGTGATCCCAACACTTTGGGAGGCCGAGGTGGGTGGATCACCTGAGCTCAGGAGTTCAAGAACAGCCTGGCCAACATGGTGAGACCCTGTCTCTACTAAAAACACAAAAATTAGCCAGGCATGGTGGCACACACCTGTAATCCCAGCTACTCAGGAGGCTGAGGCAGGAGAATCGCTCGAACCCCGGAGGCAGAGATTGCAGTGAGCCAAGATTGTGCCACTGCGTTCCACCCTGGGAAACAAAGCAAGATTCCATCTCCAAAAAAAGAAAAAGAGAGAGAGAGAGAGAGCTAGGGTCTTACTATATTGCCCAGGGTGGAATGCAGTGTCTACTCAGAGGCCCAGTCCCACTACTGATTCTGCTCATATCTGACCTAAGCCAGTTCGCCCCTCCTTAAACAACGTGGTGGACCCCACTCCAGGAGGTCACCATATTGATGCCAAACTTAGTTCAGACACCCAATTGCTACAGCACACTACAGCTCAGAACTCCTGGGCTCAAGCAATTGTTTTGCCTCAGCCTCTCAAGTAGCTGAGACCACAGGTGTGCACTATTGAGCCTCACTTCCCTTAGCATATCTTTTTGAACAGCCTTTTCTTTATATTGAGATACCTGAAAAGGGCTCTTTACAAAATCCACTCGAATTCCCTTCTCTCCTCTCTGCTGTCCTTTATTATTGATGACATTTTTGATAATTATCTGATTATAGAAAAACTCCAAAAAGCCAGGAAGAAGTGCTGATTTTTGTTTTGTTTTGAGATGGAATCTCACTCTGTCACTCAGGCTGGAGTGCGGTGGTGCAATCTTGGCTCACTGCAACCTTCGCCTCCCAGGTTCAAGTGATTCTCCCTGCCTCAGCCTCCCAAGTAGCTGGGAATACAGGTGTCTGGCACCACACCCAGCTAATTTTTGTATTTTTAGTATAGCTGGGTTTTCACCATGTTGGCCAGACTGGTCTCGAACTCCTGACCTCAGGTGATCCACCCGCCTTGGCCTCCCAAAGTGCTGGGATTACAGGTGTGAGCCACTGCGCCCATCCAAAGTGCTGTATTATTTCACTCATCACTGCTATTGGTTTCAGCATATGCATACACAGGTGCCTGTATTTTTGGCCTGACATCTATGCTCCATTCTCTTTGGATTTCAGGGATACATGACAATTGTTCTAGTTCTTTTGCTGTAACTGATGAATACAAAATAACCCCGTAGTAGAATGTACCACCTGGAACATCAAGAAAGTGATTTTACAGGATTTAGCATTCCATTTGGGGGCTGCAGAACCTGTCATCAGATAATGGGATTTGAATGATAAATGAACTGTCTCATGTCAATCCCTTTGTGAAAATTAGAGCTTTTAAAGTCTAGGTTTAGCTTGCTTAAACTGAGAAATGGCCAGGCAAATAGTCATGTCAGTAGAAATATAACATCTAAAAGTCAAGATCTTTTTCCCTTCCTTTAGTTGTCATTATTTGTGAAATTTCACACCAGAAGACAATTGTGATTTTTTTTGAACCAGAAAGATTGTGAAAATTAGCTCGTATTAGACCTGTGATGAATCTTCAACTCTAGAAAAGAAAAAGAAATGTGCTCTAAGAAGAAATAAGAGGCCGGGTGCAGTGCCTCAAGCCTGTATTCCCAACACTTTGGGAGGCCAAGGCAGGCGGATCACTTGAGGTCAGGAGTTCGAGACCAGCCTGGCCAACATGGCAAAACCCCGTCTCTACCAAAAATACAAATATTAGCTGGGTGTGGTGATGCATAACTGTAATCCCAACTACTCAGGAAGCTGAGGCAGGAGAATCGCTTGAACCTGGGAGGCAGAGGTTTCAGTGAGCCGAGATCGTGCCACTGCACTCCAGCCTGGGAGACAGAGCAAGACTCTGCCTTAAAAATAAATAAATTAAAAGAAGAGATTTATAGGTAAACAAAAACATGCATTTTCTCTCTGTACTATGTGCATTCTTCCCCAATCTTCCCTAAAGAAAATATCCCCTAGGAAGAAAGGTCTGAAACCTTGGAAATTATTTTTACTAGTCTTAGAAATATGTATAACAAATATGCAAAAACATGAACAAGCAAAGTAATCCAAGCTATTGAAAACCTAATAAGATCAGCTTACTCATATGCCTCCAAGACAGAATGCTATCAGCCCTCTGCAATTTTAAGACCAAGACTCTGACTTCTGCCAGGTGCAAAACCCATGGAGAGAAATACTCTATAGATGAAGAAAGACTTGAGTTAGACCCTGAAGAGTAAGCAGAATTTTCATATCTGTGAATAGAACCCACGGCCTCTGAGACAGAGCAACCCCTGATAAAGGAGACCAAAACAGAAGCACCCTGGGCAGGATGTCTCAGGGATGCTCAAATTGTTGGGAAAGTTGGGGCATGTGAAGGGGAAAAACAGGCAGGAAGATAGAAAAGATCGTCTCCCTTGGCTGAGAAGTTTGGACTCTAGTATGTAGGCAATAGAAACTCATCAAAGGTTTCTATGCAGAGCAGTGACAGGATAAAGCAGGACTTTATGAAAACTGATCTTTCAGGAAAAGCTGGGAGGGACTGAAATAGGATGGAAACTGCAGGTAGAAAGACCACTCTCAAAGCTATTAGAACAATGCAGGCAAAAGACTGAACCATGACCTTGGGCTCAGCTATGTAAGTCAAGACTAGGTATTGGACCACTGTTATTTTCTAATGTCAAATCAATGACTTTAGATTGGAGGGAATTTAGGAATTGTTTTGCCAAAAATTCACAAACCTGTGGCAAAATCAGACTGGTGGTAAAGTGCACGTGTGTGTGTGTGTGTGTGTGTGTGTGTGTGTGTGTATAAACATGTATACAAATATATATATAATTTTTTTAGTTTTCTGAATTAGTTACCCAAGTTTTAAAATTGGGAGATTTCAGATGAAAACCCCAGATTTCTGGATTTTTGAAATTTGGCATTGTCATATTGGGCTCAAAGCCTTCACCTGACCCTCACCCTGCATAATCCTCTTAAGCTTCATTTAGTCCCATTCCTGTCCTGCCATTCATACCCCAATCTTAAAGATGAAGACACTGAAACCCGAGGAAGGTAAGGAATTTTCCCAAAGTTTCACTGACAGTTGTTGGCAAAGTCTGCAAGGATGATGTGACATAATGCCTGTCCCATTCCTTACAGCAACTGGACATATATGATCTCTGTTCCTCATAAGCCCTTAAGAGTAGACATCATTATCCCCATTTTGTAGAAGAGGAAACGGGTTGAAAGATTAGGTAACTTCCCCAAAGCCACATAGCTGGTCAGCGGTGGAGACAATGTTCAAACCTAGATCTTTCCAGGTCTTTCTTATTACACAATTAGTGTAAGATTCTGAAACCGGACAAACCTGCTTAAAATCGAGGCTGGTCATTGACTGGCTGTGTGATGGCAGGGATGTTACTCAGCCTGTCTGAGCTTCACATTTTTGGTTTTCAGACTGAAATGAGCATGTGTCTAACAGCAATTAACACATGTTAATTATTTTACAGTCACAGTTTGCTTTTTGAGAAAAAGCACTGTTAATGGATATGATCAGATACTTTATTTGTGTTGTTGGCTCTGAAAATCTTTTTAATCCCCAAAAAATAAAATCTAACCCCAAAGACAGTGTCAACCACTGATACTATTCTAAAGATTGTGCCATAAGATCTAAACCTTTTTCCTAAAGATTCCAAAAAAATCAGAGGTAACAGTAGCAGTGTTGGCAGTAGAACTCTCACATAAGAGACAGGGATGGAGGCATATGCGCCCCATGTCTCACTCCTCCTTCTACTTTCCTTGCCAGTGTTCCTGTTTGGCAAAACCAGCAACATCTGGGCCCACACTACAAAAGGACCCAGAAAATATAGTTTATAGCTTCCTAGCCCCTTTGATACAGAAAAGCATGCAAGAAAGGTGGACCAGTCATCTGCATCTGTCACAAAATTGCCCTAAGAACCAGCTTGTCAGCCATAGAAGAAAACTGTATCTCATTATTTTATGTTCACATTTTGCTTTTTGAGAGAAAGCACTGTGAGTAGATTTGATCAGATACTTTATTTGTGTTGTTGGTTCTGAAAATCTTTTTAATCCCCAAAAAATAAAATCCAACCCCAAAGATAGTGTCAACCACTGATGGTATTCTAAAGATTGTGCCATAAGATCTGAACCTTCTTCCAAAAGATTCCAAAAAAATTGGGCTTAACAGTAGCAATATTGGAAGTAGCATTTAGCATCCTACTTTGAAAGGGACAGCGCTCATTAGGATAGAGACATTCTAAAATGTTTGCTTTTTAATCAGCCCTATTAGTCACAGACATACCTCACTGGAGTTACCCTCCAGCTTCCTCCAAGGAAGATAGCCAAACACCTGATGGTGAGCAAAGCCATTACCATCTTGACTTCCTGCCAGAATTCTTACCACCATCAACCTTTCAAAACAGGTTGATTAGTGGATCTGGCAAACAAAAGCACTGTAATTATTCAATACTTACACAGAAATCCTCCCATAAAACAAGTATGCTTCAAAAAATCATATTGTCTTAACAATGACCATGTTCCCCTTTGGTTGAATTGGCCTCTTTTGTAAGATTCTAATTACCCAAAATTAAGGGTTTTTGGGGGTTTTTGTTTGTTTTTGTTCTTTTGTTTTGTTTTACCATGCTAGGACTGGGTAACTTTATTCAAGACCTTGACAAAATGATCCCCAAAGTAATATAAATGTAGACACTTTAAAAAGTCCAGATGTGGAAGTGAGGAGCGCCTCTGCCCGGCCACCCATCATCTGGGAGGTGAGGAGCGCCTCTGCCCGGCTGCCCTGTCTGGGAAGTGAGGAGTGCCTCTGCCCGGCCACCCCATCTGGGAAGTGAGGAGCACCTCTGCCCGGCCGCCCCCATCTGGGAAGTGAGGAGCGCTTCTGCCCGGCCTCCCCGTCTGGGAAGTGAGGAGCGTCTCTGCCCAGCCGCCCATCGTCTGGGATGTGAGGAGCGCCTCTACCCGGCCGCCCCGTCTGGGAAGTGAGGAGCGTCTCTGCCCGGCCGCCCATCGTCTGGGAGGTGAGGAGTGCCTCTGCCCGGCCACCCCGTCTGGGAAGTGAGGAGCACCTCTGCCTGGCCGCTGTGCAATCTTCCAAGTGTGAAGTGACAGGCTTTCTGCAGGTGTACCCAACAGCTCCAAAGAGACAGCGACCATTGAGAAGGGGCCATGATGACGATGGTGGTTCTGTCAAAAAGAAAAGGGGGAAATGTGGGGAAAAGAAAGAGAGATCAGATTGTTACTGTGTCTGTGTAGAAAGAAGTAGACATAAGAGACTCCATTTTGTTCTGTACTAAGAAAAATTCTTCTGCCTTAGGATGCTGTTAATCTATAACCTTACCCCCAACCCCGTGCTCTCTGAAACATGTGCTGTGTCAACTCAGGGTTAAATGGATTAAGGGCAGTGCAAGATGTGCTTTGTTAAACAGATGCTTGAAGGCAGCATGCTCGTTAAGAGTCATCACCACTCCCTAATCTCAAGTACCCAGGGACACAAACACTGCGGAAGGCCGCAGGGACCTCTGCCTAGGAAAACCAGAGACCTTTGTTCACATGTTTATCTGCTGACCTTCTCTCCACTATTATCCTATGACCCTGCCACATCCCCCTCTCCGAGAAACACCCAAGAATGATCAATAAATACTAAAAAAAAAAAAAAAAAAAAAGTCCAGATGTGAAATTTCAAGAAAACTTTGAATTCAGTCCTAAGTCAATATTAAGTCAAAAGTTGAACCAATTCTACAAATCATAAATACTATTTTCCTTCTTAAGTTCATATCTTTTCTGAGATAGATTACCAACTCAGTTTTCTTTGATATTGGTATTTGGAATAATTTTAACATGGTTTAACATCTTTAAGTTCTAAATCTATACTTATCTTGAATATCTTATTATAATTAAAAATATAAATCCAGAAGTGACAACTCTTCCTTACAGAAGAATTCTAATTAATAAGTGTAGAAGGATTCAGAGAAATAGAAAATCACCATTAGAGCACCACAGTAGTAATTGCCACAAGCAAGATCTGCCAATGGATAGTAAAATGAGTGAAAGTTTAAGCAGAAACAGGACATTTGCATAGTTTCAGGGTATCTCCAGCAAATATTCAATAATTACAAGGAAAACATAATAAGTTTACAGTAGCGGATCCTAGCAGACACCACCTTAGCATAGTGATCAAGGTTAACAACACCAGAAATGCATTACAACATCAGGTATCCCCTGTTATGATACACTGTCACAGACTGGAAGACACAACATAGACATGACAGTTAAATGCAAGGCTGGGTCTTAGAACAGTAGAAGGACATTAGTGAAAAGACTAAATTCTCTACTTTTTAAACTTTATACTGTAGTTAGTGTTATATCAAGGTTAATTTCTTAATTTTGACAAATATTCTATTGTTATGTAAGATGTTAACATAAGGGCAAGGTGGGTGCAGAATATACAAGAACTCTACTATTTTTACAACTCTTCTGTAAGTCTAAAATTATCTCAAAAACTTAAAAAATAACTGTTAAAAAACACACATATATGTATATATGTGCATAACATGTGTACATATATATAATCAAGACTTCATGGAAATTGGCATCTTGGGCACTTAGTCAGTAAAACAGTAGTGTTCTCTTCCGAATTATTCATTGTCTTACTGGTAACTTAGCTTTAAGGTCCTCCCCCTTCTAGACTTTTAATCTCAAGTATAAATTTCTAATTTTCATAGAAAAGCCTTTTTAAAAAACATTCCTGTATTAGGCCAAAAATAAAATCCTAGAATAAAACTATCACCATATTATCTTATAAAATTACTCATCCCAACCATAAGACCCAGCCAGTATTTTTACTGCATTTCCTCTCCTCATCTAATATGTTTGTGTTGGTTTGGTTTGGTTTATGAGTGGATACAGCTAATAGATTTAGTATTTAATCATAGGCCTGACAGTCTAGGGGAAAACAATTATCACTTGGGTATCTTATGAAGAAACAGCTGTTTTTCCAAGAACCAATATTGTGTACTCACCTGAGACATAAAAAGTTATTTACCAAAGTCTCTTCTATCTAACAGCATAGAGCTACCCAAGCAAGGCCAACAAAGACTCTTTCAATATCCTTTTCTTAAATTAGGCTCTAAAATGACTGTTGATAATGGTAATAAATGTCTTTTTATTAAAAAGGCAATTTTATCTTATGCAATTCAGGGAAGTAAAGATAAACACAAAATCTACCTTTAAATGAAGAAAATAATAATTTCCCCCTCTAACTATGGCTGATTCATTCCCTGAGCATGAATCCCCTTTTACCCTCATTGTTTTTAACTATAAACTGAGCTGAAATCTGCTCATAGATGAAACTAATATTTTAGATGGAGTATGACATTACCAAGTAATATTTTTTACTTTTTGTAGTCATCATTTCTACTCGCTGTGGCATTTAATGTTTCATCTGTATCTCTCTATCACAATGCCCTCTATAGAAGCAGCAATAGTGAAAACATAATTACACTTTGGGGAAAAAAAAATAGGTAATTTTTAAGTAGATCTTTATCCAAATACAATAAAAAAGCAAAAAAGAAAAATGTCCGTAAACATTTTCATTTTATGTCAATGCCATTTCCAAATTCACCTTCCACTACTACAATGAACAGCAGAAGTGGTATAAAAAAAAACCTCTAACCTAATGATCTATACAAAAAGGGAGACAATTTACTCTCTACACATTGCAGTATATTCAAGTGGTGAAAAGATATAAATTCTTTCAGAACTGCCATATTCTCTGGCTGTCAATATAGTCTCCTGAATAATTATATTAAACATATTACTACAAAAGGTACCAAGAAGTAGCGAATAACACTATATTTTTGAACTGCAAATAATAAAACAAAACAGAAGTCCAAGAAGGCTAAAGTCTAAGCTGTAATTACACATGAAGTGTATGTTGAAAGCAGTCACAATGTACGAAAATGTGACAAGATATCCAGATGTTTAAAAAAACACATCCTGTTTGTCTCAGATTATATCTAGTTTCATCTTGTAGGTTTCTGATAAGCCTGTTATGTAAAGTGTGTTTCCCTCCTGCTGATAAGAAGCAGCTTGCAGATATCCATAAATTTTTTAAGGAGTGAGTCTACTCGGCAATATTGGTAACTCCATAGTTTCCTATTACATTCATTCGTCTGAAAACTGAAAACAACTCATGACTGAAATATTCTTCCATTCCTTTGCCAGTTTTCAAGTTTAAAATCAAAGGAAAGTTGAATGTATTGCTTCTTGTAATCAACAGGCATTTCAAAAAGAGGGTAATTAACCAAATCAAGTGTTCTTTGGTCAAGTTAGTAACAGGCTTTCACTTTGTTCTAAATCCTTTCATAATTTTTTTTCTAATTTTTCCACTATGGCCTGAATCTTACAAACAGCCTCTTTTCTGGCCTGCCGTACAGAGTCCTGGCCCCCAGTTTCAACTGAATCCAGTTCCAAAAGTTCCTTGGTTAGCATTTCTTCCAGAAGCCAGTATGCTTAGTCTGTCTTTTTTCCTACAAATTATTCTACTTCTTGTTCAAGATACTGGACCTTCTCCACCACATGTATGATTTTTTTAATATTCGGAGGAGTACTTTCATCTGAAGGTACACATTCTTCAGGAAGACTGCTACTTTAATCTTGATTGTTGGGATGGTCACTGGTGGCATTACCATACAGCTGAGGCTCAGCACTATATTGGACTTAGGAATCCGAAAGATCTGAATCATTCTTGTTCACTGTCCCAGAGGATTCGTACTAATGGACGCTGCAAGGGAAGTTGTGCCGGTTCATGCTTTGATCTGATTGGCTATAGGGGTATGAAGAATCCTTGGGCTGCTGGAGTGGGGGTGTATGCTGGAGTGGGGGTGTAGGGGGTGACTGAGGAGAGCCACTGCTAGGCCATGGTGAAGTACTTTAGGTCATGTAGAGATTGTCAGGTGGTGCTGAGGGCGCTGACGAAGGCCAGGGATAACTGCCACCCATTCCATAAGCACCAGGAGAAGCCCACACATTCTCTCGTGGTCGTACAGTTTGTCCTGATTGTGGAACACTACGATTACCATCTCCATAAGGATAATGGGGCAGGGTCATTCCAGAGTTCTGTGAAGCTAGATACCCTGCAACCTGCCCCCTAAGAGGGTGTACTTCAGTCTGACAGTCCTGCTGGGGATAGACTCCAGAGACTGGAGTTGGGCTGTGCCAGGTGAACGGTAAGTACTTGCAACTACCGTGGAATAACTGGTCTGAGTATAACCAGGTGCATAGTAAGCCCCTGAGTATGAGGCAGTATTTGCCCCAGGGCCTGGGGGGTATGTTGGACCGTATGCTCCATTTGTATAAGAATTCAAACTTTGGTGGCTTCCTCCGGCTCGACCAGGCTCTGGCCAGGCGCCTCCAGAGGGATAGCAGCCATCGCCTCCTCCGCCTTCTCCCAGCCAGGTGGTCTCCGCCGGGCCGCCCCCGCGCACCCGCCAGGAAATGGGAGGCTGGGGAGGTTCGGGGTGAAAAGGGTATAAAGGTGGAGGTGGGTGCACCGGCACATCTCCACCCCCAGGCCCGTAGTAGCGGCTGTAGGACAGATGGTCACTGGGGCCGTAGCCCAAGCGCCTCAGGGCCGACATGGGCTCCGCTGCCCTGAAGTGCTTCCCACCCCCAACGGCCGACCCATCGGGCAAGCCAAATTAAGTTTTAATTTACACAAGCCACTGCATATTCTTAGACAGTGTTTAGAACTTGTGTGATTTTGCTCTGACAATACAAAATTTTGGATAAGATCCAAAACCTTACTCAGAATTCAGACTTAGTTCTCTTTTCAGGTTATGGATTTCTCTTTACAGATGCATAGAGAAGTAATTTTAAGGCCAAGCATGGTGGTTCACACCTGTAATCCCAGCACTTTGGGAGGTCGAGGCGGGCAGATCACCTGAGGTCGGGAGTTTGAGACCAGCCTGGCCAACATGGTGAAATCCGGTCTCTACTAAAGATACAAAAATTAGCTGGGAGTGATGGCACTTGCCTGTAATCCCAGCTACTCAGGAGGCTGAGGCAGGAAAATTGCTTGAACCCAGGAGGCAGAGGTTGCAGTGAGCTGAGATCATGCCACTGCACTCCAGCCTGGGCGATGGAGCAAGACTCCATCTATTAAAAAAAAAAAAAAAAAGAAGGTTTCAAGTCTACTGTATTGGTCAGGGTTCTCCAGAGAAACAGAGCTAAAGGAGATATAGATATACAGATACAGGTACAAAGAGATAGAGATAGAGATATACAATTTATATAAGGAGATATACTATGATGAATTGGCTCACATGATTAAGGAGGCCTAGAGGTGCTGAGATCTATAGTTGCCAAACTGAAGACTGAGGAGAACTGGTGGTGTAGTTCTGGTCAGAGACCAAATCCCTGAAAACCAGGGGAGTTGACCGTGTAAGTCCAAGTCTGAAAGCTGGCAAGCTCAAGACCCAAGAAAAGCTGAATTTTTAGTTCAAGTAGTAGGCAGGAAAAGACTAATGTCCCAGTTCAAGAAGTCAGGCCAGAAGCATTTCCTTTTGCTCAGCCTTTTTGTTCTATTTGGGTCTTCAATTGGTTGAAAGAGACCCATTCACATTAGGGAGGGCAACCTGCTTTACTTGGTTTACCAATTCAAAGGTTAATCTCATCTGGACACATCCTACAGGCATATTGAGAATACTGTTCGGCCAAATTTCTAGGAGTCCAATGGCCTAGTCAAGTTGACACACAGAATTAACCATTAAGTGTACTAAGCTAGAAAATCCTTCCAAATGTTACAGTTCACATATGATGAAATCTTAGCAGAGATTTTCCCAAATTTGGCAACAATCCTAAAAACGTATGTGATATTACGAATAATGAAGTGTGAAACTGAAGCAAACTCTTTTCTAAGATTTTTAAAAATATAGACACAGGGTCTCACTATGTTGCTCAGGCTGGCCTCAAAATCCTGGCCTCAAGAGATCCTCCTGCCTCAGCCTCCTGAGTCATGGGAAATACAGACATAAGCCACTGCGCCCAGAAGAAATAAACTTAGATAAAAAAGAATGAAAAGGAACAAACAAAGCCTCCAAGAAATATGGGACTATGTGAAAAGACCAAATCTACGTCTGATTGGTGTACCTGAAAGTGATAGGGAGAATGGAACCAAGTTAGAAAACACTCTTCAGGATATTACCCAGAAGAACTTCCCCAACCTAGCAAGGCAGGCCAACATTCAAATTCAGGAAATACAGAGAACACTACAAAGATACTCCTCGAGAAGATCAACCCCAGGACACATAATTGTCAGATTCACCAAGGTTGAAATGAAGGAAAAAATGTTAAGGGCAGCCAGAGAGAAAGGTCGGGTTACCCACAAAGGGAAGCCCATCAGACTAACAGTGGATCTCTCAGAAGAAACCCTACAAGCCAGAAGTGAGTGGGGGCCAATACTCAACATTCTTAAAGAAAAGAATTTTCAACCCAGAATTTCATATCCAGCCAAACTAAGCTTCATAAGTAAAGGAGAAATAAAATCCTTTACAGACAAGCAAATGCTGAGAGATTTTGTCACTACCAGGCCTGCCTTACAAGAGCTCCTGAAGGAAGCACTAAATATGGAAAGGAACAAACAGTACCAGCTACGGCAAAAACATGCCAAATTGTAAAGACCATCGATGCTAGGAAGAAACTGCATCAATTAACGGGTGAAATAACCAGCTAGCATCATAATGACAGGATCAAATTCACACACAACAATATTAACCTTAAATGTAAATGGGCTAAATGCCCCCATTAAAAGACACAGACTGGCAAATTGGATAGAGTCAAGACCCACTGGTGTACTGTATTCAGGAGACCCATCTCACGTGCAAAGACACACATAGGCTCAAAATAAAGAGATGGAGGAAGATCTACCAAGCAAAAGGAAAGCAAAAAAAAAAATGCGGTATTTGCAATCCTGGTCTCTGATAAAACAGACTTTAAACCAACAAAGATCAAAAGAGACAAAGAAGGCCATTACATAATGGTAAAGGTAATACAACTATCCTAAATCTATATGCACCCAATACAGGAGCACCCAGATTCATAAAGCAAGTTCTTAGAGACCTACAAAGAGACTTAGACTCCCACACAATAATAATGGGAGATTTAACACCTCTCTGTCAATATTAGACAGATCAACAAGACAGAAAACTAACAAGGATATCCAGGACTTGAACTCAGCTCTGGACCAAGCAGACCTACTGGACATCTACAGAACTCTCCACCCCAAATCAACAGAATATACATTCTTCTCAGCACCACATCGCACTTATTCTAAAATTGACCGCATAAATGGAAATAAAACTCCTCAGTGGCCAGGCGTGGTGGCTCATGCCTATAATCCCAGCACTTTGGGAGGCTTAGCCAGGTGGATCACCTGATGTCGGGAGTTCGAGACCAGCCTGACCAACATGGAGAAACCCTGTCTCTACTAAAAATACAAATAAAGTTAGCTGGGCATGGTGGCAAATGCCTGTAATCCCAGCTACTCAGGAGGCTGAGGCAGGAGCAGTCCTTGAACTCGGGAGGCGGAGGTTGCAGTGAGCCGAGATTGCGCCACCACATGCAAATCTGGGTGACAGAGCGAGACTCTGCCTTAAAAAAAAAAAAAAAAAAAAAAAACACCTCAGCAAATGTAAAAGAACAGAAATCACAACAAACTGTCTCTCAGACCACAGTGCAATCAAATTAGAACTCAGGATTAAGAAACTCACCCAAAACCATACAACTGTGTGGAAACTGAACAACCTGCTCCTGAATGACTACTGGGTACATAACTAAATGAAAGCAGAAATAAAGATGTCCTTTGAAACCAGTGAGAACAAAGACACAACGTACCAGAATCTCTGGGACACATTTAAAGCAGTGTGTACAGGGAAATTTATAGCACTAAATGCCCACAAGAGAAAGCAGGAAAGATCTAAAATCGACACCCTAACATCACCATTAAAAGAACTAGAGAAGTAAGAGCAAACAAATTCAAAAGCTAGCAGAAGACAAGAAGTAACTAAGATCAGAGCAGAACTGACAAAAATACAGACACAAAACACCCTGCAAAAAAATCAATGAATCCAGGAGCTGGTTTTTTGAAAAAATCAACAAAATAGATAGACCCCTCACCAGATTAATAAAGTAGAAAAGAGAGAAGAATCAAATAGATGCAATAAAAAATGATGAAGGGGATATCACCACTGATCCCACAGAAATACAAACTATCATCCGAGAATACTATAAGCACCTCTACGCAAATAAACTAGAAAATCTAGAAGAAATGGATAAATTCCTGGACACATACACCCTCCCAAGACTAAACCAGGAAGAAGTTGAGTCTCTGAATAGACCAATAACAGGTTCTGAAATTGAGGCAATAATTAATAGCTTACCAACCAAAAGAAGCCCAGGACCAAATGGATTCACAGCCAAATTCTACAAGAGGTACAAAGAGGAGCTGGTACCATTCCTTCTGAAACTATTCCAATCAATAGAAAAAGATGGAATCCTCCCTAACTCATTTTATGAGGCCAGCATCATCCTGATACCAAAGCCTGGCAGAGACACAACAAAAAAAGAGAATCTTAGGCCAATATCCCTGATGAACATCAATGTGAAAATCCTCAATAAAATACTGGCAAACTGAATCCAGCAGCACATCAAAAAGCTTATCCACCACAATCAATTTGGCTTCATCCCTGGGATGCAAGGCTGGTTCAATATACGCAATCAATAAACGTAATCCATCACATAAACAGAACCAATGACAAAAACCACATGATTATCTCAATAGATGCAGAAAAGGCCTTTGACAAAATTCAACAACCTTTCATGCTAAAAACTCTAATAAACTAGGTATCAATGGAATGTATCTCAAAATAATAAGAGCTGTTTATGAAAAACCCACAGCCAATATCATACTGAATGGGCAAAAACTGGAAGCATTCCCTTTGAAAACTGGCACAAGACAAAGATGCCCTCTCTCACCACTCCTATTCAACGTAGTGTTGGAAGTTCTGGTCGGGGCAATCAGGCGAGAGAAAAAAATAAAGGTATTCAATTAGGAAAAGCAGAAGTCAAATTATCTCTGTTTGCAGATGACATGATTGCATATTTAGAAAACCCCGTATCTCAGCCCAAAATCCCCTTAAGCTGACAAGTAACTTCAGCAAAGTCTCAGGATACAAAATCAATGCGCAAAAATCAAAAGCATTCCTATACACCAATAACAGACAAACAGAGAGCCAAATCATGAGTGAACTCCCATTCACAATTGCAACAAAGAGAATAAAATACCTAGGAATCCAACTTAACAAGGGATGTGAAGAACCTCTTCAAGGAGAACTACAAACCACTGTTCAGTGAAATAAAGAAGACACAAACAAATGGAAGAACATTCCATGCTCATGGATAGGAAGAACCCATATCCTGAAAATGGCCATACTGCCCATTGTGGAAGGTAATTCATAGATTCAGTGCTATCCCCATCAAGCTACCACAGACTTTCTTCACAGAATTGGAAAAAACTACTTTAAAGTTCATATGGAACCAAAAAAGGGCCCACATTGCCAAGACAATCCTAAGCCAAAAGAACAAACCTGGAGGCATCATGCTACCTGACTTCAAACTATACTACAAGCCTACAGTAACCAAAACAGCATGGTACTGGTACCAAAACAGATATATAGACCAATGGAACAGAACAGAGGCCTCAGAAATAACACCACACATCTACAACCACTGATCTTTGACAAACCTGACAAAAATAAGAAATGGGGAAAGGATTCCCTATTTAATAAATGGTGCTGGGAAAACTGGCTAGCCATATGTAGAAAGCTCAAACTGGATACCTTCCTTACACCTTATACAAAAATTAACTCAAGATGGATTAAAGACTTAAATGTTAAACCTAAAACCATAAAAACCCTAGAAGAAAAACTAGGCAATACCATTCAGGACACATGCTTGGGCAAAGACTTCATGACTAAAACACCAAAAGCAAAGGCAACAAAGCCAGAATAGACAAATGGGATCTAATTAAACTAAAGAGCTTCTGCAGAGCAAAAGAAACTATCATCAAAGGGAACAGGCAACCTACAAAATGGGAGAAAATTTTTGCAATCTATCCATCTGACAAAGGGATAATATCCAGAATCTACAGAGAACTTAAACAAATTTACAAGAAAAAAGCAAACAATCCCATCAAAAAAGCAGGCAAAGTATATGAACAGATGCTTCTCAAAAGAAGGCATTTATGCAGCCAACAGACATATGAAAAAATGCTCATCATCACTGGTCATCAGAGAAATGCAAATCAAAGCCACAATGAGATACCATCTCATGCCAGTTAGAATGGCGATCATTAAAAAGTCAGGAAACAACAGATGCTGGAGAGGATGTGGAGAAATAGGAACGCTTTTACACTTTTGGTGGGAGTGTAAATTAGTTCAACCATTGTGGAAGACAGTGTGGCAATTCCTCAAGGATCTAGAACTAGAAATACCATTTGACCCAGCAATCCCATTACTGGGTATATACCCAAAGGATTATAAATCATTCTACTACAAAGACACACACACATGTATGTTTATTGCGGCACTATTCACAATAGCAAAGACTTGGAACCAACCCAAATGTTCATCAATAATAGACTGGATAAAGAAAATGTGGCATATATACACCATGGAATACTATGCAGCCATAAAAAAGGATGAGTTCATGTCCTTTGCAGGGACATGGATGCAGCTGGAAACCATCATTCTCAGCAAAATGTCACAAGGACAGAAAACCAAACACCACATGTTCTCACTCATAAGTGGGAGTTGAACAATGAGAACACATGGACACAGGGTTGGGAACATCACACACTGGGGCCTGTTGGGGGCTGGGAGCTAGGGGAGGGATAACGTTAGGAGAAATACCTATTGTAAATGACTAGTTGATGGGTGCAGCAAATCAACATGGCACATGTATACCTATGTAACAAACCTGCACATTGTGCACAGGTACCCTAGAACTTAAAGTATAATAATAAAAAAATATAGAGAGAAAGAGACAGGGTCTCACTGTGTTGCTCAGGCTGGCCTCAAAATCCTGGCCTCAAGAGGTCCTCCTGCCTTAGCCTCCTGAGTAGCAGGGACTACAGACATAAGCCACTGCAACCAGATGAAATAAACTTTTCTAAGCTAGCAATAATTTTAAAAATTAATCAACCACAAAAGACTAAATTTTTTATTGTCTCCATAGAAAATATTGCAAAAATTTCAAAGAGAATTAGCCAAAGATGAAAAACAAATAAATAAGAAAATACTGCAAAATTGCTGTTAAATGAAGAAATAACTGAAGAGTAAGCAGTCAAGAAATATAAAGGAAAAAAGGATACAAGACATGTCTGGTAGTTAATTAATAAAAATATTATCTTATATTTCTGGATTTTTTATGTCTGATAAATCTGTTGACTCTTTAAAAATTTGTAATTTATTGGGATTTCTTTTTCATTCTAAATAAATCTTTTTTATACTGAATTTTGTGTTTGTAATTTTGTCTTTTTGTTTTGTTTTGTTTTGTTTTTTTGAGATGGAGTCTTGCTCTATCACTAAGTCTGGAGTGCAATGGCGCAACCTCAGCTCACTGCAACCTCCGCCTCCTGGGTTCGAGTGATTCTCCTGCTTCAGCCTCCCAAGTACCTGGGATTACAGGCACCTGCCACCACACCTAGCTAATTTGTATTTTCAGTAGAGAGGGGGTTTCACCAAGTTGGCCAGGCTGGTCTCGAACTCCTGATCTCAGGTGATCCACCCTCCTTGGCCTCCCAAAGTGCTGGGATTACAGGCTTGAGCCACTCACTGCACCTGGCCTAAATTTTGTATTCTTTTTAGTAAAGATGGTCCCTGACGTTGCTTAAGGCCCATGAAGTTAGTCTCTCGACAGGCCTACATCATTTCATAGAATAAGATTTTCAAGCTGAAGGCCCTTGGATCTCTGGAAATGGGGCCTGCCATAGTATTTTCTAAACGTTTCCCAGTTGACTCTATTGTACATCCAAGGTAGAAAATTGCTGTTCCAGCCTAATCTCTTCATTTTACAGATGTTGAACCTAAAGACCAGGGAGAGGCTGGAGCTTGTCACAAGTCTCAGTGGGTGTGAGGTAAAACTGACCTGAGACCAGGAATGTCCTACACTCAGACCAGAACATGACAATAGTCCCTTCCCTGTTCAGTTTTAGGAATGATCACAAACAGTATTTCAGTAGATTACTAGTAGTGCACACTCTCAAAGGTTTGCTGGCCAGAGAGAGGAAGAGGGATGTTCTCAAATCCTGAAGCAGAAAATATATTGTTTACATTCAATTTTCATTCTTCTCTGGCAACACAGTTAAGCCCATGGAGTGGTTTAGAGACAAAAGATAGAACGTGAAGGTTTATGATCAGACTTAAAACTACTGTGTTGCCTTAAATGTTAAGGTCATTCCAGACTAAAAGCTCCTAAATATAGGCGTTCTATTTTAAGCAAAATAGTCTATTCTGTTTCCATAGCTTCATGTAAAGTTTGTTCTACACATTTTATTTTTTTAAGGCCCTGTTTAGGCCCTATTATTTAGATGGAAAAAAGTCACTAGCACATCCTAGGACTAATTTCCATTTAAATGTTGAAGGAGAAATCATAACAGCCTCTCCCTCTCTGAATTTCCAAGGCTGGGAATCACCAGACCCCAGTGATTTTCAATACCCTATCCAGCATAAAAACTGTTTTGTTCTATAAAGTACGGCAAGCCTATCATTTCCTCGGTGTTGTTATTATGACTTAATTTTTAATGGGAGTCTGCAGTGGATGGAGCACAGTTAGGTTTTTTGTAACAGTATTCTGTAAATGGTTTTAAATCGTCCCTTTACTGTACATAGCAATTTTTTTAAAAAATTTTAATATATAGTGCTTTTTTTTTTGGAGATGAAGTCTTGCTCTGTTGCCCAGGCTGGAATGCAGTGGTGCAAGCTTGGCTCACTGCAACCTCTACCTCCCAGGTTCAAGCAATTCTCCTGTCTCAGCCTCCTGAGTAACTGGGATTACAGGCTCATGCCACTACACCTGGCTAATTATTTATTTTTAGTAGAAATGGGGTTTCACCATGTTATCCAGGCTGGTCTGGAACTCCTTACCTCAAGTGATCCACCTGCCTCAGCCTCCCAACGTGCTGGGATTACAAGCGTGAGCCACCATACCCGGCCATACATCGCATTTTAATAATTAATCTCATGCTGTCTCATTTCACAGTCTGGAAATCTTATGTATGTATGCGTTTTTGCATAATGAGAGTATCCATCTTCAGCTTTGCATCTACCAAAGTATTATGCACCTAATAAACTGTCTATAAATATTTGTCAATTGAATAAATAAAAACTTTTTATTTTTGAGACAGAGTCTCACTGTGTCACCCAGGCTGGGGTGCAGTAGTGCTATCTCGGCTCACTGCAATCTCGCCTCCCAGGTTCAAGCAATTCTCCTGCCTCAGCCTCCTGAGTAGCTGGGATTACAGGCGCCCCCCACCACACCTGGCTAATTTTTGTATTTTTAGTAGAGACGGGGTTTTCCCACATTGGCCAGGCTGGTCTCAAACTCCTGACAGGTGATCCACCCACCTCGGCCTCCCAAAGTGCTGAGATTACAGGAAAAGCTTAATTTTTTACCAAAAGAAGTCTACTTATAAAATTCTCTCTGCAGGCAATTGTTTAAGATATTTATTCTCACAAAGTGAAACATAGTCTACATTAATGGACCACTAATCTGGTCATGTGAGAGTTATGGTTGATTTTTACTCTTCCTTAACTACCCCCATCCTTACACTCACAGTGCTCTGCATCCTCAATATCTCTCTTACCCACCGCTATTTTCCTTTCCTACTACTGCTGCCATATCTAGGCTCTCATGGTCTCTCTCCTGTTCCACTAGAATAACTTCTAATCCCTCCATTCTCCTTGAGCTCCTCTCCAATCTTCTTACATGCCGCTAGATACGTTTTTCTAAAATAAAAACATCTTCTCATCAAAATGTCCCTTCCATCTTCCTCCTGCCCTCCCTCCATGACTCCCATTTGCCCACCGGAAAATATAAAGTTGTCCACCACGTGATCTCTATCTGCTTCAATAGCAACTCTCAAAGTTTCACACACTTACACCTCCTATGCCACAGCCATATTAAACTATTGGCAGTTCTTTAAACTCTCTTATAAGCATTGCTCTGCCTAGACTATCCTTCTCCCCACTGTCCGCTTAACTAACCCACTAGCATCCTTTAAGACACAGCACAGCAGTCACTTCCTCTCCGAAGTTTACCTGACCACAGCCCTCTCTGCAACCACCAGGAGTTGACCACACACCCTGCTTATTCCCCCACCAGGCACTCCGCATCCTCAGCAGAACATGATTTTCTCATTTGTTTGTGGTCCACATCCTCTTCCTCAAGGGAAAGCTCCTGAGGACAAAGTTTGCATCCTATTCATTTCTGTGTCCACAGTGCCTAAGTCAGGACTTGGCAGGTGGTGGCATGGTGAGGGATGGCCTTGGCCTTCCGTAGAGCAAGGCCCCAAGGAAATGAGATTCAATGATTGGGAAGACTTCAGCTGGAGAAAGACTTCACGTGGAATACAGCCCGGGAAGACCTGAATGGGGAACTGCAGTCTATGGCCCTGACAACCAGGGGACAGCTTAGAGATCGTTGGTGAGCTCTGCCTAAATCAGGGAGGTACACAAAGTGGGAGAGAAATGCAGGCAAGCCGATTCGACTGTCACAAGTAGTTCCTGCATTGATGGCAACTGATCCCATTGTCCAAACTCCCACAGAGTATCAAGGAGATCAAGGAGCCCCTGGGATTTTCAACCACTAGAAGCTGTTGATCAAGGAGACATTGACAAAGTAGACATTGTAGCAGCCAGAAGAATAAAATGGAAATTAGTTGATTAACAAGTCCTAAAGAACCAGAGCAAGCCGGGCATGGTGGCTCACTCCTGTAATCCAGCACTTTGGGAAGCTGAGGTGGGTGGATCACTTGAGGTCAGGAGTTCCAGACCAGCCTGGCCAACATGGTGAAACCCTGTCTCAACTAAAAATACCAAAAAAAAATTAGCTGGGCGTGCCAGCTACTTGGGAGGCTGAGGCAGGAGAATTGCTTGGACATGGGAGGCAGAGGTGGCAGTGAGCCAAGATCACCACATTCCAGCCTGGGCAACAAGAGCAAGAAGAAAAAGGAAGGAAGGAAGGAAGGAAGGAAGGAAGGAAGGAAGGAAGGAAGGAAGGAAGGAAGGAAGGAAGGAAGGAGAGAAGGAAGGAAGGAAGGAAGGAAGGAAGGAAGGAAGGAAGGAAGGAAGGGAGAGAGGAGGAAGCTTTTGGAAGAAACTCTTACCATATTTTTCAAATGGGCGAGGAGATCAATGATAACATGGGGAAATATCCTTTGAATCCCCCAGTTAGGAGTGAGGGCAGGGGAAATGAAAGAGATTAAACTCAACTTCATTCATTGTGACCCATCCTTGTGAGCAGAGCTCATAAGACATTGAAGGGAGGAGAAGGCTAAAACTCGTGGCTCAAATAGACCCCAGAGGATTCTCGGTTAACATTCATTAGCCTGGAAAAGTGAGAGCTGGTTACACTGCACACAGTAAGCAGTGAAGTCATGCACTGTCTCAAAATCATTTTTCCGTGGCAGGTGGACTTCCCAGGCAGCTGTGAAGATCTGTTTTTGAATCATGTGAGCAGAAAATGTCACGACCGCACGGTAATGATAGAGCAACAAAGGAAAACGATCTCTTTTGGGTGTTTTTAAAGGGCTTAGGGTGCCCTTTGGCTCTGTCTAGTTCCAGAAATTACACACTCATGATAACTGCTAAGTAGCCTCAAACAAAAGAGCCCTATTTTCCATTCTTCATCCACTCTTACATCAATTTGCAGAGGCAAAAATAGGAAGCTGTTATAATACAGGGAAGAGAATGCCCCAGGCAAGAACATCAGTGGAAAAACATACTACGTTTAGGTTATAAAAATCACAGTGAATAGTTTATACAGCATAGACAGAAATAAAAACCACCATTTAACAAACTGGCAAGTAGGCCCAACCATTTTTAAAACAAAGCTGTTCAATGGTACTAATGAATGAACCTTCATTAAGATAGAAATAGCCCACATCATCTGCTCTTCCTTTTAATTAAAAGCACTGTAAGCAGGTTAGAAGAAAAGTCTTCCCTAATTTTTCAGGATAATGATTATCGTTACTGGATTACCATAGTAATCTCCCAATTAACACCTTAGACCTTGAAAAGCAAAATTGTGAAAAGATTTTGCAAATGCTTAGGTCCATATGTAAAGCAGTTCCTGGACATGTAGAAGTACAGATAAATGGTGCCAGATGCAAAGCCAGACACAGGCTGTTTTTCGGTTCATTATCTTTACTACCTACTGAGACAATTCATGAAGATTTTGAGTGAAGGTTAAAATTTAAAGTCTTTGCAAACACTTTAGACAAGCTCTTCAGAGTTTTCTAAAGTTTGACAAATTCTGTTAATTAAGCTATCAGAGAAATAACTGTCTGGAGTCCAACAAAATAATGTACTCAAGCATTTGTGAACCATAGCATACTGTAGAGAGATATCCCCACTGTTAATAGTCCCATAGCTTTCAAAGTTCTTCCGAAATAGTGGGACTGAAGAAGAAATAGAGGCACGGGGAGAAGAGGTGTATCCTATACGGTCATCTTTAAAAAACTACCTCCCCAAAATATATGTATACATACGTACATACATACATACATACACATGTGTATATATACAAATATTCTCCTATTTAATATGAAGAAAAAAACGGGGCAATGAGAAATGCACTCAAATTAAAATATGGTTATAATCCTTCTGTAACTGTCGTTCTAAAAATAAGACTTAAAAACAAGATCAATGTATTTTCTTTTTTTTTTTTTTTTTTTTTTGAGACGGAGTCTCGCTCTGTCGCCCAGGCTGGAGTGTGCAATGGCGCGATCTCGGCTCACTGCAAGCTCCGCCTCCGAGCTCACGCCATTTTCCTGCCTCAGCCTCCCAAGTAGCTGGGACTACAGGCGCCTTCCACCTCGCCCGGCTAATTTTTTTGTATTTTTAGTAGAGACGGGGTTTCACCATGTTAGCCAGGATGGTCTCGATCTCCTGACTTCGTGATTCGCCCCCCTCGGCCTCCCAAAGTGCTAGGATTACAGGCGTGAGACACCGCGCCCGGCCGCTCGATGTATTTTCTACAGATAATTTAGATGCCCAAGGTGTTTATGGTACATCAAAAAGAGGTTTTTTGTTTGTTTGTTTGTTTGTTTGTTTTTGAGACGGAGTCTCATATTGTCGCCCAGGCTGGAGTGCAGTGGCGCGATCTCGGCTCACTGCAAGCTCCGCCTGCAAGTTCCGCCTCCCGGGTTCATGCCATTCTCCTGCCTCAGCCTCCTGAGTATCTGGGACTACAGTTGCCCGCCACCATGCCCGGCTAATTTTTTGTATTTTTAGTAGAGACGGGGTTTCACCGTGTTAGCCAGGATGGTCTCGATCTCCTGACCTCGTGATCCGCCCGCCTCAGCCTCCCAAAGTGCTGGGATTACAGGCGTGAGCCACCGTGCCTGGCCCAAAAAAAGCTTTTAAGCTTTAAAAAAAAGAAATCATAAAATTTTGCTGTTTATTTATTCAGAATTCTGAATCTGGTCACCTTGCACTTGCCAAAGAAAAATATTGAAAGCAAGGTTGTAGGGGGTCGGGGTACATGCAGATAGAAACGCTAACCTCCTCCGCTACCAGGAGAAAAATTAGATTAGACGCAATTTAAACACTTAGTAAATTATCTCCACACTAACAACTATAAATGTGATGTTCTTTATAAAAGGCCAAGACTCAGAAAGGGGAGGAGGAAGAGAGGAGACGGGGAGAAAGAGAGATCACTGTGTACATGTCGGAAGCAGCAGCCTATTAAAATGAGGGAACAGGGGAGGACGGACTGAGTCTTCCAGCCGCTGGCACTTGGGGGTGGTGACTGAGGACAGACATAAAAGCCTTGGAATTAACTAGTCCTAAAACTCCAAATGGCAGTCTGGCATCCAGTTGTTTTTGGCCACAGAACTGACTCAGCCTTCCAAGTGCTGGGGAGGATTTGATTCCCTCCTGCAATTTCCAGTGACCTTGAGAAGTGTGGAAGCGAATCAGGACTCCAGACACCTGAGCACGCTGATTTTAAGTAATTGCCACGTGTCAACAAATTAATCAGTTAGAATGTGACCCATCCAAGCGAGTTATCCCCTAATCTTAAGTAATAAAAGCAGAATCCAAAAGATGTGACCAGTGATTAGAATTGATTAGACCTAAACATAAATCTAGGCATATCTAGGAGGGCATTCGCAAAGTAAAAATAGTTATGTTGAGGCCATGGAATAATATGACTTTTTCTTTAATTTTTGTTATGTTATTTTTGCCATTTCAAAAGCGACAAGGAAAAGTTAAGAGATAAATGATTATAAGAAAATATTTACAACTTACATCACAAAGAACTAACATACAAAAGCTCTTAGAATTTCAGGGTTAAAAAAGACAAAGATACCTATAGAAAAAGGTTTTAAAAACATAACCAGCCTGTAGTCCCAGCTACTCAGGAGTCTGAGGCGGGAGGATCGCTTGAAGCCAGGAGTTCAAGACCAGGTAATACAGTGAGACGTCATCTCTAAAAAACAAAATATAATGAAATCTCAGAAAAAGACAGGTCATTTGCTTGTTAACATGTGGAAAAGATGCTTAACCTCAATTCATAAGAGAAATGCAAATTCAAAATGCAGTGAGATATAATTTCTCACATGTCAGATTGGCAAAAATCCAAAGGTTGACAATTCATTTGGCTGATAAGCCTGGGGAAAAACCAGCTCTCTCATACATTGCTGACAGGAATAAATTAAAGAAGCATTTACCGTTAGACCCAGCAATCTCACTTCTAGGAATCTATCCTGAATCTACATAAATACTAAACAAAATATTCACTGGGATAGTAATTGCAGAGCTGTTTGTGACAGCAAAAGACTGGAAACAACCCAAATGTTTCACCAATTAAAAAATGACTGAATAAACTACCCCCACAATGAAATATAGGCAGTCATGGAAAAAATAAGTAAGATTTCTATGTATTGATAAGGGGTAGTTTCCAGTACATATTAAGTGAAAAAAAAATGCACTACAGTTGCATCAGTCTGTTCTCACACTGCTAATAAAGATATACCCAAGACTGGGTAATTTATAAAGGAAAAAGGGTTAAAAGTTTAGCATGGCTGGGGAGGCCTCAGGAAACTTACAATCATGGCAGAAGGAGAAGCAAATGCGTCCTTGTTCATATGATGGCAGGAAGGAAAAGAATGAGTGCCCAGCAAAGCGGGAAGCCCCTTATAAAAACCATCAGATTTCATGAGAACCAACTCACCAGCATGAAAACAGGATGGGGGAACCTCCCTCCATGATTCAATTACCTCCCACCAGATCCCACATGGGGATTATGGGAACTATAATTCAAGATGAGATTTGCATGGAGACACAGCCAAATCATATCAACAGTATACATAAAATGCTATATTTTATATAAGAAAGGAGGTAGACTGGGCACAGTGGCTCATACCTATAAACTTAGCTCTTTGGGAGGCTGAGTCAGGAGGATCACTCAAGCCCAGGAGTTCAAGACCAGCCTGAGTGACACAGGAACTCTATGAAATTTTTTTAAATATAGGAAGAAAGAAAAAAAGAAAAAGAGAGGGAGGAAGGAAGGAAGGAAGGAAGGAAAGAAGGAAGGAAGGAAGAAAATAGGTAAAATAAGACTATATATACACAATATATGTATTATATATACACACTATATATGTGTGTTTTTAGTTTTGCTTATTTTTCCAGAAACTCTAGAAAGATAAATCAGAAATGAATACTAATAGAGCTAGTTGTATGGGGGTTAGAAAGTGGGGAATAAGGAGAAGGATAGAGATGGTAGTAAGACTTTTCTGAATATGCCTTTTTATATAATTTTGAGTTTTTACCTACTTAAATGTTTTAAATGTTCATGAAATAGGTAAAATTACATCAAAAAGGGAAAGAAACCCTAAAATTGGGAAAAAGAAAACTTAATTCTATATCCAGTGAGCAACATACTGACACAAAGCAAAAATTTATTTCAAGTGAGTTTTAGACACCTTTTGGACAGTTCCTTCTTTAGTGGGATGTAGTCTAAAAATAAAGAACTACCTAAAAAATTCTCAAAATTCGCCTCATATTTTTATTGCTGTAATGATGTGATAATATTGACATTGTAATTTTGAAGCCCTTTTATGTGTCTACTAGGATCAAGCAAATAAATATGTTAATCTTATTTTTTCAATTTCCAACTTAAAAAGATATAAATATAAAATCAATAAGTTAAGAAAACCACATTGATTTCTTTTTTGAGATAGGGTTTTACTCTGTCACTCAGGCTGGAGTACAATGACACAACCACAGCTCACTGCAGCCTCAACCTCCCAGGCTCAAGTGATCCTCTCCCACCTCAGCCTCCCAAGTAGCTGGGACCACAGGTGCGCCCCACCATGCCCAGCTAAGTTTTTATGTTTTTTATAGAGCTGGAGTCTCACTATGTTGCCCAGGCTGGTCTTGAACTCCTGGCCTCAAGCAAGCCCACCTTGGCATCCCAAAGTGCTGAGATTACAGGTGTGAGCCACCACACTTGGCCAAAATGTTTTATATAGCTTTGTTAAAATATGATTCACACACCATAAAATTAATCTTTTAAAGCACAAAATTCATTCCACAACCCATTTGGTTTTGTCAAAAGACAAAAAAAATGTACAAAATTCAGAGCCGGGTGTGGTAGATTGCACCTGTAAGCCAGCTACTTCAGGAGGTTGAGGCAAGAGGATCGCTTGAGGCCAGGAGTTCAAGACAAGCCTGGGCAACACAGAGAGATCCCATCTCTAAAAAAATAAATAATAAAGTACAAAACTTACTGATTTTTGTTATATTCACAGAATCACGCAACAATCACCACTATCTAATTTCAGAACACTTTTTATCACCCCAAAAGAAAATCTCATACCAATCAGCAGTCTCTCCCATTCTTTCTCCCACTTACCTACTTTCTGTCTCTATAGATTTGCCTATTCTAGACATTTTATATAAATAACATCAAACAATATTTAGACTTTTGTAACTGGCTACTTTGACTTTGCAAAGTAAATCTGTCCTAGTTTCCTGTTGCTGCTGTAACAAACCACCACACATTGGGTGGCTTAAAACAATGGAAATTTATTTTCTCTCGGTTTTCAAAACCAAAAGTCTGAGCTGAGCATGGTGGTTCATATCTGTAATCCCAGCACTTTGGGAGGATGAGGCAGGAAGATTCCTTGAGTCCGGATGTTTCAGGCCAGCCTCAGCAACACAGTGAACCTCTATTTCTACCAAAAAAAAAATTTAGCTAGGTGTGGTGGTGTACGCCTAAGGTCCCAGCTACTCAGGAGGGCTGAGGCAAGAGGACTGCTTGAACTCTGGAGGTTGAGGTTTCAGTAAGCCATGTTTGCACCATTGCACTCCAGCCTGCGTGACACAGGGAGGCCCTGAATAAAAAAAAAAAAATAAAGTCTAAAATCAGGTGTCAGCAGGGCTGCACTCCCTCCAAAAGCTCAAATAGATGGACAATCTGTTCCTTTTTGCTTTTCAGCTACTGGTGGCTCCAGGCATTCCTTGGTTTGTGGCCAAATCACTCCAATCTCTGCCACCGTGGTCACATTGCCTTCTCCTCTTCTCTGTCCTCTGTGTGACTCTTATAAGGACACTTGTCATTGAATTTCTGGCCTATTTGGATAATCCAGGATAATCTCAACTCAAGATAGTCAATTTAAGTACATCAGCAAAGACCTCTTTTCCAAATAAGGTAACATACACGGGTATGGTGGATTAGGATATAAATATATCTTTTGAGGGGGGCTCATTCAATCCACTACAGTCTATCCTCAGACTTTCAAAAGTTCACATCTAACCTACTTGCAAAATACATTCATCCATCCCAAAATCCTCAAAAAATCTCAATGATTGCAACATCAACACTAAGTCCAAAATCTCATCAGCTCAAAAGTTTCAAATCTTGGTATCTAAGTCAGGTATGAGTGAGACTCTGCATATGAACCATCCTGTGGAAAAATCCTTCTCCATCTGTGGGCCTGTGAAATGAGAATACTACATATACATATTTTTTGAGATGGAGCTTCAATCTGTTACCCAGGCTGGAGTGCAATGGTGTGATCCCGGCTCACTGCAACCTCCATATCCCGTGTTCAAGTGATTCTCCTGCCTCAGCCTCCCGAGTATATATATATATATATAAATCTTCCTTAATTGATGGAAATCTGGGTTGTTTCTACTTTTTGGCTATTATAAATAATGCTGCTATGAACATTCATGTATAAGGTTTCTTTGTGGATATATATTTTCATTTCTTCGAGAATATAACTAAAAGTGGAATTGCTGGGTCATATGGCAACTATGTTTAACATTTGGAGGAACTGCCAAACTGTTTTCCAAAGTTGGTATATCATTTTGCATTACCACCAACAATGTATAAGCATTCAAATTTTTCTACATCCTTGTAAGTACTTGTTAATGTCTGTCTTTTACTTTAGCCATCCCAGTAGGGATTAAGTAGTATCTCAATGTGGTTTTGATTTGCATTTCCCTAATTATTAATACTGTTGATCATCTACCCATTCATGCGCTTATTGGCCATTTGTATGTCTTCCATGGAGAAATGTCTATTCAGTGTCTCAGCCCAAAATCTCCTTAAGCTGATAAGCAACTTCAGCAAAGTCTCAGGATACAAAATCAATGTGCAAAAATCACAAGCATTCTTATACACCAACAACACACAAACAGAGAGCCAAATCATGAGTGAACTCCCATTCACAATTGCTTCAAAGAGAATAAAATACCTAGGAATCCAACTTACAAGGGATGTGAAGGACCTCTTCAAGGAGAACTACAAACCACTGTCCAAAGAAATAAAAGAGGATACAAACAAATGGAAGAACATTCCATGCTCATGGGTAGGAAGAACCCATATCCTGAAAATGGCCATACTGCCCAAGGTAATTTACAGATTCAATGTCATCCCCATCAAGCTACCAATGACTTCCTTCACAGAATTGGAAAAAACTACTTTAAAGTTCATATGGAACCAAAAAAGAGCCCGCATCGCCAAGTCAATCCTAAGCCAAAAGAACAAACCTGGAGGCATCACACTACCTGACTTCAAACTATACTACAAGGCTACAGTAACCAAAACAGCATGGTACTGGTACCAAAACAGAGATATAGATCAATGGAACAGAACAGAGCCCTCAGAAATAACGCCACATACCTACAACTATCTGATCTTTGACAAACCTGAGAAAAACAAGCAATGGGGAAAGGATTCCCTATTTAATAAATGGTGCTGGGAAAACTGGCTAGCCATATGTAGAAAGCTGAAACTGGATCCCTTCCTTACACCTTATACAAAAATTAACTCAAGATGGATTAAAGATTTAAACGTTAGACCTAAAACCATAAAAACCCTAGAAGAAAACCTAGGCATTACCATTCAGGACATAGGCATGGGCAAGGACTTCATGTCCAAAACACCAAAAGCAATGGCAACAAAAGACAAAATTGACAAATGGGATCTAATTAAAATAAAGAGCTTCTTCACAGCAAAAGAAACTACCATCAGAGTGAACAGGCAACCTACAAAATCCTTTGCTCTTTTTTTTTTTAAGACAGGTTCTCGGTCTGTCACCCAGGCTGGAATGCAGTGGTGCAGTCATAGCTCACTGCAGCCTCTATCTCCTGGGCTCAAGTGATTCTCTCACCTCAGCCACCTGAGTAGCTGGGATTTCAGGCATGAACCACATGCCTGGCTAATTTTTTTGTTTTATGTAGAGACAGAGTTTTGCTTTGTTGCCCAGGCTGTTCTAGAACTCCTAGCTTCAAGCCATCCTTCCACCTTGTCCTCCCAGAGTGCTGGGATTATAGACATGAGCCACTGCACCTGGCCTCTTGCCCATTTTTAATTAGATTTTTTTAATTGAGTTTTATTGTTGAATTGTATATATGTATATATTCTTGATACAAGTTTCTTATCAAATATGATTTATAAATATTTTCTGATAATGTGAAACAGAATTGAAAGTTAATATAAACTCATGATTTCTTCCCGTTAACATATTTGGTAGCCCTGTTCATAGTTAGAGCCTAAAGTCAATGAGACTCAAGTGAAAATGAACCCACTGTGATGGTTAATTTTGTGTCAACTTGACTGGGTTAAGGGATACCCAGATAGCAGTAAAATTTTATTTCTGGGTGTGTCTGTGAGGTGTTTCCAGAAGAGGTTAGCATTCATATCAGTGGACTGAGGAAAGAAGATCCACCCTCAGCAAAGTGGGCATCATCCAATCCATCGAGCACCTGAATGGTACAAAAAGGCAGAGAAGGGCAAATTTATTGTCTCTTCTTGAGTTGAGACGTCCACCTTATCCTTTCCTTGGACATTAGAGCTCCTGGTTTTGGGGGCTTTAGACTCTAGGACTAACACCAGACTCCTCCTCCCCCCAAATATTAAGCCTTTGGCCTGAGACAGAGGCTTGCCGTTGGCTCCCATGGTTCTCAGACCTTCGGACTCAGACTGAACTACACCAGCAACTTTCCTCTTTCTCCAGTTTGCAGATGGCAGATCATGAGACTTCTCAGCCTCCACAATTATGTAAGCCAGTTCCCATAATAAATACACACACATGCACACACACACACACACACACACATCCTACTAGTTCTGTTTCTCTGGAAAACTCTAACACATCCGCCTAACACACAGATACTTTTCCAAAAACTTCCCCAAGACTCCTTGAAGAAACAGTGATTCCAACTGTAGGTCAAGGAATGAACAAGATGGGTATACAATTCCAGAAAGCAAAGATGCTACTAAAGACTAATGGGAAAGGGTTGAGGGGACACATGCAAAGGATCAGATACCACTGGAAGCATATCTGTGGCCAAATTTGGGACAATACAAGAATTTTCTTAAATTATAACTATAGCTTATTATAAATATTGGATACATCAAATGCTTGAGTCCAAAGTAACACTAAAGGAGGGAGAGAGAAGAGAACTCATTCACCATTGGAGGTGACTGTTAAACTAACTCATTTCTCTAAAAATCAGTAATTAATGTGGAAAAATAAGTATTTACCCTATCTTTTCAAGAAAATCAACATTTCATCCCCAACTGATGGTGGAAAGCTCTCTTTTACAGAAGAATGCCAGATAACAAATGTAGGAGGAATGAAACAATTGGAAATTCACTGTTTTCCAAACCCTAATAAAGACACTGATTCAAGCAAGGATCACCAGTGCATACTAAAAAATGTAAGGTGAAAATGTTTCTGCAATAGGACAGTCACAAGGTGCAAAAGTGTCACCCCACATATTCCTTTCTAAACGTAAAGGGGAAAGTCCCTTTATAACAGTAAGATCTGATGATCATCACCTTGACCAGGTGATCAAAGTTAGTATGGCTAGAAGTGAAACAACTTGATATGAGGCAATATGAGATACACAACATGATCTATGAATGAATTCTTGCAAAAAAAACGTTTAACCTAAGTCTGAACAAACGATTCAACCTAACTACTACATATACAAATATAGAAGAAATACACATGCATCCATCAGGGTTCTAGAAGGAAACAGATGGCATGCTGAAATTACTATTCAAAAAAGTAGTAAAGGGGGTACTTCTGCCTCTAGTCAAGATGGATAGCAAAGACCAGATTTACTCTCCTGCCTAAAGCAACCAAACAGCGGACAAAATACACAAAACGACAGTTTGCAAGATACTGAACATGAGGTAATGACAGATAGTAATCCCTGAAAGACAGTATTCCAATTTTGAATTTATTGCCTCTTGGTTCCATATTTGCCCTTCCTTGTGTAATCTACAAAAATGGGCGTAGGCCCTTTATATGTTTTGCTTTGTCAGCTGACTAATGTTAAGTTTTGTCAGTGGAGGGCATAGAAGAGACATTGCAGGGAGAAAGTGCTTTCTTTCCTGGATCAGGTGTGCTTGCTGAGCAGGTTACTGCAACATATGCAGCTCCCCCAGTACCCAGGCTCTAGCAGCACAGGCAACTGCATCTACAAAAAAAAAAAAAAAAAAAAAAAAAAAAACCCTAGAGCTAACACGATACTTAATAGTGGAAAACTGAATGCTTTCCTCCGAAGATGAGGAGCAAGGCAAGAATGTCTGCTCTTACTATTTCTATTCAACACTCCCTGGAAATTCTAACCTGTAAAATAGTTCAAAAAAAAAAAAGAAATTTAAAAGTTTCCAGATTAGAAAGGAAGAAGTAAAATGGTCTTATTTGCAGGCAAAATGATTGTATTAGTCTGTTTTCACACTGCTATAAAGAAAAACCCTCACGCCTGTAATCCTAGCACTTTGGGAGGCCGAGGCGGGCAGATCATGAGGTCAGGATATCGAGACCGTCCTGGCTAACATGGTGAAACCCCGTCTCTACTAAAAATACAAAAAATTAGCCAGGCGTGGTGGCGGGCACCTGTAGTCCCAGCTACTTGGGAGGCTGAGGCAGGAGAATGGCGTGAACCCGGGAGGTGGAGCTTGCAGTGAGCCGAGATCGCGCCACTGCCCTCCAGCCTGGGCGACAGAGCAAGACTCCGTCTCAAAAAAACAAAACAAAACAAAAAACCCAAGACTAGGTAATTTATTTAAAAAAGAGGTTTAATTGACTCACAGTTCCACATGGCTGGGGAGGCCTCAAACTTACAATCATGGTGGAAGGCAAAGAGAAAGCAAGGACCTCCTTCACATGGCACCAGGAGAGAGAAGAGTGAGGAGTGAAGGGAGAAGAGCCCCTTATAAAACCATCAAAACCATCAGATCTTGTGAGAACTCACTCACTATCACAAGAACAGCATGGGGGAAACTGCCCCCATGATTCAATCACCTCCCACCAGGTCTCTCCCTAGATATGTGGGAATTATGGGGATTACAATTCAAGATGCGATTTGCATGGGGACATAGCAAAACCATATCAATAATCGTCTATGTAGAAAATCTGATGCAATCTCCAAAAAAAACTGCTAGAACTAATAAGTGAGTTTAATAAAGCTGTAAAATACAAGATGTATTTACAATAGTCAATATTATTTATATTAGCAATGAGTAATTGGATGTTAGAATTTTAAAACAATATCATTGACAATAGCACTTCAAAATTAAATATTTGGGGATAAATCTGACAAAATTTTTACCTGTACACTGAAAATTTACAAAACATTTCAGAGAGAAATTAAAGAAGACCTAAATAAGTGGGGAGATATAACTTGTTTATTGGTCCAAAGACTCAAGATTGTTAAGATGTCAACTCTCCCCAAATTGATCTTTAGATTCAATGTAATCCCAATCAAAATCCTAGCAGGCTTTTATGTAGATTAACAAACTGATTTTAAAACACATATAGAAATGCAAAGAATAATCGCTTCTCGGCCTTTTGGCTAAGATCAAGTGTAGAAATGCAAAGAACCTAAAATAGCCAAAACAACTTAGAAAAAGAAGAATATATATTATAGATTACAATCTAATTTGACTAATCAAGGCAGTGTAGTATTAGCATAACAACAGACAAATCAATGGAACAGAATAGAGGGTCCAGAACTAGACACACACTTAAATGAACAAATGCTTTCCAACAAAGATATAAAAGTAATTTAGTAGAGATAGGATAGTCTTTTCAACAAATGCTGATGGAATAATTGGATATCCATATGCACGAAAATAAACTTTGGGCCAGGAGCAGTGGCTCCAGAGTATAATCCCAGCACTTAGGGATGCCAAGGCGGATGGATCACTTGAGCCCAGGAGTTTGAGACCAGCCTGGGCAACATGGTGAAACCCCATCTCTACAAAAAAAAAAAAAAAAAAAATACAGAAATTCGCCAGGTATGGTGGTGTGCACCTGTAGTCTCAGCTACTCTGGAGGCTGAGGTGGAAGGATCATTGGTGCCCAGAAGGTTGAGGCTGCCCTGAGCTGAGATCGTGCCACTGCACTCCAGGCTGGCGACAGAGTGAGGCCTTGTCTCAAAAATAAATAAACAAGCTTTGTTTATGCCTTGTACCGTATACAAAAATTAATTCAAAATACAACATAGATGATATGGTTTGACTCTGTGTCCCCACCCAAATCTCATTTCAGATTGTAATCCTCAGTGTTGGAGGAGGGGCCTGGTGGGAGGTGATTGAATCGAATCATGGAGGTGGTTCTCGTGATAGTGAGTGAGTTCTCACAAGATCTGGTTGTTTAAAAGTGTCTAGCACCTCCCCCTTTGCTCTCTCCTGCTCTACCATATGAAGATATGTCTGCCTTCCCTTTGCCTTCTGCCATGATTGTAAGTTTCCTGAGCCCTCCCCAGCCATGCTTCCTGTAGAGCCTGCAGAACTGTGAGTCAATTAAACCTCTTTTCTTTATAAATTACACAGTCTCAAGTAGCTTTTTATAGCAATGTGAGAACAGACTAATGTAATAGACCTAAACATAAAATCTAAAGCTACAAGACATTTAGGAGAAAACCTTCATGACCTTGGGTTAAGCAAACATTTTTTACATGTAACACCAAAATCATAATCCATAAAAAAACAAACTGGTAAAGTTGCATTTCAATAAGAAAAACATCTTCTCTATGAAAGACACTGATTAAAAAGAATAAAAACATAAAGACCAGAAGAAAATATTTTCAAACCATATATTTGGTATAGAACTTCTATGAAAATATGTAATGAACTCTTAAAAATCAATAATAGAAAACAAACAACCCAATAATAAAATTGGCAAAATATTTGGAAAGATATTTTACCAAAGAGGACCTGCTTA
Source organism: Homo sapiens (assembly GCF_000001405.40). NCBI lineage: Eukaryota > Metazoa > Chordata > Mammalia > Primates > Hominidae > Homo > Homo sapiens. The sequence goes on from NC_000008.11 coordinate 69,884,939, forward strand.
TGGAAAAAAAAAAGAGAAGAAGAAGGGGGGAAAAAGCACATAAGGCCAAGTGCAATGGCTCATGCCTATAATCCCAGCATTTTGGGAGGCTAAGGTGGGCAGATCACTTGAGGTCAGGAGTTCGAGACCAGCCTGGCCAACATGGTGAAACTCCATCACCTTGTCTCTACTAAAAATACAAAAATTACCTGGGCATGGTTGCACATGCCTGTAATCCCAGCTGCTCTGGCAGCTGAGGCAGGAGAATTGCCTGAACCCAGGAGGCAGAGGTTGCAGTGAACCGAGATGGCACCAATGCACTCCAGTCTGGGCGACATAGTGAGACTCCATCTCAAAAAATAAATAAATTTTTAAAGGCACATAAAAAAGATGTTCAATATCCTTAGTCATTAGAAAAATTCAGTTAAAACCTTGATAGGATATCATTACACATCTATTAGAATGTCTAAAGCTGAGGCTTTTACACTGCTGGTGGGAATGTAACATGGTGCATTTACTTTCTAGTAAAGCTAAACAAGCAACTACCCTATGATCCAGCAATTGCACACTTGGACATGTATGACAGAGAGATGAAAAATTATGTATACACAAAAATCTGTACACAAATGTTCATAGCAGTTTTATTCATAATTGTCAAAAACTGAAAACAACCCATTTGTCTTTCAACAGGTGCATGGTTAAACGAACTACATATCATGGAATACTACTCAGCAATTTAAAAAGAACAAACTATTGGCCAGGCGCGGTGGCTCACACCTGTAATCCCAGCACTTGGGAGGCCAAGGCAGGCAGATCTCTTGAGGTCAGGAGTTCAAAATCAGCCTGGCCAACATGGTGAAACCCCGTCTCTACTAAAATTACAAAAATTAGCCAGGCATGGTGGCGTGCACCTGTAGTCCCAGCTACTTGGGAGGCTGAGGCAGGAGAATTGTTTGAGCCCAGGAGGTGAGGTTGCACTGAGCCAAGATCACACCACTGCACTCCAGCCTGGGCAACAGAGGGAGACTCTGCCTCAAAAAATAATAATAAATAAATAAATAAAAAGAACAAACTATTGATAAATGTAACAACTTGGATGAATTTCCTGGAAATTACACTGACTGAAAAAAAATCCAACCCCAAAGGTTATAAACTGTGTGATTCCATTTATATAACATTCTCAAAATGACAAAATTATGAAAATAAGGAACAGATTAGTTGTTGCCAAAAGTCAGAAATGGGCAGAGGGCTGGAGTTAAGGGTAGGTGTGGCTATAAAAGGGAAACATGAAGGATTCATGTGGTGATAGAACTCATCTTTATTCTAATTGTACTGATTTCAAAATCCTGGTTGTGACATTTTACTTAAGTTTTGTAAGATGTTACCACTGGGGGAAACTAGATAAAGGGTACACCAAGTCTCTCTGTATTAATTCTTAAAATTGCATGTTAACGTACAATAAGTAACCAGCATTCCATGGGGAGAAAAATGTTAATTCCAGGTTTGGGGCAAGAAATAAATAACATCTATTCTTGGAACATCTTTTACCACATAGCAAAGAAGTGGTCAAATATTACTAGGGTAATGTCAAAAAGACACGGAGCCAATTTGAAAAGGCTCCTACTGGCCAAAGAAGAATGTAAAAATCAATAAGAAAAATAACTGCAACAGATTGAAATATATTTGATATATTTCAATCTCTCAGTTCACAATGATACTTTTTTTAAAAGGTGTTGTTTAAGGATACCAGGGAACCAACTTATTTTGAAAACTGATAGAAGACTCAAATATTTTTCCTGCTATTTCTATATGAATTATAGCATTGGACAACCAGATAGAAGATAAGGGGAAAATTATCTTTATGGAAGTATTGCAGCTAATAAATTTTATAAGCTAGATTAGAATCTCATACTTTTGAAAGCCCTAATGAACTAATAGATAGCCATTGAGCATCAGAGTCTGCTAACATCCCCCAAAAATAGATAACTAATTATTAAGTGACTTCTAATGAAAGAAACCAACACCAGCTATGAATGATGTTGCCAAGACAAATCCAATATGAATCTGAGCATGCCTCGAGATCCAACTATCAATTTAAAGCAAATACAGGCCCATGGGGTAGCCCTGCTCTGCAAGGAACAGTAAAAAATAATAATAAAATAAAAATAAATAAAATAAAATAAATAAAGCAAATACAAAGGACTAAGGACCATGTTAAATTATACCTTAGAAATGCAATCAGAAGCATTTCCACTATGGGAAACCATCAGCCAAACAATCTAATTTATTCAAAAACTGGAAGAAAAGAAAAAGGAGATAAAGGAGGCCTTATAAATTAAAAAAACCCTGGTTCAATTAAACTAACTATTTAAAATGTTTTTTACATATGTGAGACAACTGGAAATTGTCTCATACATGTAAAATTCACCCACTGATGGATATTTGATGATATTAAAGAATTATTGTTGGCCAGGCACAGTGGCTTACGCCTGTAATCCTAACACTTTGGGAGGCTGAGGCAGGCAGATCACGAGGTCAGAAGTTTGAGACCAGCCTGGCCAAAATGGCAAAATCTGTCTCTACTAAAAATACAAAAATTAACAGGGCGTGGTGGCAGGTGCCTATAATCCCAGGTACTTGGGAGGCTGATGCGGGAGGATCGCTTGAATGTGGGGGATGGAGGTTGCAGTGAGCCGAAATGGCATCATTGCACTCCAGCCTGGATGAAAGAGTGAAACTCTGTCTCAAAAAAAAAGAAAAAAATTATTGTTAAGCTTTTAGGTGTAATAATGATATTGTTATTATGTTTTTTAAAGTGTTTTTATCTTTTAGGAATGTATATGGAGATAGCTACAGATGAAAATGATATGATGCTTGGGATGGCTTCAAAATTCTACAGGAGGGTTAAGTAGCCAGGAGTGTGAATGGACATGATTGAACAGTGGCTGCTGGTTGGTGGAGCTGAGTGCTGGGTATGCAGGATCAGAGGCTCCACCAACCAGCAGCCGCTGTTCAATCATGTCTACTTTGGTGTATGTTCGGTATACTTACTTTTGGGTATGTTTGAAATGCTCCAAATAAAAACGTTAAAAAAAAAAAAATAGCAAGTGGCCATACAGCGTGGCTCATGCCTGTAATCCCAGCCCTTTGGGAGGCCGAGGCAGGTGGATCTTTTGAGCTCAGGAATTCAAGACCAGCCTGGACAACATAGCAAGACCTCATCTCTATAAAAAATACCAAAAAAAAAGAAAAGAAAACAGCCAGGCAAGGCGGTGTGCCACTGTAGTCCCAGCTATGTAGGGAGCTGAGGTGGAAGGATTGCTTGAGTCCAGCAGGTCGAGGCTACAGTAAGCCAAGATCACGCCACTACACTCCCGCCTGGGTGACAAAGTGAGACTCTGTCTCAAAAAAAAAAAAAAAAGGCCGGGTGCAGTGGCTCATGCCTGTAATCCCAGCACTTTGGGAGGCCAAGGCAGTTGGATCACCTCAGGTCAGGAGTTTGAGAGCAGCCTGACCAACATGGTGAAACCCCATCTCTACTAAAAATATAAAAATTAGCTGAGCCTGGTGCTGCATGCCTGTAATCCCAGCTACTAGGGGGGCTGAGGCAGGAGGATCGCTTGAACCTGGTAGGCAGAAGTTGCAGTGAGCCAAGATCACGCCACTGCACTCCAGCCTGGGCAACAGAGCAAGACTCTGTATCAAAAAAGAAAAAGAAAAACTAACAAGACATACCAATTGAAATGCAGAAATTTTGACTGAACTCTGATCAAAGGTAACACAGTTTTAAGACACATTTTTGGAACAATGGAGAAATTTAAATATGTGATAAGTGTTAGATGACATTAGATTAGAGAATCCCTGTTAATTTTCTTAGATGTGACTATGATGCTATAGTGATATAGGAGAATTCAATTATTATCAGAAGAGACATAATGAAGAACTGAAAGGGAAAATGCCATGTTTCAGGAACTTTCAAATGTTTCAGCCAAAAAATAAAAACAGTGATTTGTACACCAATGTTCATAGCAGCATTATTCATAATTGTCAAAAGGTGGAAACAACCCAAAAGTACATCTGCAGATGAATGGACAAACAAAATATGTGTGTGTACAATAGACTATTATTCAGCCTTAAAAAGGAAGGAAATTGTGGCACATGCCACAATATGGATGAACCTGAAGACATATGCTTCATAAAATAAGCCATACACAAAAAGATAAATATTGCATGATTTCAATATTTGAGGTACTTAGAGTAAGCAAATTCATAAAGGAAGAAAGTACAACAGTGGTTGAATAGTTGTTAACAGGGGCTGGCAGGACAGACAATGGAGTTAGTGTTTAATGTAATGTATAGTTTATCACATTTTAAAATGTTTTTAAACCAAGATAGATATGCAGCAAAATAACAAAGTGCTAACAATTGTTGAAGATAATTGGTGGATCTATGAGTCCTTATTATACTCTTTCAACATTCTGTGTATTAGAATTAATTCTCATAATAAAAACGTTTGAGTTTTGTTTTGGTTTTTTGTTTTGTTTTGTTTTGTTTGTTTTGGAGGAGGAGTCTTACTCTGTCGCCCAGGCTGGAGTGCAGTGGCGCGATCTCGGCTCACTGCAGCCTCTGTTTCCCGGGTTCAAGCAATTCTCTTGCCTCAGCCTCCCGAATAGCTGGGACTACAGGTGTACGCCACCACACCAGGCTAATTTTTGTAATTTTAGTAGAGATGGGGTTTCACCATGTTGGCCAGGATGGTCTTGATCTCCTCACCTGGTGATCTGCCCGCCTCAGCCTCCCAAAGTGCTGGGATTACAGGTGTAAGCCACCGTGCCCCGCTAAACGTTTGAGTTTTTAAGAAAAGCAAAAATATTGACACAAGAGAAGAGAGAAGGAAGTAGACATAATTAAAGTAGGAGAGAGAGAAAGAGAAGAAAAAGAAGAGAATTCCCCATTTGTGATACTAATTATTACAGGACTAAGATTCTCTACTATACAGACTATCCTATGCAACTGGGGAGCAGGTGCTCTTCAGCCAATACCTGCGGAGGCTACGCAAATATGCTCCAGCAAGAGCATCTCCACATAGGACCAGAGCAGAAGACTGTGCAGCCTTTGCCTGCACAAGGGTACCACATAGTAGACATCAAAGATTTACATATATATTCTTATAGTCTTCCAAAATATATATATATATATTATCATAGTCTTCCAAAAGAGAATAAGTATGGGCTCACAGAGACTCTGTAAATTAGGTTGACATTATTCCTTTCCTAAGAAAAGGAAATAAATAGGTCGGGAGAGGTGACTCACACTTATAATCCCAGCACTTTGGGATGCCACGATGAGATGATCAGTTGAATCCAGAAGTTCAAGATCAGCCTGGGCAACATATCGAGATCCTGTCTCTATAAATCATACAAAATTTAGCTGGGCATGGTGGCGCACATCTGTGGCCCAGCTACTTGGGAGGTTGAGGCAGGAGGATCACCTGAGCCCAGGAAGTTGAGGCTGCAGTGAGCTATGATTGTGCCTGAGTGACAGAGTGAGACCTTGTCTCCAAAAAAAAGCAAAAAGAGAGAGAGAGAGAGAAAAGAAAATAAACATTCAGGTCGTAAAGGGTTAAATCTTGGAATTGAATATTATATAGTATTGTTTTTGTTAACAAAGCTACTTTGTGCTGAATCATAAAAAGATTTCTCATATGGAAACATTTGATATGATTTCATATTACTTTTATTCTTATTTCTTAAGAAACTAGAAATCATTTCTAAAAAGATGTATTTAATAACCGATTTGTGTTTTTCATATCACATATCACCACGAATGTTAAAAATTACAGGTCTAGGCTGGGCGCAGTGGCTCATGCCTGTAATCCCAGCACTTTGGGAGGCTGAGGCAGGAGGATCACCTGAGGTCAGGAGTTCAGGGGGAAAGCCTGGCCAACATGGTAAAATCCCCTCTCTACTAAAATTACAAAAATCAGCTGAGCATGGTGGCCCTCACCTGTAGTCCCAGCTACTCGGGAGGCTGAGGCAGGAGAATTGCTTGAACCCAAGAGGTGGAGGTTGCAGTGAGCCAAGATCATGCTACTGCCCTCCAGCCTGGGGGACAAAGCAAAACTCTCTCAAAAAAAAAAAAAAAATGACAGGACTAGCCTAAGTATGTTTTAAATTAGTTTTTTTTTTTTTAATGTCCTGATATCCTTGCCTTCCAAAATACATTAGCCATTTTGAAGAACACACGATACTTCTGAGATTACATTTTTCAGTTGTCAAAGTGTCACTTACTGAGTTGGCATTGGTGTATAGGGCTTGGTTATGTCTTGTCTTCCCAACTCCCTCACCTCTAATCTGGGAGCTCACCTGATTTTTGGCAGAAAACATTTCAGAAGGCAAAGTGAAACAAAGGCAAGTGAAAAAAAGAAATGGGAAAAAAAAAATCACTGAAAACCAGACTTACTGGTAAAACTACAGCAGCAGCCATAAAGTGGTTTGTGAATACAAAGTGCCTGAATGTTAGTAGCATGTGCATTTATTTAATCGAAGTAGAACTCATAAACAATAAATGATATTCCCAAATATTTTACTGGCTTAGGGAATTCTTAATGAGAGAAAGCATCCCAGTTTGATCAAACCCATGATTAAAACATATGTTAAACAAAAACGCTTTTTCACTTTAAACAACCCCCTCCCTTGAATATCCGTTGTTATCAGAGTTTAGAATTACATGAGTCAACCTAGAAAAGGATAAAAGCCCGAGCTCACTCACCATACATTTGAGCCTGAGGGGTTTTGGCAAAAGATTCCCAGAAAATCACTCATCCGACTGAGAGATTAACGCATTTATAAATGCATCCTGTCATCACTGAGTATGCAGGGTTTTTACTCATTTAATGAATACTGGTCTAATGCAAATTTGTATAAAGTTAAAAATAAAGGGCCCCATTTAATCCTCATGGAGACTTTTTGTTTTGCTTCCCAGTACAGGACTGCTGTGGATATGTCAATGTTACTTCCAGAATGATAGATACCTACAGAATAATTCAAACATCCTAACAATGATAGCAGAAGGACAAAGAACTCCATGTTCATTGCTCAGACCCTGTGCATTAGAACTCTTAAGTTTTTTTTTTAAGAAAAAAAAAAGTAAAAGATGCAATCTAAATGCACAATTGACAGTGGTCAAAAATATGCATTCTAAGCAAGCCAATTAAAAAAAAAAAGCTAACATTGAATTGCAATGAATCAAGACCACAGAGTTTGGAAAAGCCATTAGAAGCCATTCAAAATATAAGAAGATTTCTAGACTTTGAATTCCTCCAGGAAATGTACCATGTTGTATCCAATTTGTATTCCCAATGTCTAGCAGGGCACCTGGTACATGGTAGGAGGCTGAACAAATAAATTAATTAATGAGTTGACTCTCTATAGTGTAATAGAGACTCTAATATCCAGTCTCCATTTCTTCCATATAATTGATTGCCAAATTTTTAACGGGCTACAGGAATGCCTAGAATCAAGGCTATATTTCCCAGGCTCCTTTGAAGCTGGATGTGACCATATAATTAACCTCTGCCCAAAGGGATAAAAGCAGAAGGCCGGGTATGGTGGCTCACGCCTGTAATCTCAGCACTTTGGAAGCCCAAGGCAGGCAGATCACCTGAGGTCAGGAGTTCAAGACCTGCCTGGCCAATATGGTGAAACCCAATCTCTACAAAAGAAAAAGAAAAAAATACAAAAAAGTAGAAGTAGAGATCAATTCCATCACGTTGGGAGGACAAGGTGGAAGAATTGCTTCCCAGGAATTCAAGACCACCCTGGGTAACACAGAGCAAAACCCGATCTTTACCAAAAGAAAGGAACATTTAATTAGTTAGACGTGGTGTCACATACCTGTAGTCCTAGACACTTGGGAGGCTGAGGATGGAGGATCACTTGAGCCCAGGAAGTCAAGGCTGCAGTAAGCCACGATCACATCACTGCACTCCAGCCTGAGAAACAGAGAGATCTTGTCTCAAAAAAAATAAATAAAATACAAGTAGAATGCTTCATTTTCCGCCCTGCTTCATTCTTCCTGCTGGTTGGATGCAAACAAAAAGCCTGAAGCTCCAACAACCATCTTGGATACCAAGTAGTGACCCAGAGAACGAAAGTAATCCATGGTAGAGCCACAGAGAAGTGAAGCCTAGATCTCTGACCCACGGTATTTTATAACACTGAAGACCTTTCAAATGCTTGACTGAGAAATATACTTGTATTTTCCCAAACTGCTGATATTTGAGGATCTCCTTTATTTGTAGCTGAATCTAATCCTAAGCAATGCATATGCTTTATCTAATTACTTCTTTACTGTGTATTTAGCTAGATTTTCATTTTTACCTCAAATAGTGCCACAGCCATGTTCCATAACCATGTTCCATGTTCCATAACACTTTCTCTGTAAAGGGCCAGACAGCAACTATTTTTTAGGCTTTGCAGATCACATATGATCTCTCTTTCTCTCTCTCTCTCTCTCTCTCTCTCTCTCTGTCTTTCTCTCTGTCTCTCAAATGTTCATCTTCTGGGTTTTTGGGGGGTTTTGTTTTTACACCTCCTTAAAAATGTAAAAACTGTTCCTAGCTCACAGGCTTTACAAAGACAAACTTCACTGAGGCCACATTTGGCCTGTGGGCCACAGTTTGCAGATCCAGGTTTTATAGCAGTAATGCAAATGTTTTACTAGCCTCTGAACTCACTATACAAACAAAATTTTACCGATATCCAAATATGTAACACGGGGCAAAATTTGATCTGGTTGTGAGAGAGGCAGGAGAGCTTGAATCCTCCTGCCAATTAATCTGTTTCTTTTTCTCCTCTTTATCCTCACCCCTCACCCCCACATCTCCTTCTCCTAAATGGGCTTCACCAATCTTCAGGGTTTCTTAGAACGCAATTTGAAAGCCACTCATCCATGGCCAGGCAGAGTGGCTCATACTTGTAATCCCAGCACTTTAGGAGGCCAAGACAGGTGGATCATTTGAGGCCAGGAGTTCAAGACCAGCCTTGCCAACATGGGGAAGCCTCATCTCTACTAAAAATACAAAGATCAGCCAGCCATGGTAGAATGCACCTGTAATCCCAGCTATTTAGGAGGCTGAGGCACAAGAATCACTTAAACCAGGGAGGTGGAGGTTACAGTGAGCCAAGATTGTGCCACTGCATTCCAGCCTGCGTGACAAAGCGAGACTCTGTCTCAAAAAAAAAAAAAAAAGAAAATCACTCATCCATGACCTAGGACTTGACAGTCTCTGTCACCTATTTATTCATGCGTTGTAGTAAATCTAAAGCAGAGATTTTAGGAAAACCTTAGATATATCACTAGGTTATCTTTCCGAGGGGGAAGTTGTGTGTAAGGGTGTGGGTATACAAGTATATGTACATTCCTGCACACGTAAGTACATATTTATTTATTTTGATCAGAAGGGGGAAATAGGCTATTTTCAACAAAAAAATCCAATTGCCAATAATTATCCCTATAAGTGAAGATGAGTGACACCACCATTTACATCATTAGGGAGATAAACTTTTTTTTTTTGAGACAGAGTTTCGCTCTTGTTGCCCAGGCTGGAGTGCAATGGCACGACCTCAGCTCACTGCAACCTCCGCCTCTCAGCTTCCCAAGCAATTCTCCTGTCTCAGCCTCCCAAGTAGCTGGAATTACAGGCATATGCCACCATGCCCAGCTATTTTTTTTGTACTTTTAGTAGAGACAGGGTTTCATCATGTTAGTCAGGCTGGTCGCGAACTCCTGACCTCAGGTGATCCACTCACCTTGGCCTCCCAAATTGCTAAAATTTTAGGCATGTGCCACCATGCCCAGTCTAGGAGATAAACTTTACACTGTTTCCTTCTGTTAACAAAAGCTGATGATGGAGGGAAAGCTTACTTAAAACTTTGATTATGTTAAAGAAGAGATTAACGACTTTCCTAGTCTGTTTTATTTTGCTTATAATAAAATACCAGAAACTGGGTAATTTATTTTAAAATGGAATTTATTTCTTACAGTTCTGGAGGCTAAGTCCAAGGTTTAGGTGCTTACATTTCTAGAGGCTAAGTCCAAGGTTTAGGTGCTACAACTAGAGAGGGCGTTCTTGATTGCGGAGACTCTCTACAGAGTCCCAGGGGTGATGCAGGGCTAAAGTGCTAGCTCAGGTCTCTCTTCCTCTTCTTATAAGGCCACCAGTCCTCTAATGATAACCCATTAATCCATGAATGCCCTCATGATCCAATCACCTCTTAAAGACCCCACCTCTCAATACTACCACTTTGGGATTACATATCAACATGAGTTTTGGAGGGGGCAAACATTTAAACCACAGCACAGACTTAATCAACAGAACATCATAGTGAATTCTTGGATATTTGAAGATAATGATGGAGGTGCTTTGCAGGAAGTCTGGGGGCCTAAAACTGCACAGCATGGGAAATGAACATAAATTTGAAGGGTGCTGAGGGCTCTTCATGCAAAAGGAGAATGAAGAAAAAAAAAAAAAAAGCATGAGAGAAGTTCCTAGGAGAAAACTGCCAGTGAGAAATAGGCCAGTAAGAAATGACCAGTTGCTGGAATTCTTAAGAGTAGAGATACTCATTCTAATTTGTTATTGTTTGCTGCTCTCGGAGCGTTGATGTGCAGCCCTTCTTTAACGCTCCCAACTTTTCTTTTTTAATTGATAAGGGGTCTCACTCTGTCACCAGGGCTGGAGTGCAGTGGTATGATGTCAGCTCACTGCAGCCTCTGCCTCGCAGGCTCAAGTTATCCTCCCTCAGCCTTAGCCTCCTGAGTAGCTGGGACCACAGGCACACATCACCATGCCCAGCTAATTTTTTGTATTTTGGGTGGAGACAGGGTTTTGCCATGTTGCCCAGCCTGGTCTTGAACTCCTGGGCTCAAGCAATCTGTCCTCCTCGGCTAAAGTGCTGGGATTACAGGTGTGATTAACTTTTGATAAAATGAGTTACATATAAGGCTTATGTGGATGATAGAGTAAGGAGAAGCATAAGGAAAAGGTGATGCATTACGTCTCTTTGGTATAATATATGAATAGTATCGACATAAAAAAGAGAGAACACATGAGGCAATAAGGTGCAAAGCTGAGAACAAACACTTAATGCAAGCAAAAAATTGGGGCTTGGACCCTCTACAATTCTTTTAAGATATTCTTGGGGAATGTTTCAATGTTTTGACCCTGTTTCAATAAATAAATAAATAACACAAGCAACACACACACAAACACACACAAAATTGAACTTCTAGAAATACAAAACACAATAATAGTATTTAATACACACTAGATATGTTTTAAAGCAAAATAAATAGAGAATTAATGAACTAGAAGGTACCTCAGAAGCCAGACTACATCTTGGAGAAAAAAAAATACGTAAAATATTAAAGAGACGGGAAGAAACATGGAGGCTATAGAGAGAGAAGGTTTAAGCCACATTTAATCAAAGTTCTGGGAGAAAAGGGCAGAAAAATGCAACAGAGGTAATATGTGAAGAGAGAATGGCTGGTAATTTTCCAAAATAATCAAATACACCAATACACAGATTCAAGGAACCCAATGTATTCCAAGCAAAATAAACAAAAACAAATCCATCAATAAATACATCATAATAAAATAGAAGGCCAAAACAAACCCCAAAAAATCTTAAAATTGACCAGGCGCAGTGGCTCACACCTGTAATCTCACCCCTTTGGGAGGCCGAGGCAGGTGGATCACGGGGTCAGGAGATCGAGACAATACTGGCTAACACAGTGAAATCCTGTCTCTACTAAAAATACAAAAAATTAGCTGGGCATGGTGGCAGGCGCCTGTAGTCCCAGCTACTCGGGAGGCTGAGGCAGGAGAATGGCATGAACCTGGGAGGCGGAGCTTGCAGTGAGTGGAGATTGTGCCACCACACTCTAGCCTGGGCAACAGAGTGAAGCTCTGTTGTGAAAAAGAAAAAAAAAATCTTAAAATTATCCAAGAATAAAGACAAATTAACTTTAACAGAGTTAGACCGACAGCCATCTTCTCAACAGCAATAGTGGAAGCCAGAAAGCTGTGGAATCCCTTCAATGTTATGGAAAAAGTATAGCTATCAATTTAGATGGAGTTCTATACTGACCAAAGGTAGCCTTAACAAGAAGAAAATAAAGACATTTTCAGGCAGACAAAAACAGAACTTACCACCAGCAAATCTTCACTAAAGGAAGTTCTCATAGTTTTACTTCCCACGTATAAAGAATGTGATACCAGGCTGGGCGCGGTGGCTCACACCTTTAATCCCAGCACTTTGGGAGGCCGAGGCAGGAGGATCATCAGGTCAGGAGTTGGAGACCAGCCTGGCCAACATAGTGAAACCCTGTCTCTACTAAAAATACAAAAATTAGCCAGGATTGGTGTCACGCACCTACAGTCCCTGCTTCTCAGGAGGCTGAGGCGGGAGAATCACTTGAACCCAGGAAGCAGAGGTTGCAGTGAGCCGACACCATGCCATTGCACTCCAGCCTGGGTGACAGAGTGAGACTCTGTCTCAAAAATAAAAGTAAAAAATAAAAAGAATGTGATACCAGAGGGAATATCTGGGATACAAGAAGGTAAAAATAACAAAGACCATGGTGAACACATGCGCACATTGAAACAATTGTTAAGCGAATAAATAGCCAGCAAGGAATGCATTAGGCTATAGACTGAGTGGTGTCCCTCAGATGCCTGCAGTCACTGGCCCCAAGAACCTTTGTCCCTAAAAGAGGTGGGTTACCTTTCAAAGGCCTAGAAACTGGATATAATCAGTGAGTATAGAACAAGAACTTCCTTCGATCCCACCAACTGCAAGAAAAGCAGCTAAATACATCTGCGAAAAAAAATTAAAAATAAATAAATAAAAGAAAAACAGGGCTGACTTGGTGGCTCACGCCTGTAATCCCAGTATTTTTGGAGGCCAAAGTGGGTGGACCACTTGGGGTAAGGAGTTCGAGACCAGCCTGGCCAACATGGTGAAACCCCTTCTCAACTAAAAATACAAAAATTAGCTGGGCATCGTAGCGCATGCCTGTAGTCCCAGCTGCTCAAGAGGCTGGAGCAGGAGAATCACTTGAATCCGGGGGGCAAAGATTGCAGTGAGCTGAGATTGCACCACTGCACTCCAGACTGCGTGACAGAGCGAGACTCCATCTCAAAAAATAAAAATAAATAAAAGTAAGAAAAGCAGTTAAAAAATAAGAGCAAAAAGACGGGGCCCTTTATGGAAATACAAGGAGAAGGGCTGTGAATAGCCACATCTGAAGCTGCAAACTCCAAGAAAGGGCTTGAGCCCCCAATAGAAGAAGGGAAGGAGCCAGAGGGGAACTGGGACTCTAAACATCATTGCAATTGTTACCCACGGTAGTGTAACCATGAGGAAATAGGGGTTCACTAGTACCTTCTTCCTTTTTTTTTTTCCTTGGGACAGAGTCTTGCTCTGTCACCCAGGTTGGAGTGCAGTGGTGTGATCATGGCTCACTGAAGCCTAGACCTCCTGGACTCAAGCAATCCTCCCATCTTAGCCTCCCGAATAGTTGAGACTTCAGGTGTGTGCCACCACACCTGACTATTTTTTGTATTTTTTGGAGAGACAGGGTCTCACTATGTTGCCCAGGCTGGTCTCAAAACTCCTGGCCTCAAACAATCCTCCCACCTCAGCTTCCCAAAGTGCTGGAATTACAGGCATGAGCCACTGCACTCAGGCAATATCTTATTCATGCAGCTAAGAAAACAGGTTCAGAGGGTTATCTGCCTAGCGTCACCTTAAAAGCTCAAATCCCAGCTCCACCACTTACTAACTAAATAAATTACTTGCTGTCTATGAGCCTTAATCCCCTTATATGTAAAGTGAGGATAACCCTACTACCTACCATATAATGTGTGAGATTTAACAGTGGTTGGGATTGAGTATTCATCATATGACAGGCCCTGAGATAAATGCCCTTGGAGTATTAGCTCATCTAACTGATTAAGTCATGGCAACATGTGGCCAAATTGAGACACACTCCAAGCCTTCAGATTCCAGTCCTCATAGCTTCACTACACCAATGTTGGAACAAACGAATACGACATTACACACACACTTCCCATAGAATTCTTAACAAAATAAATCTATGGGTTTCACGTAAATAAACATACTTTATGCTGGGTAAATATAGTTGGAAACTAAACACAGCTAAAAACAAAAAGTTTCCAGAAAACTATGTAAATGACTTCATATAGGGGGAAAAATCTCTTTCGGTTCAATTTCCTAAGTCCCATTTAATTCTATCTGCTGCATTCATACTGTCTGCATGAAGGTTTTTGCATGAAATTACAATGGCTAATGCAATGCATAAAGACAGGGTCTCCTTTAAGAGACCATTTCCTCCTTGGATGATGACAACGCACTCGGCTGCCCGTGATGTGAGCCCTAGAGTTTGGCTAACTTCACATTATTTTTACCACTTTCTGGTTTACAGATACATCTTATAATGTCAGCAATTTGAAGTCACATTTCGTTCTTCTCCTGGAATTCAGTACACACAGAATGTATTATTTCCTAAGTTCTTACCTCCCATTTGAAACTTAGAAAAATTCTCAGCTTACCCACAATTATGATTTAAAAGGTTGAAAAAGATGTGGAGAGCAATTTAAGAGGACAAATATTATTCAGAGTAAAGCAGAAATGATTAAAGCCATCTCCAACTGTATGAAGTGTTCTTTCCTTGGGCTCCTGATAAGCTGTTCTCTCAAAAGATCACATCTGTAACACCAAGTTTTTGGGCAAAATGTTTACAGCCTGACTTCTTGTCAGATCTGAAAACATTCCATAGTCAGACATACAAGCGGACACTGGTGGTTGCCTATATTCACAGTCATGCCTCCACCTTCTGCCTTGCTAATAGTATCTCAGTTTCATTCGGGTAACACACACCCATTATTTCACATGAGTCTAGACTCTTTCCTAACCGTGACTGGTTTAATCATACTCTTATTTCCCTCGCCCAATAATTGGTTGAGATATGAGCACGTGGCATGATTCTGACCAATGAGACATGAGGGAAAGTCGGCTGTGGGAGGAAGGAGGGTTTCTGGAAAAGATTTTCCACTGATAAAAAGAGACAGCTCCTCTTCAACCACTTAAGAGTTATGTTAGGCTGGGCGCGGTGGCTCAAGCCTGTAATCTTTATTCTCAACTCTAGCTGTATTTTTAACGTATTTCCTTCTCACTTTCATAGTTACCTTTTCATTTCAGTAGTTCTAGCTTTCCATGTCTTTTAACTCTTTTACATCACTCTCATTTTCAAAATGTCTTAAACTTTAAGTGCTTAGTATTCTTTTTTAATTTTTTTCTTATGATTCTTAATTTTAACTCCTCTAGCTTTTTACCTCTATTTTACTTTTTTATTCCCTTTCTCTTTCCAATATAATTTTCTTACTTATGATTGGTTTTTCTGGGTTGCTTCATTGTTTGTTGAGATGGAATCTCACTCTGTCATAGGCTGGAGTGCAGTGGTGCAATCTCAGCTCACTGCAACCTCTGCCTCCCAGGTTCAAGCAATCCTCCTGCCTCAGCCTCCTGAGTAACTGAGATTACAGGCACACGCCACTGCGTCCAGCTAATTTTTGTATTTTTAATAGAGACAGGGTTTCACCATGTTGGCCAGGCTGGTCTGGAACTCCTGACCTCAAGTGATCCACCTGTCTCGGCCTCCCAAAGTGCTGGGATTACAGGCGAGAGCCACCGTGCCCAGCTATGATTGGTTTTTCTTATGGCTACCAAGAAATGTGACTAGAAGTTTGCCATTGAACAAAGCCCAGAGTACAAATAGGGAAGATTAGAGGTCTTCTGCCCTCTGTACCCCAAGAACCCACACTGTGGTCTTGTACACTAGCCTATCTTGTATTTCCATATTGTTTCACCTCCCTTGGCAGGCCCCAAGATGATTTCTTATAATAAAGTTTCCACTCCTACTCCCTCCCCTTCTTCCTTTCTTCTTCACTAGGAAGAAGAAAGAAGCCTTATCATGATAAAGCTGAGATGCCAGATACCCACACACGCTCACACACACGCCCCACTGGGCACTAGACCATTTTCTCAAATAAGAACTTACAAGCTAAGTCAGCTGAGTAGTCCCCTCCACCTAAGGGGAAAAGAGGGCCTGTTTTACCACACATCATGGAGAAGTTCACTAGGCACTGAGAAGTCACTAAAGCTAGAGCCTCTTGTGCCTCTCTTCCAAAAACGGAACTGGACAGTCTTCTAGGGAAATTCAACTCCTGGGAGGTTCATCTACTCATCCATCCATGCAACAGGTATTGAGCTTCTTTTATATTCTAGACACTGGGGATGCAGCACTGAATGAGGCAGATGTGGTCTCTGCTGTTCTGGTGATTATATTTTAATGGAAGAAGAAAGACAACAAGTATATAAATGTGCAAAATAAGTGCATTGAAGGCAAGAAAACAGGACGTTGTGCCTAGAAGGGATGATGGGAGATATCAAGGTGGATTCTCAGAGAAAGTGTCACTTGAGGCAAAACTTGAGTGAAATAATAGAGCCAACCATATGAATATCTAAAAATGGCAGAAAGCTAAACCAGTTTGCATTCCCACCTATGGGGTACAATGGTTCCCTTTTCTCTACATCCTCACCAATCCTTATATATCTATTTTTTTTTTTTTTTTTGAGACGGAGTTTCACTCGTCACCCAGCCTGGAGTGCAATGGTGCGATCTTGGCTCACTGCAACCTGTGATTTCCTGCCTCAGCCTCCCGAATAGCTAAGATTACAGGTGCCCACCAACAAGCCCAGCTAATTTTTGTATTTTTAGTAGAGATGGGGTTTCGCCAAGTTGGGCAGGCTGGTCTCAAACTCCTGACATCAGGTGATCCACCCACCTCAGCCTCCCAAAGTTCTGGTATTACAGGTTTGAGCCACCATGCCAGCCTTATATATCTTTTTGTTAGCAGTCATCCTAACAGGCATGGAGTGATATCTCATTGTGGTTTTTAATTTGCGTTTCCCTAATGATTAGAGATGTTAAGCATTTTTTTCATGTATCTATTAAGCATTTTTTTCATATATATATTGGCCGTTCATATGTCTATGTAGATCCTTTGAGCATTCTTTTCTTTTTGTTTTTTCTGTTTGTTTGTTTGTTTTTTTGAGACAGTCTCGCTCTGTCACCCAGGCTAGAGTGCAGTGGCATGATCTTGGCTCACTGCAACCACCACCTTCCAGGTTCAAGCGATTCTCCCGCCTCAGCCTCCCAAGTAGCTGGGATTATAAGCACTTGCCACCACGCCTGGCTAATTTTTGTATTTTTAGTAGAGATGGGGTTTTGCCATGTTGGCCAGGCTGGTCTCAAACTCCTGACCTCAGGTGATCCTCCCTCCTCGGCCTCCCAAAGTGCTGGGATTACAGACGTGAGCCACCACACCCGGCGCATTCTTTTCTTTTCTTTTTTGAGAGCGAGTCTCACTGTGTCGCCCAGGCTGAAGTGCAGTGGTGCAATCTAAGCTCACTGCAACCTCCCAGTTCAAGCAATTCTCCTGCCTCAGCCTCCTGTGTAGCTGGGATTACAGACACCTGCCACCATGTCCAGCTAATTTTTTGTGTTTTTAGTAGAGACAGGGTTTCACCATGTAGGCCAGGCTGGTCTTGAACTTCTAACCTCAGGTGATCCACCCACCTCAGCCTCCTAAAGTGCTGGGATTGCAGGCATAAGCCACTGTACCCAGCCCCATTTGTTTATTTTTGTTTTCATTGCCTGTTCTTTTGGAGTCCTATCTAAGAAATCACTGCCCAGATTAATGTTGAGCTTTTCTTCTAGTAGTTTTATGATTTCAGCTCTTACATTTAAGCCATTTTGAAAATAGAAGGAGATTCCTCAAAAAAAACTAAAATTAGAATTACCATATGATCAGGAATCCTTCTTCTGAGTGTATACCCAAAGGAATTGAAATCACAATGTCAAAGAGATATCTGCATTCCTATGTTCATTTCAGAATTATTCCCAATAGCCAAGATATGACAGCAATCTAAGTGTTTATCAACAGATGAATGGAGAAAATGTGGTAGGCCAGGCATGGTGGCTCACACCTATAATCCCAGCACTTTAGGAAGCCAAGGCAGGTGGATTGCTTGAGCCCAGGAGTTCAAGATCAGCCTGGGCAACAGGGTGAAACCCCATCTATACAAAATAATACAAAAATGAGCGGGGCTTGGCAGCACATGCCTGTGGTCCCAGCTACTCAGGAGGCTGAGGGCTAAGGTGAGAGGGTCGCTTGAGTCCACTGGAATCAAGAGTGCAGTAAGCTGAGAGCACACAATTGCACTCCCGCCTAGGCAACAGAGCAAAACCCTGTCTCTAAAAAAACAGAAAGAAAAGAAAATGTGGTGTATATACACAATGGAATATTATACAGTCTTTAAGAAGAAGAAAGTTTTTGTCAGTCACAACAACATGAATGGAACTGGAAGACATTATGGTAAGTGAAATAATCCAAGCACAAGAAGACAAATGCTATATCATCTCACTTACATGTGGGATTTAAAAACATCAAAGGCATAGAAAAAGGGACTAGGAAGGTAGTTACTAGAGGCTGGTGGGGAAGAGGACGGATGGGCAAAAGGAAGGTATTAATCAAAAGGTACTAAGTCTCAGACTGAAGAAATAAGCTTTAGTAATCTATTGTACTGCATGATGACCACAGTTGGTTTTTTTGTTTGTTTTTTGTGGTTTTTTTTTTGAGATAGGATCTTGCTTTGTCACCCAGGCTGGTGTGCAGTGGCAGGATCACACCTCTCTACAGCCTCAATCTCCCAGGCTCAAGTGATCCTCCCACTTCAACCTCTCAAGCAGCTAGGACTACCAGCAAGCACCAACATGCCTGGCTAATTTTTTTTTTTTTTAAATAAAGATGGGTTTTGCTATGTTGCCTAGGCTGCTCTTGAATTCCCAGGGTCAAGCAATCCACTTGCCTCCCAAAGTGCCGGGATTACAGGCATAAGCCACTGCACCAGCCTGAACACAATTTTTTTTTTTTTTTTTTTTGAGACGAAGTCTCACTCTGTCACCCTGACTGGAGCAGAGTGGTGCAATCTCAGCTCACTGCAACCAGGTTCCTCCTCCCAGGATCAAGCAATTCTCCTGCCTCAGCCTCCTGACTAGCTGGGATTACAGGCACACGCCACCACACCCAGCTAATTTTTTTGTATCTTTAGTACAGATGGGGTTTCACCATGTTGGCCAGGCTCGTCTCCAACTCCTGACCTCAGGTGACCCACCCGCCTTGGCCTCCCAAAATGCTGAAATAACAGACGTGAACCACCGTGCCTGGCCCACAATTTTTTTTTTTTTTTTTTTTTGAGACAGAGTCCACCTCTGTCTCCAGGCTAGAGTTCAGTGGCATGATCTCGGCTCGCTGCAACCTCCGCCTCCCAGGTTCAAGGGATTCTACTGCCTCAGCCTCCCGAGTAGCTGGGATTACAGGCACATGGCACCACGCCCAGCTAATTTTTGTATTTTTAGTAGAGATGGGGTTTCACCTTGTTGGCTAGGATGGTCTCGATCTCCTGACCTCGTGATCTGCCTACCTCAGCCTCCCAAAGTGCTGGAATTACAGGTGTGAGCCACCTAGCTGGCCCAGAATTATTAATAATTGTATATTTCAAAACTGCTAAAAGAACTAAGAGCAGTGGCTTACGCCTGTAATCCCAGCACTTTGGGAGACCAAGGAGGGTGGATCACTTGAGGTCAGGAGTTAGAGACCAGCCTGGCCAACATGGTGAAACCCTGTCTCTACTAAAAATACAAAAAATTAGCTGGGCATGGTGGCATGTGCCTGTAATTCCAGCTACTCAGGAAGCTGAGGCAGAAGAATCACTTGAATCTGGGAGGTGGAGATTGCAGTGAGCTGAGATTGCACCACTGCACTGTCCTGCCTGGGTGACAGAGCAAGACTCAGTCTCAAAAAAAAAGATTGCTAAAACAATATTTTTTAACATTGTCACCAAAAGACAAAAAAATGATAAGCTGGTAAGGTAATGGATATGTTAATTAACTTGATTGATCTTTCTACAATGTGTACATAGATCAAAATATCACATTGTACCCCATACATATACATAACTATTATTTGTCAATTAAAAATAAATAAATAGGTGGGCATGGAGGCTCACACATGTAATCCCAGCACTTTGGGATGCTAAGGGGGTGCAGATCATCTGAGGTCAGGAGTTCAAGACCAGCCTGACCTACATGGAGAAACCCTGCCTCTACTAAAAATACAAAATTAGCCGGGCATGGTGGCGTATGCCTGTAATCCCAGCTACTCGGGAGGCTGAGGCAGGAGAATCACTAGAACCTGAGAAGCAGAGAGCCGAGACCATGCCATTGCACTCCAGCCTGGGCAACAAGAGTGAAACTCCGTCTCAAAAAATAAATAAATAAATAAATAGGCCAGCAGGGTGGCTCATGGCTGTAATACTAACACTTGAGGAGGTCAAGGCAGGCGGATCACAAGGTCAGGATTGGAGACTAGCCTGGCCAACATGGTGAAACCCCGTCTCTACTAAAAATACAAAAAAATTAGTCAGACATGGTGGCAGGCACCTGTAATTCCAGCTACTCGGGAGGCTAATGCAAGAGAATCACTTGAAACTGGAAGGCAGAAGTTGCAGTGAGCTGAGATCGCACCACTGCACTCCAGCCTGGGCAACAAGAGTGAAAATCCTTCTCAAAAAAATAAAATAAAATTAATTTAGATAATTAACATGAAGAAAAATAGAAAAATAAATTTAAAAGGCAGAAAGTTACAGCGAAAGCAACTGCAAAGGGCCTGAGGTGGGAACAAGATTGGCTTACTGCAGAAGGAGAAAGAAGGCCATTAGGGCTCAGAGAATAGTGAGGAAGGGGAGACAGGGAAACGCGAAGTTAGGCTTGGCCACCCCGAAGGCCAGAGAGCAAGCCCTGCAATGTGAGGAGGTCCTAGCCCACCAGATCACCTCTGGAGTCTCTTGCAGGACACTACAAGGAGGAGTTCTCACCACAGAGCCAAACCTGCCCCATTCTGCACAGCCTGACTTTATACTGTCCCCCAGACTCAGGAAGAGCCTCTGTACAGCCCTCTCCTACCATAAGGACCAGATTTTTAGGCCACTCCCAACTTTACCCAACTTACCTTCCCAAGAGTAGGCTTGGGAATCCTTCTTGGACTGACTCAACAGCGAAGCCCAAGCCACCACAGACAGCCTGGCCATAAAGACCTGCAAGTCCGACTCATCTCCAAACCCACTTAGGGGGCATGGGCTTGGCTTGCCTGATCTGGGGGAAGCCATTCCCTGCAAGGAACAGCAGCTTCTGTGTGTGCTGAGCTGTCTGTGCTGTACGATAAGGTAAGTGGCTGCACATGCTTATATTCTGTCTGTCTAGTCTGTGTAACGTGGTTCTCAATGACTAATGCTCCTTTTCTGTGACAGAGGCAGTAAAGAGTGAAGACCCTAAAAAAAAGATAACCTTGTTAATTTTCCAATATTATTTCATTTTATTATCATATGCCTATCAGACTGCCAAATTCAAAAACAGCCTTCTCCAATATTTGGAGTTTTATTTCTCCAAATGTATTAAGAGCTTGAAGAAAAGGGAAAAAAAATTATCTGTGAAACTTAATGACATCCTGCAGTTTAAGAATCATTCAGCATTTTCTTTTTTTTTTTTTTTTTTTTTTTTTTCGAGATTGAGTCTCGCTCTGTCACACAGGCTGGAGTACAGTGGCGCAATCTTGGCTCACTGCAACCTCTGCCTCCTAGGTTCAAGTGATTCCCCTGCGTCAGCCTCCTGAGTAGCTGAGATTACAGGCACACACCACCACACCTGGCTAATTTTTGTATTTTTAGTAGAGATGGGGTTTTGCCATGTTGGCCTGGCAGGTCTCGAACTCCTGACCTCAGGTGACCAGCCCACCTCGGCCTCCCAAAGTGCTGGATTTACAGGCATGAGCCACCATGCCCGGCCTCATTTAGCATTTTCAAGAGTCCATTTGGGAGGCCAAGGCGGGAGGATTGTTTGAGTTCAGAGGTTCAAGATCATCCTGGGCAACATGGGGAAACCCTGTCTCTACAAAAAATACAAAAATAGACAGTCATAATGCCATGTTCCTGTACTCCCAGCTACTTAGGAGCCTGAGGTACGAATATTGCTTGAGCCTGGGAGATTGAGGCTGCAGTGAACCAAGATTGCACCACTGCAATCCAGCCTGGGTGACAGAGTGGGACCCTGTCTCAAAAGAAAAAAATAGATTCCATTCCAATATGGCCGAATAGGAACAGCTCTGGTCTGCAGCTTCCAATGTGAATGACACAGAAGATAGGTGATTTCTGCATTTCCAACTGAGGTACCTGGTTCTTCTCATTGGGACTGGTTGAACAGTGAGTGCAGCCCACGGATGGTGAGCTGAAGCAGGGCAGGGCATCACCTCACCCAGGAAGCACAAGGGGTCAGGTGATTTCCCTTTCCTAACCAAAGGAAGCCATGACAGATGGTACCTAGAAAAATGGGACACTCCCACACAAATACTGCACTTTTCCAATGGTCTTAGCAAATGGCACACCAGGGGATTATATCCCATGCCTGGCTTGATGGGTCCCATGCCCACGGAGCCTTGCTCACTGCTACAGCAACAGTCTGAGATCAACCTGCAAGGCAGCAACCTGGCAGGGAGACGGGTGTCCGCCATTGCTGAGGCTTGAGTAGGTAAACAAAGCAGCCAGGGAAGCTCCAACTGGGCAGAACCCACCACAGCTCAAGAGGGCCAGCTGCTTCTCTAGTCTCCACCTCTGGGGGCAGGACATAGCTGAACAAAAGGCAGCAGAAACTTCTGCAGACTTTAACATCCCTGTCTGACAGCTCCGAAGAGAGCAGTGTTTCTCCCAGCATGGTGTTTGAGCTCAGGGAATGGACAGACTGCCTCCTCAAGTGGGTCCCTGACCCCCGTGTAGCCTAACTGGGAGACACCTCCAAGTAGCGGATGACTGACACCTCATACAGGCAGGTGCCCCTCTGGGACGAACCTTCCAGAGGAAGGATCAGGCAGCAACATTTGTTGTTCTGCAATATTTGCTGTTCTGCAGCCTCCGCTGGTGATACCCAGGCAAACGGGGTCTGGAGTGGACCTCCAGCAAACTCCAACAGACCTGCAGCTGAGGGACCTGACTGTTAGGAGGAAAACTAACAAACAGAAAGGAATAGCATCAACATCAACAAAAAGGACATCCACACCAAAACCCCATCTGTACGTCACCAACGTTAAGGACCAAAGGTAGATAAAACCACAAAGATGGGGAGAAACCAGAGCAGAAAAGCTGAAAATTCTAAAAACCAGAGTGCCTCTTCTCCTCCAAAGGATCACAGCTCCTCACCAGCGATGGAACAAAGCTGGATGGAGAATGACTTTGACGAGCTGACAGAAGTAGGCTTCACAAGCTCAGTAATAACAAACTTCTCTGAGCTAAAGGAAGATGTTCAAACCCATCACATGGAAGCTAAAAACCTTGAAAAAAGATTAGATAAATGGCAAACTAGAATAAACAGTGTAGAGAAGACCTTAAATGACCTGATGGAGCTGAAAACCATGGCACAAGAACTACGTGACGCATGCACAAGCTTCAATAGCTGATTTGATCAAGTGGAAGAAAGGGTATCAGTGACTGAAGATCAAATTAATGAAATAAAGCAAAAAGAGACATTTAGAGAAAAAAAGAGTAAAAAGAAATGAACAAATCCTCCAAGAAATATGGGACTATGTGAAAAGACCAAATCTATGTTTGATCGGTGTACCTGAAAGTGATGGGAGAAAGAAACCAAGTTGGAAAACACTCTTCAGGTTATTATCCAGGAGAACTTACCCAACATAGCAAGGCAGGCCAACATTCAAATGCAGGAAATACAGAGAATGCCACAAAGATACTCCTCGAGAAGAGCAACCCCAAGACACATAATTGTCAGATTCACCAAGGTTGAAATCAAGGTTGAAATGAAGGAAAAAATGTTAAGTGCAGCCAGAGAGAAAGGTCGGGTTACCCACAAAGGGAAGCCCATCAGATTAACAGGAGATCTCTCAGCAGAAACTCTACAAGCCAGAAGAGAGTGGAAGCCAATATTCAACATTCTTAAAGAAAAGAATTTTTGACTCAGAATTTCATATCCAGCCAAACTAAGCTTCATAAGTGAAGGAGAAATAAAATCCTTTACAGACAAGCAAATGCTGAGAGATTTTGTCACCACCAGTCCTGCCTTACAAGAGCTCCTGAAGGAAGCACTAAACATGCAAAGGAACAATCAGTACCAGCCACTGCAAAAACATGCCAAATTGTAAAGACCACTGATGCTAGGAAGAAACTGCATTAACTAGCAGGCAAAATAACCAGCTAACATCATAATGACAGGATCAAATTCACACATAACAATAATAACCTTAAATATAAATGGGCTAAATGCCCCAATTAAAAGACACAGACTGGCAAATTGGATAATGAGTCAAGACCCATCAGTGTGCTGTATTCAGGAGACCCATCTCACATGCAGAGACACACAGGCTCAAAATAAAGGGATAGAGGAAGATCTACCAAGCAAATGGAAAGCAAAAAAAAAGCAGGGGTTGCAATCCTAGTTTCTGATAAAACAGAGATCAAAAGAGGGACCAGCTTTGTTCCATTGCTGGTGAGGAGCTGCGATCCTTTGGAGGAGAAGAGGCACTCTGGTTTTTAGAATTTTCAGCTTTTCTGCTCTGGTTTCTCCCCATCTTTGTGGTTTTATCTACCTTTGGTCTTTAATGCTGGTGACCTACAGATGGGGTTTTGGTGTGGATGTCCTTTTTGTTGATGTTGATGCTATTCCTTTCTGTTTGTTAGTTTTCCTCCTAACAGTCAGGTCCCTCTTTTGACCAACAAAGATCAAAAGAGACAAAGAAGGCCATTACATAATGGTAAAGGGATCAATTCAACAAGAAGAGCTAACCTTCCTAAATGTATACGCACCCAATACAGGAACACCCAAATTCATAAAGCAAGTCCTTAGAGACATAAAAAGAGGCTTAGAGTCCCACACAATAATAATGGGAGACTTTATCACCCCACTGTCAATATTAGATCAACAAGACAAAAGGTTAACAAGGATATCCAGGACTTGAGCTCAGCTCTGCACCAAGCAGACCAAATAGACATCTACAGAACTCTCCACCCCAAATCAACAGAATATACATTCTTCTCAGCACCACATCACACTTATTCCAAAATTGACCACATAGTTGGAAGTAAAGCACTCCTCAGCAAATGTAAAAGAACAGAAATCACAACAAACTGTCTCCCAGACCACAGTGCAATCAAATTAGAACTCAGGATTAAGAACTCACTCAAAACCGCACAACTACATGGAAACTGAACAACCTGCCCCTGAATACTGAATACTCCTTACTACTGGGTAAATAACGAAATGAAGGCAGAAATAAAGATGTTCTTTGAAACGAATGAGAACAAAGACACAACATACCAGAATCTCTGGGACACATTTAAAGCAGTGTGTACAAGGAAATTTATAGCACTAAATGCTCACAAGAGAAAACAGGAAAGATCTAAAATCAACACCCTAACATCACAATTAAAAGAACTAGAGAAGCAAAAGCAAACAAATTCAAAAGCTAGCAAAAGGCAAGAAATAACTAAAATCAGAGCAGAACTGAAGGAGATAGAAACACAAAAAGAACCTTCAAAAAATCAATGAATCCAGGAGCTGGATTTTGGAAAAAATCAACAAAATTGATAGACCACTAGCAAGACTAATAAAGAAGAAAAGAGAGAAGAATCAAATAGACACAATAAAAAATTATAAAGGGGATACCACCACTGATACCACAGAAATACAAACTAACGTCAGAGAATACTATAAACACCTCTATGCCAATAAACCAGAAAATCTAGAAGAAATGGGTAAATTCCTGGACACATACACCCTCCCAAGACTAAACCAGGAAGAAGTTGAATCTCTGAATAGGCCAATAACAGGCTCTGAAATTGAGGCAATAATTAATAGCCTACCAACCAAAAAAAGTCCAGGACCAGACGGATTCACAGCCGAATTCTACCAGAGGCACAAAGAGGAGCTGGTACCATTCCTTCTGAAACTATTCCAATCAATAGAAAAAAAGGGAATCCTCCCTAATGCATTTTATGAGGCCAGCATCATCCTGATACCAAAGCCTGGCAGAGACACAACAAAAAAAAGAGAATTTTAGACCAATATCCCTGATGAACATCGATGAGAAAATCCTCAATAAAATACTGGCAAACCGAATCCAGCAGCACATCAAAAAGTTTAGCCACCACGATCAAGTCGACTTCATCTCTGGGATGGAAAACTGGTTCAACATATGCAAATCAATAAACATAATCTATCACATAAACAGAAACAATGACAAAAACCACATGATTATCTCAATAGATGCAGAAAGGGCCTTCAACAAAATTCAACAGCCCTGCATGCTAAAAACTCTCAATAAACTAGGTATTAATGGAATGTATCTCAAAATAATAAGCGCTATTTATGACAAACCCACAGCCAATATCATACTGAATGGGCAAAAACTGGAAGCATTCTCTTTGAAAACTAGTGCAAGACAGGGATGCCATCTCTCACCACTCCTATTCAACACAGTGTTGGAAGTTCTGGCCAGGGCAATCAGGCAGGAGAAAGAAATAAAGGGTATTCAATTAGGAAAAGAGGAAGTCAAATTGTCCCTGTTTGCAGATGACATGATTGTATATTTAGAAAACCCCATCGTCTCAGCCCAAAATCTCCTTAAGCTGATAAGCAACTTTAGCAAAGTCTCAGGATACAAACTCAATGTGCAAAAATCACAAGCATTCCTATACACCAATAACAGACAAACAGAGAGCCAAATCATGAGTGAACTCCCATTCACAATTGCTACAAAGAGAATAAAATACCTAGGAATCAAACTTACAAGGGATGTGAAGGACCTCTTCAAGGAAAACTACAAACCACTGCTCAACAAAATAAAAGAGGACACAAACAAATGGAAGAACATTCCATGCTCATGGATAGGAAGAATCAATATCGTGAAAATGGCCATACTGCCCAAGGTAATTTATAGATTCTATGCCATCCCCATCAAGCTACCAGTGACTTTCTTCACAGAATTGGAAAAAACTACTTTAAAGTTCATATGGAACCAAAAAAAAGCCCACATTGCCAAGACAATTCTAAGCAAAAACAACAAACCTGGAGGCATCACACTACCTGACTTCAAACTATACTTCAAGGCCACAGTAACCAAAACAGCATGGTACTGGTACCAAAACAGATATATAGATCAATGGAACAGAACAGAGCCCTCAGAAATAATACCACACATCTGCAACCACTGATCTTTGACAAACCTGACAAAAACAAGAAATGGGGAAAGGATTCCCTATTTAATAAATGGTGCTGGGAAAACTGCCTAGCCATATGGAGAAAACTGAAACTGGATCCCTTCCTTACACCTTATACAAAAATTAATTCAAGATGGATTAAAGACTTAAATGTTAGACCTAAAACCATAAAAACCCTAGAATAAAACCTAGGCAATGCCATTCAGGACATAGGCGTGGGCAAAGACTTCATGACCAAAACACAAACAGCAATGGCAACAAAAGCCAAAATAGACAAATGGGATCTAATTAAACTAAAGAGCTTCTGCACAGCAAAAGGAACTACCATCAGAGTGAATAGGCAACCTACAGAATGGGAGAAAATTTTTGCAACCTATCCATCTGACAAAAGGGATAATACCCAGAATATACAAAGAACTTAAATAAATTTACAAGAAAAAACAAACAACCCCATCAAAAAGTGGGCAAAGGATATGAACAGACACTTCTCAAAAGAAGACATTTATGCAGCCAACAGACATATGAAAAAATGCTCATCATCACTGATCATCAGAGAAATGCAAATCAAAACCACAATGAGATACCATCGCATGCCAGTTAGAATGGCGATCATTAAAAAGTCAGGAAACAACAGATGCTGGAGAGGATGTGGAGAAATAGGAATGCTTTTACACTGTTGGTGGGAGTGTAAATTAGTTCAACCATTGTGGAAGACAGTGTGGCGATTCTTCAAGGATCTAGAACTAGAAATACCATTTGACCCAGCAATCCCATTACTGGGTATGTACCCAAAGGATTATAAATCATGCTACTATAAAGACACATGCACATGTATGTTTACTGCGGTGCTATTCACAATAGCAAAGACTTGGAACCAACCCAAATATCCATCAATGATAGACTGGATTAAGAAACTGTGGCACATATACACCATGGAATACTATGCAGCCATGAAAAAGGATGAGTTCATGTCCTTTGCAGGGACATGGATGCAGCTGGAAACCATCCTTCTGAGCAAACTATCACAAGGGCACAAAACCAAGCACAGCATGTTCTCACTCATAGGTGGAAACTGAACAATGAGAACACATGGACACAGGGCGGGGAACATTATACCTGGGGCCTGTCATGGGGTGGGGGACAGGAGGAGGGATAGCATTAGGAGAAACACCTAATGTAAATGACAAGTTAATGGGTGCAGCAAACCAGCATGGCACATGTATACCTATGTAACAAATCTGCACTTTGTGCACCTGTACCCTAGAACTTAAAGTATAATAAATAAAAAAAGAAATAAAGAAATAAATAAAAGACTAGTTCAAGGGTTTACCTTTCGACTATCCTAACTGAACAAGTCTAAGGATAATGGCAGTTTGTGCTCATTTATGGAATTAGTAATCCTACATGAACAGGGATCTCTAAAGAATTGATCTTGTTCTCCAACAACATAGACATTCTGTGGCACCACAGTGAACAGGATATTTAAAGTTTTCTAAAGGCATTTGATATTTGTCAGACACCAGGCAAGCTGCTAACTTGAGGCATTTCACAACTTCAACATAAGATAGCTACATTCATTTCAATGATGTCATGCCTTTGCAAAGCTAAATTTTTGCCAGTTCCTTTTATATAAATTTAAAAAAATAAAAATCAGGCCAGGCACGGTGGTTCACGCCAGTAGTCCCAGCACTTTGGGAGGCCAAGGCAGGTGGATCACTTGAGGTCAGGAGTTTGAGACCAGCCTGACCAACATGGCGAAACCTTGTCTCTACTAAAAATACAAACATTGGCCTGGCATGGTGGCACATGCCTGTAATCCCAGCTACTCGGGAAGCTGAGGCATGAGAATTGCTTGAACCCAAGAGGTGGAGGTTGCAGTGAGCTGAGATCACACCACTGCACTCCAGCCTGGGCAACACAGTGAGACCCTTTCTCAAAAAAATAATAATAATCACATAAAACTGAGTGTGGTACAAGAAATGAAGGTGGCTATCTTGTCTGATTTCAAAATTTGAGAAGTTGTGCCGGGCCCAAGAAGTACACACATATTATTAGTAATTATGGTTATTTAAGAATAAAATAATTTTTTATTTCCATTTATGAGTTTACTAATTTTCAAATGGCTACCAAATACTATTGCTTAGACCTAACTACTTAACAAGTGAATACTCAGGGCACTGTGAACTGAAAAATTTCGAAAATCTCTGCCCTGTGACTTTGTCTTAAAATAAAATGTCAATTTTATGTGATATGCGTTTTATTTTACAATGTATGTTAGTAATATTACTAAGGTCTCATAGCCTAGGCAACATAGTAAGACCCCATCTCTACAAAAAAAAAATTAAAACATTAACTGGGCATGGTGGCACACACCTCTAGTCCCAGCTGCTCAGGAGGCTGTGGTGAGAGGATCGCCAGAGCCTGAGAGGTCAGGGCTGCAGTTAGGCATAATCGTGCCACTGCACTCCAGTCTGCGTGACAGGGCAAGACCCTATCTCAAAAGAAAAAAAAGGAAAAGAAAAATAAGTCATCATAATGTGTCTGAAAATTATGCTATGTGTCTTAGTACACTTTGTGCTGCTATAACAGCATATCTGAGAGTGGGTAACTTATAAAGAACAGAAATGCATTGGCTCACAGCTCTGGAGGCTGGGAAGCCCAAGAGCATGGTGTTGGCATCTGGTGAGGGCCTTCTTGCTATGTCATCCCAAGGCACAAGGCAAGAGAGTAAGAGAGGACAAGAGAGCAAGAGATCAAACTCACGGCCTCAAGCCCTTTTTAAATCATCACTAGTCCATTCATGAGGATGGGGCCTTCATGATCTAAACACCTCACATTAGGTCCCACCTCCGAACACTGTTGCATTGGGGATTAAGTTTCCAACACATGCTTTTTGAGGGACACTATATAGCGCTACATTAATAGGTATGAGACTTCTTATGCAGTTTAAGAAGTTTATTGACTTCAATCTGATTATACAGACTTGACCATTATGGAATGAATGTTTGCAACCCTTCATATTCATAAGAACCTAACCCCCAATATGATGGTACTTGGAGATGGGGCCTTTGGGAGGTAATTAGGTCTAGATGAGGTCATGAGGATGAGGTCCTCATGATAGGATTAGTGCCCTTAAGAGAAGAGACACTACAGAGTCCCCTTTCTTTCTTTCTTTTTTCTTTCTTTTTTCTTTTCTTTCTCTCTCTCTCTCTCTCTCTCTCTCCCTCCCTCCCTTTCTCTCTCTCTCTCTCCCCTTCTTCCTCTCCCTCTCTCTCCCCAGCCTTCTGCAATTCAGGAAGCAGGCCCTTACCAGAAACTGGACACTGCTGGACCACGATTTTAGACTCCCCAGGTTCTAGAGCTCTGAGAAAAATAGATGTCTATTGCTTAAGCCACCCACTCTGTGGCATCTTAGCCTGACCTAAGATATGACATTTTGAAGGAACAGAAGAGGCAAATCACAGAACTACTTAGAGTGGGTCACTCTGAGGTGGAGGTTGAACTCAAATAAAAAGGAGGACTTTAATCAAAGTAAGTTAACATTCCTTTCCTTAGATGAAGGGAAAATAAGATGGTGATAAGCAAACCTGACTAGAACCTGCCAGATGCTGTCACAGGAGTGACAGGAAAAGTGCAGGAAGCAAGAGTGAATTACACCTTCCCAAGTGCCATGCTGTATCTCAGTTGGGCATGAAGCACAGTGCCCAACACATGCTACATACTCAAAAATATTAGTAAAATGAATGTGTAAATCAATGACCCCAGCTGGGAGGTTTAGGAGGTATAAGAAGCACATTTGTGTGAAATACATTTTAAATAGAAAAAATATATATATCATTATTAGACATGCTTTGAAAGTTATTTTGCCTTTTTGTTTTTAATAGAGATAGGGTCTCACTATGTTGCCCATACTGGTCTCGAACTCCTGGGCTCAAGCAATCCTCCCTCCTGGGCCTACCAAAGTGCTGGGATTACAGGCATGAGCCACCATAGCCAGCCGAAAGCTATTTTGTGATTTGCCCTCATAAGTATATATTTCTCTTAACAGTTGATTATATACACAATGCTGTGTTTTAACAGTGTTGTCTGTGACAAACTGCAACAGAACCATCTTGGCTTCCTGGCCCCTTCCATGGCCTCTCAAATCCGAATCAGCCTGGGAGGTCAAGAGGCCCTAGGCAACATGGGGAAATTCCATCTCTAAAACAATAAAATAGACTGGGCGCAGTGGCTCAGGCCTGTAATCCCAACACTTTAGGAGGCTAAGGTGGGTGGATCACTTGAGGTCAGGAGTTTGAGACCAGCCTGGCCAACATAGTGAAATCCCATCTCTACTAAAAATACAAAAATTAGCCAAGCGTGGTGGCATATAGTCCCAGCTACTTGGGAGGCTGAGGCAGAAGAATCGCTAGAAACTGAGAGGTGGAGGTTGCAGTGAGTTGAGATCATCCCACTGCACTCCAGCCTCAGTGACAGAGCAAAACTCTGTCTCAAAAAATAATAATAAAAATAATAAAAATAAAAAT
Organism: Homo sapiens; assembly: GCF_000001405.40. Taxonomy (NCBI): domain Eukaryota; kingdom Metazoa; phylum Chordata; class Mammalia; order Primates; family Hominidae; genus Homo; species Homo sapiens. Next base: position 69,916,929 of record NC_000008.11, read on the forward strand.
AAATTAACCAGGCATTGTGGCATGCACCTGTAGTCTCAGCTGCTACTTGGGAGGCTGAGGTGGGAAAATCACTTGAGCCTGGGAGGTTGAGGCTGCGGTGAGCCATAATCACATCACTTAATTCCAGCCTGAGCAACAGAATGAAACTCTATCTCAAAAAAAATGAAATTAATTAATTTTTTTCTGTGTTCTGGTAGAGCTTCAGAAATACCTAGAAAATATTTTTAAAGAAATGCTTATTTTTATTTTTATTACCAATGAAATGTGTGCTCATAGTAGAAAATCTAGGAAATATGGATAAGCGATAAGAAGGGAAAAATAATCAGAGATGACCACTGCTAATTTTTTGGAATATTCCTATTCAATAATTGTAGGGAGATATAAAATTTTTTATAAAACTATAATAATATTATATATAGCATGCTGTAATCCGTTATTTTTTTCACGAGTCAATATATCTTTTTTATTTTATTTTATTTGAAACAAGGTTTGCTCTGTTGCCCAGGCTGGAGTTTAGTGGCACAATCACGGCTCACTGCAGCCTTGATCTCCAGGGCTCAAGTGATCCTCCTGCCTCAGCCTCCAGAGTAGCTGGAATTACAGGCACATGTCACCTTGCCCAGCTAATTTTTTAATTTTTTTTTTGTAGAGATGGAGTCTCACTATGTTGCCTAGGCTAGTCTTGAACTCCTGGGCTCAAGAGATCCTCCTGCCTTGGCTTTCCAAAGTGCTGGGATTACAGGTGTGAGCCACCACACCTGGCAATAATAATAATAACTTTAATTTTAAAAGTATAAATAATGGTAAATATTCTACTGGTAGTTAACTGGACCCCCAATTCTCTATGATGGAATTTTTTGTAGCAATCATGCACTTGATACTGCATTTGATTTGTAGAATTAGCATTTTTACATGGACAAGAAGCACAAAAGAATAGTAAATTATTCAAGAGGAGAGGTAGTTTGTTAAACTTGAAGCATTCGCCAAAGAAAATGTTCCCTACACGTGAAAGTTAATCAGAGTGTGGACTGCAGTCTTCTGCAGTGTGTGTATGAAAAAACCCTGTCATCAAGAAACTCACAACTTCAGGTCAGGTGACAGAATGTCCACAGTTAAATATATTCACCAGCCGGGCGCGTAGGCTCACGCCTGTAATCCCAGCACTTTGGGAGGCTGAGGCGGGTGGATCACGAGGTCAGGAGATCCAGACCATCCTGGCTAACACGGTGAAACCCCGTCTCCACTAAAAATACAAAAAATTAGCCAGGCATGGTGGCGGGTGCCTGTAGCCCCAGCTACTCGGGAGGCTGAGGCAGGAGAATGACGTGAACCCAGGAGGCAGAGCTTGCAGTGAGCCAAGATCGTGCCACTGCACTCCAGCCTGGGCGAAAGAGCGAGACTCTGTCTCAAAAAAAAAAAAAAATATATATATATATAGATATATATATATACACACACACACACACACACACACACACACATATACACACATACACATATATATACACACACACATATATATACACACACACACATATATATATGTATATATTCACCAAGCAGGGACAGACAGCAGAGCACAACCAGAGCAAAGGGTGAACGGTGAGTGAAATCAGGAAAGCTTTGTTAGAAGAGGTGAATTTGGCACTGGCCACTGCGCTCTCCCAAAGCCCTGCTCCCCTCTGAAATGCCAACAAGCACCCACCAACATTAACCATGAACACTGGGACAGACAGGCCAGGTCATTATTACGGAAAAGGAAAAAGAAGTTCAAGTTTAACATCAGGAAAGGGGAATTCCAGTCACAAGGTTTAAGGCACACTTTATATTGGCAAAATGTATCATCCACGTAGAAGATATAATCATCCCTGGCCTTTAAAAACTCTACTACACAGCATCCAAAAATAAAAAGCAAACAAATACAAGGAAAAATTAAGACCCACCATTACTTTATGGGAGCTCTCTGTGCCCCCTGCATGGAACTTTTTGGTGTTTGTGGGGGTTTGGGGCGGTGGGTTTGTTTGTTTTTGAGACAGAGTCTTGCTCTGTCACCCAGGCTGGAGTACAATGGTGTGATCTCGGCTCACTGCAGCCTCCACTTCCCAGGTTCTCCTGTCTCAGCCTCCCAAGTAGCTGGGATTACAGGTGTGCACCACCACACCTGGCTAATTTTTGTATTTTTCCTAGAGACAAGGTTTCACCATGTTGGTCAGGCTGGTCTCAAATTCCTGACCTCTGGTGATCCATCCACCTCAGCCTCCCAAAGTGCTGAGATTATAGGCATGAGCCACTACATCCAGCTGGAATTTTTTTCATCCTCTGCCTATGAGTTTGTTTACTATTAAGTACAAATATCTAAACTAGAAGAACTCTACCTATATATTTAGGATTCTTGAGGTCCAACATGTATACAACCTAGGAAATAGCTTTCTTAGAAAACTACCTGGCTGGGGCCGGGCACGGTGGCTCATGCCTGTAATCCCAGCACTTTGGGAGGCCGAGGCAGGCAGATCACGAAGTCAAGAGATCAAGACCATCCTGGCCAACATGGTGAAACCCTGTCCCTACTAAAAATACAAAAATTTGCCAGGCATGGTGGCACGCACCTGTAACCCCAGCTACACAGGAGGCTGAGGCAGGAAAATTGCTTGAACCCAGGAGACCAAGGTTGCAGTGAGCCGAGATCACGCCATTGCACTCCAGCCTGGGCAACGAGAATGAAACTCCGTCTCAAAAAAATATATATATATACAAAAATTAGCCAGGCATGATGTCAATGATGTCAGGTGCCTATAATCCCAGCTACTTGGGAGGCTGAGGTGGGAGAATTGCTTGAAACCCGGAGGTGGAGGTTTCAGTGAGCCGAGATCGCGCCATTGCACTCCAGATGGGATGACAGAGTGAGACTCTGTCTCAAAAAAAAGAAAGAAAGAAAAGAAAAGAAAACTACCTTAAAGGAACATAGTTTTTTCATTCGTCATTAAGCATACAAGGGTCAAAGGACTGCCAAGTTGAAGCCAGATATTTGCAAATTCAGCTTGTGCTCTGACATGCTTCAGATATTTAACGACGCCTAGCAGTGTTCTCTTAACAGATTCAAATCAGAAGAATGAAGAAAGGAAGGAGGAAAAGAAGTCAGGAAGGGAGTAAGGAAAAAGAAATAAACCTTCACCAAGTAGCAAGACACCATGTCAGGTGCTTCATAAATATGAGTTCTAAATTACATGCCTGTTAAGTCAGAAATAGTCGCTCTGACATTCATCACAATGAGCAGGGCCAGATTTTTTTTTAAGCCCTAAAGCTTTGAACATGAACTAATTTGTCCTCTAAATCCAGGTCTCTCTTAAACAAATGATGTTAATATTCTAGAGGGTTATGAGATCAAGACCTCTGTGTGCAGTCAAATTCCTCATCCTCCCTCAATTCCAGAATAAATATCCAGGTATCCAGCCTTTAAATCCTTTGCAGTGAGGTCGCAGTGAGCAGGAGATCACTTGAACCCGGGAGGTGGAGGTTGCAGTGAGCCAAGATCATGCCACTGCACTCCAGCCTGGGTGACAGAGTGAGACTCTGTCTCAAAAAATAAACAAACAAACAAAAAAAGTGTGTAGCACTTCCTCTTTCTCTCTCTCTCTCTCTCCTGCTCCACCATGTGAAGATGTGTCTCTGTCTGCTTCCCCTTCGCCTTTCACCATGACTGTAAGTTTCCTGAGGCCTCCCCAGCCATGCTTCCTGTACAGCCTGCAGAACTGTGAGTCAATTAAACCTCTTTTCTTAATAAATTACCCAGTCTCAGGTAGTTTCTTATAGCAATGCGAGAACGAACTAGTACACCATGTTATCTATATATTCTGAATTTGTATCAAGGGAGAATTATTGGTTAAAAGAGCTAGAAATGTTTGCCCTTTCAGAAGGCGGACATGACTGACCTCTTCGTAGGTTTGAAAGACTGTGAGGCCAGGTACAGTGGCTCACGCCTGTAATCTCAGCACTTTGGGAGGCCGAGGCAGGCGGATCACGAGGTCAGGAGTTCAAGACCAGCCTGACCAATATGGTGAAACCCCGTCTCTATTAAAAATACAAAAATTAGCCGGGCATGGTGGCACGTGCCTGTAGTCCTAGCTACTCAAGAGGCTAGGCAGAAGAATCTCTTGAGCCCGGGAGGTGGAGATTGCAGTGAGCCAAGACTGTGCCACTGCACTCCAGCCTGGGCAACAGAGGTCAGACAGACAGACGGAGGTCTCAAAAAAAAAAAAAAAAAGAAAGAAAGACTGTGATGCCAGAGATTAGCGTTACTCCTTGTACATCCAGAGGGCAATGCAAGGACATGGAGGTGGCAGGGGACCATGTATTAATTTATTAATTAGGACTCTTTCACAACAGAATGGGCTACCTAGCGAGATGTACCCCTTCATGGAGAGTATTCATGGAGAAGCTGGAAGATCATTGTTCTGCCTGGATTAGAAGGATCAAATAGACCAATGGTTCCCAAGTACCTGTCCAGGTATGACAACATTTCTACTGATCAATGACAAAACAATAAAAAAATAAAGAACAAAGAACAAAGTCATGAGTTTTCCCTAGAACTCACTTGATTGAATTGAAAGGATTTCTCTTAATTCTAAGATTATTCAAAATTAACCTTTCCTACTTTTTCATTGGTAGAGTATCCTCTCTTCTAGGAAATGATGGTGGCAGGAAATGATGATAGCTATTGCTTTTGTAATAAACTGACTTGACAAAAGAAACAATAGCATCAATATGCTGACTACACCAATTTTGTCCTGTTAGTGGTTCATCGAATTCAAATTGGGGAACTAGACTAGATGAACTCAGAGTTGATCCAGTTGTTGAAGCCAAAAATGCAAGGGTCATCCTTGAATCTTCTCCTTCTCTCCACCCAACACCCAGCCATCAGCATGTCATGTTGATTCCATGTCCACAACATGTCTCCAAAGTGACCATTCTCTCCTGCATGATGACCCTAGCCCCCATCGTCTCTCTTACCAGGACCAGTGCAACAGGTTCCTGACCCCACTCCCTGGTTCCACTCTTTGCCCCTTACTGTAATTCATTCTCTGTTCAGCAACTAGACCAATTTCAAATGCAAATTAGGTCATGATCTCCTCCTTGAAGCCCTCAAATAGCTTCACATTCCACCTAGAACAAAATCCAAATTCTTTACTATGGCCGGACATGGTGGCTCACGCCTATAATCCCAGCACTTTGGGAGGCTGAGGCGGGCGGATCACCGGAGGTCAGGAGTTCGAGACCAGCCTGGCCAACATGGTGAAACCCCATCTCCACTAAAAATACAAAATTAGCCAGGCATGGTGGTGCATGCCTGTAGTCCCAGCTACAGCCATGCACCACCATACTTGGGGGGCTGAGGTAGGAGTATCGCTTGAACCCGGGAGGCACAGGTTGCAGTGAGCCGAGATCACACCACTACACTTCAGCCTGGGTGACAGAGCAAGACTCTGTCTAAAAAAAACACAAAAAACAAATTCCTTACTATAACAGGAGCCCTACAAGACCTTGGCCCTGCCTCCCACACCAGCCTCAGTTTATCCTTTTATCCCCCTTGGCCTTTCAGTCCCTCAAACACAGCAACCTGGACTCTGTGTTAGGATATGGAATCGTTGTTCCTTCTAATTTGAATGCTCTTCCCCCAGGTCTTCCCAGGGTTGATTCCTTCCCCTGACCATTCTGACCTCAAATGTTACCTCCTTAGAGAAGTCTTACAAGACCATGTGACTTTAAGCAGCCCTCCCCTACCCCTCCCCATATATATATATATATATATATATAATTTTTTTTTAAGAGACAGGGTTTTACTATGTTGCCCAGCTAGAGTGCAGTGGCTAGTCACAGATTCAATCCCACTACTGATCAGCACAAGAGTTTTAACCTGCTCCGTCTCCAACTTGGGCTGGTTCACCACTCCTTAGGCAACTGGGTAGTCTCCGCTCACATGAGGTCACCATATTGATGCTGAATTTAGTGTGGACATCCAATGGACATAGCGCACTACAGCCCAGAAATCCTAGGCTCAAGCAGTCCTCCCCACTCAGCCTCCCATGGAGCTGGGACCACAGGTGCATGCCACTACCCCAAGTCCCTCTTTATCAATGAGATACAGTTTTGTTCTTGTTTTCTTGTGACACATATTTATAAAATTGAAATTGTCTTTGCATGTTTCTTGCCTATCTTCCCCCAATAAGGAAAGCTCCCTAAGGGCAGGAGCCACATCTGCTTGCCCATTTCTGTCTTCTCAGCTAAGGGAACAGTACCTGGCAGTTGAATGAATGAATAAAAGGTACTCTCCAACTCTAACTTTCCAGGACCCATTTTCTCTTCCAAAATATCTTTCTATGAGCAAATACACTTAAAGAAAGCATTACTGTATTTATTAAAGAAAAGAAAGCAGATCAGGCACAGTGGCTCACACCTGTAATCCCAGCACTCTGGGAGGCCGAGTCAGGTGGATCACTTGAGGTCAGGAGTTTCAGACTAGCCTGGCCAACATGGCAAAACCCTGTCTCTACCAAACATACAAAAATTAGCTGGGTATGGTGGTGCATGCCTGTAATCCTAGCTACTCGGAAGGCTGAGGCAGGAGAATCACTTGAACCCAGGAGGCAGAGGTCGCAGTGAGCTGAGATCATGCCACTGTACTCCAGCCTGGGCTACAGAGCGAGAACCTGTCTAAAAAAAAGAGAGGCCGGGAGCGGTTTCTCATGTCTGTAATCCCAGCACTTTGGGAGGCTGAGGTGGGTGGATCACGAGGTCAGGAGTTCAAGACCAGCCTGGCCAACATGGTGAAACCCCGTCTCTAGTAAAAATACAAAAATTAGCCAGGTGTGGTGACACGTGCCTGTAATCCCAGCTACTCAGGAGGCTGAGGCAGAAGAATCGCTTGAACCTGGGAGGCAGAGGTTGCAGTGAGCCGAGATTGCACCACTGCACTGGGTGACCGAGTAAGACTCCATCTCAAAAAAAAAAAGAAAAAAGAAAAAAAAGCAATATAATGTCTAGCTCTGATCCAAATCAAAATATAATTTGTAGTAATGTTGCTGTTTTGTTTTATGGTGAGATGGGGGTTGTGGTAACTTTTTCCTCTAAGAACAAGTGGAACCAATGTTCAAAGAGAAGAAAAATATGAGAGTTTCTCAAAAATGCTGATGTCTCCAAATGTACTCAGAGATGGAATAAGAAATGATGTAAGAATTAAAATGCCTATCACAATAACTAGCATTTAGATTATTCCATTCTAGGCACTGTCCTAAGCACTGTCTGCTAATTTGTTTAATCCTCAACACAACCCTATAAGAAAGACACTATTATTATCCTCATTTTACAGGGAAGAAAAACTGATCAATTTAGCTTCAAGTTATCTACAGGAAAAAAAAATGACCAAGATACTGACATTGTTTCTTGCACTTTATGACTTTCATTAGATGGATCAATGCTCATTCCAATCTTTTTTCTGTCCAGCTTCTCTCGGCATGGTTGCAAAAGCGGAGAGAGGGGAAATCTTCATTCCTTTCTCATTCAAAGATTAATTCCAGTAATACATATAATATACTATGTCCTATAATTTTTTGTAATAATGTCAATTTTTAACTTTTGTGAGACAAGTTATGCAATAAGCATAGCCAAAAAGGATGCACAAAATAAAGTGCAATAGCTACAGGAAAACGGGAAAATTATGCCCATTCCATTTTCCATTATTGCAGCAATCTGTTGAAAAGCAGACTCTTCAATGTGCAGAGGGTCAGGATTTTGTCAGGAAAGAACTACACAGCTGCTCCCAATCTGGCTCCAAGCAAGGACCACCTGAGAGCTGACTCCGCTGAGCGAGGCCCCGGCTTCCTTTAATTGACTCTCTTCCGCCCCGTTCATTAACATATGTCACTCTACAAGACCGAGAAGGAAAGCACTCCTTTTTTAAAAGTGCCTCTACACTCAGAAGGATAACCCTTAGAGTCTGGCCTGGATAACACCTTTTACGTGGCAGTGCGCCGCAATATGGCGTGCTAGCACCTCTTCATCTGGAGCTCCATGGCATATGGCTACACGCAAAAGAAAAAAAGAAAAAGAAAAAAGATATTCCCAGATTAACTGGCTCATCGGGTAGGAGTGACACATGCAGCAAGGTGAGAAGGGTGCAGGGGATCAGCATTCAGGATGTGTGAAAGAGGCATTTTTCCATTTCTCTAACAGTGAGAGACCCTCATCAAAAAAAAAAAATGAGAAGTTCCAGGTCTTGGACAAATTCACAAAGGCTACAGTGATTGAGTGGGTGATGCTGGTGTGTCCTGTTGTCCTAAGAACAGGAGAAGCTGAGGTCACAACTTGGCCTCTGAGCTCATGCTGAATCTGAGAGTTTAAGAACCAGCTTTCAGATCAATTTCTAAATGGGCAAATTTAATGTATTGCCATTTAGAGCCAAGAAACAAATTCCTTTTATAGAATGCATTTGTGTTCCAGGGAGATGCCGTGCGTGTCGGCTTCAAATTACTGACTGGCTTTTGCTTCCCAAGAATTCAACATGCCATTTTAAGCTTATCTCTGTCTTTTTAAAGACAAATTTTAAATTTATTTTAAAAAGTAAATGGTTAGTGCTGATGGTTGCACAACAGTATGAATGTACTTAGCACCACTGAACTATATACACTTTAAAAATGTACTTAACACCACTGAACTATATACACTATATATGGCTAGACATGGGCTGGGCGCAGTGACTCACGCCTGTAATCCCAGCACTTTGGGTGGCCAAAGCAGGCAGATCACCTGAGGTCAGGAATTCGAGACCAGCCTGGCCAACATGGCAAAACCCCGTCTCTACTAAAAATACAAAAAATGTAGCCGGGTGTGGTGGCGCATGCCTGTAATCCTAGCTACTCAGGAGGCTGAGGCAGGAAAATTGCTTGAACCCGGGAGATGGAGGTTGCAGTGAGCTGAGGTCGCCCCACTGCACTCCAGCCTGGGCGACAGAGCAAGACTCCATCTCAAAAAAAAAAAAAAAGGCTAGAAATGGTAAATTTTCTCTTATGTATATTTTACCATAATTTTAAAATGTTTTACTTGGGAAAGAAAAAGTAGATGGAGACATATTTGAAAGTTTCAGCTTTAACAATAAAGTGCAAAGACATTATGCTTACAATAGTAATTTTACATAAATATGTATGCTTTAATATTAAATGACAAAAGAGCAAACAAGGAGGACAGTGAGTAAAACAAATCTGAAATAGTTCGTTTTCTTGCATAATGTTCCCATGGGAACCCACAATGTTCACTAAGAGAGTCAACATGGAGGCGTTTTTTAATGAAGGTTGGGTTCAAAATATTGACTACAATAAAAGGTTAATTGAGGAATAGTAATAAATCAAATATCTTAAATTTTTGGTTATTTTAATTGTCTAAAATAATAGGAAATATTGCGTTTCAATTAAATTCCAAATCATTTTTAAAATCCCTTAAAAGTTGTCAGATTTGTTTGGAATCATCAATAGAACAGAAAAAAGTAAAAAATAAACCCAGACTTATATAGACATTTAGTATATGGTAAAGGTGGACTTTCAAATAAGCAAAGAAAAGATAGGTTAACCAATAAATAATATTGTGACAATTGAGTGGCCATCTGAAAAATTAAAATTAAAAATAAGAGATCCCTATCTTATCCTACATAAATTCTAAATGAATCAAAGATTTAAGTGTAAAAAAGAAGAAACCATAAAAGTATAAGAAGAAAACATGTTAAGTTTAAACACTAGAGGAAATAATTTTTTAAAAAAGAAAGAAAATACAGAGAAAACATGGCTGGGAGCAGTGGCTCATGCCTGTTATCCCAGCTCTTTGAGAGGCTGAGGCGAGGGGATCACTTGAAGTCAGGAGTTCAAGACCAGCCTGGCCAACATGGCAAAACCCCCCTCTCTACTAAATATACAAAAATTAGCTGGGTGTGGTGGCATGTACCTATAATCCTAGCTGCTTGGGAGGCTGAGGCAGGAGAATCACTTGAACCCAAGAGGCGGAGGTTGCAGTAAGCTGAGATCGCACCACTGCACTCCAGCCTGGGCAACAGAGCGAGACTCAGTCTCAAAAATAAAAAATAAGATAAAAATAAATGCAGTTTGATTTTTTTTTTTTTGAGACAAAGTCTCGTTCTTGTCACAGCTGGAGCCCACATCACTGTGTTGTTTCCAAGGAAATCAAGGGAGACCCTGGCAGATCCACCAAGAGGAAGCTGAAGCAGCCTCACCAGGCAAACATGGCCAGGGCAGGCCGTGCGTCCCTTCCATCTCTCAGTGAGCCGCAGAACAGTTTAACAACCATAAGACAGAGAGGAAGAAGTTTTGTCCTTCAGAGAGTAACAGAAAACACTTGACATGGTTCAGACCCAAAGATTAAAAAACTGAGAGGCCGGGCGCGGTGGCTCACGCCTGTAATCCCAGCACTTTGGGAGGCCGAGGCGGGCGGACCACGAGGTCAGGAGATCGAGGCCATCCTGGTTAACATGGTGAAATGCAGTCTCTACTAAAAATACAAAAAAATTAGCCGGGCCTGGTGGCGGGTGCCTGTACTTCCAGCTACTTGGGAGGCTGAGGCGGGAGAATGGCCTGAACCAGGGAGGCGGAGCTTGCAGTGAGCCGAGATCGTGCCACTGCACTCCAGCCTGGATGACAGAGCAAAACTCTGTCTCAAAAAAAAAAAAAAAAAAAAACTGAACAATGAATTTTTATTTCCCAGAACACTTTTGAGAGATTAGTATGTTATAATTATTGATAATGCACTATTGTTAAGTGTATTTATATTACTTTTTATTACTCTGCGTTGTTTTGTGGTTTTTTCAAGTGTATATAGTTCTGTGGAGTTCTTACAAGGTCTTTCCCTAGCCTACCTTTCCAGTCTTTTTTTTTGAGACGGAGTCTTGCCCTGTCACCCAGACTGGAGTGCAATGGCGCGACCTCGACTCACTGCAACCTCCACCTCCTGGGTTCAAGCAATTCTCCTGCCTCAGCCTCCCGAGTAGCTGGGATCATAGGCACCTGCCACCACACCCAGCTAATTTTTTGTATCTTTAGTAGAGATGGGGGTTTCACCATGTTGGCCAGGCTGGTCTCGAACTCCTGACCTCAGGTGATCTGCCTGCCTCAGCCTCCCAAAGTGCTGGGATTACAGGCATGAGCCACCGTACCCGGCCTATGTCCATACTCTTAACTAATGCTGTTTGTACAAGTATTTTCACTAGAAACAGCAAAATGGCCAAAGAACTAAGTATAGTCATGTGCCACATAACAGCATTTGGGTCAATAGGGGACTGCATATATGACGGTGGTCCCATAGATTACAATACAGTATTTCTATACTGTACCTCTCTATGCTTAGACATGTTTAGATACACAAACATGATTACCACTGTGTTACAACTGCCTACAGTATTCAGTAATGTGGTGAAACATATAAATGTTGTTCCCATAACGTTCCCATAACATGGACATGGTGATCCCATAAGATTATGATAGAGCTGAAAACTCCATTATAGCACAACGATGTTGTAGCACAATGCATTATTCATGTGTGTTGTGGTGATGTTGGTATAAACAAACCTACTGTGCTGCCAGTAGAGGCATATAGCACATATAATTATGTATAGACATAATACTTGATAATGAAGATAAATGACTATGTTACTGGTTTATGTATTTACTATAATATACTTTTTTTTTCTGAGATAGAGTCTCGCTCTGTCACCCAGGCTGGAGTGCAGTGGCGCCGTCTTGACTCACTGCAACCTTTGCCTCCCGGGTTCAAACAATTCTCCTGCCACAGCCTCCTGAGTAGCTGGGATTACAGGTGCGCACCACCACACCTGGCTAATTTTTGTATTTTTAGTAGAGACGGGGTTTCACCATGTTGGTCAGGCTGGTCTCGAACTCCTGACCTCATGATCCACCCGCCTCGGCCTCCCAAAGTGCTGGGATTACAGGCGTGAGCCACTGCACCCGGTTATAATATACTTTTTATTATTATCTTAGAGTGTACTCCTACTTATAAAGAAATTTACTGTAAAACAGCCTCAGGCAGGTCCTTCAGGAGGTATTCCAGAGGAAGAATACCTTTGTTATCATAGGAGATGACAGTTCCATGCATGACAGCTCCTAGGGTACCCTGAAGACCTTCCAGTGACAAGGTGTGGAGGTAGAAGATGGTGATATTGATGATTTTGACCCTCTGTAGGCCTAGGCTAATGTGTTTGTGTCTTAATTTTTAACAAAAAAGTTTAAAAAGTAAAAATTTTAAAACAGAGAAAAAGCTTATAGAATAAGGATATAAAGAAAGAAAACTGGCCAGGCACACTGGCTCACACCTGTAACCGCAGCACTTTGAAAGGCCAAGGCGGGAGAATTGCTTAAGTCCAGGAGTTCAAGGACAACCTGGGCAACAAGCTAAGACCCCCTCATCGCTATTTAATACAATAAAAAGAAAATATTTTTATACAGCTATACAATGTGTTTGTGTTTTAAGCAAAGTGCTATTACAAAATGGTTGAAAATTTAAAAACTAAAAAGTTTATTATGAAGTAAAATGTTAGACTGGGCGTGGTGGCTCATGCCTGTAATCCCAGCACTTTGGGAGGCCAAGGTGTGTGGATTGCTTGAACCCAAGAGTTCGAGACCAGCTTGGGCAACATGGTGAAACCCCAACTCTACAAAAAATACAAAAATTAGCCAGGCATGGTGCTGGCTGTAATCCCAGCTACTCAGGAGCCTCCTGAGGCAGGGATCCTCCTGCCTCAGCAGGAGGATCACCTGAACCCAGGAGGCAGAGGTTGCAGTGAGCCAAGATTGAGCCACTGCACTCCAGCCTGGGCAACAGAGCCAGATCCCGTCTCAGAAAAAAAAAAAAAAAAAGTAAAGTTACAGTAAGCTAAGGTTAATTTATTATTGAAGAAAGAAGAGTATTTGCCTATGTCCATACCACCTTGACTGTAGCCAGTCTCTTCTGATCTCAGAAACTAAGCCAGGTCAGGCCTGGTTAGTACTTGGATAGGAGAATCCTAGGACTACTGAGTGCTGGAGTCTTTAAAGGAAAGAAGAGTGCTGCTTTATAAATTAAATTTTATATTAATAATAGTAATAAAAAATTATTATTATTAATAGTAATAATCTCTTGTTATTAATAATAGTAATAATGTATTGGTAGTAATAATAGTAATAATGTGTTGTTATTATTAAATGCTTTATTATAATATATAAAGTCACTCAACTCACCCAGAACAACTTCCAGTCCTGTGAGTTCCATTCACGGTAAGTGCCCCCTATACAGGTGTACCATTTTTTGTCTTTTATACTGTATTTTTACCGCACCTTTTCTAGTTTGGATACACAAATACCATTGCATCACAGTTGCCTACAGTATTCAGTACAGTAACATACTGTACAGGTATGTAACTATATCACGGAGCCCAGGTGTGTAGTAGTCTATACCATCTAGGCTTGTAAGTGTACCCTGTGATGTTCACACAATGACAAAATTGCCTAATAACTCATTTCTTAGAACATGTCCTCATCATTAAGCAACACATGACTGTATGCATACACACACACACACATATGTATGTATGTATGTATGTATGTATGTATGTATGAATGTATAATTTAAGGAGTCAATTAACCATAACAGGCAATTGACAGTAACAGTTAAGGCCATGGGACCTGGGGTCCTCGGTTTGGAATCCCCATTCCATCACTTACTGTGTGACCCTGAGGAATTTACTTAACCTCTCTAAGCCTTAGTTATAAGACCCAAGTTTAAGAAATACTACTCTTGGCCGGGCGCAGTGGCTCACGCCTGTAATCCCAGCACTTTGGGAGGCCGAGGTGGGTGGATCACCTAAGGCTGGGAGTTCGAGACCAGCCTGACCAACATGGAGAAACCCCATCTCTACTAAAAATACAAAATTAGCTGGGCGTGGTGGCTCCTGCCTGTAATCCCAGCTACTCAGGAGGCTGAGGCAGGAGAATTGCTTGAAACTGGGAGGCGGAGGTTGTAGTGAGCTGGGATCACTCCATTGCACTCCAGCCTGGGCAACAAGAGCGAAAAAAAACAAAAAAAAAAGAAAGAAAGAAATACTACCCTTAGGGCTGAGTGCGGTGGCTCACACCTGTAATCCCAGCACTTTGGGAGGCCGAGGCAGGCGGATCACAAGGTCAGGAGATCGAGACCATCCTGGCTAACACAGTGAAACCCAGTCCCTACTAAAAACACACACACAAAAAAAAATTAGCCGGGCGTGGTGGCGGGAGCCTGTAGTCCCAGCTACTCTGGAGGCTGAGGCAGGAGAATGGCATGAACCCCGGGAGGCAGAGCTTGTAGTGAGCCGAGATTGTGCCACTGCACTCCAGCCTGGGTGACACAGCGAGACTCTGTCTCAAAAAAAAAGAAAAAAAAGAAATACTATTCTTCAGTTTATTTACTTTGTTCATCAAATATTTAGTGAGATTCAATTATCTGTCAGTGCCTGGAGAATAAGGTGAACCAGGTCCCACCTCCATAGAAATCTAATGTGCAAACAGGATTTATGCACTCTAGGTACAGTCTAAGCCGGGTCTAGCTCATCGTCAAATAACCTTCAAATATCCAATACATATTTCCAATGAGACATGACTTTTGCGAGTGTTTTACTGGATCATAGTTGTCATGGAAATAGGAGTGAGTTAATATTAGTATTACCTAGCATATGGTAAAACTATGATTATGAAGAAGATGTTATTCATGCAATTGTTTAAATTGTTTAAATTTCTGTGAAATGAGCCTATGTCCTGGATCCCATTTTTTTTTTTTTTTTTTTTTTTTTTTGGAGACACAGTTTCGCTAGAGTGCATTGGCGTGATCTTGGCTCACTGCAACCTCCACCCCCCGGGTTCAAGCAATTCTCCTGCCTCAGCCTCCCGAGTAGCTGGGACTACAGGCACCCATCACAACGCCTGACTAACTTTTTGGATTTTTAGTAGAAACAGGGTTTCACCATATTGGCCAGGCTGGTCTCGAACTCCTGAACTCATGATCTGCCCGCCTCAGCCTCCCAAAGTGCTGGGATAACAGGTGTGAGCCACTGCACCCGGCAGATCCTGAATTTTTTTACATTTTTATTTATTTAATTGTAGGGAAAAACCTTGTTTTTAACAAAAGCATTTCCCCTTGACTGATTAAGTACCCATATAGTCAAAATACATGGGTACTTAATCCTGGGGATTTTGCCAGGCTTTAGCCATAGCGCTGGACCCAAAGTCTCACTATGCATTGTATGTTTACAATGCTACACTCAAAATAAAAAATACAAAAATAAGGAACAGAGCTGAATGTATAGCCACCTCAGGAGATACTTAAGATTGTTTTTATTTATTCCTTTTTAATAAACTTACAATGTGACTTTCTTAAGAGTGGCTTGCTTTACGAAATCAATACTCAGCAAATATTTGAGTATTTGATAAAAAATATACTAAATGCTAAAATGCAGACTTGGAAGTGGGGCGAATTTGAAGATTCCAAACAACTGGTTCCCAGTTAATAGAGGTTTTAGCTGGGCGCAGTGGTTCATGTCTGTAATCCCAACACTTTGGGAGGCCGAGGCAGGTGGTTCACCTGAGGTCAGGAGTTTGAAACCAGCCTGACCAACATGGTGAAACCCTGTCTCTACTAAAAATACAAAATTAGACGGGCGTGGTGGCAGGTGCCTGTAATCGCCCCCCCCAGAAAATGGAAACCCTTCTATCTTTGTGAAAATTATGTAAAAATGACTTCCTCTTGTTAGTGGAGCAGGCTGCCTGCCTCCCTCCTGCTGTGCAGAACTATGTCGGACTGTAGCCATGCAGGAGCCTTTTCTACCTAGTAACCAATAAATAAAAAATTAAAAAAAAAAACAAAACCCTTTGTCATTGGCCAGATCTCTATTTGGAAATAGGCATAAATTCACTAGCCTTACTTTAGCTACTGGAATTGCATCTTAGCAGAGAGAGAAGGAAAAGAACACAGCTTTTTAGAGCACATTATGCATCTAACTAGTGTGAACTTCACAGCAGACTAGTCATAGCAGATAAGTGAAGACGAAGAAAAAGTAGTACTTAATGACACAGCACATTTACCTCTTTAATTCACAGAAACGTCTGGTGTTGTCCTAGTTCATGTAGCCCAAAGTGGGCCAGGGGATAGATTTTAAAAAGCAACAACACTTTGGCTTGATATTTTGTTTAAAAACAATGTTAGCCAAGCGTGGTGGCTCACTCCTGTAATCACAGCACTTTGGGAGGCTGAGGTGGGAGGATCACTTGAGACCAGGAGTCAGGAGTTAGACACCAGCCTGGGCAATACAGTGAGACCCTGTCTCTACAAACAAACAAAAAAATTAATTTAAAAATTAGCAGGGTGTGGTGGCTCATTCCTGTGGTCCCAGCTACTTGGGAGGCTGAGGTGGGAGGACTGCTGGAGCCCAGGAGTTTGAGATTGCACTGAGCTATGATCTCACCACTGTACTGCAGCCTGGGTGATGAAGACAGACCTATCTGTAAAAAAGATAAAATAAAATACTTTGAAAAATAAAAAACAATGATGTGAGCTCATCCAGAGAAAGTTTGTAGAGAAAGCCCTTCAGGTGTCCTGTGTTGGCCAGCTCAGAATGAGGGAACTAGCACCAATACTTTGAATTTTCCTTCCTAGGGCTCCTTTTTAAGGCTTTCACAGCAGCTTTACTCATTTCATATTCATCTTCCCAAGAACCCTCTATTGGACTAGTAGGATTTATACAAGAAACTTGGCCATAGAGGGATTTAGTGACTTGTCCAAGGTCAAAGTGAGTTTTCAACTAGTCCAGGAATCAAGTCCAGGTTTCCAGCCCTACTGGCAGATCCCCCTTCACATACTGGAAAACATTCTTTCCTTCACCCATCCCTTGCCCTGTTCTATTCTCAGACTGTGTTGATGCCCACGCTGAAAATAGAATCTCCCTACCACTGCCAGAGCTCTTCTCGTCACTGCCGGGCAGTGGGAGAGTTATAAGAAGGTGGCAATGGCCCATTCGGGCTTATCTCCAGAACTGCCCCCAATTATGACTGCCAGATTTAGCAAAAACAATAATATGAGATAACCAGTTAAATTTGAAATTCAGATAAGCAAAGAAAATTTGTTTAGTATAAGTATGGCACATGCAATATTTGGGACATGGGACACACTTACACAAAACATTTGTAACTTATCTAAAATTCAGATTTAATGGGATGGGTTATGCCTGTAATCCCAGCACTTTGGGAGTCCGAGGCGGGTGGATCACCTGAGGTCAGGAGTTCGAGACCAGCCTGGCCAACATGGTGAAACCGTGTCTCTACTTAAAATACAAAAATTAGCTGGGCGTGGTAGTGCACACCTGTAATCCCAGCTACTGGGGAGGCTGAGGCAGGAGAATAGCTTGAACCAGGGTGACGGAGGTTGCAGTGAGCCGAGACAGTGCCACTGCTCTCCAGCCTGGGAGACACAGCAAGACTCCATCTCAAAAAAAAAAAAAAATGTAACGGGATGTCCTGTGTTGTGTCTGGCAATCCTGCCCCCATCCTTCCCCACATCTACCCTGGCACCCACACACAGGATTATCTCAAAGGTAACACCTTCACCCAGGACACAAGGAGCAACACACAGATGTCTTTCCTTCCAAAACCTAGGAAAGTTCTTTTCAACTCAATTATGCAAAATGATTCTGCAATGAATACCTCAGATAATTAGGCTCCTAGGTATTTTATAGACTTTTTTTTTAACTGCAATGATATTTATGGATTTTTTTCCAAATACAAAAGTAATATATATGTATTTCCAAAGATGGCTGCAACTATGTCTCCCATCCCACTTTTCCACAAAGTGACCAAGAGGTGGTATCTGTGTCCCTTTCCTCATAAATATGGACAGGTTTAAGACTTGTAGAAGTTCAAACTGAATATGGATGTCTTGAATATGGATAGGTTTGCGACTTGAAGTATGGACTGGCTTGTGACTTGCTGAAATTCAACTTCTATTGAGCTGTCATGAGAGTCCAACTACACCGAGGCCAGCATGCTGGTGGTAGGAAGCCAGGCTACATGGAAAAGCCACAGGTAGGGGCTTCAGAAGGCAGACCAGTCTTTTTTTTTTTTTTTTTGAGATGAAGTCTTGCTCTGTTCCCCAGGCTGGAGTGCCGTGGCACAATCTCAACTCACTGCAACCTCCACCTCTCAGGCTCAAGCAGTTCTTATGCGTCAGCCTTCTGAGTAGCTGGGACTACAGGCATCTGCCACCATGCCTGCCTGATTTTGGATTTTAGTAGAGAAGGGGTTTCACCATGTTGCCCAGGGTGGTCTTGAACTCCTAAGCTCAGGCGATTCGTCCACCTCGGCCTCCCAAAGAACTGGGATTACAGGCGATGTCAGAGATCCTATATATCTTTTTGTTGTGTTTTGTTTTTTTGAGACAGAGTTTCACTCTTGTTGTCCTCCCTGGCTGGAGTGCAAGGGTGCGATCTCAGCTCACTACAACTTCTGCCTCCCGGGTTCAAGCAATTCTCCTGCCTCACCCTCCCAAGTAGCTGGGATTACAGGCATGCACCACCACGCCCAGCTAATTTTGTAATTTTTTTTTTTTTTTTTGACATGGAGTCTTGCTCTGTCACCCAGGCTGAAGTACAGTAGCACAATCTCAGATCACTGCAACCTCTGCCTCCCGGATTCAAGCCATTCTCCTGCCTCAGCCTCCTGAGTAGTTAGGATTACAGGCGCCCGCCACCACGCCCATCTAATTTTTGTATTTTTAGTAGAAACAGGGTTTCACCATGTTGGCCAGGCTGGTCTCGAACTCCTGACTTCATGATCTGCCCGCCTCGACCTCCCAAAGTGCTGGGATTACAGGCATGAGCCACTGCATCCAGGCTAATTTTGTATCTTTTTTAGTAGAGACCAGGTTTCACCATATTGATCAGGCTGCTCTCGAACTCCCGACCTCCAGTGATCCACCCGCCTCAGCTTCCCAAAGTGCTGGGATTACATGCGTGAGCTGCTGCGCCTGGCATCAGACCAGCCTTTAATGTCCTCCTAGCCCAGGTGTCAGGCAGGTGAGCAAATTAGCCTTCTGATTATTCCAGCCTCCAGCTGTTTAGTCACTTCCCAGCTAAGATCTGAGACAGGATGAAGCAGAAACAAGCCATCCCCACTCTGACCTTCCAAATTCTTGATTCCAGAACTTGTTGACATAATAAAATAATTGTTCTTTTATGTCACTAAGTTTACAATGGTTTATAATGCAGCAATAATAACTAGAACATAAAACCTGCTTGTTGCAGAAACTTCAAAAAAGAACATAATCGCCTGTAATTCTATATGCAAAGGCAATTGCTTTTAACAGTTTGAGCTATGTGCTTCCAATATTTTTCTATGGCCATATGGACACATTTTTCTACTTAAGCAAGCACAGTATCATAGAACAGGTACCATTCTATGCTCTGATTTTTTACCTTGACAACATTAATTGAAAAATCAGCCAGGTGCCATGGTTCACGCCCGTAATCCCAGCACTTTGGGAGGCTAAGGCAGACGAATCAATAGAGCCCAGGAGTTCCAGACCAGCCTGGGCAACATGGTGAAACCCCATCTCTACCAAAAATAAGAAAATTAGGTGGGCTAGTGGCACATGCCTGTAGTTCCAGTTACTCGGGAGGCCGAAGCAGGAGGATCCCTTGAGCCTGGGAGATCCAGGCTGCAGTGAGCCATGATTGTGCCACTGCACTCCAGACTGGGAGACAGAGTGTGACCCTTTCTCAAAAAAAAAGAAAAGAAAAATCTTTCCATTTTATTGAACAATAGTGTCTTTGACAATAATAACTGAAATAGCTATTACTAAGAATTTACCTGTTTCTTTCTTTCTTTTTTTTTTTTTTTTTTGAGACAGGGTCTCACTCTGTCATCCAGGATGGAGTGCAGTGGCAAGAGCTCAGTTCACTGCAGCCTCTACCTCCTGGTTTCAAGCAACCCTTGTGCCTCAGCCTCATGAGTAGCTGAGATTACAGACGCACATCACCACACCCAACTGATTTTTGTGTTTTTAGTAGAGAAGGGGATTTACCATGTTTGCTCAGGCCGGTTTCGAACTCCTGAGTTCAAGTGATCCACCTGCCTCAGCCTCCCAAAGTGCTAGGATTACAGGCATGAGCCACAGCACCCGGCCTGTATTTAACTTGTTTCTAATTGTTTATTATTATAAAGACAACTGCAATAATAATCCTTACATATGCATCTTTGCATTCAGATGAAAATATAAAGAAAATATTTTTTCCTTAAGATAAACTCCTAGAAATGGAATTCCTGATCAAAAGTCTTGCATAATTTGTAAGGCTTTTGATACATATAAACTTTCCTCCAAAAACAGCTCTGCTTTTTATTAACAGGTTAAATTATTTTATGCTGCCAACAATAGTGCATGATTGCTTATGTTTTCACATTCTCACTAGCAAGAGATATAATGATCATTTTAAATTTTGGCCAGGCACGGTGGCTCATGCCTGTAATCCCAGCACTTTGAGAGGCCCAGGAGGGCGGATCATTTTAGGTCAGGAATTTGAAACCAGCCTGGCCAACACTGTGAAACCCCATCTCTACTAAATATACAAAATAATTAGCTGGGTGTGGGTGGTGCATGCCTGTAATCCCAGCTACTTGGGAGGCTGAGGCAGGAGAACTGCTTGAACCCAGGAGGTGGAGGTTGCAGTGAGCCGAGATAGCGCCACTGCACTCCAGCCTCAGCAACAGAGCAAGACTCTGTCTCAAAAAAAATAAATAAATAAAATAAAAAATAAATTTCACCAATTTCATGAACAAAAATGACAATTCAGCTGGACACAGTGGCTCACACCTATAATCCCAACACTTTGAGAGGCCAAGGCAGCAGGATGGCTTGGGCCCAGGAGTTTACAACCAGCCTGGGCAAGATGGTGAGACCCTCACTCCAGCCTGGGTGACAGCCTGACTCCATCTCAAAAAAAAAAAGATAGACCCAGTCTCCAAAAAAAAAAAGAAAGACAATTCACTGTTACCAGAGTAAACACTGCTTACCTGTTTATTAGCCATTTTTGTTCCTTTTTTAGCATGAATTGCCTCATCTTGTCCTTTGCCCATTTCTGTTGGAAGAGTTATCATCTCTTAGTGATTTTTAAAAGCAATTTCATTATTAATTATACCAATCCTTTCATATATGTAGAAAAAATGTTTGAGTTGGTCATCTGTCTTTTATTGAAGATGCATTTCAAATATCAAATATATTTGAAAGATAAAATAGCATCTGTGAAATTGAATATTATTTTATGTGCGCTTGGCTATGCCCTAAAATGTCAGTTTATTATCCCTAAAGACGTATTTATTGATGTTTACCAAGAATAGAAGTTGGCTGGGCACAATGGCTCACGCCTGCAATCCCAGCGCTTTGGGAGGCCGAGGCGGGTGGATCACCTGAGGTCAGGAGTTCAAGACCAGTCTTGCCAACATGGTGAAACCCCCTCTATACTAAAAATACAAAAAATTAGCTGGGCGTGGTGGCAGCCACCTGTAATCCCACCTACTCGTGAGACTGAGGCAGGAGAATCACTTGAACTCGAGTGGCAGAGGCTGCAGTGAGCTAAGACCATGCCACTGTACTCCAGCCCGGCCAACACAGCAAGACCTCCTCTCAAAAAAAAAAAAAAAGAGGATAGGAAAAGAGGCCAGGTGCAGTGGCTCACGCCTGTAATCCCAGCACTTTGGGAGGCTGAGACAGGAGGATTGCTTGGGTCTAGGAGTTCAAGACCAGCCTAGGCAACATAGTGAGACCCTGTCTCTATATTTAAAATATATATATAGAAGAAGAAATCAAACACAAAAGAAGTGGAGACAAGCAAAAAAAAGTACACACATTGAAACCAACTCTAGGGGCCGGGCATTGTGGCTCACACTTGTAATCCCAGGACTTTGGGTAGCTGAGGTGGGCAGATCACAAGGTCAGGAGTTCGAGACCAGCCTGACCAACATGGTGAAACCCCATCTCTACTAAAAATACAAAAATTAGCCGGTGTGGTGGCACACACCTGCAGTCCCAGCTACTCAGGAGGCTGAGGCAGGAGAATGGCATGAACCCGGGAGGCGGAGCCTACAATGAGCCGAGATCGCACCACTGCACTCCAGCCTGGGCGACAGAGCGAGACTTTGTCTCAAAAAAAAAAAAAAAAAGAAAAGAAAAGAAACCAAGTGTAGCACTCTAGCTGAAACAAAAAAGGAAGTGGTGAAGGGTGCAGACTTTAATAATAATAATAACAATTTTATTATATTATATATTGCAAAATATTATAATTGTTATATTTATGTTATAAATAGAATGTATTATAATATTTACATTTATATTATAGATATGATATATAGTCATTGTATTTAAAATAGTATATGTATTAAATATATTATTATATTTAATATAATAATTATAATAACTAACCTTTATTCAGCATTTTACTATGCACTTTATATGCATTTTGTCATATAGTTCTCCCAGTAACCCTTTAGAAGCTACTATTAATATTTCCAACTTATAATTGAGGAAGTGAGGCCTAACAGAGGTCCAATGACTAGTAAATGCTATCGTTGGAGGCCTGGTCTCATACCTCAGCCTGAATTCTCAAACACTAAACATTACCTCCTCCCCTGGACAACTTGCCCAGCTTCTGCAAATCTCACTTTCCGTACTTGGTCTTTTGAATATGAAATGACATCATGCACATGTGGTGTTTACACAGGCCTAGCATACAATAAATACACCCTCAACAAAGGCATGGCATCACCCTGATCATCTTCATCATCACCGCCTGGCCTCTAACACACCTCAAGAGCTGCCCCAGCATATCAGTGCACCGTTCTATACCAGCAGACATTTTTTCCTAATCATGCCTCACCATGAAATTTTAATACTACGGATATACCATGTATCTCTGTATGTACTGTGGCTCTTTGGAAGCCACAAACCATTGTAATATCTGTTGAAATAAATATCTGTGATTTTTTTGTCCCTTCTCTCCCCAGAATTAATTCCCACCTCTTAGTAATGATGTTCCCCCTTCACCCTCTCAAATCTCCCTCCTGAGAAGGCTTGGTCTATGTTACCTGGAAATCCTCTGATGAGCCTGTCTTCCATGTCAAGACCCACACCCTAATGTGGTTCCTCTATACAATATTGCCAAGGCAAGCCACAAGCAGATGCAGGACCATCCACTTAAAACCCAGCCTCAATTCAGACATGTAAAAGCTCCACAAAAACAAATACACAAATTAAGGCAAATATATTGATCACCTATTTTTTTAGTTCACTTTTTTTTTTTTTTTTTTTGAGACGAGGGGATCACCCTGTCACCCAGGCTGATGTACAGTTGTGTGATCTTGGCTCACTGAAGCCTCCACCTCTTGGGCTCAAGTGAGTCTCTCACCTCAGCCTCCTGAGTAGCTGGGCCTACAGGTGTGCACCACCATGCTACAGGCACATGCCACCATGCCTGGCTAATTTTGTAGAGATGGAGTTTCACCATGTTGCCCAGGCTGGTGTTGAACTCTGGGGCTCAAGCAATCATCCCGCTTCAGCCTCTCAAAGTGCTGGGATTACAGGCTTGAACCACCACACCCAGACTTTCCTTCACTGTTAAAGAGAAAAGAATTATTACTGATGCCAGGCAAGGTGGCTCATGGCTATAGTCTCAGCTACTCCAGAAGCTAAGATGAGAGTATTACTTGAGCCCAGGAGTTACAGCCCAGCCTGGGAAACACAATGAGACTCCATCACTGATTATTATTATTATTATTATTATTGAGACAGAGTCTTGTTCTGTTGCTAGGCTGGAGTGCAGTAGTGCAATCTCGGCTCACTGCAACCTCCACCTCCCGGGTTCAAGAGATTCTCCTGCCTCAGCCTCCCAAGTAGCTGAGACTACTGGCACGCACCACCATACCCAGCTAATTTTTGTATTTTGGTAGAGACAAGGTTTCACCATGTTGGCCAGGATGGTCTCAATCTCTTGACCTCGTGATCCACCCGCATCGGCCTCCCAAAGTGCTGGGATTACAGGCATAAGCCACTGTGCCCAGCCCCGTCACTGATAATTTTTGAAAAGTTGAGCCTGGTCAAATTATCTTGTCTGGGTTAAATCGACATGACCTTCCATGAGTTTAACACACCATTATATGATATATAATCAATCTAATTATGAAAACTGATTAAGAAGTGATGCTACATAATAGCTTAGAGTTATTAAACCATTGACCAATGAGTCTTCTGCATTCCCTGCAAGACCACAAATTTTTCAGCATTCTACATTTTGTTTTAAAGAATCTAATTTTCTGCTCAAGGTCAGAAAAATCCTGTGTTCATTAACTGGGATGGAGTAGGTCTTTGCTGAGTATTAAGAAATAAAAATGATCATTTAGCAGCTAGGAAAGAGGATAATCCATTGCTGAAAATAGTGCCCTCAATCAGCTTGGAAGGTTCACTATGGAAGAAAATGTACCCAGGCAAACATCCAGTGACTTACCACCTCGCCAGAATAGTCCTCCTCCTGATGTGTGTTTTGGACTCCATTCTTTTTATACCAAACACAGCCCTGCCTCACCCTCAAATTCTTTCTAGTAAATTATGCTTTGGTAGCATGACTTCAATCTACAACAAGGAAATATTAAAAGAACCACATGGCATTCATATTTATCATAAGAATGTTGTAGAGGATGTTGGTCACTGCACAATACGATGTCTCCTACTAGACAGTAGAAATTATCTTTGGTTTCAGCCCCAGGGATAGTTGTACTTCCCCTTAGCAGCCTGTTTATTTTTAGATACACACCATGAACCATAGATTCTTGGCATTTGCAGATTTGATCTTTGCATGTTCAGCTATTCAAAAGAGACATGTCAGTTGCTTAACTCACAACCACTGTAAAGCCAGGATGTGATATGAAACTCTTGCTAATGAGTGAACCTGACATCTCAGTGCACGTTAGGACAGCTTTGCTGTTCATCAACACGTGCTGAGGGACTGTCACTGTTCTTCGCCACACTGTCCTGTCTGATTCCACCATCCTCCTCGGGCTGGTTGCTAAAAAGCTCAAAGAGAGTTTTATGCCCCGCTTCTGACTGTATATTCTGGGCTCTAACCTCATCCTTCGTAACGATTCCATCCCAATGCAAATAAGTTAGAGTTTCTAGGTGCCCTTCCCAAGGGCCCAGTGGTCTGCACAGTGTCACTTCACCCTGAACAAGGTCACCTGGGAGCTGGGCTCAGCAACAGGACAAAACTGAGCGTCTCACCCCTGCTCAGAGCCACCTCACGAACAGAAATGTTCGCTTCATGGGAAGAGCTCCGTCTTGGTGGAAGAGAGAGATGAGGGATGAGGGAAAATAGGAGGAAGTGAAATACTCGCCTTTCTCCCACACTAGGAAAAGGGGTCACTTTCCTGGCAAATGAGGGAGAGGGCCAACTCCAAACATCGAGATTTGAGAATTACTTCTGGGCGTGTCCAGCAGAGGGCGCTCTGGTATAAGTAGAAAGAACAGCAGAGTCAGCCACTCCTGGGGAAAATCCGGAGGTTTAGGTTGGTTGCCTCGCTAGCTCCAGAACTGGTATACAGGGGCTTGAGACAAGAATGGAAGCCCGAAGGAATTCAAAGGTATGCTTACATAGGAGGAGATAGCGTGCAATTGCCCAGAGAAATCCTTGCAGCTTCAACAGCCCTTCCCAACAAGCCACCCCTTAGAACAGTCACCAAAAATACGTAAAATATTGCCAGCTATGAAGAATTCTTTTAGGCGGCGCCGTGACGCGCCTCGGGAACGGTCCTCGGCGCGCGCCGCTCTCTTACCCTCGGGCCTCAGAAGTCGGTGCCAGTGACCGGAGGCGACAGCGGCAGCGAGTGGGTCCTTGTGAGCTAGAAGAATCCTGCAAAAATGTCTCTCTATCCATCTCTTGAAGACTTGAAGGAAGACAATGTAACTCAGGCTCAAACTGCTTTTTCTGCAAACCCTGCCAACCCAGCAATTTTGTCAGAAGCTGCTGCTCCCATCTCTCAAGATGGAAATCTCTATCCCAAACTATATCCGGAGCTCTCTCAATAATACATGGGCCTGAGTTGAAATGAAGAAGAAATACGTGCAAATGTGGCCGTGGTTTCTGGTGCATCAATTCAGAGGTAGTTGGTAGCAAGATCTTCCGGTATGATCTGTATGGTGGTTCCTGTAACTGAAAATGATGCTGGAATTCGTAGAGCAGAAATTAAACAAGGGATTCGCGAAGTCATTTTGTGTAAGGATCAAGATGGAAAAATTGGACTCAGGCTTAAATCAATAGATAATGATATATTTGTTCAGCTAGTCCAGGCTAATTCTCCAGCCTCATTGGTTGGTCTGAGATTTGGGGACCAAGTACTCCAGATCAGTGGTGAAAACTGCCGGGTGGAGCTCTGATAAAGCGCACAAGGTGCTCAAACAGGCTTTTGGAGAGAAGATTACCATGACATGACAATTCGTGACAGGCCCTTTGAACGGACGATTACCAAGCATAAGGATAGCACTGGACATGTTGGTTTTATCTTTAAAAATGGAAAAATAGGCCGGGCACGGTGGCTCATGCCTGTAATCCCAGCACTTTGGGAAGCCGAGGCAGGTGGATCACGAGGTCAGGAGTTCAAGACCAGCCTGACCAACATGGTGAAACCCCCGTCTCTACTAAAAATACAAAAATTAGCCGGGCATGGTGGCGGGAGCCTGTAATCTCAGCTACTCAGGAGGCTGAGGCAGGAGAATCACTTGAACCCGGAAGGCGGAGTTTGCAGTGACCCGAGATCAGGCCACTGTTCTCCAGCCTGGGCAACAGAGTGAGACTGCGTCTCAAAAAAAAAAAAAAAAAAATTAGCCGAGCATGGTGGCAGGTGCCTGGCTACTTGGGAGGCTGAGGCAGGAGAATCGCTCGAACCCGAGAGTGGAGGTTGCAGTGAGCTAAGATCGCACTATTGCACTCTAGCCTGGGTGACAAGAGCAAGACTCCATCTCAAAAAAAAAAAAAAAAGAAAGAAAGAAAAGAAAAAAGGAAAAATAACGTCCACAGTGATCCACAGTGAAAAACAGCTCTGCAGCCAGAAATGGTCTTCTCACGGAACATAACATCTATGAAATCAACAGACAGAATGTCACTGGATTGAAGAACTCTCAAATTGCAGACATACTGTCAACATATGGGACTGTAGTTACTATTACAATCATGCCTCCTTTTATCTTTGAACTTTTTTTTTTTTTTTGTAGGCAGAGTCCCACTCTGTCACCCAGGCTAGAGTGCAATGCTGCAATCTCGGCTCACTGCAACCTCTGCCTCCCAGGTTCAAGCGATTCTTCTGCCTCAGCCCCCCAAGTAGCTGAGATTACAGGCATCTGCCATCACGCCCAGCTAATTTTTGTATTTTTAGTAGAGACAGGGTTTCACCATATTGCCCAGGCTGGTCTCGAACTCCTGACCTTGTGATCTGCCCACCTCGGCCTCCCAAAGTGCTGGGATTACAGGCGTGAGCCACCGCACCCAGCCGTGAGCATATTATTAAGCGGATGGCACCAAGCATTATGAAAAGCCTAATGGATCACACCATTCCTGAGGTTTAAAATTCACGGCACCACGGAAATGTAGCTCCAGTTTCCTTCTTTGGCAACTTCTGTATTATGCACATGAAGCTTTCCTGGAGCCAGCAAGCATATGCATGAGGACCTTTCTATCTTACATTATGGCTGGGAATCTTACTGTTTCATGTGATACCTTGTTCAGATTTCAAAATAGTTGTAGACTTATCCTGGTTTAACAGATGTGAAATTTTCAAGAGATTACTGACATTCCTAGAATAGTTTCTCTACTGGAAACCTGATGCTTTTATAAGCCATTGTGATTAGGATGACTGATACAGGCTTAGCTTTGCATGAGAACCAGTACCTTTCTCCTAGGTAGTGAGTAGTGCTATTCATATTACTTTAGTTCTATAGCATACTTCCATTTTTAACATGCTACCATAGTACATTTAGAATGATTGCCTTTGAGGTCGGGTGTGGTGGCTCACGCCTGTCATCCCAGCACTTTGGGAGGCCAAGGCGGGGGGGAACACCTGAGGTCAGGAGTTCAAGATCTGCCTGGCCAACATGGTGTAACCCTGTCTGTACTAAAAATACAAAAATTAGCCAGGCGTGGTGGTGCGTGCCTGTAATCCCAGCTACTTGGGAGGCTGAGGCAGGAGAATCACTTGAACCCAGGATGCAGAGGCTGCAGTGAGCCGAGATCGCACCACTGCACTCCAGCCTGGGCAACAGACTGGAGTTTTTTTGAGACTCCATCTCAAAAAAAAAAAAAAAAGTTGCCAGTACCACTTTGTGAGAAGCAAATCACTATATATTTAATGTAAAAATTATTACCCTAAACCAGGATAAACTTTTGACTCCTCTTTTGTTCATTTGTGGATTAAGTGGTATAATACTTAATTATGGTATTTGATTCTTAAGATTATGTAACCTAGCTACTTTGGGATGAACTTAGAGTATTTTTCTGGTAATTTGTTTCATATCCTGACTCCTTTTGCAAACAAAATGGTAGTGATGCTTTATCCCGATTTTTTTCTTCTTTTTGGTTTATACCTATTCTATTTTAATTAAATATGTATACATAAAAATTTTTTTAAAGAATTATTTTATAAATAATTTTCCCCAACATGTCCCATTATACCATCCTTCCATACTTCAGGCATTCACTTAATAAGCTCATTTTAAGGCCGGGTGTGGTGGCTTATGCCTGTAATCCCAACACTTTGAGAGGCCGAGGCAGGCAGATCACCTGAGGTTGGGAGTTCGAGACCACCCTGACCAACGTGGAGAAACCCCGTCTCTACTAAAAATACAAAATTAGCTGGGTATGGTGGCCTGTAATCCCAGCTGCTCTGGAGGCTGAGACAGGAGAATCGCTTGAACCCAGGAGGCACAGGTTGCGGTGAGCTGGAGATCGCGCCATTGCACTCCAGCTTGGGTAACAACAGCTAAACTCCGTCTCAAAAAAAAAAAAAAAAAAAAAAGATGGTCCTGATGTCACATCCCATAGGCACACGACCTCACAGCCTTCTCTGTCACTCCTAGGTCTCTTAGGCTACACATTTTTCCTCAGCAAAACCACTAGTTATCAGCCCCCTTTGAATATTAATAATAGTAATTTTCAGATGGCCTTAAATGAATGTCTAATACCTTTGTGCTGAAAGCCAAGCCTATTGATAGGAAAATGCTGAACATCTGTTTTCTACAAATCCTGTAGGTGGCACCCGTGTACTGGTTTCAACTGAAAGAACGCGTTGACCTTTCAGGAATCATACTAGGCACAGATGCATCTTACATAATGACTCCTTTTATTCTAAGTAAGAGAGAAAGAATATAGCCTCACTCCCTATGCCTTCATCTAAAAATTCTCCCCTTAACAAGACTTGTATCCATCTGGAGCAGACCTAACCCATGCCACCGCAGAAGTGCCAGCTCCCAGGCACCTCTCTAAGGCCAAAAAGCCATGTGACCTTGAGCAGGCTCTCTTACGGTCCCTGCTTTCTCATCTAGAAAATAAGAAGGGTGGCCGGGCGCGGTGGCTCACACCTGTAATCCCAGCACTTTGGGAGGCCGTGGCGGGCGGATCACGAGGTCAGGAGATCGAGACATCCTGGCTAACACAGTGAAACCCCGTCCCTACTAAAAATACAAAAAAAAATTAGCCAGGCGTGGTGGCGGGTGCCTGTAGTCCCAGCTACTCAGGAGGCTGAGGCAGGAGAATGGCGTGAACCTGGGAGGCAGAGAGCTTGCAGTGAGCCGAGATCGCGCCACTGCACTACAGACTGGGCGATAGAGCAAGGCTCCATCTCAAAAAAATAATAAGAATAAATAAATAATAATAAGGGTGAGGTCAGGCACGGCGGCTCACGCCTGTAATCCCAGCACTTTGGGAGGCCAAGGCGGGTGGATCTCTTGAGGTCAGGAGTTTGAGACCAGCCAGGGCAATGTGGCAAAACCCAGTCTCTGCTAAAAATGCAAAAAAAAAATTAGCCAGGCATAGTGGCGTGCGCCTGTAATCCCAGCTACTCAGGAGGCTGAGGCGTGAGAATTGCTTGAACCTGGGTTGAGGAGGCTGCACTGAGCCGAGATCATGCCACTGCACTCCAGCCTGGGTGACAGAGCAAGAATCTAATAATAATAATAAAGTCCCCTCTAATTCATAAATGTTACTTTGTTCTCCCCCAAAAGGAATCCTGAATGATCCCTTAGTAAAAGGAAAGAATTTGTGAAATCAGAGTTGAAAGGGACTATGAGGGGAATCCAGCTCAAAAAGCCATTCTGCTCTTGGAAATTTTCTGCCATATCTCTCCCAGAAAATTGTGACTCCAGGAGTCATCAGTCCATTACATCACACAACAACCCATACTGTGTGGGCTTCCAAGCCTCGGCCCTAATCCTACACCCTCAGGTAAGCCTTACCCCTGCTCCAAGGGCCACTTTCTATATTCACACACTCAAGCACACACACACCCAGTTTGTCTTTGTCCCTTTAAACTCTACTACCTAGAAGTGAGTGAAACGCTTCAGGTAAAGTTTAACTAAAGTGGAGTAGAACAGAACCGTCAACTTCCTTGTTCAAAATATGTACTTTTATTTCAAATTATTAGTAAGCTCCTAAACAACTCAAACCAACTAAAACCGCTTCAGCTACATGATCCAATACGGTAGCCACCAATCACATGTGATTATTGGGCACTGACTATATGGCCAATGCAACTGAGAAATTGAATTTTTAGGGTTTTGTTTTGTTTTGTTTTGTTTTGGGGGGGAAATGGAGTTTCACTCTTGTTGCCCAGGCTGGAGTGCAGTGGCACAATCTCGGCTCACTGCAACCTCTGCCTCCCGAGTTCAAGTGCTTCTCCTGCCTCAGCCTCCTGAGTAGTTGGGATTACAGATGTGCACCACCACGCCCAGCTAAAGTTTTTTGTATTTTTAGTAGAGACGGGGTTTCACCATGTTGGCCAAGCTGGTCTCAAATGCTTGACCTCAGGCGATCCACCCACCTCGGCCTCCCGAAATGCTGGGATTACAGGCGTGAGCCACCACGCCCAGCCAAATTTTTAGTTTTATATCATTTAAATGTAAAAAACAGACTCAATTCAATTCCTAAATATATATGTCAGAGACAAGGTCTCTTCTTTATCTGTGGAGAAGATAAAAAATAATAATAATAATTTTTCAAAATAAAAAGAGGCAAGGCACAGTGGCTCAAGCCTGTAATCCTAGCACTTTGGGAAGCCAAGGCAGATGAATTGCATGAGACCAGCCTAAACAACATGGCTAAACCCCATCTCTACAAAAACAAAAACGAAAAAAAATTTTTTATTAGCCAAGCATGGTGGCACACACCTGTAGTCCCAGCTACTTGCAAGGCTGAGGTGGGAGGATCACCTGAGCTTAGGAGGCAGAGGTTTAGTGAGCCGAGGCTAAATCACTGCACTCCAGCCTCAGCAATAGAGTGAGACTCTATCCCAAAAACAAAAAACAAAAACAAAAACGAAAAACAGAGAGAGAAGGTCTCACTCTGTCACCTACGCTAGTCTCAAACTCCTGGCCTCAAGTGATCCTCCTGCCTCAGCCTCCAAAAGGGCTGGGATTTGCATGAGCCACCACACCTAGCTGAAAATCTTTTAATTTTTTTTTTTTTTTTTTTTAGACACAAAATCTGGCTATGTTGCCCAGAGCAGCCTCAAACTTGCTGGGTTCAAGCAATCCTCCTACCTCAGCCTCCCAAGTAGCTGGGACTGTAGGTGCACACCAATGTGCCTGTTTTTCTGTGTGTGTGTGGTTGTATTTTTTTTGAGACAGCGTCTTACCCTATTGCCCAGGCTGGTCTTGAACTCCTGGGATCAAGCAATCCACCTGTCTCAGCCTCCCAAATTGCTGGGATTACAGGTATGAGCCACTGACCTCAACCTTAAATTTAGCTTTTGAATGGAGATATGCTGTACATATAAAATATACACTGGATTTCAAAAACCTTATATAAAAATGTAAATATATCAATAATTTATACATGTTCAACATGTAATCAGTATGAGTATTTTGGATATATTTAGTTCAGTAAAAATATATTATTATAATTAATTTCATCTGCTTCTTTTCTTTTTTTTTTTAAGGAATCTACTAGAAAATGCAAAATTTATGCATGGCTTGTATTCTTTTTCTATCAGATCATGCTGCTCCAAATTATTCAAATTAGCTGCCAGTCTGTGAGTCTTTCTCATGCAAATTTGTCCAGTTGGGTTTTCAGAGTCCATTGTAGAATCTTATACTATTTCCTTTACATTTCTATTTCTTAGATCTCACCTATCATTCTAGCCAGGCAATATGATCTGATCTTTCAGAATTATGATGCCATACATTTACAACCCCCTTCAACTTCATGTTATTTACAATTTGATAAGTAGACTTTATTTATATTCATCCAAGTCTTTGATTAAAATGTTGACAAGAGCCGGGTGCAGTGGGTCATGCCTGTAATCCCAGCATTTTAGAAGGCTGAGGCAGGCAGATCACCTGGGATCAAGAGTTCGAGAACAGCCTGGCAAACATGGCAAAAACCCATCTCTACTAAAAATACAAAAATTAGCCAGTTGAGATGGGATGTCCCTGTAATCCCAGCTACTTGGGAGGCTGAGGCAGGATAATCATTTGAACCTAGGAGGTGGAGTTTGCAGTGAGCCAAGACCGCACCACTACACTCCAGCCTGGGCAACACAGCAATATTCTGTCTCAAAAAAAATGAAATAAAAAATAAAAAATGGTGACAAGGCCAGGAATGGTGGTCTGTGCTTGCAATCCCAGCACTTTGGAGGCCAAGGCGAGTATATCACTTGAGCCCTGGAGTTTGACACCAGCCTGGACAACATGGCAAAACCGCATCTCTACTAAAAAATACAAAAATTAATCAAGACCATCCTGGCTAACACGGTGAAACCCTGTCTCTACCAAAAATACAAAAAATTAGCCAGGCATGGTGGCAGGCGCCTGTAGTCCCAGCTACTAGGGAGGCTGAGGCGGGAGAATGGTGTGAACCTGGGAGGCGGAGCTTGCAGTGAGCTGAGATGGCACCAGTGCACTCTAGCCTGGGCGACAGAGTGAGACTCCGTCTCAAAAAAAAAAAAAAAAATTAGCTGGGCATGATGGCATGCACCTGTAGTACTAGCTACTCTAGAGGCTAAGGTGGGAGGATCACTTGAGCCTGGGAGACAGTGAGCTGAGATCTCACCAGTGCACTCCAGCCTGGGTGACAGAGTGAGACCCTGTCTCAAAAAATAAAATAAAATGGTGACAAAGTCAAGGGTAAAGACATTACTATAAATCATTTTTCATGTTAAAAGTGAGCCATTTATTAAGGATTATTCTGTTGGATTTTTTGTGGGTTTTTGTTTGTTTGTTTGTTTTGAAATGGTCTTACTCTGTCGACCAAGCTGCAGTGCAGTGGTGTGATCTTAGCTCCCTGCAGCCTTGACCTCCCCAGGCTCAGGTGGTCCTCCCTTCTCAGCCTCCCAAGTAGCTGGGACTACAGGCACGCACCACCATGTCCAGCTACCTTTTGTATTTTTTGTAGAAACTGGATTTTGCCATGTTGCCCAGGCTGGTCTCGAACTCCTGAGCTAAAGCAGTCCTCCAGCCTTGGCCTCCCAAAGTGTTAGGATTACAGGCGTGAGCCACCGCACCTAGCCCTACGTTCCATTTTCAAAACACTTAAATTGTTAAGGAATCCTTCCTTGTGTTAAGTGGAAATCTGCCTCCTTACAACTTCGACTCTGGTCTTATTTCTACCCTCTGAGTTCAACCTAATTCTTCTTTCACATAATAGTTATGTATCTAGGCCGTAAGTGCCACCTTAATTCCATTCACATCCAGACTATCCCTGACACTTTCCTTCTTCATTTGGCATGGTTTTCAATCTCTTCGCCACCCTGGATGCCCATCTCCAACACACTCTAATGAGCTCATCAATGTCCTTCCAAAAAATGCAGACCCGGTACTGAGCACAGGATTCCTGCGATGCATGGCCTCTTTTCTTCCTGAAACTATACTTCCTCTAACATAGTATAATGATGTGAGGCAGTCACATTACACTGTTGACACATTCAGAACTTGCCATCTACTAAAATGCATAGATGATTTCATGAATTGATATTTACTACATATGTACCACCAGCCATCTATGACAGGCAATGCCACTCAATGTGTCACATTGTTCCCTGTGTTAAGTCATGTTTAGCCTAAAGCTGGTTCCTTGTGTATTTTAAGTTCGGCCTAAAGGTATCTCCATACATAGTGAACTGTAACCTCACTTGATGTGTAAACAGACTATAACACACTGTTGTGCCAGTCACTGAGTTTGGGCCAATCACAGGCTGCCAGCTGTTCAAACCGTTTTCAAATAAGGCAAACACTGAGCTGTAACCAATCTGGCTGTATCTATACCTCACTTCCGTTTTCTGTAGGACATTTTCCTTTTTCTGTCCATAAAATCCACCATATGGCTGCACTGGATTTTCTGAGCCTACTCTGGCTCGGGAGGCTGCCTAACTTGATATCGGTTGTTTCTCAGTTAAACTGTGTTCAACTTAATTTGTTTAAGGTTTTTCCTTTTTTTTTTTTTTTTTTTTTTTTTGAGACGGAGTCTTGCTCTGTCACCCAGACTGGAGTGCAATGGTGCTGTCTTGGCTCACTGCAACCTCTGCCACCTGGATTGAAGCGATTCTTCTGCCTCAGCCTCCAAAGTAGCTGGGATTATAGGCATGAGCCACCACACCCAACTAATTTTTGTATTTTTAGTAGAGACGAGGTTTCACCGTGTTGGCCAGGCTGGTCTCGAATTCCTAACCTCAGGTGATCTGCCCGCTTCAGCCTCCCAAAGTGCTGGGATTACAGGCATGAGTCACCATGCCCAGCCTAGGTTTTTCTTTTAACACTCAAAAGTTAGAAGTATTCTCAGGTTCCTTCTCAACACAATCTTCAATCAGCCACTGACAGCTGACACACAGATAAAGCCTATTTGACACCTAAGTGCCAAGTTATTAATATTTCTACCCCCCCATACTTCTGCAGCTGATTTTTTTCTGACAAATCAAGGGCCTTGACATTTATCCTCGATTGCATTTAGTAATACTTGATTTGGCCCATCAAGTCCACTTTTATTTTTTATTGTCTGCACGACATAGTGCTTAACAGAACATCTATGACTCGGCTCAAATGTTTCCCTTCTTCATCTTAGTTTGCTTTTATTATTGCTCCCTAATGGTTACTGGACACTATCTATTTTATCATTTGATGTATTTATTGAATGAAGTTTTATGTTCTCTACTAAAAATACAAAAATTAGCCGGGTGTAGTGGCACACGCCTGTAATCCCAGCTACTCAGGGGGCTGAGGGAGGAGAATTGCTTGAACCCGGGAGGCGGACATTGCGGTGAGCTGAGATTGTGCCATTGCACTCCAGCCTGGGCGACAAGAGAGAAACTCCTTCTCAAAAAAAAAAAAAGAGGGCGGGCGCAGTGTATCATGCCTGTAATCCCAGCACTTTGGGAGGCTGAGGCGGGCAGATCACGAGGTCAGGAGATCGAGACCAGCGTGGCTAACACGGTGAAACCCCGTCTCTACTAAAAATACAAAAAATTAACCGGGCGTGGTGGTGGCCGCCTGTAGTCCCAGCTACTTGGGAGGCTGACGCAGGAGAATTGCTTGAACCTAGGAGCCAGAGGTCACAGTGAGCCGAGATCGGGCCACTGCCCTCCAGCCTGGGTGACAGAACAAGACTTCATCTCAAAAAAAAAGAAAGAAAGAAGAGGCCATTAGGGCATTAGGGCTAGGGAAGAGGACCTGAATCCTTCAACAGCATAAACTGGTACAAGCTTTAGTTCTCCCCTGTGGGTCTATGGGATGCACAGCTGGAGGAGTACTGAAAGGACTGTTCTGTTTTTGAACTTCTACACCACAGTCTACACACACAATAGGCAAAGACAAACAAAGAATCACAATATCTTATCCGCAGGTACCCATAAAATTGACAACTGAGGCTCAATGTTCAGTAATGTGGTTCTTCTTAGAAGCAAACAAGATCTTTTGGGAAAGTTGTATTTCAGCTCCCTGGCAAGGGGAAAGTCTTTGGTCCTTGAAGAAGTGTTTCAATCAAATGTTATCCTACTGGCTAAATATATAGATTTTTACATACCTAGCTGAACTTCAGTATTATACGACTCCCTCACAAAGATCTGAATGTGTAAGCAGATGTGAGTCACCAAGCACCCTAGCTTACCCACAGACATGCAAACCTAGGAAACAGAATATTGCTCTAGAAAACATTTTAGGAAACAGAATATGATTTACATAACTCCTTCATCTCTCCTGTCCTTTATCCAGCCACCGTATTATTGGGGACATGATACTCTGCTAGACAGTCTATACTCTAATTGAAATTACCCAAAGACAACAGTGTGATGAAGTGGTTTGAGCATAGAAGCTGCAAGGAGAGATCCATTTTCCAATCCAACTAGGAGGTTAATGATTATATGTCACTTTGGAAAATCATCACCTCTTTGTTGAAATGAAAACTAAAGTCCAAATGCATGTTGCTTTGTGTTGGGTCAGACCCTCTAACCTTTAGGAAGAGAGGTCAAGGCCTCCTTCCCTCCTGTATTCCCAACCCTACAGAGAAGTTCTGATAAAGGACAAAATCCTGTCTACCAGATGCATAATTTAGTAACATTACTGGAGGGTAGAACTTTCTATGGGAGCAGAAACAGTGCTCAAAAGGCCCTGCCACCCAATAAAACAAGTGCAAGAAAGAGGGGCTTTAGGGACCCTTCAGCTTGTGAGGTGCTCTCACCTCTAACAGGCCCAGCAGGACCCCCGCGGGGCCCAGGTTAGAGGAAGCAAGCCCAGAACCAACGGATTCCAGCTGTTTCTTCTCTGGGCCTTGAGACAGGAGGAAGAAAGTCTGAGGTTTCCATGCTGTCCCCCAAAGCTTCTCAGTAGGAGAAACCTGACAGGGGTTTGGGACAAGTTTTTAACAGGAATTAAAAAGAAGAATATTGCCTACAGGCACCAACATCTCAGTAGAAGCTGAGAAAGGGGCTTGGACTGTGGGAGTACAGAAACCCATCTTCCAAAATGAGGGCCAATCTGGAACCAGTGGTCCACTGCAGTGAAAGGTAGCATCCTGGAGTGGGGTGGGCTGCTTT
Source organism: Homo sapiens (assembly GCF_000001405.40). Classification (NCBI taxonomy): domain Eukaryota; kingdom Metazoa; phylum Chordata; class Mammalia; order Primates; family Hominidae; genus Homo; species Homo sapiens. Next base: position 69,954,311 of record NC_000008.11, read on the forward strand.
CCCATCTCGGTTCGGCTTTGCACCAGCTGTGTGACCTTGAGCCTCAGCTCCCTCATCTGTAAAATTGGGGTCAATAATAGTATTCACCTCAGAGGGGTGAGACTGAAAACGTTTGAAGCACAGAAAGAGATTAGCAAGAAGTCGGCAGCAAAGTAAGTGCTCCATCATATTAGCCATTGTGATTCTAATGAAGCTTTTGAAGCTGAGGTTAGAACACGCCAATTTGGTGTCAGCATAATCGGAGCCCTGGATTCATATTATAAAGACCTACATGGAGCCTCAGAAAGGTGAGCATTAGACAAAGAACACCTGGGGCAGTCCCCTGAGAGAATATTTAATACTTGAGGAAGCTTCTGGGTGAGGACTTATTGGTCCCATCAGCATCCACCTCCACCCCCAGCAGCAGCAGCAATTCAGAACCAAGAATGAAATAAATACTAGGCTCAGTGTTAACAAAGGTACAAGAAAATGTAAAAAGGGGCCAGGCGCAGTGGCTCACGCCTATAATCCCAGCACTTTGGGAGGCCGAGGCAGGTGGATCACCTGAGGTCAGGAGTTCAAGATCAGCCTGGCCAACATGGTGAAACCCCATCTCTACAAAAATACAAAAATTAGCTGGGCATGGTGGTGGCGCCTGTAATCCCAGCTCCTCAGGAGGCTGAGGCAGGAGAATCGTTTGAACCCAGGAGGCTGATGTTGCAGTGAGCCAAGATCACGCCATTGCACTCCAGCCTGGGCGAAAGACCGAGATTCCTTCTCAAAAAAAAAAAAAAAAAGCTAGGTGTTGGTGATAGAAAAGCAAAACTATCACACAAAATCCCTGACTTTGTGGTGTTTATGTTCTAGTGGGTAGAGAGAGAGGACAAATATATAACCAATGCAAATATCACACAACCCTGTTTAATTATCATGAAGAAAACAGCAAGATAAGGAGATAGAGTTTGCTGGGGGTGGGTGGGGGAACTTTAGATTAAGTGGGCAGGAAGGTCTTCTCAGAGGAGATGACGTTTGAGGAGACAACTGACTGAAGTGACAAAAAAACTGGATCCGTATGAGAGGCACTCCCTGCAGAGGAACCAGCGCAAAAGCACTGAGGCAGAGCACTTTGTGGTCAGTGTACAGGGAGGCCCAGGGCAAGGATAAGCAGTTAGGGTCTTGATTGAAAGGACAACTCACCACCACACACCTGTACTCCATGCACTACTTTTTCTTTTTATTTAATTTTATTTATTTATTTTGAGATAGAGTCTCACTCTGTTGCCCAGGCTGGAGTGCAGTGGTGTGATCTTGGCTCATTGCAACCTCCGCCTCCTGGGTTCAAGCAATTCTGCTTCAGCCTCCCCAGTAGCCACCACGCTCAGCTAATTTTTGTATTTTAGTAGAGACAGCGTTTCACCATATTGGCCAGGCTGGTCTCCTGACCTCAAGCAATCCACCCACCTCCGCCTCCCAAAGTGCTAGGATTACAGGCAAGAGCCACTGCGCCCGGCCCATGCACTACTTTTGCTTTCTTCCAAGTGCTTATCACCTAACAATCTTTAAAATTTACTTCCATGTCATGTTTATATTTACTATCTCCCCTGGCCAGAATGCAAGCCCCTGTGGCATGGGGGGTCTTATTTGCTGCACCGATCCATCCCAAATATCTTAAAACTGGCCTTGCACATGGCATAGAGCTCATGATAAAGACCCAAAGAATGACATGTAAGCCAAGATACAGACTTAGAGTTCATTCTAAGGGCAGTGGCACTTTGGCTATTTTTTGAGCAGAAAAATAACATGATCGCCGGGCGCCGTGGCTCATGCCTGTAATCCCAGCACTTTGGGAGGCCAAGGAGGGCAGATCACGAGGTCAGGAGATCGAGACCATCCTGGCCAACATGGTGAAACCCCGTCTCTACTAAAAATACAAAAAATTAGCCGGGCGTGATGGCAGGCGCCTGTAGTCCCAGCTACACAGGAGGCTGAGGCAGGAGAATGGCGTGAACCTGGGAGGCGGAGCTTGCAGTGAGCCGAGATTGCGCCACTGCACTCCAGCCTGGGTAACAGAGTGAGACTCTGTCTCAAAAAATAATAATAATAATAACATGATCAAATTTGGGTTTGATTGCTTTCTCTACTACGAGGGAAAAAAGACCAAAATGAATGAATGAATGAATGAATGAATGAAAGACTGAATGAATCTCAGAGTCTATAATTCCTGCTTTGGGGAGGAGGATTTTTTAGGTGCAATTCAAATTGGAAGCTGCTCTGTGCTAGTATCCAAAAGTTGAGCAGTATCCCCATTGCATCCCCACCGACACAAGCACCTGGCTCACAGGGACTCTGAGAGTGACAGATGAGAGAGCTGCCGACAGTGCAGTGAGGCGCCTACCCTCCCAGGATGAAGTGGGGACTTCCAAAAGTGAGCGAACCTCAACTCTTCAGAGCTCTGAGCAACTGCAGAGAGAGACCTAGTGTTTCCGTGGTTGGTATCCATCTGGTGCCTATCATCAGGGAGCGGCAGAGAAAGAGCCAGAAAAGAACCAGGGCAGCCACAGGGTTCCGGGTGTGACAGATGAAGACATCTCCTGACATGCCCAGTCCAGTGCCCCACAGCTGCCTCAGGATGAATTAGGGCTTAATACCAAAGCCACACAACACGGTGTTTGTGATATATTTACTCACGCTTAAGCCAGTGGTTTCAGAAAACAGAAGTCTCACTTCATTGTGTAGTTCAGCCATTCTCAGAAAATACTTTTTTTTTCAGATGGAGTCTCACTTTGTCACCCAGGCTGGAGTGCAATGGCTCGATCTTGGCTCACTGCAACCTCCACCTCCTGGGCTCAAGGGATTCTCCTGCCTCAGCCACTTGAGTAGCTGGATACCCGTGCCTGCCGCTAAGCCCACCTTATTTTTGTATTTTTAGTAGAGACAGGGTTTGGCCATGTTGGCCAGGCTGGTCTCAAACTCCTGACCTCAGGTGATCTGCCCGCCTCAGCCTCCTAAAGTGCAGGGATTACCGGTGTGAGCCACCATGCCTGTCCTCAAAGAACACTTTTGATGTTATTATAAGGTCCTGAATTAAAGAACCTCTTCAGATGTTGGTAAAGTTAACAGTCTCATGAAAACAGACATCTAGGCCAGGCGCGGTAGCTCACGCCTGTAATCCAAGCACTTTGGGAGGCCAAGGTGGGTGGATCACCTGAGGTCAGGAGTCCAAGACCAGCCTGGCCAACATGGTGAAACCCCCGTCTCTACTAAATGCAAAAATTAGCCGGGAATGGTGGCACCTGCCTGTAATCCCAGCTACTTGGGAGGCTGAGGCAGAATAATTGCTTGAACCTGGGAGGCGGAGGTTGCAGTGAGCTGAGATTGTGCAGTTGCATTCCAGCCTGGGCCACAGAGCAAGACTCCCTCTCAAAAAGAAAAAAAAAAATACAAACAGACATCCAGAGTACATACAGTACCCCCTTCTTCAGTGGTGCCTTCCTACCATCTGGGGTGTTACACACTTTCCTTTCATGCCATGTTGTTTTAATTATGCAACTTTATTCATCTATAGTATATGTGATAAAGAGCAAAGGATCTGTGTATATTCCTTATGAATGTCACGTTTTTCTACATATAATTTTTTTTTTTGAGATAGGGTCTCATTCTGTCACCCAGACTGGTGTGCAGTGGAGCGATCTTGGCTCACTGCAGCCCTGACCTCCCATGCTCAGGTGATCCTCCCACCTCAGCTTCCAGAGTAGCTGGGACCACAGACGTGCACCACCACACCCAGCTAATATATTTTTCTTTTTTTTTTTTTTTTGAGACAGAGTCTCGCTCTGTCACCCAGGCTGGAGTGCAGTGGCGCAATCTTGGCTCACTGCAAGCTCCACCACCCAGGTTCAAGCCATTCTCCTGCCTCGGCCTCCCGAGTAGCTGGGACTACAGGCGCCTGCCACCACGCCCAGTTATTGTTTTTTTTTTTTATTTTTAGTAGAGACAGGGTTTCACCGTGTTAGCCAGGATGGTCTCAATCTCCTGACCTCATGATCTGCCCCCCTCGGCCTCCCAAAGTGCTGGGATTACAGGCGTGAGCCATCGCACTCGGCCCCAGCTAATATATTTTTTTATTATTATTTATAAAGATGGGAGTCTCACTATGTTGCCCTGACTGTCTCAAACTCCTGAGCTCAAGGGATCCTCCCACCTCAGCCTCCCAAAGTGCTGGGATTACAGGCGTGAGCCATGGTGCCTGGTGTATTTAATTTAATTTTTAAGTACACAGTGTTTATCTCATTCCATATCAACGTTTTCTCTAATTAAATGAGCAATCTGCCCACAGAAAGGCTGCGAGGAGGAAACAGTCACATACACAGAAAGGAATGTACCTTTAGAATGTACCTATAGTTTCTCTTTGACTTATAGCTCCAGGTTTCCTCTTTCAGCTTCTATAATCCTGTGCAAGAGATATTTTACATTTCCTAAAACCTTTTAAAAGCTTGAAGTTTGGTAAATTAGACAGTATCGTCTTTCTTTCTCCTTTGGAAGAAGAAATTGCAGTCTTGTCTTTTACCTAAATCATTTTATGGGCCATTAATTGAATACATAATGTTTCTTAGCAAAGGCTGTAGGGTCATTTACCATTTTCAACTTGACAACTACCCGTGATCACAGGAATGCAATGCGGAGAGAGGTGACAGGGAGCATTTTTTTTTTTTTTTTTTTTGAGACAGGGTTTTGCTCTAGTTGCCCAGGCTGGAGTGCAATGGCACGATCTCGGCTCACCGCAATCTCCGCCTCCCGTATTCAAGCGATTCTCCTGCCTCAGCCTCCCGAGTAGCTGGGATTACAGGCATGCACCACCATGCCCGGCTAATTTGTATTTTTAGTGGAGATGAGAGTTTCTCCAGGTTGGTCAGCCTGGTCTTAAACTACTGACCTCAGATGATCCGCCAGCCTTGGCCTCCCAAAGTGCTGGATTATAGGCGTGAGCCACTATGCCCAGCCGACAGGGAGCTTTTATGAAGAGCACAGGCCTGGCTAAAATTAGAAAGCTACATATTTTTTTAGTCTCTTATTTTGCATTGACAAATGAGTGAGTAACTACCAATTTTTCCACGATAATGGATTTTTGTTTTAATTGGAAATTCTCAATATCAAAAAGTCTCTTGGTATGATACTTTTGTTTAGAAAACCAGGGGCTATATTATATTTTGCTCTTTGAGATTCAAGAAATACCTAGACAAAAGACCAAAGAACTCACATCCAAATACCCACCTTTTGGCCCTTGAGTGATACATTTTTTTCATGAAGACACAGGGGCTGTGAACTGCTTTCCTAGCCAAGATCAGAGGAGTGGTGCTTGGGTTTCTCAGGAAATAACTCTACAAGTGACTAGGCCACTAGACTCAGAGCAGGGAAAGTGATACTCCCTTGAAAAGGTGTCAAACAAACCAAAAAAGGAGTTTCAGTCAGAATTCTGAGCCTTGGCCAGGCGCAGTGGCTCACGCCTATAATCCCAGCACTTTGGGAGACCAAGGCGGGTGGATCACTTGAGGTCAGGAGTTAGAGACAAGCCTGGCCGACATGGCGAAACCCCATCTCTATTAAAAATACAAAAAAAATTAACCTGGCGTGGTGGTGGCCACCTGTAATCCCAGCTACTCAGGAGGCTGAGGCAAGAGAATCACTTGAGCCAGGGAGGCAGAGGTTGTAGTGAGCCGAGATCACGCCGCTGCCGCTGCACTCCAACCTGGGCAACAAAGTAAGACTCTGTCGGAAAAAAAAAAAAAAAAAGAATTCTGAGCCCTAGGAGAAGATAACAAAATAAAGCTCTTAATCAAAACACCCTCCACCACCAGTTAACCCCCTTCCACCCCACAACCACTAACCCTTGATTGTCTGAAGAGAACGTGCTTAATTGAATCAAAGTTATCACAGGAAGGGCTGCAACCACCACTGGCTTGGTCGGTTTCTTCCATCACGAGGGAGCTAGCACACCCTTTCCTAAAAAAAAATATATATATATATTGTGGGCTGGGTGCAGTGGTTCACACCTGTGATCCCAGCACTTTGGGAGACCGAGGTGGCAGGATCACCTGAGGACAGGAGTTCGAGACCAGCCAGGCCAACATGGTGAAATCCTGTCTCTACTGAAAATACAAAAATTAGCCGGGCGTGGTGGCAGGCACCTGTGATCTCAGCTACTTGGGAGGCTGAGGCAGAAGAATGACTTGAACACGGCAGGCAGAGATTGCAGTGAGCCAAGATCATGCCATTGCACGCCAGGCTGGGTGAGAAGAGCGAAACTCCGTCCCAAAAAATAAATTAAAATAAAAATTTACCATTGTAACCATTTTTTTGTTGTTGTGTATGGGAAAATAACTGGAACATAAAGTTTACCATTTTAACCACTTTTTTTTTTTTTGAGAGAAAGTTTTGCTCTGTCATCCAGCCTGGAGTGCAGTGGTGCGATCTCAGCTTGCTGCAACCTTCGCCTCCCGGGTTCAAGCAATTCTCTGCCTCAGCCTCCTGAGTAACTGGGATTACAGGTGCCCACCACCATGCCCGGCTAATTTTTGTATTTAATCACTTTTTTTTTTCTCTAGACAGAGTCTTGCTCTGCTTCCCAGACTGAAGTGCAGTGGCACAATCTCGGCTCACTGCAAGCTCCACCTCCCGGGTTCAAGCGATTCTCCTGCCTCAGCCCCCTGGGTAGCTGGGATTACAGGTGCACACCACTACACCCAGCAATTTTGTTTATTTTTAGTAGACAGGGGGTTTCACCATGTTGGCCAGGCTGGTCTTGAACTTCTGACCTCATGATCCACCTCGAAATCCCCCAAAGTGCTGGGATTTCAGGCATGAGCCACCGCGGCCAGCCTTGTATTTAACCACTTTTAAGTGTACAGCTCGGTAGCATTAAATACAGTCACATTGTTGTGCAATCATCACCACCATCCATCTCTGGAACTTTTTCATCTTTCCAAAAGGGAACTCATATCCACTAAACACTAACTCCCCATTCCCACCCTCCTCTCAGCCCTAAGCAACCACCATTCTATTTTCTGCTTCCATGAATTTAACTATTCTAGGAACCTTATATAATATAGGAATCACCAGTCTGGGCAACATAGAGCAACCCCGTCTCTACAAAAAAATTAACAAAATTTGCCAAGTATGGTGACATGCCTGAAGTCCCAGCTACTCGGGAGGCTGAGGTGAGAGGATCGCTTGAGCCCAGGAATTTGAGGCTGCAGCAAGCCAAGATTGTACCACTGCACTCCAGCCTGGGTGACATAACAAGATCCTGTCTCAAAAAAACAAAACAAAACAAAACAAATCAAAACAAAAAAACAGGAATCATGCTATTTGTCCTTTATGACTAACATTTTGCTTTTTTTTTTTTCAGGCAGAGTTTCACTCTTGTCACCCAGGCTGGGGTGCAATGGTGCGATCTTGGCTCACTGCAACCTCCACCTCCCAGTTCAAGTGATTCTCCTGCCTCAGCCTCCTGAGTAGCTGGGATTACAGGTGCCCACCACCACGCCCAGCTAATTTTTGTATTTTTAGTAGAGACGGGGTTTTGCCATGTTGGCTAGGCTAGTCTCGAACTCCTGACCTCAGGCGATCCACCCACCTCAGCCTCCCAAAGTTCTGGCATTATAGGCATGAGCCACTGCACCCAGCCGAACTTCTGTTGTTTTAAGCCACTTCACTGATGGTACTTTGTTACAGCAGCCCTAGGAAACTAATACAGAACCCAATACCCAGAAATCACAGCAACAACACACATTCACATTCACATCACTGTTATTTTCAAAACTTTTTTTTTTTTTGAAACACAATCTTGCTCTGTCGCCCAGGTTGGTGTGCAGTGGTTCAATCGCTGCTCACTTCTGCCTCAACTCCTGGGCTCAAGAGATCCTCAGCCTCGCAAGTAGCTAGACTACAGGTGTGCACCACCGCATCTGGCTATTTTTTTTTTCTTTTCTTTTTATTTTCGTAGAGACAGAGTTTTGCCAGATTTCAAAAGGCCACCTGGGCCTCCCAAAATGCTGGGATTATAGACATGAACCACCATAACGTGCCTTTTCATACTTTTTATAAGAGTTGTTGAGCTAGGAGGCTTTCTTGAAGAAATGATCACCTGCCATATTTTCAGATTTCCCTAAGCACTTATGAATCAATAAATCATAACCTTAGTTAATAAAATTGTCTCTATTGGCTGGAAGGTTTTATTTTTAGTAAATAGACATTTCTTTTTAAAATTTTTATGTATTAGTTTGTTTTTAATAATAAAGATAATAGAGATGATGTATTGCTGTATGGCCCAGCCTGGTCTCAAACTCCTGGGCTCAAGCAATCCTCCTGCCTCAGCCTCCCAAAGTGCTGAGATTACAGGTGTGAGCCACTGGACCCTACCCACATAGACATTTCTAATCCCTACACTTGGCTCACTTTCCTATGAAAATTACAAACCCAAATTTGTTCGATTGTTCCTGAGTCAGACTTACAAAAACAAATTAGAGTCAGAGGTGATTCAGTGAGCCAGAAGGAAAGCAAATGGACTCTACAGTCATTTTATTTCTCTGAAAATACATTTGCTGAGGGATGTTACACAGATGGTTTCAGAAGCTCATCAGGCTTTCCAAAATTTCCCTGTGCTTCCCAAAAGGTCATTTCTATTTTGAACCCATTTTCTCCAGTAGTCAGGAAAGGTCCAAGAACCCATCCATCGCTGCTGCCTCATCAGCTCATTGAAATAAAACCAGGATGGGGCTCTGAGCTCCCACACTTAAAAATAGCATCACAGCTGTTATTGCCTATTTGTCTCTGATGCCGTGTTTTTCTTTAATGCAGCAAAGAAGACGTAAAAAGTATGTGCAGAAGACATGAAGCATCTACCTAATGAGATATCTGATGTGTTAATTGTGAGTAGTAACTAAAATTAAGGCCGGGTACAGTGGCTCACGCCTGTAATCCTGCCACTTTGAGAGGCCAAGGCGGGTAGATCACCTGAGGCCAGAAGTTCAAAACCAGCCTGGCCAACATGGTGAAATCCCATCTCTACTAAAAATACGAAAAAAAATTACCCGGGCATGGTGGCTCAAGGAGAGTAGTCCCAGCTACTCGGGAGATTGAGGCATGAGAATCGCTTGAACCCGGGAGGTGAATCAAGTTGAAGTGAGCTGAGATCGCGTCACTGCACTCCAGCCTGGGAGACAGAGTTAGACTCTGTCTCAAATTAAATAAATTAATTAAATAAAAAATAAAATTAATTGACTAATAGTCTTTGTATTCCATTTTATTAGTGAGAAAAAAACAGAATGGGAGTATAAAATCAAACAACATCAGAGCGGGGAGGGTGGAGGAGAGATTGCAGCAACAGAGAAATATATTATTATTTACACACTTGCACACACACACACACATACACACACACACACACACACACAGTGAGACTACCAGAGGAAAAAGTGTCACATTTAAGGGCGCTGTTAATGGCAAAGAATGGCCATGAATAGACAGTTTAGGGAAATTAAAGCAGAAAAGGCCTGCAACATGTGAAAAGATGCTCAATTTCACTCACAGTGAAGAAAGTATACGTGTGTTAAACCTCCATGGAGATATCATAATGTCTTATCTATCAGGCTGGCAAAAAATCAAAATTTGGGCAACATACTCTGTGGGGGATATAGGAGAAGTACAACCCCTATGGAGGTAATTTAGCAATATATATTAAAATTACAAATGCATTGACCCTTTCAAGTGGCAAGGGTGCTTTTAAGAATTTATCCTAAGTTATCCCTGGATACATTCTAAATAAGCAAGATTATTAAAATCAGCATGACTTCTAATAGCAAAAGGTGAAGACAATCCAATTGTCCATCTATAGAAAACTTTTTTTGTCTATATGGAGTCTCACTCTGTTGCCTGGGCTGGAGTTCAATGGCACAATCTCGGCTCACTGCAACGTCCACCTCCCAGGTTCAAGCCAAGCAATTCTCCCACCTCATCCTCTGAGAAGTCGGCTAATTTTTGTATATTTAGTAGAGACGGGATTTCACCATGTTGGTCAGGCTGGTCTTGAGCTGCTGACCTCAAGTGATATACTTACCTCAGCCTCCCAAAGTGCTGGGATTATAGGTGTGAGCCACCATGCCCAGCCCATCTATAGAAATTTTTAAATTAATGACAACACGTTCAACAATGGAGAAAAGAATGGGAAAGCACCAGGCACAGTGGCTCATGCCTGTAATCCCAGCACGTTGGGAGGCTGAGGCAGGCAGATTACTTAAACCTAGGAGTTCAAGACCAGCCTGGGCAACATAGTGAGACCCCGTCTCTAACAAAAATCAAAAATTAAAACAGAATTGGGCTGGGTGCAGTGGCTCACACCTGTAATCCCAGCATCTGGGGAGGCTGAGGTGCACAGATCACTTTAGCCTAGGAGTTCAAGACGAGTCTGGGCAACACAGTGAGACCCCATCTCCCCCCCAAAAAAATTAAAATTAAATAAATTTTATTTTACTTATTTATTTTATTTATTTATTTATTTTCATTTTTCATTTTTTTTGAGAAAGAGTCTCACTCTATTGCCCAGGCTGGAGTGCAGTGGTGCAATCTTGGCTCACTGCAACCTCCTGCAACCTCCGCCTCCCAGGTTTAAGCAATTCTCCTGCCTCAGCCTCCTGAGTAGCTGGGACTACAGGTGCGTGCCACCACGCCCAGCTAATTTTTTGTGTTTTTTTTTTTAGTAGAGACGGGGTTTCACCATGTTGGCCAGGCTGGTCTCGATCTCTTGACCTCGTGATCCACTCACCTTGGCCTCCCAAAGTTCTGGGATTACAGGCATGAGCCACCACGCCCAGCCTTTTTTTTTATTTTTTGAGATGGAGTTTTGCTCTTGTTGCCCAGGCTGGAGTTCAATGGCATGATCTTGGCTCACTGCAACCTCTGCCTCCTGGGTTCAAGCGATCCTCCTGCCTCAGCCTCCCGAGTAGTGGGGATTACAGGCATGCACCACCACGCCCAGCTAATTTTGTAATTTTAGTAAAGACGGGGTTTCTTCATGTTGGTCAGGCTGGTCTCAAACTCCTGACCTCAGGTGATCCACCCACCTCAGCCTCCCAAAGTGCTGGGATTACAGGCATGAGCCACTGCACCTGGCAATAAATTTTAAAAATAGGCTGGGCGCATTGGCTCAAGTCTGTAATCCCAACACTCTGGGAGGCCAAGGGTGGGCGGATGACCTGAGCTCAGGAGTTTGAGACCAGCCTGGCCAACATGGTGAAACCCCGTCTCTACTAAAAATACAAAAGTCGGCCGGGCACGGTGGCTCACGCCTGTAATCCCAGCACTTTGGGAGGCCGAGGCGGGTGGATCACGAGGTCAGGGGTTTGAGACCAGCCTGACCAACATGGTGAAACCCCATCTCTACTAAAAATACAAAAATTAGCTGGGCCTGGTGGTGCATGCCTGTAATCCCAGCTACTCAGGAGGCTGAGGCAGGAGAATTGCTTGAACCTGGGAGGCAGAGGTTGCAGTGAGCCGAGATCACACCACTGCACTCCAGCCTGGGTGACAGAGCAAGACTCTGTCTCAAAAAAATAAAATAACATAAAATACAAAATAAAAAAATAAAAATACAAATACAAAAATTAGCCAGTGGTGGTGGCGCGCATCTGTAGTCCCAGATACTCGGGAGGCTGAGGCAGGAGAATCACTTGAACCTGGGAGGCAGAGGCTGCAGTGAGCTGAGATCGCACCACTGCACTCCAGCCTGGGCAACAGAGTGAGACTTTGTCTCAAAAAAAAAAAATTAAAAAATAAAAAAAGAATGGGAAAGCTTTATATGTACAGACATCTAAAAATCTTCATGATATATATTGGATCTTTTTTTCCCCCCCAGGACCAAGACTTTCCAGGAAAAAAAAAAGGTGCAAAATAATTGTTGTGGTATTAAAATATGTGCACAGATTCTTTGATACTTCTCCCTTCAAGAGGTGGAGCCTAATGCCCCTTCCCTTTGAGTAGAGATTGGGCTTAGACGCTGGCTTCTCGGGAATAGAATGAGAAAAGAAGTGGCCGGGCCGGGTGGCTCATGCCTGTAATCCCAGCACTTTGGGAGGCCGAAGCGGGTGGATCACCTGAGGTCGGGAGTTGGAGACCAGCCTGACCAACATGGAGAAACCCCGTCTCTACTAAAAATACAAAATTAGCTGGGCGTGGTGGCACATGCCTGTAATCCCAGCTACTAGGGAGGCTGAGGCAGGAGAATTGCTTGAACCTGGGAGGCGGAGGTTGCAGTGAGCCGAGATCGCGCCATTGCACTCCAGCCTGGGCAACAAGAGCAAAACTCCGTCTCAGGGCCGGGAGCGGTGGCTCACGCCTGTAATCGCAGCACTTTGGGAGGCCGAGGCGGGCGGATCACGAGGTCAGGAGATCGAGACCATCCTGGCTAACATGGTGAAACCCCGTCTCTACCAAAAATACAAAAAATTAGCCGGGCGTTGTGGCGGGCGCCTGTAGTCCCAGCTACTCGGGAGGCTGAGGCAGGAGAATGGAGTGAACCCTGGAGGCGGAGGTTGCAGTGAGTCGAGATCGCACCACTGCCCTCCAGCCTGGGCGACAGATCGAGACTCGGTCTCAAAAAAAAAAAAATTCCGACTCAGAAAAAAAAAAAAAGAATGAGAAAAGAAGTGATGGTGACTGCAGAGACTCCATAAAAGGCACTGCCGCTTCCTCCTTGCCCTTTCTCTTGAATCACTGCCATGAAAACACGCAGATGGTCCCATGTGTCAAGCCACTGAGGACTCCAGCCAATGGCCATGTGAGCAAGTCCTGTTTGGAAGTAGGTCCTCTATCCATGTTTAAGCTTTCAGATGACTGCAGCCCTGGCCGATAGCTTGACTGAAACCTCTTGTGAGACCTTGAGCTAGAACCACCCAGATGAATCATTTCTGGATTCACAACTCTCAGAAACTGAGAGAAGTAATAAATGTTTGTTGTTGCATGATGCTGAATTTAGGGAAATTTGCTATGCAGCAATAACTAACTAATCTAAGAGTGTTAAGCAGGCTACTTTTTGTGTAATAAAGGAGATAAATAATACAGGCACATCTTGTTTTATCGAGCTTCACAGATACTGTGTTTTTTACAAATTGAAAGTTTCTGGCAACCCTGCATTGAGCAAGTCTATTGGCACCATTTTTCATTGCCCTTTTGTTTTGTTTTTCAGAGACAGGTTCTTATTCTATTGCCCATGCTGGAGTACAAATCATAGCTCACTGCAGCCTCAAACTCCTGGGCTCAAGTGATCCTGCTGCCTCAGTAGCTGGGACTACAGGTATGAGCCACTGTTCCTGGCTAATATACATATATACATTAAACAATACATATACATATATGTATATGTGTATTGTAGGGACAGGGTCTTACTATGTTGCCCAGACTAGTCTTGGACTCCTGGCCTCAAGCAATCCTTCTGCCTCAGCCTCCCAAAGCACTGTGATAACAGGCATAAGCCACCATGCCCTGGTGCCATTTTTCCAAAAGCAGATGCTCACTTCAAATATCTGTGTCACATTTTGGTAATTCTTGCAACATTTCAAACTTTTCATTGTTATTATATCTGTTGTAGTAAACTGTGATCAGTGATCTTTGATGTTACTATTGTAATTGTTTGGGGGCACCATAAACCACCCCCGTGTAAGACTGTAAACTTAATTGAGAAATGCATTTGTTCTGACTGCTCCATCAACTAACTTTCCCCCATCTCTCTCCCCTTCCTCGGGACCTCTGTATTCCCTGGACTAATATTAACATTGGACTAATATTAAAATTAGGCCAATGAAAGACCCTACAATGGCCTCTAAGTGTTCAAGTGAAAGGAAGAGTTGCACATCTCTCACTTTAAACCAAAAACTAGAAATGATTAAGCTTAATGAGGAAGGCAAGTCCAAAACAGAGACAGGCCAAAACCTAGGCCTCTTGCGCCAAACAGTTATCCAAGTTGTGAATGCAAATGAAAAGTTCTTGAAGGAAGTTAAAAGTGCTCCTCCAGTGAACACATAAGTGATAAGAAAGTGAAATGCCTTATTGCTGATATGGAGAAAGTGAGTGGTCTGCATAGATCAAACCTGCCACAGCATTCCCTTAAGCCAAAGCCTAATTCAGAGCAAGGCCCTAACTCTCTTTAATTCCATGAAAGCTGAAAGAGGTGAGGAAGCTGCAGAAGAAAAGTTTGAAGCAAGCACAAGTTGTCTTAACAAAAGAAGCCATCTCTATAACATAAAAGTGGAAGGTGAAGCAGCAAGCATTGATGGAGAAGCTGCAGCAAGTTATTCAGAAGATCTAGCTCAGATCACTGATGAAGGTCAACACACTAAACAAGAGATTTTCAAGGTAGGTGAAACAGCCTTCTACTGGAAGAAGATGCTTTCTAGGACTTTCATAGCTAAAGGGGAGAAGTCAATGCCTTGCTTCAAAGCTTCAAAGGACAGTCTGGCTCTCTTGTTAGGGGCTAATGCCACTGGTGACTTTAAGGTGAAGCCAAAGCTCATTTACCATTTTTAAATCCTAGGGCCTTTAAGAATTATGCTAAATCTACTAAGCTTGTGCTCTAGAAATGAACAGCAAAGCCTATATGACAGCACATCTGTTAACAGTATGGTTTACTGAATATTTTAAGCCCATTGTTGAGACCTACTGCTCAGAAAAAAAAGATTCCTTTCAAAATATTACTGTTCATTGACAATGGGACCTGGTCACCCAAGAGTTCTGATGGAGATGTACAAGGAGATGAATGCTGTTTTCATGCTGCTACCACAGCACCCATTCTGCAGCCCACAGATCAAGGAGTAATTTCAACTTTCAAGTCATGTTTTTTAAGAAATACATTTTAAGAAGGTCAGGCACTGGCCGGACATGGTGGCTCATGCCTGTAATCCCAGCACTTTGGGAGGCCAAGGTGGGTGGATCATCTGCAGTTAGGAGTTTGAGACCAGCCTGACCAACATGGTGAAATCCTATCTCTACTAAAAATACAAAAATTAGCTGGGCATGGTGGTGCATGCCTGTAATCTTAGATACTCAAGAGGCTGAGGCACAGGAATCACTTGAACCAGGAGGTAGAGATTGCAGTGAGCCGAGATTGTGCCACTGCACTCCAGCCTGGGTGGCAGAGTGAGAATTCATCTCAAAAAAAAAAAAAAAAGAAAGAAAGAAAAAGAAAAAGAAATACATCTTAAGGCCATAGCTGCCACAGATAGGTATTCCTATGATGGATCTGGGCAAAGTACACTAAAAACCTCCTAGGAAGGATTCACCATTCTAGATGCCATTAAGAACATTCATGATTCATGGGAAGAGGTCAAAATATGAATATTAACAGAAGTTTGGAAGAAGTTGATTCCAACCCCCATGGATGATTTTGAGGGGTTAAGAGTTCAATGGAGGAAGTCATCACAGGTGTGGTGGAAATAGCAAGAGAATGAGAATTACAAATGAACCCTGAAGACATGACTGAACTGCTGCAATCTCACGATGAAACTTGAACAAGTGAGGGGTTGCTTCTTAAGGATGAGCAAAGAAAGGGGTTTCATGAGATGAAATCAGCTCCTGGTGAAGATGCTATGAACATTGTTGAAACAACATAAAGGATTTAAAATATTACATAAACTTAGTTTGATAAGGCAGGGGCAGGGCTTGAGAGGATCAACTCCAATTTTGAAAGAAATTCTACTGTGGGTAAAATGCTATCAAATAGCATTGCATGTTACAGAGAAATCTTTCATGAAAGGAAGAATCCATCAATGGGCAAACTTCATTGTTGTCTTATTTTAAGACACTGCCATGGCCACCCCAACCTTTAGCAACCACCACCCTGATCAGTCAGCAGCCATCCACATCAAGGCAAGGCAAGACTCTTCACCAGCACGAAGACTATGACTTGCTGGGCCAGGTGCGGTGGCTCACGCCTGTAGTCTCAGCACTTTGGGAGGCCAAGGCAGGTGGATCCCCTGAGGTTGGGAGTTCAAGACCAGCCTAACCAACATGGAGAAACCCGTCTCTACTAAAAATACAAAAAATTAGCTAGGCTTGGTGGCACATGCCTGTAATCCCAGCTACTCAGGAGGCTGAGGCAGGAGAATTGCTTGAACCCAGGAGGTGGAGGGTGCAGTGAGCCGAGATCATGCCATTGCACTCCAGCCTGGGCAACAAGAGCAAAACTCTGTCTCACGAAAAAAAAAAAGAAGAAGAAAAAAAAGACTATGACTTGCTGAAGGCTCAGATGACCATTAGCATTTTTTACCAATAAAGTATTTAGTATTATTATTAATTATTATTATTAGTTTTTAGAGACAAGGTCTCACTCTGTTGCCTAGGCTGGAGTATAGTGGCACAATCATAGCTCACAGTAACCTCAATTCCTGAGCTCAAGTGATCCTCTTGCCTCAGCCTCCCAAGTAGCTAGTACTATAGGCGTATGCCACCACACTCAACTAATTTCTTTTTTTTTTTTTCTGAGATGGAGTCTTGCTCTGTCACCCAGGCTGGAGTGCAGTGGCGCGATCTCGGCTCACTGCAACCTCTGCCTTCCAGGTTCACGCCATTCTCCTGCCTCAGCCTCTGAAGTAGCTGGGACTACAGGCGCCCGCCACCATGCCCAGCTAATTTTTTGTATTTTTAGTAGAGACGGGGTTTCACCGTGTTAGCCAGGATGGTCTCAATCTCCCGACCTCATGATCAGCCCGCCTTGGCCTCCCAAAGTGCTGAGATTACAGGCATGAGTCACCCTGCCCGGCCCAACTAATTTCTTTAATTTCTAATTTTTTAGAGGTGAAGTCCTGTGATGTTGCCTAGGTTGGTCTTGAGCTCCTGGCCTCCAGCAATTGGACTCCCAAAGTGCAGGGATTACAGAGCCACTGCACCTGGCCTACAATAAAGTTTTGTTTTTGTTTTTGTTTTTATTTTTGTTTTTTTAATAGACAGAGTCTCCCTCTGCTGTCACCAGGCTGGAGTGCAGTGGCACGATCTCGGCTCACCGCAACCTCCGCCTCCCAGGCTCAACCTCAGCCTCCCAAGTATCTGGGCCTACAGGCACGCACCACCATGCCCAGCTAATTTTTGGTTTTTTAGTAGAGATGGGGTTTCACTGTGTTGGCCAGGCTGGTCTCGAACTCCTGACCTTGTGATCCACCTGCCTCAGCCTCCCAAAGTGTTGGGATTACAGGCATGAGCCACCACTCCTGGCCAAAAATTTTGTTTTTAATTAGCGAGGCGTGGTGGCAAGCACCTGTAGTCCTAGCTACTTGGGAGGCTGAGGTGGGAGGATCACTTGAGCCAGGAGGTCAAGACCTCAGTCAGTCATGATCCCGCCACTGCACTCCAGCTTCAGTGACAAAGTGAGACCCTGTCTCAAAAAAATAAATAAATAAAGTAAGAAAAGAATTAAGGACCTCATTAAAGAAATGGTAAATGGCATAGATATTACAAGAATGTTGTAAATTGTTACATGTTTTCCATTCAGTATATTTCTTTTTGGATGAATACTACGAAAAAAAAATGAGAAGGGAAACAAGACAGAAATTTTAGATGTTGGCCAATAACTTTTTAGCTTACTTTATAAAAATGGGTAATATACTGTGGATCCCTCCCAAATTGCTTGCCAATTGACCTAGTTTTTTTTTTTGTTTTTTTTTTTTTTGAGATGGAGTTTTGCTCTTGTCACCCAGGCTGAAGTGTAATAGTGAGATCTCGGCTCACTGCAACCTCTGCCTCCCGGGTTCAAGCGATTCTGCTGCCTCAGCCTCCTGAGTAGCTGGGATTACAGGTGCCACCACCACAACTGGCTAATTTTTGTATTTTTAGTAGAGACGGGGTTTCACCATGTTGGCCAGGCTGGGCTCGAACTCCTGACCTCATGTGATTCACCCACCTTGGCCTCCCAACATGCTGGGATTACAGGCATGAGCCACCGCGCCTGGCCTTACCTAATTTTTTGTGGGTACAAAAGTAAGCACCCTCTGTCTAACTCTTGGCTATGGGAATGATTCCCTCCAGGTTTGTGGAAAGACCTAACCTTGACCCTGCTCATGGCTGATAAGTCCCACTGGGAACCTGGCTGAGCCGTGGCAATCAAAATCCTTTCCTCCTTAAATGTGCATAGGACTCTGAGGGAGGTTAACCTCTGCAGGAGGCTGGACCTGCTGTATCTAAATGCAGAAGCTGATGGTAGCCATTTTATACTCTGTTGTGGGGACAGAAGGAGTCAATGAAAGAGGCAGGAGAGAGAGGAAAATGAATCAAGCAGAGACCTAAGAACAAAACAGACAGAAGAGAAGGACAACGCTTGAGTGTACTCAGGTTCCTGACTCCAGTTTAGAGTCTTCAGCTTTCACAAAGCCTACCTGTGTCCCTACAAAAAATTCTAGCTTGAGCCAGTTTCTGCACTTGTAGCCAAAAGACCCTTAGCCAGTACTCAAGTGGAGCCAAAAGCCACAGAAGTGGCTCTGTCTTCCACTTCTTTCCTTCCCATGATTCATACATTTTCTTAATTCAAGAACTTTATTATATAAATATTTACTGAGTACCTTACAAGACGCCCATGGGTAATGTGAGTAAAAAGAAAAAGATATCATGTCATTGATGTTTGGGAACAAACTGAGAATTTCAACGAAGTATTCTAACCCACTTGAAAGGAAAACATACATTTCAAATATTTAGAAAACTGTAACTCAGAATATATTATTCACTATCTTCTATGTTATATGCTACACATATTATAAAAAGATTACATAGATAATCTTCTTCAATTACCTTTTTTATTTATATTTTTATTTTTATTTATTTTTTTCAGACAGAGTCTCGTTCTGTCGCCCAGGCTGGAGCGCAGTGGTGCAATCTCAGCTCACTGCAAGCTCCGCCTCCCGGGCTCAGGCCATTCTCCTGCCTCAGCCTCCAGAGTAGCTGGGACTACAGGCACCCGCCACCACGCCCACCTAATTTTTTGAATTTTTAATAGAGACGGGATTTCACAACGTTAGCCAGGATGGTCTTGATCTCCTGACCTCATGATCCACCCGCTTCGGCCTCCCATGGGGTCTCGCTATGTTGACCAGCCTGGTCTCAAAATCTGGCCTCAAGCAATCCTCTCATCTCAGCCTCTCAAAATGCTGGGATTACAGGCATGAGCCACTGTGCCTGACCAATTACCTTTAAAAAAAAAGTGTATGAGTAAGAAAAATCCAATGTTCTGGCCAGGCGTGGTAGCTCACACCTGTAATCCCAGCACTTTGGGAGGCCGAGGTGAGCACCTCACCTGAAGTCAGGAGTTCAAGACAAGCCTGGCTAACATAGTGAAAGCCCATTTCTACTAAAAATACAAAAACTTAGCCAGGCGGGCGTGCAGGCACACGCCTGTAATCCCAGCTACTTGGGAGGCTGAGGCAGGAGAATGGCCTGAGCCCAGGAAGCGGAGCTTGCAGAGATTGCGCCACTGCACTCCAGCCTGGGCGACAGAGGGAGACTCCATCTCAAAAAGAAAAAAAAATCCAATGATCCAATCTGGAGCTGTTTTGGGTAATAGCTTCATGGTAGAAGGACTCTGATCAATGTCATTAATATGCACCAGATTTCCCCGACACGGGCATGTCTGTTTGGCATCCATAGAGTAATAGTTATTGCCTGTTCTCTGCTCCTGATGGGAAGTTAACTCCCAAAGCTCTCATTTCTCTATCTCATCACCTGGGGTAAGATAAAGCCATAACGGACTGTGTGTATTTGTGAATTATGTTGGCTCCATGTAAGAACTTTTCTCCAAATCCTGGCTAGACCATTTTCTAATTCTAAATTCATATTTCTCCAAGTCCTAAAATAGTTGAAAAGAAACGCGTTTAGAATTGTTTCCTGTATAGTCCATTAAATAGCATCAACATAAATTAAAATGTGCTGGCTGCCTTCTTAGTTTTTTTTTTTTTTTTTTTTTTAGACAGGGTCTCACTCTGTCCCCCAGGCTGGAGTACAGTAGCGGGATCATGACTCATTGCCGCCTCGAGCTCCCCAGACTCAGGTGATCCTCCCACCTCAGTCTCCTGAGTAGCTGGGAACACAGGTGAAAGCCACCACACCCGGATAATTTTTGTATTTTTTGTAGAGACAGGGTTTCACCACATTGGACACACTGCTCTCAAACTCCTGGGCTCAAATGATCTGCCTGCCTCAGCCTCCCAAAGTGTTAGCACTACAGGCATGAGCCACCATGCCCAGCCAAAATGTACCTTCTTTTAGAACAAATTTCAGTTTGTTCTAGAACCAACAAGTCATAAGAATATCCATAATCATGGTTGCAGTCTTAACTCTTATGACTGCATCCTATTGGTCACCAGAAGAAAAGACATGATACATGTATTAATAGGTTTATTAATCCATGCAGCATTTATTGAAAACTTTCTACATGTTACTATGTTGGCTCAAGATGTATAATAATAATAATGTCTTCATTGTCTCATTGAATCTTGCTTTTTTTTGGAGAGGGAGTCTTGCTCCATCGCCCAGGATGGAGTGCAGTGGCACAATTTCAGCTCACTGTAACCTCCACCTCCCAGGTTCAAGCGATTCTCCTGCCTCAGCCTCCCAAGTAGCTGGTATTACAGGCACGTGCCACCATGTCTGGCTAATTTTGGTATTGTTTTAGTAGAGACAGGTGGCGGGGGGCTGTGGGAGGGGGGTTCACCATGTTGGCCAGGCTGGCCTTGACCTCCTGACCTCAGGTGATCCACTCACCTCAGCCTCCCAAAGTGCTGGGATTACAGGCATGAGCCGCTGTGCCAGGCCCTCATGTAATCTTCATAGCAATCCTATGAGGCCGCTATTATCATCTCCAATTTACAGGAGAGGAATTTAGCCAACTTTTGCCTAAGGTCATAGAGTTAACAAGCCCAGTGTGTGTCAAAGACGGGCAATGTCATCTTAGTTTTAAGAAGTACAAGCTGGCCAGGTGCAGTGGCTCACAACTGAAATCCCAGCACTCTGGGAGGCCGAGGCAGGTGGATCGCTTGAGCCCAAGAGTCCAAGACCAGCCTGGGCAACATGGTAAATATCATTTCTACAAAAAAATACAAAAATTAGATGAGCACGGGATGTGACAAGACCCTGTCTCAAAAAAAAAGAAGAAAGAAGTACAAACTGGTCCAGGCACAGTGGCTCACACCTGTAAACCCAGTGGTTTTGGAGGCTAAGAAAAAAGGAGACCCCATCTCTAAAAAATGGGGCAAGGGGTGGGGACTCTGAATTAAGGTAATGACTGTTAACTGGAAGAGGGAAAATTTGAGAGCTAATTTGAAGTTGAAATGAGGCAGGACCTGATGACAATGAATTGGATGTGGAAGACAAAGGAAAGACAGACCCAACATCCTGGGTCACTCCCAAGTTTCTGGTAACGCCATTAAGTGACAAAAGACCATTAAGTGGCAATAGAGAATTCAGGAGGGGGCCAGGTATGGTGGATCACGCCTGTAATCCCAGCACTTTGGGAGACCAAGGAGGGCGGATCACGAGGTCAAGTGACAGAAACCATCCTGGCCAAAATGGTGAAACCCCATCTCTACTGAAAATAGAAAAATTAGCCGGGCGTGGTGGTGGGCTCCTGTAATCCCGACTACTCGGGAGGCTGAGGCAGGAGAATCGCTTGAACCTGGGAGGCGGAGGTTGCAGTGAGCCGAGGTGGCACCACTGCACTCCAGCCTGGTGACAGAAAGAATTCAGGAGGGATAGTTAGTTAGGAAAGGAGTTCAAATTGAGATCTAAACGGTGTGCATTTAGAAATAAGAAGTCTGTAGCACAGGAGAAAGATCTGCTGTAACTACAGAATCATCAGTGGCAGTGGAAGGCACAGAAATGAATGAATCCACTTGGGGACAGCATATAGAGAAGGAAAAGGGCTGAGGGCCAATCCATAGTGATGACACACAGTTGAGTATGCGTCCAGTACTGAGCCAGATAGACTGGGAACCCCATCCCAGCTCTGCCACAACACGTGACCTTGGACAGTTTACTCTCTACACATAACGACAGTAGTAATTCCTACCTCATGGAGTGACTGAAAATCAAATGAGAAAAGGTATCTAAAGAACCCAAAACCTGCCTGCCCCTAAGCAAATACTTAGTAAATGTTATTATCTCTACTAGAAAACACAGCAAAGATTTTACAAGTTTATAAACATTAAGTGTAACTTTCATATCTAGTAAGATATTTACCAAATAATAATAAACGTACTCTATTGAACAAGCTGGGTATTTTGCATTAGTCTCTTCAATCCAGGTAGCATTTCTCTGATTTAGTACTACGTTTATTATTCCCATTTCACAGCGGAAGAGACAGAAGCATTGAGAAGGTAATTGACTTGCCCAAGGTCACACATTCATGGTATGCATGAAGGGGGATAGGATGAAGGCCTTCTGGCCTTGGCCCCGCAGAAAGCTAAGAAAAGATCCCTGTTCACACACTTTATGAACCCATTAGAAAACATAATATGTACAAGAAAAACGTCATTGAGATTCACTTCACCTTAAAAATAACAGATAAAATTACTGCCCCATAGTTATGATTGCCAAAGGTGACAAAAGTAGAAAATAGACTTCTTGAAATTTTCTCCTGTAAATTTAAGACATTGTTTGATGTTTACCTTGTGTGTTTACATAAAGTAACAGAAAGATAAATTGTGGATGACTATACTATATCTGGTACACTGTAATTATGTTCAGAAAATAGAAAAATAATTGATGTATGACTATCTAAAAAGGAATACACTATCTAAGTGTTTCACTTAACTCAGTTTACCTGCTCCCAATCAAACTAGCAAGTGGTACAATTCTGTGTTTCACCCAGTGCTTTTTATTTATTTTTCTCTCCCCTCCCCTCATGCAGTGCTTTTTAAACTAAAGAATATATTGCAACTCAATAAATACACATTTACAACCCCACATACACTTCTATTTTTTTCTCGATGGCTTTATTACTTGAATGACTAGTAATGTAAGTTAAAGATTTTTTAATTGCTTCTTTTTCTTGCATATTTATTTGCATTCCTAAATTTACTTAACAAAAGGTTTTCTTATTTACATAGATCAATCTTGAGTGCAAAGCCTATAGAATATACTTGCAAGAAGACAATGGCTCTGCAGGGTTAAGGTATTAGAGCCTAAGTACCTTTCATTGTTTAAAACATGGGCTAAGTGCTTCGTTTTAACCTAAATAGAGACCCCTTTTAGCACAAAGAGCCAAAGTGAGTCATGGGTCCCTGCCTCATCTTTGCACGATTACAATGAGGCATAAAACTCTGAAAACCTTTAAAGGTTTTAAAAGCTTGCTCCCTCCACGCCCCCAACCCCCCATCATCACTTCCCAAATCATCAGTGTCACTCACTGCTAACCTCATCGCAGCAACTGCAATTATTTTAACACGTACTAATTAGGTTTATTAGGTCTTGGAGTTTGGGCCAGGTCTTTCCTAAAGGGGAAGACAAGTCCAGTCTGTAGATTATTAACTAGCTGGGTCTATATGCCATAAAGTCCATTCTGACCTTTTTATTTTTTCATGAGACATTGATCAATGAATGGATTGATAGGACCACAAGGAAACGTGAAGCATTTGTGTGTGCAATACTTTTTCCTCTAAAAGAATGATTACCTGACAGATTCTATTGAATGCCAAAATCTAACATAAATTTTATTCTTAAACAGGTGCAGCTTAATACAGTAGCTGTAAAATAAACATTTTTATAAGTCCACAGAGAGAAAGCCTGAGAAAGCATAGCATGAACTCAAGATTCACTGGTTACAACTCCCAATTAATTTTCCAGGAAAAATAGTCATTTATTCACACTCTACCTTAGTTTTCTGATGAAAATGGAAATGGAAGAGCTAATCTGATCCAATACTGGGGGGAGTGGGTAGGTAGGTTATTTTACACATATTTCTGTAGTATTTGGGTTTGTATAATGAGCACATAGTAAAACAATTTTTTTAATTATTTTGAAAATTGACAAAATATTGACCATCATTTTTTTTTTCAGTGAAGAAAAAGGCATGCAGACAGGATGCAGGTTATTCTTTCAATGTATCTATTCAGCCAAGATTGTCCTTACTGTTTGCCTCTTACAAAATTTTTCTGAGGCACAGCTTCCCAGATACCTAATTTTTCATTTCATTTCCTGGCATCCCACCCCTCTGCCCTCCAAAATGTTATACTAGACAGAAAACTCCATTTTTGAATTCTTTTCCTGCAGCATGTACAAAGCAGAATCTTAGAGACTCATCTCTGACATTAATGAATAAAAATTAAGTGTATAAGTCTCTTGAAAAAAAAGACTAAAAAAGAAGCATCTTTGAAAACAGAACTTTAGTTTTATTGAATTTTTTCTTTAATTCAGATTGCCTTTGCTTAGTTCTTGCAAGTTTAATTTACATCAAAATTTCCTGTTTGACTGTTCATTATATTTACCCAATATTTACACAAAGACTCCTTAGAAAGTACTGACAACATAGCTGTCAATTTGTTGCTGTCAATTAACGTGAATCTCTAATACTTTTTTCTCCCTGTGTAATGCATTCAAACTTTTCTGCCTAAAGATCTTGAAAAGAACATTTGGTCTTTCCCTTTCATTAAATTATTTTATTTTTGGACAGTTTGCACCCTTAACCCCATGAAACAGTGATTAAAATTTGCATAAATTCTCCTTCTCTATTCCCCTTGCCCACCAACCAGAGCTGTGCATTCTAATGTTCTTCACAGGTCCTCGGCAGTGAATGAAAATATTTATCTATAAATGCATATGAGGTTACCACAAGCTCTCTTGATGAGATTTACATTCCAAGAAGCCAGACATCTTAGAAAGTAGAATCAACATAACAATGCACTGAAACTGCAGGATTCCACAAATAAATTGCTGATAAATGTTGGTAACCCGTTTTCACTCTGCACTGTTTTTCATGAAAGTTATTTTAATTGCTTGCATACACACACACAGAGAGAAGGCTATGCTAGAGTAAATTAGTGTTTTGTCCCTTGCCAGAAGGAAGCTAAGAAGCTAAAAGATAATGAGTTTTATTAACTCTCATAATGTCTGCAAAGTAGTACAGCATCAAAGTATTGGATCCCATTTTAGTCACTCCCCAAAGACCTACTTACAGGAGCAAACGCATCAATACCTAATTGATCAGCAAAATGCCGGCTGATGCACTCTGCTTCCAGTTACTAGCTTAGTTCTTGCACCATTCCCACACACTGTAATGAACCTACCAAACACACACACTGCACTGTGTCGGAGTCAGCAAGATCTGTTCCCAAAGTTTCCTCAGAGCTCATTTGTTTGGAATTAGAATAACTTTTTCCATAGAAACTATGTTACAGGAAAAAAAAAAAAAAAAAAGAAGAAACTATGTTAAAATAGTTGTGAAGTTCTCTGGCCAGGACACAAAAGCTTTCACAGTCATTCTGCTAATTTGCAATGGAAAAAAAAAAAAGACTAGAAAGCAAAATGAAATTAAACAAAACTGTAAAAATAAAAGGATAAGAAATTGGTGTATTCATCCGTAATTCCAGTGCTTGAGAAAAGCAGATTTAATTAGAGACTGTTACGGGCTTGTTCAGGAGGTTTGCAGGCAGGCGTGATTTCTTTCCTATCGAGTGTCCTTTAGCTAGTGTATGTAATTGAGAAGGATAGCTCACCATTTCCTTGACACTGACGTAGCACTATTCTTATCATCTCAGTCGTGATGCCTAAATCCCTTCACAGCTAGATAACTCACTTTCAGATGAAGCCACTGGACAGATCAGTGGTTCTCAGGGTGGGGTTCCCTGACCAACAACATCAGCATCACCTGGGATCTGGTTAGAAATGCAAATTCCCGGGCCCTACCCTAGCCTTACTGAAACTGAAACTCCCAGGTGGGGCCCCTGCCATCTGGGTTTCCATAGGCCTCCAGGGGCTTCCGAGACATGCTAAAGTTCGAGAAGAACTGGATTAGGCCTCTGTTTCCAAAACTATCCTAGTGATAAAAAAAATAACCTGGGGCCCTGATTAAAAGGAAAGATTCTCAGAACCCATTCCCTGGAGTTACTCAGAGTCACTCCGTAGAGCCGCTCTGGGGCCCCCGAGAGTAGGTATTTTAACCAGCAGCCCAGGTGCCTCTTCTCCTCTGGCAAGTTTAGGAAACTGCATGAGTTATCTCAAAGTCTTCCCTTCTAGAAGGCTTTCTAGAACAAAAGTGAGGTTGAGTGAGGATTAAAGAGATTCCCTCTCCTCCTGTCCTTCAAAGTATGAGCTGGAGGACAGACGGAACCTGAGGCAGGCAAAAAGATTGTGTTTATATCTGTAAGGAAACTCTTGCCAGTAAAAGATGGAGAAGGGAGGCATGGCTGGGCCAATGTCCCTGTGTGCAGAGATACAGGAAAGATGGAAGATACACTTTGATAACTAGCTGAAATGGCCTCCAGGCAAGAGGGAGATAAAGAGGATAGTGTACAATTGACCACTTACCTTGGCAAGATATGCCTAAATTAGGTGTTCACAATTTAGAAGACTGGGTGTGTGCAGCGTTGAGTAATGCCAATTGTAGGTACAGCTTCAGCATTCTATTGACATTAGATTGCCTTCCATCTTGACTCTGGAAACAGTGCCAGTGACTAGGGGCCCACTTCGACGGGCAGGCAAAGAAGGCAAGCCCTGGAAGTCCCCCAGCCTCTGCTAACAAATGCCTGAAACTACACCCCTAAGATTTCAATAGCTTTTTTTTTTTTTTTTTTTTTTTTTGAGATGGAGTCTCGCACTGTTTCCCAGGCTGGAGTGCAATGGCGCGATCACGGCTCACTGCAACCTCCACCTCCCAGGTTCAAGCAATTCTCCTGCCTCAGCCTCCCGAGTAGCTGAGATTACAGATGCCTGCCAGCACGCCTCGGTAATTTTTTGTATTTTTAATACAGAAGGGGTTTCACCATGTTAGCCAGGCTGTTCTCGAACTCCTGACTTCATGATCTACCCACCTCAGCCTCCCAAAGTGCTGGGATTACAGGTGTGACCCACCGCGCCTGGCTCAATAGCTTTTTAGTCTTGGATTTCTTTTTCTTTTTAAAATTATTTTTATTTTATATATTTTAGGATATTAGACCTTTGGTATATCTTGGATTTATTAAAGAATGCAAACATTAAGCCTTATTTATCTCAAGAACCATGCAGCTGATCCTGTCAGGTTCAGCCATTTTTTATAAGGAGAGGGCCTAGGGATGTCGGGTAAGTGGAAGAATGTCTGTATTTTAGGTGGCTTAAGAGAGCCCTTAGGGCTATCTTGTTTGTTTAAAATGGATAGAGAACCAGGTTAGAGGGTATGAAGATAAATAATAAATGAGTGACGGCTCAAGACCACAATTAGGCCAAGGTTAATAAGATTCAATCCCAGTGGGCAAAGCTTCTCTCTTTGGAAGGAGACACTACATAACTGTATCTGGCTGATGCACTTGTTGGTATAGCTATCATTTAAAAAAAAAATCTAAATCAAAACCAAATCAAGAGTATAATCTTGATGAAATTTAAGAACCTATTTGTAGCCAGGCACGGTGGTTCATGTCTGTAATCCCAGCAGTTTGGGAGGCCAAGGCAGGTGGATCACTTGAGGCCAGGAGTTCAAGACCAGCCTGGCCAACATGGCGAAACTCTGTCTCTACTAAAAATACAAAATTAGCCGATGTGGCGGCAGGTGCCTGTAGTCCCAGCTACTTGGGAGACTGAGGCAGGAGAATCATTTGAAGCCAGGAGGCAGAGGTTGCAGTAGGCCGAGATCATGCCATTGCACTCCAGCCTGGGCAACAACAGCAAAACTCCGTTTCAAAAAAAAAAAAAAAAAGAATCCTCAGGATTTTAATATAATAGTGCTATATGGCTTCCTTCCAATACCAAAATTAATGTCATTTCTGAAGATTTAGCTAAAATAAAAGATCCTAGCACTGCATTTCTTGGCCGAAAATGCAATCATTTTCCATCTGGTCATTTGGCTAAGTTAAGGTACAGTGGCCTTTAGAGTTGGAAATGAAGGTCAAGACAGTTGGCTTTTGGTTTTTGCCCAAGAAAATTCACTGTGCATGTTTTTATTTTTTATGTTTCATTTTTATTTATTTACTTATTTTTGAAACAGAGTCTCTGTCACCCAGGCTGGAGTGCAGTGGTGCCATCTCGGCTCATTGCAACCTCTGCCTCCCAGGCTCAAGCAATCCTCTGATCTTAGCCTCCTGAGTAGCTGGGACTACAGGTGTGCACCACCATTCCTGGCTAATTTTTGTATTTTTTGTAGAGGCAGGGTTTTACCATGTTGCCCAGACTGGTCTCAAATCCCTGGCCACAAGTGATCCACCCACCTTGGCCTCCTACAGTGCTGGAATTACAGGCATGAGCCACCTACCTTGTCCCGCCATGTTTTTGTTTGTTTGTTCGCTTGTTTTTGAGAGGAGTCTCCCTCTGTCCTCCAGACTGGAGTGCGGTGGCACAATCTCAACTCACTGCAACCTCTGCCTCCTGGGTTCAAGCAATTCTCCTGTCTCAGCCTCCCCCTCCTGAGTAGCTGGGACTACAGGCACCCACCACCACACCTGGCTAATTTTTGTGTTTTTAGTAGAGACAGGGTTTCACCATATTGGCTAGGCTGGTCTCGAACTCCTGACCTCAGGTGATCTACCTGCCTCAGCCTCCCAAATTGCTAGGATTACAGGAGTAAGCCAGTACACTCAGCCCCCACCATGTTTTTAATTCTATAGAATAGATGATAACCAAGGTTCACCAAAGCAGAGAGGTTAGGTATTGTACAAATTTAAGAGTAAGCTAGATCATTCAGAATAAAAAGAACCTTTACTTTCTCCCTTGGACTCAACCCCATTATTTCTTATGCTTTTCCTGCAGGCCAATACAATACTTGGCCACTGAATTTAGTATTTTTGGCAAAGCACATAATAATAACCTATTGTTAGAATCTTCTAGCACCCAGGTAACACCTAATTACTTTGAAATTATTATAGTTATTATTAAATACGCTTAAAATCAAGGATGGAAAATGTCAAAATTAAAAACTTTTTCCAGCATTCAACCTCTGGTGAGAAAAGAAAAAAAACTTTTCCAAGCAGCCAACTTTGCTTTAGTTGTTATACGGGGTGACTAGACAGAAAGCCTATACAAAACTCTTTCCTGCAAATCCATACGGTATAGCAACTGAAAAGCAATTTACTTAGCAAACATTATTACTGAATGAAATATGTTGAAGAGTCCAGACGCAGTGGCTCACACCTGTAATCCCAGCACTTTGGGAAGCCAAGGTGGGCAGATCACTTAAGGTCAGGAGTTCAAAACCAGCCTGGCCAAAATGGTGAAACCCCATCTCTACCAAAAATACAAAAGTTAGTCGGGCATGGTGGCAGGCATCTGTAATCCTAGCTACTCAGGAGGCTGAGGCAAGAGAATTACTTGAACCTGGGAGGTGGAGGTTGCAGTGAGCTGAGATCGCACCACTGCACTCCAGCCTGGGCAACAGAGTGAGACGCCTTCTCAAAAAGAAATAAAATTCAAAGAAACAGGCTGGGCTCAGTGGCTCACACCCGTAATCCTAGCACTTTGGGAGGCCAAGGCAGGTGGATCACGAGGTCAGGAGTTAGAGACCAGTCTGGCCAATATGGTGAAACCCTGTCTCTAATAAAAATTCAGAAATTAGCCAGGCGTGGTGGTGCATGCCTGTAGTCCCAGCTACTTGGGAGGCTGAGGCAAGAGAATTACTTGAAGCCAGGAGGCGGAGGTTGCAGTGAGCTGAGATTGCAGTGAGCTGAGATTGCACCACTGCACTCCAGCCTGGGCAACACAGCAAGACTCTGTCTCAAAAAAAAAAAGAAAGAAAGAAATATGTTGAAGAATGAGATGCTCTATCAAATAGCCTCGTTAATGGTTATGTTCATTATAATTGGATTATCAATTGTCAAATAATTGAAATATGACAATAATCTCCAAATACCAAAATTATGGTGACTCTAATATATTCTTTCTGGGTGTGCTTCTGGGTCATGATTAAAAGTGGTGTTTTTTTTTTCTTTTTTGAGATGGAGTCTCGCTCTGTCGCCCAGGCTGGAGTGCAGTGGCGTGATCTCGGCTCACTGCAAGCTCTGCCTCCCGGGTTCACACCATTCTCCTGCCTCAGCCTCCTGAGTAGCTGGGACTACAGGTGCCCGCCACCACACCCGGCTAATTTTTTGTATTTTCAGTAGAGACGAGGTTTCACCACGTTAGCCAGGATGGTCTCGATCTCCTGACCACGTGATCCACCCACCTCGGCCTCCCAAAGTGCTGGGATTACAGGTGAGAGCCACCAAGCCCGGCCCATTAAAAGTATTAATCATTGTTGTATAACAGAAATAAACAGATGCAGTGGTTCAACAAAGACAAACAAGTGCAATTTTATTTATTTATTTATTTATTTTTGAGATGGAGTTTCACTCTTGTCACTAATTTTGTTTTTGGTTTTGTTTTTGTTTTAAGAGAGAATCTCACTTTTTTTTTTTTTTTTTTTTTTGAGACGGAGCTTCTCTCCTTCTCTCTTGTTGCCCAGGCTGGAGTGCAATGGCACAATCTCGACTCACTGCAACCTCCGCCTCCTGGGTTCAAGCAATTCTCCTGCCTCAGCCTCCCAAGTAGCTGGGATTACAGGCATGCGCCACCATGCCTGGCTAGTTTTGTATTTTTAGTAGAGACAGAGTTTCTCCATGTTGGTTAGGCGGGTCTCAAACTGACCTCAGGTGATCCACCCACCTCGACCTCCCAAAGTGCGGGGATTACAGTCATGAGCCACCGTGCCCGGCCCAGAGTCTCACTATTTTGCCCAGGCTGAAGTGCAATGGCGCGGTGTTGTCTCTCTGCAACTTCCGCCTCCCAGGTTCAAGCAATTCTCCTGCCTCAGTCTCCCAAGTAGCTGGTACTACAGGTGCATGCCACCACACCTGGCTAATTTTTGTATTTTTAGTAGAGATGGGGTTTCACCATGTTGGCCAGGCTGGTCTTGAACTCCTGACCTTGTGATCTGCCTGCCTCAGCCCCCCAAAGTGCTGGGATTACAGGTGTAAGCCACCATAATCGGCCTAATTTTTGTATTTTTTAGTAGAGACAGGGTTTCACCATACTGGCCAAGCTGGTCCTGAACTCCTGACCTCAGGTAATCCACCCATCTTGGCCTACCAAAGTGCTGGGATTACAGGCGTGATGCACCACACCCGGCAGAAAGTGCAATTTTTAAAATGGGCAAAGGACTTAAATATTTCTCCAAAGAAGATAATAGTTTCTCATCATCAGTCATTAGGTATATACTAGTCAAAACCACGATATAGCACTTCGTGCGCACTAGGAGGGCTATAATTTTTTTTTTTTTTGAGACAGAATCTCACTCTATTACCCAGGCTGGAATGCAATGGCGCCATCTTGGCTCACTGCAACCTCTGCCTCCAGGGTCCAAGTGATCCTCCTGCCTCAGCCTCCCGAGTAGCTGGGATTACAGGCTCCCACCAGCACACCCGGCTAATTTTTGTATTTTTAGGAGAGACGGGGTTTCATCATGTTGGCCGGGCTGGTTTCAAACTCTTGACCTCAGGTGATCCGCCTGCCTTGGCCTCCCAAAGTGTTGGGATTACAGGCGTGAGCCACCACACCCGGCATGGCTATAATTTTTTAAGTGGGAAATAACAAATGTTGGCAAATTTATTATTTGACCCCTCCCTCTTACATTGCTGGTGTGACTGTGAAATACTGCAGCCACTATGGAAAATAGTTTATCTGTTCCTTAAAAAGCAATTATAGAATCATCATAGGACCCACCATTTCTACTTGAAACCCAAAATAATTGAAAGCAGGGATTCAAACAAATGTTTATACACAAATATTCATAGCAGCACTATTCACAAGAGCTAAAAGATGAAAATAACCCAAATGTCCAACAGTGGATGAACAGTTACACAAAACATGGTATACACACATTGAGATATTACTTAGCCATAAAAAAGCATGAAGTAGGCTGGGCACGGTAGCTCACACCTTAATCCCAGCACTTGGGAGGCTGAGGTGGGTGGATCACCTGAGCTCAGGAGTTCGAGACCAGACTGACCAACAATGGCGAAACCCTGTCTCTGCTAAAAATTTAATTTAGCAGGGCATGGTGGCACATGCCTGTAATCCCAGCTACTCGGGAGGCTGAGGCAGAAGAATCACTTGAATCCTGGAGGCAGAGGTTGCAGTGAGCCAAGATCACGCCATTATACTCCAGCCTGAGCAACAAGAGCAAAACTCCATCTCCAAAAAAGAAAGAAAGAAAGAAAGAAAAAAGCATGAAGTACTAATACATGAATGTGGATGAACCACAAAACATACTTGAGCCCAGGATCTCAAGACCAGCCTGGGCAACATGGTAAGCCCCCCATCTTAGTAAAAACTCTTTTTTATTTTATTCACTTATTTTTTTAAACAAGAAGTTTATTTAAACAACAAGACTTGAAGGGAAAACTATCTAGGATTCTTTTTTGTTTTAGAGTAATTTATCCCTACTTAAAGACAGATTGCCCTACATGTAACAGCTACGTAGAAAAAAGTTATAAAATTGTCCTTGGTTTTACAATGATAAATGAAAAACAGTAAAATTCTCCAATTGAACAAAGTATGCAAGGATTTTTATTTTTTATTTATTTATTTTTTTGTTAAAACAGTGAGAGTAAAATAAATTACTGGAATATAAAGAGCTGAATGAGCATGCTACTAATGGAGAAAGGGGGTATTTTCACAGAATCAGTATTTTTCCCCATTCCATCTCCACTTGATGTCAATCAAAACATACCATTGGCTGTTTAGTTAAAAAAAAATGCAATATGCTTGTGCACATATACCAATTACTTTACATACAATAAAGGAATGGGAAAAGGGGAAATGAAAGAATAGAGAAAACTATACTGTAGTAGTCAGGATGTGGTGGAACCAAATTGCAGTTTTCTAATTGAGAATGTAATCTCCTCGGTCTTGAAAGAACAGAGTTCTGGAGTAAAGAAGCAGGTTCCTTTTTCAGTAGACACCTCCCGTCTGCTGTTGGAACACATCAATTGTATCTTCATCCTCCATTTCCAACTGTGCAGGTGTGTCTGTTTCATTGATTGGTTACCTGTGGAATTGTAATCTAATCTGCCTCATTGACAATCCCTGTCTTTCACAATAGGCTTTCATTAGTTTACTAAGTGGTGTATGCCTCTTAATCTTAAACTGCATCACAGAACCATCTTTCCCTGCCACCGTTAAATTAGTATGATCGTGGTTCTCAGCCTTGACTCCTTCCTTGGGCTTTTCGTCAGCTATGGTGAGCATCAGAGTCTCCTCAGCTGTAGCTTCACAAGAGAGGTACCAGGTTCGCATGGAACGAGCAAAATCTTTTTTTTAAAAAAATTAATAATAGGCCAGGCACGGTGGCTCATGCCTGTAATCCCAGCACTTTGGGAGGCCGAGGCGGGTGGGTCACGAGGTCAGGAGTTCGAGACCAGCCTGGCCAACACGGTGAAACCCCGTCTCTACTAAAAATACAAAAATTAGCCGGGCATGGTGGCGCATGCCTGTAATCCCAGCTACTCAGGAGGCTGAGTCAGGAGAACTGCTTGAACCCAGGAGGCGGAGGTTGCAGCGAGCCGAGATTGTGCCACTGCACTCCAGCCTGGGTGACAGAGTAAGACTCTGTCTCAAAAAATAATAATAATAATAATTATATATATATATATATATATATATATATTTTTTTTTTTTTTTTTTTTTTTTTTGAGATAGGGTCTCGCTCTGTCGCACAGGCTGGAGTGCAGTGGTGTGATCTCAGCTCACTGCAACCTCCGCTCCCCAGGTTCAAGTGATTCTCCTGCTTCAGCCTCCCAAGTAGCTGGGATTACAGGCTCCCACCACCATATCTGACCAATTTTTGTAGTTTTAGTAAAGATGGGGTTTCACCATGCTGGCCAGGCTAGTCTCGAGTCCTGATCTCAGGTGATCTGCTCACCTCAGCTTCCTAAAGTGCTGGGATTACAGGCATGAGTCACCGTGCCCAGCCATAAAAATGATTTTTAAAAAGAAAGGAATGAAGGAAGGAAGGGAGAGAAGGGAAGGATCTCTCTATGTTGACCAGACTGGTCTCCAATTCCTGGGCTCAGACAATCTACACACCTCGACCTCCCAAAGTGCTGGAATTATAGGCCTGAGCCACCACGCCGGTCAAAAAGCTGTCTACTTAGGGAATGTTTTGAAATAAATGGAGCCCTTCAATTCTACCCTGATAGTCAACATTTTATCTATTAGCCAGACCTTCAGAGAATGACAAATGTAGACCATATAATTTTGTGTCCGTTCATTGCTGTTATGCCATCAGCCTATGTTGAGAGATGTTCCAAGGAGCTCCACCATACACCATGGTGCCTGTAGTTAATAACAATATAATGTATTCTTGAAAAATGCCAACAGAGTGGATGTTATGCATTCTTGCCACAAAAATGATAGCTATGTGAGGTAATGCATATGTTAATTAGCTAGATCTTGTCATTCCACAATGTATATATACAGAATATCATGCTACACATGATAAATACAATTTTATCTGTCAATTTAAACAATGAAATAAAAATTTTAAAGGAGCTCAAAAAATCTATTTTATTTATCTACAGTGACCTTGGGATTTCCTGAAGGAAAAGCATTGGAGTAGAAGTAAGAGCTGACTGTGAAAGCCTGAGGAGGAGCTGCCTTATTGTTAAGGGGTAGCAAGAAGCCCAGGCGTGGCAGTCCACGCCTGTAAGCCTAGCACTTTGGGAGGCCAAGATGGGAGGATCGCTTGAGCTCAGGAGCTTGAGACCACCCCGGGTAACATAGCGAGACCTCGTCTCTACAAAAAATGGTTTGTTTTTTGTCTGTTTCTTTGTTTGTTCGTTTGTTTGAGGCAGAGTCTCACTCTGTCGCCCAGGCTGGAGTGCAGTGGCGTGATCTCGGCTCACTGCAAGCTCCACCTTCTGAGTTCACGCCATTCTACTGCCTCAGCCTCCCGAGTAGCTGGGACTACAGGCGCCCACCACCACACCCGGCTTATTTTTTGTATTTTTAGTAGAGACGGGGTTTCACCGCGTTAGCCAAGATGGTCTCGATCTCCTGACCTCATGATTCACCCGCCTCAGCCTCCCAAAGTGCTGGGATTACAGGCGTGAGCCACTGCGCCCGGCCTGGTTTTGTTTTTTCAAGACAGAGTCTCGCTCTTTTGCCCAGGCTGGAGTGTAGTGGCACGATCTCTGCTCTCTGCAACCTCCGCCTCCCAGGTTCAAGCGATTCTGGTGCCTCAGACTCCTGAGTAGCTGGGACTACAGGTGTGTGCCACCATGCCCAGCTAATTTTTTTATATTTTTAGTAGAGACAGGATTTCACTGTGTTGGCCAGGCTGTTCTCAAACTCCTGACCTCAGGTGATCCACCCGCCTTGGCCTCCCGAAGTGCTGGGATTACAGGCATGAGCCACTGTGCCCAGCTACAAAAAATGTTTAAAACTAGTTGGGTGTGTTAGTGCACACCTGTAGTCCCAGTTACTTGGGAGGCTAAGGAAGGAGGATTGTTTGAGCCCAGGAGTTTGAGGCTGCAGTGAGCTATGATTGTGCCACACTGCACTCCAGCCTGGGTGACGGAGCAAAACCTTGTTCAAAAACAGATAAATATATAAATTAATAATAATACAAATAAAAAGAGTACTCTGAGCAGTGCTTGGTGCCACAGCTGGGACTACCCAGCTACTCAGGAGGCTGAGACAGGAAGATCACTTGAACCCAG
This sequence comes from Homo sapiens, assembly GCF_000001405.40. NCBI lineage: Eukaryota > Metazoa > Chordata > Mammalia > Primates > Hominidae > Homo > Homo sapiens. Next base: position 69,990,178 of record NC_000008.11, read on the forward strand.
GAGTTGAGTTCAGCACTTTGGGCAACATTGAGAGACCTCATCTCTAATAAATAAATAAACTAGAACTCTGACCGACAACCTGCAGCCACCTGCCCAGAAAATCAATCCCTTATCTACAATTAACAGCACAGGGATCCAGCATGCTTAACTCAGACTTGCAGAAGCCACACTCTATCTCTAAAACAGTTCGGGATGCTAAATAACACCAGCTATAACGACTGGCCCAAAATGGCTAGGAAGAACTTGATTAGTAACTGACAGCTTCCCTGGTTTTTATGCTCACTTCCAACTTAGGACCAAGCAGAAAAGTCAAATACACACCCCTAACCAATCACATCAGGTGCTTTCCTTCAGTTAGCCACCTACAGTTTTCCCAAGCCAGCAGCCTCCATTCAGGACCGACCTGAAGCCTTCCCTTTTTCTGCTATAAAGCTTTTCTGTTTCCCCTACCTGCCTTTGAGACTCTGCAAACACAAGTGATGGTGGCTGACTGCCTTGCTATAGCAAGCGCTGAATAAATAGCCTTTGCTTTTCTCAGTTGGTCTTCATTTATGTCTACAGAAGATTTTGAACAGAAGAGTGACATGACCTGTCTTAGGTTTTAAAAAGATCAGTGTGTGGCTGGGCATGGTGGCCCATGCCTGTAATCCCAGCGCTTTCTGAGTGTCCGAGGCAGGCGGATCACTTGAGCCCAGGAGTTTGAGACCAGTCTGGCCAACCCTGTCTCTACCAAAAATACAAAAAAATTAGACAAGTATGGTGGTACATGCCGGTAGCCCCAGCTTCTCAAGAGGCTGAGGTGGGAGGATTACCTGAGCCTAGGGAGACTGAGGCTGCAGTGAGCTGTGATCACGCCAGAGAGATGATGTTAGGAGCCCTGCAACAGCTACAGAGATGGTGAGGGCTGGTCCCATTCAAGGATTCAATGTAGGGTAAGAGACAAGAGAAGGATGACTCTAAGGCCTTTTTTTTTTCCTGCTTACCTGCTTGTTCACTTACATTTGACTGAGCAGCTGAAGATTAGAATGGCATTAACTGAGAGAAGTCATGGATGAAGCAAGGTAGGGAGGAATGCCATGATTTGTTTTTGCAGAAATTAAGTGGGTTTTTGTTGTTGTTGTTGTTGTGTGTGTGTGTTTTTTGAGATGGAGTCTCGCTCTGTCGCCCAGGCTGGAGTGCAGTGGCGCGATCTCGGCTCACTGCAAGCTCCACCTCCCAGGTTCACTCCATTCTCCCGCCTCAGCCTCCCCAGTAGCTGGGACTACAGGCGCCCGCCACCACACCCGGCGAATTTTTTGTATTTTTAGTAGAGACGGGGTTTCACCATGTTAGCCAGGTTGGTCTCGGTCTCCTAACCTCGTGAGCTGCCTGTCTTGACCTCCCAAAGTGCTGGGATTACAGACGTGAGCCACCGCGCCCAGCCACACAAATTAAGTTTGAGATGCCTGTTGGACTTCATAGTGGAGATGTTGGGCAGAATCTGGGCTCAGGGAAGAGATCCAAGCTGAAGATATAAATATAATATTTGTCCACATAAAGATAATTATTAAAGCTATGAGACAAAAGAGAAAAAATGCAAGGACTAAATACCCATTGTTCTGAAATATGTTTTTTCTGTTTTTCTACTCAATAAACGCAGATCTGCCTCATTCTTCGTAACTGCCGCATTTGGGAGAGAAATATCAATCTGTTTGTGCATCCTTTTAGTGTTGGGGCCGGGCGCGGTGGCTCACGCCTGTAATCCCAGCACTTCGGGTGGCCGAGGCGGGTGGATCACGAGTTCAGGAGATTGAGACCACGGTGAAACCCCGTCTGTACTAAAAATACAAAAAAAATTAGCCGGGCACGGTGGTGGACCCCTGTAGTCCCAGCTACTCAGGAGGCTGAGGCAGGAGAATGGCGTGAACCCGGGGGGCGGAGCTTGCAGTGAGCCGAGATCGCGCCACTGCACTCCAGGCTGGGCGAGAGAGCAAGACTCCGTCTCAAAAAAAAAAAAAAAAAAAAAAACCAGTTTGTGTTTCTTTCTTAAAAGAAGGAAAATATAAAGAAACATATGCCTGGCAGCTTTGAAAGAAAGAGAATATTCTTCTCTTAACAAGGCATTCCAAGGCCTGGATGTGGCTCTGTTAATACAGAGAAGTAACACCTTGAGGAAACAAAGCGTGCTACTTCACCCCCAAATCACAGCGGTAATTACCTTCCCGATGTTCATTTGGGTAAAAATCATCCTTCATTAGATTTACGTTTTCTGATGTTGGAATACTAAATTAGGTAGTTGTCTTCCTAATAAGTCACCTTGGGTATTACCTGTGCATTCTCTATTCAGATCAGTGGTCTGGGAATAAAACGTAGGAGGGAGAAGGGGGGAATTCGGGAAGTTAGATAGCGTTGGTGGCAAGATGGAGGAGCCACAGGACTGTTCTGAATGATGCCACCAAAATGTTGGTTTCATAAAAAACAGGCTAATAAATCCTCTTAACAAGAATTTACCAACACTGAAGTTCAGCTTTACTATGCTCTGCAAGACGACTGCGTTAATTTCCTGAGGCTGCCGTAACAAAGTTCTACAAAGTGGGTGGTTTAAAATAACAGAAATGTATTCTCTCACAGTTCCAGAGGCCAGAAGTCCAAAACGAAGGTGTTAACAGGGCTGTACTCCCTCAAAAGGTGCTAGGGAAGAATGCTTCTTTGCCTCTTTCAGCCTCTAGCAGCTCCCGGCATTCCTTGGTTTGTGGCTGCAGGATTCTAATCTCTGCCTCCATCTTCACATGACTTTCTCCTGGTCTGGGTCCTCCTCTTCTTTCTCTTATAAACACTTGTCATTGGGCTTAGGGCGCAGCTGGATAATGCAGGATGATCTCATCTCCAGATCCCTAACTTGACTACATCTGCAAAGACCCCCCTCTGGCACCCAAACTGGAGTGCAGTGGTGCCATCACAGCTCACTGCAGCCTCACCCTCCCCGGCTCAAGTGATCCTCCCATCTCAGCCTTTTTTTTTTTTTTTTTTTTTTTTTGAGACAGTCTTGCTCTGTCACCCAGGCTGGAGTGCAGTGGCGCTATCTCGGCTCACTGCAACTTCTGCCTCCCAGAGTCAAGTGATTCTCCTGCCTCAGCCCCTTGAGCAGCTGAGATTACAGAAGCACACCACACCCGGGTAATTTTTGCATTTTTAGTAGAGACAGGGTTTCACCATGTTGACCAGGATGGTCTCCAACTCCTGGCCTCAGGTGATCCGCCCACCTCGGCCTCCCAAAGTGCTGGGATTACAGGCGGGAGCCACTGAGTCTGACCTATTTTTTAATGTTTTCATTGATATGTCATAGATGTACCCATTTTCAGAGTGCACATGATAATTTAATACATTCATATAACTTGTAAAGATAAAATCAGTGTAACTGGGATAACCATCACCTTAGGAAAAACCCGTTTTATTTCTAAATTTCATTTATTTATTTATTTATTTATTTGAGACGGAGTCTAGCTCTGTCGCCGTGCTGGAGAGCAGTGGCGCAATCTCGCCTCACTGCAACCTCCGCCTCCCAGGTTCAAACGATTCTCCTGCCTCAGGCTCCGGAGTAGCTGGGACTACAGGCGCCCCCCACCACACCCAGCTAATTTTTGTATTTTTAGTAGAGACAAGGTTTCACAATGTTGGCCAGGATGGTATCCATCTCCTGACCTGGTGATCCGCCTGCCTTGGCCTCCCAAAGTGCTGGGATTACAGGCGTGAGCCACCGCGCCCGGTCTTAATTTTTGTTTTTTTTTAGTAGAGATGGAGTTTCGACGTGTTGGCCAGGCTGCTCTCGAACTCCTGACCTCAGATGATCTACTGGCCTCAGCCTCCCAAAGTGCTTAAATTACAGGCGTGAGCCACCGTGTCCGGCCAAAAGCCATTTTAAAATTGTCTTTCTCTGTAATTACTGGTTCATCCGAAGCATCATATGAAAAGTGTTTTCTGTTGAATGTGACACTCTTTAAATTTAATTTCTATTTCTTTCTTTTCTTTTCTTTTCTTTTTTTTTTTTTTTTTTTGAGACGGAGTTTTGCTCTTGTTGCCCAGGCTGGGGTGCTGTGGCGCTATCTCAGCTAACTGCAACCTCTGCCTCCCGGGTTCAAGCGATTCTCCTGTCTCAGCACCCTCTCCCCGCGGTCCCCCCCGCCCCCCCCCCCAACCCGAGTAGCTAGGATTACAGGCACATGCCACCACGCCCGGCTAATTTTTGTATTTTTAGTAGAGACAAGGTTTCATCATATTGGTCAGGCTGGCCTGGAACTCCTGATCTCAGGTGATCCGCCAGCCCCAAAGTGCCGGGATTACAGGCGTGAGCCACCGCGCCCGGCCTTTAATTTCTATTTCTAAGCCTGTGGATATTCACTTTTGCAATGCTGCAGCAGTTTTCAAAACCAGAGTCTAAATTCATTGCAGAAGTCCAGTAACCCCTGGTGTGCTTGATGGCAATGTCCACGCGGACGCTTCTGTTCTGTAATGATTTACTGACAACGTCTGCCCTGTGTGAACCAACGGGCGGGCAAGGCGCTGCAGGGAGGGACTCCAAAGACACACGCGCGCAGCCCTCCTCCCGCCCGCAGCCCTTCAGCTGCTACAGTGGCCACAGCTATTCCGAGGTCTATTCCGGCCTCGCCGCCGTGGCGAGGCTTGCGCATGCGCACTGGGCGCCTGAATAATGGCTCAGGCGCCGGCCCTGCCTGCGTTGCCCGCAGGCCGGAGTCCCCCACCCTGCTGCGGGTTTATCGCTCCAGCTCATGCTCATACTCCTTTGTACCATGGGATTTTACTTACAAAACAAGTTCAACGATAAAATAATTAAGAATTTTAGGAGTGCAGGGGCCGGGCGCGGTGGCTCACGCCTATAATCCCAATACTCTGGGAGGCCAAGGCGGTGAGGATCACTTGAGGTCAGGAGTTCGAGACCAGCCTGGCCAACATAGTGAAACCCCCGTCTCTACTAAAACTACAAAAATTAGGTGGGCATGATGGCGTGTGCCTGTAATCTCAGCTACTCTGGAGGCTGAGGCAGGAGAATCGCTTGAACCCAGGAGGCAGAGGTTGCAGTGAGCCGAGATCATGCCACTGTACTCCAGCCTGGGTGACAGTGAGACCTGTGCAAAAAAAAAAAAAAAAAAAAACAGCAGAGCATTGAACCAGGCGCAAAGGCCTTTCTTAGAGGGGGCTGTCACATGCCCATACAGTTATGTGGGCTTAAGCTACTCCTATTTCCAGAGGAGCAGGCGAGGCAGTTCTAGCAGCCTCATCTCTAGTCTTGCATCCGTGGAGTCAGCCGGACAACATAATGCTTATAACCAGCCTTCTTCTAGAAACATGTTTCAATGTAAAGTGGTCTTCAGATGAAACAAAAGGGAACTGGGTACCTGTGTCCTTTAAGGTTATGGAGATTCAGCCACTTGTTGACTGAGCGCCCTTGGGCAAGTCCCTTAACCCCTCCAGGCCTTGGTTCCTTCATTTGTAAAAGAATATAGCATTGTACCAATGTTAATTTTTTGGCTTGGATCATTGAAAGTTGGCTATGTAAAATGTTAACATACAGGAAAGCCAGGTTGTGAGAATTGTGTATAGTACTGCATTTTTGCAGCTTCTCTGTTTCAGGGGCAGATGACTTGGAAAACAAGGAGGGCCTCCCATCTTGTATTAGGTTTAGAATGCACTGGCACTGATAAATCCTGACTTCTACTCAAGGTTTTGTTGTAAACTAATGTGTCCTGCTGGGATACACTGCTTAATTTCTAATCCCTTACCTTAGAAAACTGTGGATATTGAATTAGATTTTTTTTTTTTGAGACAGCGTCTCACTGTGTCACCCAGCCTGGAGTGCAATGGCGCAATCTCAGCTCACTGCAATCTCTGCCCCCTGGAGGGGATCTCACTTTTTTGCCCAGGCTGGTTGTGAACTTTTGGGCTCAAGCAATCCTCCTGCCTCAGCCTCCCAAAATGCTACAATTACAGCCTCCCAAAATGTGAGCCACTGCATCCAGCCAAAAAAAATCTCAAGTGATTCTCCTGCCTCACCCTCCTGAGAAGCTGGGATTACAGACGCCCGCCACCACTCCCAGCTAAATTTTTTTGTATTTTTAGTAGAGATGGGGTTTCACCATGTTGGCCAGGCTGGTCTCGAACTCCCGACCTCAGGTGATCCACCCACCTCGACTTCCCAAAGTGCTGGGACTACAGGCATGAGCCACCACACCCGGTCTAGATATCTTTTTTTTTTAATTAGATTTTTAATGTCCTTTCTAATTTTAAAATGTAAGACCAATTAAAGGGTTTCTAGGTTCTCCTTTGCCTCCTTAGCTCTTTCTATTCTATTTTGATTTTTTCTTTCTTTTTTTTTTTTTTTCCTGAGATGATGTCTTGCTCTTGTTGCCCAGGCTGGAGTGTAATGGTGCGATCTCAGCTCACTGCAACCTCCACCTCCTGGGTTCAAGTGATTCTCTTGCCTCAGCCTCCAGAGTAGCTGGGATTACGGGCGCGTGCCACCACGCCCAGCTAATTTTTGTATTTTTAGTAGAGATGGGGTTTCTCCAGGTTGGCCAGGCTGGTCTCGAACTTTCGACCTTAGTTGATCCACCCGCCTTGGCCTCCCAAAGTGCTGGAATTACAGGCTTGAGCCACTGTGCCCAACCTTGATTTTTTCTTTTAATTCATGCTTCCAGCCCTCCTTAGCTATGTTGTCCTCTTATTTTGTATCCACTCAGTACATGCTGAGCTCATCCAGAGTTAGTACTTAGCAGTATCCATGAGTACTGCCCTTAGGAAAGGGCCCGTTTCTACCCTATCCAGTTGGAAGAAGGTACCTGTCACCCAGAGCTCTGACCCCAGTCATCTTTAGCTAAACTGGTGTCTCTCAACTTTGACTGCATGTTGAAATCACTTAGGAAGATTTTAAACTTGCTGGTGGGCCAGTTCCATCCCCAGAGATTCTGATTTGATAGATCTACATGTGAATAGGCCAGACTCCCACTTTTTTCTTTTTTAAGAGACAGGGTCAGGCCGGGTGTGGTGGCTCATGCCTGTAATCCCAGCACTTTGGGAGGCCGAGGCAGGCGGATCATGAGGTCAAGAGATCGAGACCATTGTGGCCAACATGGTGAAACCTTATCTATACTAAAAATACAAAAATTAGCTGGGCGTGGTAGTATGTGCCTGTAGTCCCAGCTACTTGGGAGGCTGAGGCAAAAGAATCGGTCGAATCCAGGAGGCAGAGGTTGCAGTGAGCCGAGATCGTGCCACTGCACTCCAGGCTGGGTGACAGAGAGAGACTCCATCTCAAGAAAAAAAAAGAGAGACAGGGTCTTGCTCTGTCATCCAAGCTGGAGTGCAGTGATGTGATCATGGCTGACTGCAGCATCAAATTTCTGGGCTCAAGCAACCCTCCTGCCTCAGCTTCCCAAATAGCTAGACCTACAGACCACCATGCCTGGTTGATTTTATTTTTTGTATAGATGGGATCTCACTTTTTTGCCCACGCTGATTGTGAACTTTGGGCTCAAGCAATCCTCCTGCCTCAGCCTCCCAAAATGCTGGGATTACAGCCTCCCAAAATGTGAGTCACTGCATCCAGCCAAAAAAAATCTTAAGAACTATTTTATTGTGATATAATTCACTCAAATACTACACAATGCAACTGAAGTGTACAATTCAATGATTTTTAGTATAGTCATAGAGTTGTCAGGGAATTAAATTTTTAATTTTTGTTATACAGGGGTACAAAATGTGAAAGAACCAATAATTTCCATTTGATTATGATAAGTTTTTCAGATTTTTTTTCTCTAGTCCTGTTCTCCTATACAAGTCTGGTTGAAGGAATGAAGGTAATTAACAGTGATAAACTTACCTTTAATGAAAAGAAGTGTCATTAATGAGAAAAAAAAAAAATCAGTTTTCTCTCAATGCTCATTCATCTTCCCTGAAAGGACAGAATGCTTCCAAATGGTGATGATTCATTCCAAAATGTATATGCTCTGCTTTATGTACTCTTTGATTAATCCATAACAATCGATTACCATTGCTTACTTTATTATTAGGTTTCCCCAGCACCATTACACTCCTGACTAATGAAAATACTAAGAAGAATCTATTAGTAGCATGCACAATATCATTCTAGCTAATGCTGAATCGCTAACTGCCTTCAAAATTTGAAGGCATGGTCTTACAATGTATGGGACCTCTACAATATATAACGAGTCCATATAAAGTACTTAGAAAAGGGCATAGCACCAAGTAAATGTTCAGTGAATAGTGCGATTACATCATCAAAACCAGGACACTTTCAAGAGTAAAAGGGGACATTCAATGTATTTGCTGTTATTTTATTACACAGCATCTATTTTGCATAATTAAAATGATAATACAAACAAATGGTGATTTTAAACAATTTATAATTAAACCATGGAAAGAAATCTCACATAAGTTGTTTAATTTTTTTCATTAGAATAAAGGCAACTGCTGGGTGTGATAGCTCATGCCTGTAGTTTGGGAGGCCAAAGCAAGCAGATCACTTGAGCCCCGGAGTTGGAGACCAGCCTGGATAACATCGCAAAATCTTGTCTCTACAAAACAGACAAAAATGAGGATCGCTTGAGCCCAGGAGGTTGAGGCTGCAGTGAGCCATGTTTGAGCCACTACACTCCAGCCTGGATAACTGAGCAAGACCCTGTCTCAAAACAAAACAAAACAAAATAAACAAACAAACAAAAAGAATTAAGGTAACTATAAATAAATAGAGCAAAGATTGTCATTTTGGGTTGCTGCTTTTGAATCACACTATACCCCTCCTGCCCTGATGAACACATGTAGCTATCAGGTTTTTTTTTTTCTGAGACGGAGTCTCACTCTGTCACCAGGGCTGGAGTGCAGTGGCATGATCTTGGCTCACTGCAAGCTCTGCCTTCCAGGTTCACACCATTCTCCTACCTCAGCCTCCCGAGTAGCTGGGACTACAGGCGCCTGCCACCGCGCCCGGCTAATTTTTTGTATATTTAGTAGAGACGGGGTTTCACCGTGTTAGCCAGGATGGTCTCCATCTCCTGACCTCGTGATCCACCCGCCTCGGCCTCCCAAAGTGCTGGGATTACAGGTGTGAGCCACCGCGCCTGGCCTGATAGCTATTAGTTTTAAACAGCCAAAGCCTGGCGTGGTGGCTCACACCTGTAATCCCTGCACTTTGGGAGGCCAAGGCAGGCAGATCACTTGAGGTCAGGAATTCTAGACCAGCCTGGCCATCATGGTGAAACCCTGTCTCTGCCAAAAATACAAAAATTAGCCCGGCGTGTTGGCGCATGTCTGTAATCCCAGCTAGTCAGAAGGCTGAGGCAGGATAATCGCTTGAATTCAGGAGGTGGAGGCTGCAGTGAGCTGAGATCACACCACTTCATTCCAGCCTGGGCAACAGAGTGATACTCTGTGTCAATAAATTAATAAATAAATAAATAGCCAAAATAATAGATGTCTGTGAACCTGGTTAGTTCTTCTGGAGTCATACATTCAAGCACCAGTTGGTCTGCAGAAATGCCAGGCTCTTACACATTTGGATTTCTGGTGCAATTCATCTGTCACTTTTTGACATGTGGTCAATTTTATGATAATTGAAGTTTAAGAGGAATTTGTAGAAAATAGGTCTTTGTACTTAAGGTGTAAGGAAATAACACACAAATGAATTTTCCCAGTTCCAGAAGCTTTTATCATCAAAATTTCTGGTTATTTTAGATGGAAATTTTTCTATATGTGTGTCTCATAACTGTTTTCCAAGAGAGACCAAGTCTCTCTTTTAGGGAGTTTCATTTCACATCCTGAAAAAATATGCATACTAGTGGGTACAGTGTGTTGGACTTCCAGGCAAAAGAAGGCAGAGTGCTGTACCTACCAACTGCATGCCAAGAATGAATGCCTTCCTCCTTGACAGACATGACTGCCTTTGTTTCAGTCCCAGTCAGGGAAGGAGTCTCTGGAATCAGCACCTCACAGATTCCCTCTTCATGGTATTCTGGCCTGACAGCTTTGTCCTCTTCTATACGGTGACTTCTGACAGATGCAATCCACTTTCACAGCACATGACTGAGCATACCCAAGCCTGGGCACCAGTTTTGAATGACCATATGTAACTTTATCCTTTTTCCTCCCACTCAAGAAAATATAGTGGAAAGCAAGTAAGAGTCATATTACTGTATAAATAACCTCAAATCTGCTCTGATTTTTTGTTAAAGCAAGCCAACATGGGTATATTTGCAAACTTGCATATACTCTCTCTTTTTTTTCAAGACAGGGTCTCATTTTGTTGCCCATGCTGGAGTGCAGCGATATGATCACCACTCACTGCAGCCTTGACTTCCTGGGCTCAAGTAGATCCTCCCACCTCAGCCTCCCACGTAGCTGGAACTATAGGTATGCACACCACCCCTGGCTAATTTTTGTATTTTTTATAGAGATGGGGGTTTTGCCATGTTGCCCAGGCTGGTCTCAAACTCCTGACCTCAAGTGATCTGCCTGCCTCAGCCTCCCTAAGTGCTGGGATTACAGGAGTGAGCTACCATGCCCGGGTCATAACTTGAGTATATTCTCGAAAAAACAAAATATTTGTAAAATTACCTTACAACTTATTATGACACACCAGTGCATGCTGTCACTCCATGACACATAAATGTTGTCCCTTATATTGGATCTGCAGTGAGACCACCTTTCTCTTTTATTCCCAGAATGTTAATTTATTATTTATTCATTCATTTGCTAGTTCTTTTATTCATTTCACAAACACATAATGAGTATTTACCATGCTAAATGCTAAGGATGCATAGATGACCAAGACCAAAAATCCTCTGCTGCCAATGAGCTCATATGTACTGAAGGAAGTTAGATATATCAACAAAAGAAATCAAGATGTGGCTGCGTGGTGACTCATGCATATAATGCTAGCATTAGGGAGGCAGAGGTGGGAGGATCACTTGAGCCTGGAAGTTCAAGAGCAGCCTGGGCAACCTAGCAAGATCCCATCCCCCCGCCCCCAAAAAACAGCAAGATGTATGTGCATATATGGATATAGATATATTGTAGATCATATATCTGCCAGATGGTTAGAGAGGGACAACTGACAACCACTGCTATGTAAAGATATAAGAGAACAGAAGGGTCTACAGCTCACCTGACGGGGAAAGGGTGGTCAGAGAGAGGCTGAATCTTAATAAATGTAACACTTTGTCAGATATATAAGAGAGGGCAGTCCTTCTGGTCGGTGCCATGGCCAAGCTCTGCAGCCAGTGTGCTGGTCTGAAGGGCCAGCGGTAGCAAATTGACTTACACCTTAATGTAATGGGAAGATACAAGGGCACGTATATAGGCTGGGCACATTGGCTCACGCCTGTAATCCCAGCACTTTGGGAGGTGGAGGTGGGTGGACCACCTGAGGTTGGAAGTTTGAGACCAGCCTGGCCAACAAAGTGAAACCCTGTCTCTACTAAAAATGCAAAAATTAGCCGAGTATGGTAGCGCATGCCTGTAATCCCAGCTACTGGGGTGGCTGAGGCATGAGAATCGCTTGAACCCAGGAGGCAGAGGTTGCAGTGAGTTGAGATCATGCCACTGCACTCCAGCCTGGGCAACAGAGTGAGACTGTCTCCAAAATAAATAAATAAATAAATAAATACAAATAATAAAATAAAAGAAATTTTTTTAAAGAAAGATGATAGGGCTGGGCACGGTGGCTGACACCTGTAATCCCAACACTTTGGGAGGCCAAGGCATGTGGGTCACGAGGTCAGGAGATCGAGACCATCCTAGCCAACATGGTGAAACCCCATCTCTACTAAAATACAAAAAAATTAGCCAGGCATGGTGGTGTGCACCTGTAATCCCAGCTACTCAAAAGGCTGAGGCAGAATTGCTTGAACCTGGGAGGCAGAAGTTGCAGTAAGCCAAGATCACGCCACTGGTGCCACTGCACTCTAGCCTGGGCAACAGAGCCAGACTCCATCTCAAAAAAAAAATAAAAAATAAAAAAGAGGATGTTAAGGATTAGAGTCCCCCTCTTCTCTGTCCTCTCTTTCTCAGCCCCCCTTCACTTATATACACTTTTTCTCCCAGCTCAATCACCTCTCAGAAGCAGCCTGCTTAAATCTTATTAGCTTTGATCTGACAATATAGTCATCATTGAATTACCTAAAATTTCTGAGTTGCAAAAATACTTCTTCCCCACAAAGACTTATACATGAACATTGCTGGCAGGATTATTCATAAATAGCCAATGGAATATTCTTTAGCATAAAAAGAACCAATCTACTGAAACTTGCAACAGTATGGATGAGCCTCAGAAGAATTATGCTAAGGAAAAGAAGCCAAATACATATTGTATGATGTATATATCTACCTATTTTTATAAAATTTCTAGAAAAGAAAAATCTATAGTGAAAGAAAGCAGATCAATGCTCTCCTGGGGCTAAGGTTGGGAGAGGGATTCATTGCCAGTGAGCATGTGGTAACTTTTTAGGGTGATGGAAATGTTCTAAAACCTGATTGTGGGATTGGTTGCACAACCATAAATTTACTAGAAATAATTTAACTGTGCACTTACAATACGTAATTTTTTTTTTTTTTGAGATGGAGTTTCGCTCTTGTCACCCAGGCTGGAGTGCAATGGCGCGATCTTGGTTCACTGACACCTCTGCCTCCTGGGTTCAAATGACTCCCTGCCTCAGCCTCCTGAGTAGCTGGGATTACAGGCACCTGCCACCATGCCTGACTAATTCTGTATTTTTAATAGAAATGGGGTTTCACTATGTTGGCCAGGCTCGTCATGAACCCCTGACCTCAGGTGATCCACCCGCCTTGGCCTCCCAAAGTGCTGGGATTACAGGCTTGAGCCACCATGTCTGGCTACAATAGCACATAAATCATATGTCAGTGAGACTATTTTTATTTATTTTTATTTTTATTTATTTATTTATTTGAGATGGAGTCTCGCTCTGTTGCCCAGCCTGGAGTGCAGTGGCACAATCTTGGCTCACTGCAAGTTCCGCCTCCCAGGTTCACGCCATTCTTCTGCCTCAACCTCCCGAGTAGCTGGGACTACAGGCACCCGCCATCACGCCCGGCTAATTTTTTGTCTTTTTAGTAGAGACGGGGTTTCACCATGTTAGCCAGAATGATCTCGATCTCCTGACCTTGTGATCCGCCCGCCTCAGCCTCCCAAAGTGCTGGGATTACAGGCGTGAGCCACGGCGCCCAGCCTCAATTTTTTTTTTTTTTTTTTTGAGACGGAGTCTCACTCTGTCACCAAACTGGAGTGCAGTGGTGCCATCTCGTCTCACTGCAACCTCCACCTCCCAGGTTCAAGCTATTCTCCTACCTCAGCCTCCCGAGTAGCTGGGACTACAGGTGCAGGTGCGCACCACCACACCCAGGTAATTTTTGCATTTTTAGTAGAGGTGGGGTTTCACCATGTTCGCCAGGATGGTCTTAATCTCTTGACCTCATGATCTGCCCACCTTGGCCTCCCAAAGTGCTGGTATTACAGACGTGAGCCACCGCACCCAGCTCAGTGAGACTATTTTTAAAATGTACTGCCCAGCCCACTTCCCTGCCCTTTTAAGAGAATGTATTAAACATAATTGAACCTTTTTCTTCAGGGTCATCAGCATAACTATGTTGTATTTTCAGTATAGTAAAGTGATTCAGTGATGGTTGGGTGATTCCTCAGCAAGTTGCAGAACCTCCAAAGCTTCAGCTTCTTCATTTGTGAAATGAAGATGATAAGCATTTCTAGCACATAGGGTTATTAGGAGAATTACAATGAAACATGTATAACACTTAGAAGAGAGGTAAAGAAAACTCAGTAACAGTAGCTGATAGATGCTGATGATGACCTACCATGCTTCATTTTGCAGATGGGAGAAAAGGGAGAAAGTGGTAGGGAGATGCCAAAAAATCCAAGATGTTAAAATCAAAAACAACTCTCTGAGGCATGTCAGTTTATGTTCCCTATGATCTTCCTGGCTTTCCTAGTTTCATAACTACTTACAAATCATTTATGCATGGGGCGTTTATCAAAAACCTGTGATGTGCCAGGCACTTTTCTTTATAGGATCTCTTTTTAATCCTTGTAGCAATCTTGTGTGATCAGCTACTTTACCAATGAGGACTCAAGGTTTGAAGACAAGTCCTGCCTCTAGTAAGTGATAGTCTTAAATCAATTCTGAGTTTGCCTGACTTCAAAACTCACACTTTCCATTATAACAATAGAGTAAGAATGGTGACAGTGGCTAATGAACCTGCAAAGGGGACTTTTCTTTTGGTAGAGATGGAGTTTCACTACGTTGCCTAAGCTGGTCTCAAGCTCCAGGGCTCAAGGGACTCCTCCTGCCTTTGCCTCCCAAAGTGCTGGGATTAAATACAGGCTTGAGCCACTGTGCCCAGCCAAGGGAACGTTTTTGAATCAATACTTTAATTTTACTAGAAAGGGGCCAGGCGCGGTGGCTCACACCTGTAATCCCAGCACTTTGGAAGGCTGAAGTGGGAGAATCACTTGAACCCAGGAGGTTGAGACTGGAGTGAGCCATGTTTGTCCCACTGCACTCCAGCTTGGGCAACAGAGCAAGACCTTATCAAAAAAGAAAAGAAAAGGAAAAAAGGGCCGGGCACGGTGGCTCACACCCAGCACTTTGGGAGGCCGAGGCGGGCGGATCACGAGGTCAGGAGATCGAGACCATCCTGGCTAACATGGTGAAACTCCGTCTCTACTAAAAAACATAAAAAATTAGCCGGGCGTGGTGGTGGGCTCCTGTAGTCCCAGCTACTCGGGAGGCTGAGGCAGGAGGATGGCATGAACCCGGGAGGTGGAGCTTGCAGTGAGCCGAGATTGTGCCACTGCACTCCAGCCTGGGTGACAGAGCGAGACTCCGTCTCAAAAATAAATAAATAAATAGGAAAAAAAAGAGAGAGAGAGGAAGGAAAGAAGGAAGGGAGGGAGGGAGAGAGGGAGGAGAGAGAGAGGCGAGAGAGGAAAGAAAGAAAGGAAGAAAGAGAGAGAGGAAGGAAGGAGGGAGAAAGAAAGGAAAAATAATAATAAATTTAAAAACCAATAATTTTACTAGAAAGGCCAATGATAGAGCAATGTAGTGGTTTAGAGAAAATCCCACTAAGATGAAGGTCCTGAAAAAGATCCTGCTTTCTCTCTGCTGCTTCTTCTTTTTTTTTCGAGATAGGGTCTCACTCTGTTGCCCAGGCTGGAGTGCAGTGGTGTAATCTTGGCTCACTGCAACCTTTGCCTCCCAGGTTCAAGCGAGCCCCCTGCTCATTTCTTGTGAAATTTCCACCAGAGCACACCTTGGGGGCAATAATTCTCAAAATTTCCAGGTGATAGAATTCTTGGACAAAGAGGTCCTCATTATGAACAGCCATGAAAAAACTAACATACAAAAGATAATAGATGTTGTGCTAAATTAAATAGCATTACCTATCGTATGCTAACCAGCAAGCACCATTTCTAATAAAAATGTGTGGAAGAAAAATAAATTTTAAGTGATTAGTGAATTGTTTTTTACAAGTTGGTGAATCTTATTGTTCAAGGGCATATGGAAGTTCTTTGTACTTTTCTTTTTTTCCTTTTTTTTTTTTGAGATGGAGTCTCGCTCTCTCGCCCAGGCTGGAGTGCAGTGGCATGATCTCGGCTCACTGTAACCTCCACCTCCCGGGTTCATATGATTCTCTTGCCTCAGCCTCCCGAGTAGTTGGGGCTACAGGCACCTGCCACCACGCCCGGCTCATTTTTGTATTTTTAGTAGAGACACGGTTTCACCATATTGGTCAGGCTAGTCTCGAACTCCTGATCTTAGGTGATCTGCCCGCCTCGGCCTCCCAAAGTGCTGGGATTGAAGGTGTGAGCCACCACACCCGGCCTAGTTCTTTGTACTTTTCTTGACATTTTTCTCCAAGTTTGAAATTATTGCCAAAACAGTTGAAAATAATCAGCATGTAATTTTATTGCTTTATCAATTAAAAAAACTTAAAATTTAATCTAAATGGAAACTTTACTATAATACTAAGATTTAGCAACCCTGTGTGATCAATTATGAATGTGCTTCATGAGGTCAGAGGCCAGAATATCAAAGATTTGTATTTAATGTTTATGATCAACCTCCAACAAAACCATTTTCTCCCTGTATTAGAGTTTACTCCATTGCTGACTCCTCATTGAACACTTTGCTGCACCAACCCAACCAACTCAGAGGGTTAGAGAATTGTTTGAGACCCCTCCTACAAAAATTAAAAAATTAGCCAGCTGTGGTGGTGCACACCTGTAGTCCCAGCTCCCCGAAAGGATGAGGCAGGAGAATCGCTTGAGCCCAGGAGGTCGGGGCTGTCATGAGCTAGGATCACACCACTGCTCTTCAGCCTGAGTGATAAAGCAAGACGCTGTCTCAAAAAAGAAGAAGAAGAAGGAGAAGGAGAAGAAGAAGAAGGAGAAAAAGAAGATGATGATGATTTGCTCTTACTGTAGACCTTAGCAACCTCAGCACACTTTTTTGTTTTTCCTTTCCTTATTCTTTTTTTTTTTTTTTTTTTTTGAGACGGAGTTTTGCTCTTGTTGCCCAGGCTTGAGTGCAATGGCGCTATCTCAGCTCTCTGCAGCTCACTGCAACCGCCGCCTCCTGGGTTCAAGCAATTCTCCTGCCTCAGGCTCCCAAGTAGCTGGGACTACAGCTGCCCGCCATCATGCCCGGCTAATTTTTTTTTGTATTATTAGTAAACAGGGTTTCACCATGTTGAACAGGCTGGTCTTGAACTCTGGACCTCAGGTGATCCACCCGCCTCGGCCTCCCAAAGTCCTAGGATTACAGGCATGAGCCACCGCACCTGGCCCCTTTCCTTATTCTTAAAGGAAGCACTTTACAGCTCTGCTTTGACATATCTGAATTGCCAGCATTACTACTCTTGCAGTTTGGGGCCATGATGAAGTAAAATAAGGGTGACTTGAACACAAGTATTGCAATCTGTTAACCAATAACCAAACAACTACTAAACGACTAAGGGGAAGGTAGCCTCTATGGCGTCTATAGCATGGAGATGTTGGACAAAGGGAGAATTCACATCCAGTCAAGATGTAGCAGAACCTCGAAATATTTCATCACATAACTCAGAATGGCACAAAATTTAAAACTTATGAATTGAATTGTTTATTTCTGGAATTTTCCATTTAATATTTTTGCACTACAATTGACCACAGATAACTGAAACCTGGGAAAGCAAAACCAAGGTAAGGGGAGACTAGTGTATCCATGCCTCAGTACCAAACTCTTTCACTTACTGTAGTTTCACAAAACATTTTAATGTCTGTTAAGGATCCCTTCACTCCTTTTATTTATTTTCAGAATGTATTATACATTACATTGAATAGATGAGTACTTAATTTCAAGATACTTCCTCTTCACATTTTAATAAGATTTGGTAAGTACTAGAGAGACTCAAGGATTGGGGGCAGGAAAACAAGGGAACATTCAGATGTTAATTAGCTCAACCTGTCCCCACAGACACTGCGAGTTGTAAAAGAGAGAAAAGGAGGAAGAAAGAGTTTAGAGGGAGGAAGGGAGGAGACAAGAAAGATGAGGTTGGGCACTTTCACCTGGTGGCACTTGCCTATAATTCCAACAATTTGAGAGGCCAAGGCAGGAGATTGCTTGAGTCCAAGAGCTGGAGATCAGCCTGGGCAACAAACCCAGACCCCATCTCTACAAAAAATACATTAAAAAATTAGCCTAGCATGGTGGTGCGCACCTGTAGTCCTGGCTACTCAGGAGGCTGAGGTGGAGGATTGCTTGACCCCAGTAGTTTGAAGCTGCAGTGAGCTATAATTGCACCAACTGCACTCCAGCCTGGGTGACAGAGTGAGACCCTGACTCGCAAGAGAAAAAAACAGATGAGTTTGCGGTGTTCCCTTCCCCTGCAACATGGCTCCTGCTACCCCATTCCACCGAAATGCTCTTGACAAAGGACACTAGGTTTTTCTGGTTTTGAAATCCAATGGACTCTTTTCTTAGGGTCTTGTAGATAGTCCCCAAAAGATAGCAGTGCTTTGCTGATATTCTTATTAACCTACAAGGTCAGACCCAGTTTGAATAGCGGCACACCTCCTATTCCTTTGAGTTGAGTTCATCACCCCAGTCCAAGAGAATCTAATCCAGACACAATGATGTCTGGGTCACACAATAATCTCTGCATTTATTTTCATGCCTCTTCTTCCCCTTCGCATCTTCCCCTCCTTACGTCATCCTTATTTCTTTTCTGCTTGAGTTTGAGAATGGTACAGTGAAGGATTTTAAGGAGGGGCAGGGTGTGGGCACAGACCGATTGAGCACCAGGGATAAAAAATATTTCCCAAGAATCTCCAACATTCACCTTGCAGCATACTTTACCTGAGTATCTCTACAGTTGATAAGGTCCATGGTTCTGTGTCTAATACAATGTTTGAAAGCAGGGGCACTCAGTATCTGTTGAATAATCAACTACTCAATTATGCATTGCTTGTAGGTCAGAATTGCTGCAACCTTTCATGATAACTGCAGGTTATCCTCAAGAACTCATTTCTGCAGAACCTGGCGAAGCCCAGATTTGATATAAATAAGTGTAGTTTCATTGACATTTAGTCTAGGGCAAGTGAAGCAAGTAAATTACCCAATGAGGTGATTTATAAATTCATTCAACTCAATTCTCTGATAGGAAGCTAAGCAACGTGCTGTGGTCATTGGGCCTGATTTATATCAGAAAAGTGTACAAAAGAAAATGGAGGTTCTCTATCTTGCTCTTGTCCTCTCCTGGTCTCCTGTTACTATATAACAGGCATCCTTTTCCTTTAATTACCTTCTTCATGGCTTGAGAGCTTTGATGACTTGATTAAGCCTTGCAGTGCAGTTCCAGTCCCTACCCATCTGATTAATTAGCCCAAACCTTATTAACTTCCTAATTCTGATCAATAAGGCACTGATGCTCAACTGTGCAAGGGCAAACTAAGGAGGCAATTTTATTTCAAGACACAGAGTCCCTACTACTTTTTTTTAACCATCTTTTCTTTATCTTACATTTTAACACCAGCCAAGTTGGAATATGGTAATATAAGAATAGTCCCACGAAGTCAGCACACACTCTCCAGCACTAGTCACTTGGTGCAACAGTCCTATTTTGGTGACATTATTTGGAAATTTTGCGTGAAGGGCCTCTGTTATTCAGGATATCAGGCAAATGTTGCTCTCAGCCAAAGAAAGAGTATGACAACGATGACGATAATGATGATGATGATGATGATCATGATGATTCCTGCTCTGCAGGAAATGGACAAAATATACAACAAGAAGCACCTCTTCTCCAAACTCAAATTCAGAATGGAGTTCTCCAACACTGAGAGAATATTTCAATATTCTAGACCAGCACTATCCAATAGAAATATTTTAAATTTTCTAATAGCCACGTTTAAAAAATTCAAAATCGGCCAGGCACGGTGACTCATGCCTGCAATCCCAGCACTTTGGGAGGCCAGAGCAGGTAGATCACCTGAGGTCAGGAGTTCGAGGCCAGGCTGGACAACGTGATGAAACCCCGCCTCTAAAAAAATACAAAAATTAGCTGGGCATGGTGGTGGGTGCCTGTAATCCCAGGTACTCGGGAGGCTGAGGCAAGAGAATCGCTTGAACCCAGGAGGCGGAGGCTGCAGTGAGCCAAGATCGCGCCACTGCACTCCAGCCTGGGCGACAGAGTGAGACACCGTCTCAAAAAAAAAAATTTAACATTGGGGCCAGGCGCGATAGCTCACGCCTGTAATCCCAGCACTTTGGGAGGCCGAGGGGGGTGGATTGCTTGAGGCCAGGAGTTCGAGACCAGCCTGGCCAACATGGTGAAATCCCCATCTCTGCTAAAAATACAAAAATTAGCCTGGTATGGTGGAGCACACATGTAGTCCCAGCTACTGGGGAGGCTGAGGCACAAGAATCCCTGGAACCTGGGAGCCAAGATCATGCCACTGCATTCCAGTCTGGGCGACAGAGCAAGACTTTGTCTCAAAAAAAAGAAAAAGGCCAGGCACGTTGGCTCACGCCTGTAATCCCAGCACTTTGAGAGGCCAAGGCGGGTGGATCACCTGAGGTCAGGAGTTCGAGACCAGCCTGACCAACATGGGGAAACTCCGTCTCTACTAAAAATACAAAATTAGCCGTACGTGGTGGCACATGCCTGTATCCCAGCTACTCGGGAGACCGAGGCAGGAGAATCGCTTGAACCCGGGAGGTGGAGGTTGCGGTGAGCCAAGATCATGCCATTGTATTCCAGCCTGGGCAACAAGAGTGAAACTCCGTCTCAAAAAAATAAAATAAAATAATAATAATAATTATTATGCCTTTCTTTTGTAAAACATTTGTCAGAGGATGTCACATTTCTCATATTTTCCCAACTCTCTGAAATAAAACTCTGTCTCAAAAAAAAAAAAAAAAAGAAATATAGGACGGGCATGGTTGCTCATGCCTGCAATCCCAGCACTTTGGGAGGCGGAGGCGGGCAGACCACGAGGTCAGGAGATCGAGACCATCCTGGCCCAACATAGTAAAACCCTGTCTCTACTAAAATACAAAAAATTAGCCGGGTGTGGTGGCACATGTCTATCGTCCCAGCTTACTCAAGAGGCTGAGGCAGGGTAATCGCTTGGACCCGGCAGGCGGAGGTTGCATTGAGCTAATATCACGCCACTGCACTCCAGCCTAGCGACAGAGCAAGATTCTGTCTCAAAAAAAAGTAACAATAGTAATAAATTAAAAATTAACAAGTAAAATTAATTTAATAGTGTATATTATATAAACCAGTATCTCAAAAATAACACTGTAACATGTAACCTAAATAAAATTGCTAATGAACCATTGTGCTTTCTTTTTCCACACTAAACCTTTGAAATCAGGTGTATATTTTATACTTTCAACACATCTAAATTCCAACTAGTCACATTTCAAGAGCTCAACAGACAGCTTTGGCTAATGGCTACCATGCTGGACAGTATAGTTCTAGCTCAGGGAATCTCAAACTTGAGCATGTATCACCTGGAGGGTTTATTAAAACACACATGGTTGGCTCCATCCCCAGAGTCACTGATTCAGTAGTCTGGGGTTGGAGACTTAACATTTCTAATAAATTCCCAGGTGATGCTGATGCTGCTTGTTGGGCACCCCACTTTGAGAGCTACCACCTCCCAGGTTCAAGCAATTCTCCTGCCTCAGACTCTCAGGTACTGGGGATTAACAGGCATGTGCCACCACACCCGGCTAATTTTGTATTTTTAGTAGAGACAGGGTTTCACCGTGTTGGCCAGGCTGGTCTCAAACTCCTGACCTCAGGTGATCCACCCACCTCAGCCTCCCAAAGTGTTGCAATTACAGACGTGAGCCACCACACCCAGCCTTATTCTTTATTTAAAATAAAGACAAGGTCTCACTATGTTACCTGGGCTGGTCTCAAACTCCTTACCTTGGCTGATCCACCTGCCTCAGCCATAAACCACTGTACCTGGCCCGAAATTCTAAAACTTAAAGAATAGCCAAGACTTTTTTTTTTTTTTTGAGACGAGTTTTGCTCTTTTTGCCCAGGTTGGAGTACAATGGCACAATCTCAGCTCACCGCAACCTCTGCCTCCCAGGTTCAAGTGATTCTCTGCCTCAGCCCCTGAGTATCTGGGATTACAGGTATGCACCACCACGCCTGGCTAATTTTATATTTTTAGTAGAGACGGGGTTTCTCCATGTTGGTCAGGCTGGTCTCGAACTCCCGACCTCAGGTGATCCACCCACCTTGGCCTCCCAAAGTGCTGAGATTACAGGTGTGAGCCACCGCGCCCAGTCAGAATAGACTAGATTTTAACTTAAACTTTGAAATCATTTTGGCATTTAGTATATGCTGATAAACTACTTAGTGCTTTCATTATCTGTCTCTGCAGGGACCATCTGTACTACCCAGGGCAGGGAATACACACTACAGAAGCCAATGAGAAAGGCTTCACTTGCCCAAGGCTCCGGGGCTGTGAGGGTGGGCATGCCAGCACCTAGAGCTGCTGGTCTCACTCTCCAACACACGTCTCTCCTCTGCCACCGCCGTGTGCCTTTCCCTTTTTTGTCAGTTTAAGAAACTCATTACAAATAAGTACCATTTCTTATCTTTGTCTCCAGTTCTTTTCTTTATTAAACGAATTCAGTAGATAATGTGTGCACAAAGTTCAGACATCACAAAAGAGTGGACAGAGAAAAAGTAATGCCTTTCTATACCTCTGTTTCCTAGTTTTCGCCAACTAGTTGCCCTCCCAGGAACTCAACCCATATTACCAGGGTTTTGTATGTCTTCTCAGAGATAACCTATTCATAAATTTGTATATATGTTTTTGTATACATACATATGCAATTTTATATATATATATATATATATATATATATATATATTTTTTTTTTTTTTTTTTTTTTTTTTTTTTTTGGAGACGGAGTCTTGTTCTTGTCGCCCAGGCTGGAGTACAATGGCACGATTTGGGCTCACAGCAACCTCCACCTCCCGGGTTCAAGCAATTCTCCTGCCTCAACCTCCCAAGTAGCTGGGATTACAAGTGCATGCCACCACGCCCGGCTAATTTTTTTTTTTTTTTTTGTATTTTTAGTAGAGACGGGGTTTCACCATGTTGGCCAGGCTGGTTCTTAAACTCCTGACCTCGTGATCCGCCCGCCTCAGCCTCCCAAAGTGCCAGGATTACAGGCGTGAGCCACCACGCCTGGTCAGCAATTTTTTTTATTATTATTTATTTATTTGAGACAGAGTCTTGCTCTGTCACCCAGGCTAGAGTGCAACGGTGCAATCTTGGCTCACTGCAACCTCCACTGCCCAGGCTCAAGTGATTCTCACGCCTCAGTCTTCCAAGTAGCTGGAATTACATGTGGGTGCCACCACACCCAGCTAATTTTTGTATTTTTAGTAGAGACGGGGCTTCTTCACGTTGGCCAGGTTGGTCTTGAACTCCCGGCCTCAAGTGATTCACCTGCCTCGGCCTCCCAAAGTTCTGGGATTATGGACATGAGCTACTGCACCCGGCAGGCATTTATTTTTATTTTTATTTATTTATTTATTTATTTGGCGACAGAGTCTTGCTCTTTCGCCCAGGCTGGATGTAGAGTGGTGTGATCTTGGCACACTGCAAGCTCCGCCTCCCGGGTTCATACCATTCTTCTGCTTCAGCCTCCCGAGTAGCTGGGACTATAGGCGCCCGCCACCACGCCCGGCTAATTTTTTTGTATTTTTAGTATAGACGGGGTTTCACCATGTTAGCCAGGATGGTCTCAATCTCCTGACCTCATGATCCGCCTGCCTTGGCCTCCCAAAGTGCTGGGATTACAGGCGTGAGCCACTGCGCCTGGCTTTATTTTTTAAATTGAAACACAAAAATAGGCTTCCGGTCCACATTTCAGTCTAACCTCATCTCTAAGATGTGAAACAATCAGTAATGAGTCATATCATAAGCACAATTTCAGAACCCACAAATACAGAGCACAGCTTCCATAAAATCAGATACAATAGACCAACCTTTTCATGTGAAAAATGAGAAATATAGAAAGATAAGTTGCAGGGGCCAGGCGCGATGGCTCACACCTGTAATTCCAACACTGGGAGTACAAGGCGGGCAGATCACCAGTGGTTAGCAGTTCGAGACCAGCCTGACCAATATGGTGAAACCCCATCTCTACTAAAAATACAAAAAAAGTTAGCCAAGTGTGGTGCATGCCTGCAGTCCCAGCAACTCGGGAGGCTGAGGTGGAAGGATCCCTTCAGCCTGGAGGTGGAGGTTGCAGTGAGTCGAGATCGCACTGCACTCCAGCCTGGATGACAGAGTAAGACCCTGTCTCAGAAAAAGAAAAAAGGAAAAAAAGAAAGATAAGTTGCAATCCAAGTAATACACCTTATGTTTAGGCAAGGTAACTTGAGGGTTGAGCAGTGTTTGACATTTTCATTCCAGAATGCTTTTACGTTCTTGCCTTCACCATGATGTTTTTGTTTTTGCCTCTGCCTTTGACCATACTGTCCCCTCTGCCTGAAAAGGTGTCCCCTTCCCCCAGCCCACCTCCTTTTTTAGCTTATTATAGTCATTTCAATATTTTCTAGAAAAAGGCAGGTTCTTGAATTACTGGGTAAATGAGGTTTATATGTTTCTCCAGATGCCCTGTATTGAGCCCAAGAGTCGTATCCCAAAACATTTTGCCAACAGGGTGTGCTTACTGTCTGGCTGTGACTGACACGATATTCCACCCTCCCCCTGCGCTTGCTTATCTCTTACTCTCCCTTTGTTACTAAGTAGATTATTACACTAACCTGACAAAGTTGCCATGAGGGTGAGAAGAGATAATGGTCATAAAAGAGTTCTGTAAACAACCAGACTTTGGAATAGTTGGACAGAAAGGTGTTGGCAGAGTGGAGGTGGGGGAAAAAGGGTGTACTTGTGAAGACAAACTCACAGACAGAAGCTCCAATTGCTGGCTCTGACATTAGCAACTGTGTGGCCTTAGGCAAGTTCTAGAACTTCTCCTTCTTCTTCTTTCTTCTCCTTCTCCTTCTTCTTCTTTTTTTTTAGAGAAGGGGTGGGGTCTCTCTTTGTTGCCCAGGTTGAAGTGCAGTGATGCTATCCTAGCTCACTGCGGGCTCGAACTCCTGGACTCAGAGGCTCCAACTCCTGGGCTCAGAGGCTCCTTCCACCTCAGCCCCCTAAGTAGCTAGGACCACAGCCACACCTGGCTCCAGCATGTTTCTCAGCACTTTGGTTGTTACATCTTCAAGACTAGAGTCAGCTGCTTTCTCTGTGACCACCAAGCGAGTGGAGATGGAGGTTCCCAAAGGTGTTGAACATTCTGACGCCCGTAGACCACCCCAAGGTCAAGTCTTTGAACTGGAGTGCCCATACCCCTGGGGTACACAAACACTTTCCAAGGGTTATGAGACCTTGCGTAGTCTTTTTTCTTTTTTCTTTTTTCTTTTTTGAGACAGAGTTTTTGCTCTTGTCGCCCAGGCTGGGGTGCAATGGCATGATCTCGGCTCACTGAAACCTCCACCTCCTGGGTTCAAGCGATTCTCCTGCCTCAGTCTCCAGAGTCGCTGGGATTACAGGCATGTGCCACCATGCCCGGCTAATTGTTTGTATTTTTATTAGAGACAGGGTTTCGCCATGTTGGTCATGGCTGGTCTTGAACTCCTGACCTCAGGTGATCCACCCATCTCAACCTCCCAAAGTGCTGGGATTACAGGCATGAGCCACTGCACCTGGTGAGACCTTACCTAGTCTTAGGGGAATTACCTACCAAACCCTTTACTTTCGCAATTACTCAGCTTCACAACAGCTTTACAAAAGAAAAATGCACGTCTCACCCATCCGAAGGCAGCTGTGTATTTGCTCCAGGGTGGAAAGGCCTCTTGGAGACCCAAAGAGGAAGACTGTTTTAATGCTCACTCCAGTTGCCTTAAATCCTCAGGGCTTGCATTTCCTGGTCTTCTCCCTGTCTAATCTTACATCTATTAAAGGAGAAACATGGCCTTAGAAATGTGGTATTTTGGTCTGTATCAGATATTTTTATTTTACATATATGGTAGAGTAAGTAGTGGAAAAATGATAATTTTTGTTTGACTTTGCTCCTTCTTTTCCTGATCATTAGTCACAGAATGCGTCATTCCTGAGAGACAGTACCAAGAGGAAAGGGAAAGAGAGTTGGGGAAGAACTATGGACTGCTAAGAAAGGCTGTCTAGGCCAGAAGAGGTGGCTCATACCTGTAATCCCAGCACTTTGGATGGCCGAGGCGGGCGGATCTCCTGAGGTTGGAAGTTCGAGACCAGCCTGACCAACATGGAGAAACTCTGTCTGTACTAAAAATACAAAATTAGCCAGGCGTGGTGGTGCATGCCTGTAATCCCAACTACTCGGGAGGCTGAGGCAGGAGAATCCTTTGAACCCGGGAGGCGGAGGCTGCAGTGAGCCGAGATTGCACCATTGCACTCCAGCTTGGGCGACAAGAGGGAAATTCTGTCGAAAGAAAGAAAGAGAGAGAGAGAGAGGAAGGAAGGAAGGAGGGAGGGAAGGAGGGAAGGAAGGAAGGAAGGAAGGAAGAAAGGAAGGAAGGAAGGAAGGAAGGAAGGAAGGAAGGAAGGAAGGAAGGAGAGAGAGAAAGAAAGAGACTGTCTAACATTTGAACATGAGCAATTCTTTTTTAGCTATTCTCAATACTCGGTCCTGGGACTCCACACTCTAGGGTAGGGGAGGGGATACCTTCAAACAGGCAGAACAATTGCATTAGTAAAGCTGATTCCTTTTAAATATGATTAGAAATTTTTTTTTAAACTGCAAAATTATTCAAAACATACTGGATAAAACCCTCAGATAGAGCTTTTATGTTATTCTTTCATATTTGATGTGTGTTATTCTTAAAAGAGGTAAAAATTACATTAGCAAATCAGATCATGACATTTGCTAATTATAGTCAATCCTCATTTTATTTCATCTTGTAAAATGTTTAATATCTTCTATCTCCTATTAACCTCGAACGAATTTATATGCTAGCTGCCAGATCAATTTGTTTTGAGGAGAGCATATCTTCATCTTCCATTAGGCACATGGAGAAAGTTTAATTATGATCCATGTCAATAAGAGACACATTTTCAGTAGGTTTACTTTTTCTCTTTGTAACTCCTTCTCAAAATATGTAATATACTTATGTGTTTGTATTAGTTATGAACTAATAGAATAATAATGCAGAATAGATTTGTTAACACTTAGCTGCATCATGGTCACAGGGAAAAAAACTAGTTGAGAATTTTCCCTTTGATGGAAAATTTATTTATTTCCATAAAATTTATTGATTTACGTGTTCTATTGTCAGAGAGACATGTTCTAGATAAAAGAAATATTAGTAAAGCCAGGCGCGGTGGCTCACACCTGTAATCCCAGCATTTTGGGAGGCCGAAGCAGGCAGATCACGAGGTCAGGAGATCGAGACCAGCCTGACCAACATAGTGAAACCCCATCTCTACTAAAAATACAAAAATTAGCCAGGTGTGGTGGTGCATGCCTGTAATCCCAGCTACTCAGGGGGTTGAGGCAGGAGAATCGCTTGAACCTGGGAGGCGGAGATTACAGTGAGCTGAGATCATACCACTGCACTCCAGCCTGGGCAACGGAGCCAGACTCCATCTCAAAAAAAAAAGAAAGAAAGAAAGAAAGAAAAGAATAGTAATAAAGTGGTTTTTTTCAGACAGAGTCTCACTCCGTCGCCCGGGCTGGAGTGCAGTGGCACGATCTCGGCTCACTGCAACCTCCGCCTCCCCAGTTCAAGCAATTCTCCTGCCTCAACCTCCCAAGTAGCTGGGATTACAAGCATGCACCACCACATCCTGCTAGTTTTTGTATTTTTAGTAGAGATGGGATTTCACCATGTTGGCCAGGCTGGAATAAAATTATTTAGACAAAAAAAAAAGTAAAAATGTGTGGAGTAAGTGAAATGCAATGTTCAAAGAGAAAAGGAATAATGTAAAATTTTCAAATGTTAAAGAGGAGATTACACTGGGTGCAGTGGCTCATGCTTGTAATCCTAGCACTTTGGGAGGCCGAGGCAGGCGGATCACGAGATCAGGAGTTCAAGACCAGCCTGACCAACATGGTGAAACCTCATCTCTACTGAAAATACAAAAATTAGCTGGGCGTGGTGGCGGGCGCCTGTAATCCCAGCTACTCAGGAGACTGAGGCTGGAGAATCGCTTGAACCTGGGAAGCGGATGTTGCAGTGAGCAGAGATCACCTCATTGTATTCAAGCCTGGGTGTCAGAGCAAGACTCCATCTCAAAAAAAAAAAAAGGAGACTACTAGTGTATTTTTTAATGGATAATGGTGAGTATTCAATAATTAATGTACAGATATTCCACTAGATACTTTTTATGTATGTATGTATTTATTTTTAATTTATTATTATTATTTTTCAGAGACAGGTTCTCACTCTGTCGGCCAGGCCGGAGTGCAGTGATGCTATCATGGCTCATTGTAACCTTGAACTCCTGGGCTCAAGTGATCCTCCCACCTCAGCTTCCCAAGTAGCTGGGACCACAAGCATGCACCACCATGCTTGATTAATTCTCCATATGTTGCCCCAGCTGGTCTTGAACACCTGGCCTCAAGCAATCATGCCACCTTAGCCTTCCAAAGTGCTGGGATTACAGGTGTGAGCCACAGTGCCTGCTCTAATTCCACTATATACTTTTTTTTTTTTTTTGACAGAGTTTTACTCTATCGTGCAGGCTGGAGTACAGTGGCGCAATCTCGGCTCACTGCAACCTCTGTCTCCTGGGTTCAAGTGATTCTCCTGAATCAACCTCCCGAGTAGCTGTGATTATAGATGCACACCACCATACCCAGCTAATTTTTTGTATTTTTAGTGGAGCCGGGGTTTCACCATGCTGGCCAGGCTAGTCTCGAACTCCTGACCTTGTGATCCACCCACCTTGGTCTCCCAAAGTGTTGGGATTACAGGCGTGAGCCACCTTGCCCAGCCGATACTTTTTAAAGAGTGTATAACCATTTCATTTTTTAAAGTCAGTGTTTACAATGTGCCAGAAAAGTCATCCTTTGTAATTATTTGAACTTATAATGAACAAATGCAGATGTCAACTTTAAAGTGGGGAGAAGGCACCCATGGTTTTCCAAGGTTATTTTTAGGAGGATTTGAGCCAAGCCAGCTAAGCCGCACCTGAATAAGGGTAATGTTAGCCACCCTGTGAGTGTGGTGGGCTCAATCCTCACCCTCACCTCTGCAGGCTGGACTGGGAAACTGGAGAAGCCACCCAAGACCAGACAAGGCCCCAACCCAGCGTGGTGTCCTGATTTCTTTGTTATGAGCGATGTATGTCCAGGGCACAGAGGCCAGTTTGGTGCAAAATCCAGAGACTCAGCAAAGCCGAGCACAACCAGAACCTGGGGAACCGGTAGCATCTTCAAGGCTGAAGGCACAGGGGTGGCTGAGGTGCTGGCAAAGCATATCAAGCCCAGGCTAGCATCAAACAATAATTTTCATAGGTCAGGTGCAGTGGCTCCTGTATTCCCAAAACTTTGCAAGGCCAAAGCAGGAGGATCATTTGAGGGAAGGAGTTGGAAACCAGCTGGGCAACATAGCAAGACCCTGTCTCTACTAAAAATAAAAAATTAGCCAGGTATGGTGATGATCATCTGTGGTCCAGCTATTTGGGAGGCTGAGGTGGGAGGATCACTTGAGCCCAGGACTTTGAGGCTGCAATGAGCTATAATCACACTGCTGCACCCCAGCCTAGGCAACAGAATGAGACCCTATCTCAAAATGACAATAATATATATATTTTTTGAGACAGTGTCTTGCTCTGTCACTTAGGCTAGAGTGCAGTGACATGATCTCAGCTCGCTGCAGTCTCAAACTCCTGGGCTCAAGTGGTCCTCCCACCTCAGCCTCCCTAGTACCTGGGACCACAGGCATATACCAATATGCCCAGCTAATTTTGTTTATTTTTTGTAGAGATGGCATCTCACTATGTTGCCCAGGCTGGTCTCAAACTGCTGGATTCAAGTGATCCTTCTGCCTCGTCTTCCAAAGTGCTGGGACTACAGGTGTGAGCCACTGCACCCAGCTAATAATAATAATTTTAAAAAATTTATTTAGAGACAGGGTCTTGCTGTATTGCCAGGCTGGAGTGCAATGGCCATTTACAGGTGTGGATCATAGCTCACTGCAGCCCAAATACCTGGGCTCAAGCTGTTCTCCTGCTTCAGCCTAAGTAAAGGGACTACAGGTACATCCCACAGTGCTTGGCTTTCGAATAATAATTTAAAATACAAGAAGCACTAGCTTGGGAAACATGATGAAACCCCATCTCCACAAAAAAATACAAAAATTAGCCAGTCATGGTGGCATGCACCTGTAATCCCAGCTACTGGGGAGGCTGAGGTGGGAGGATTGTTTGAGCCCAGGAGGTTGAGGCTGCAGTGAGCCATGATCACACCACTGCACTCCAGTCTAGGCATCAGAGCAACAACCTATCTTTAAAAAATAAAATAATGTGGCCGGGTGCAGTGGCTCACTCCTGTAATCCAGCATTTTGGGAGGCTGAGGCAGGCAGGTCACCTGAGGTCAGGAGCTCAAGACCAGCCTGGCCAACATGGCAAAACCCTGTCTCTACTAAACAATATAAAAAAATTAGCCAGGCATGGTGGCAGGCACCTGTAAGCCCAGCTTCTCAGGAAGCTGAGGCAGGAAGAATTGCTTAAACCTAGTAGGCGGAGGTTGCAGTGAGCCGAGATCACGCCACTGTACTCCAGCCTGGGCAACAGAGTGAGACTTCATCTCAAAAAATAAAATACAATAATGTAATATAAAATAAAATACAAGAAACAAATGAAGGCCTGGCCTGGCTTTTCTTTTTAATAATAAAAAGGCCTGTTGTGAAGGCATGGTGTGAAGCCTACACGAGCTAGTTCACTCAGACACCTGGTGTCCCGTGCAGCAGCTCAGTCCCTGAGACCTGTCAGGAGTGAGAGCCAGAAGTTTGCTCCCAGTGGAATAAGGAAAAGATAGATAGTGTAGTCTCACCCTAGTCCTCTGGTTAGCATTTCTTCAAATAGATAAATTATAATCAAGACAATTGCCCTGGACCCAGAGTCTCCTATCCACTGGGCTACTGGGAAATGTTTTCTGTTGCCAAAAGGCCAAAATCTTGGGAATTAAGTTAAGGGCTAAGATTTTATCAGAAGCCTAATCATTTCACCCAGAGGTACATGTATGGGATGTACTGGGTGCCTGCTGTGTGCCGAACGGGGCAGGGTGCCACCTTTATAAATGCCGATGCTCCCGTTGTTCCAGCCTCAATCCTCTTTCCCCTCTCTTCACCTCCCTGGCAATCTCAAGCTCTATTGCTGTTGTTGTTCTTCTTCTTCTACTTCTTTTTTTTTGAGGCAGAGTATCACTCTGTCACCCAGGCTGGAGTGCAATGGTGCAATCATAGCTCACTGCAGCCTCCATCTCCAGGGCTCAAGGGATCCTCCCACTTCAGCCTCCCAAGTAGCTGGGATCACAGGCACATGCCACCATGCCTGATTAATTTCGTTTATTTTTTTGTGGAGACAAGGCCTCACTATGTTACCTAGGCTGATCTTGAAATCTTTGGCTCAAGTGAGCCTCCCTTCTCAGCCTCCCAAAGTGCTGGGATTATGAGTTAGCCACCACACCTGGCCTCAGGCTCTCTTCTGACTTTAACTATCACCCAGATGCTGATAGCTCCCAAATCTACATAGCCAGCCTCAAGAGAGCCACTGAACCTCAGACTAGGCTGCCAGAAAGGCTGACAACACCCACAGCATAACTAGTAACCAGCAGCCTCTTTCAACTATTCCTTCCTGGAAGCCCCACATCAAACCTCATCAACCCACTTAGAGCTGAGAAGACTGAGGTTCAGAGAGATCGAGTAACTTTCCAAAATCCCCTTCCTAATGAGAGTGGCTAAGTCATGATGGAAACCACTTTCCATATCTTCCCAAAGCCCATGCCATTCACTCGCCCATCCACCTCCACTCCCAGTCCCTCACTTCTGCAGCTACCTTGCCCTCTGCTTTCCTGGCGATAGTGGGTTGCTTGGCTTCCCCACACACACCCTGCTGATTCCCGGTTTCTCCGCATCTTGTGCAAAGCGAACAATTTAAGAAGAGACTGGAATGGGGAAGGCTTCCCTGAAAAAGAGGCATTCAAGTTGGAAACTAAAAATAAGTTTCTTAGGCAGAGAGCACTGAGGGAGGGGAGGGAGAGGCTGTTCCACTGAAGGGCTTTCCCTTCATTTGTGAAATGTATGTGTGTGAAACCTCCAGTGTGCCTGGAGGGTGGGAAAGGAGACAGCTCCACTGGAAGTTGGAAAGGCCACCCAAACTCATCAGGCTGGCTCTGCATGCATGATGATGCCTCTGGAATTTTCCTAGGAGCAATAAAATGCCACTGAAAGGCTGTAAGCAATGGGGGCTAAGATCAGGTTTGTGGTTTTATATTTATTTTTATATTTATTTATTTATTTATTTTTGAGTTGGAATCTCGCCCTGTTGCCCAGGCTGGAGTGCAATGGCGCGATCTCAGCTCACTGCAACCTCCGTCTCCCAGGTTCAGGCAATTCTCCTGACTCAGCCTCCCGAGTACCTAGGACTACAGGCATGTGCCACCACGCCTGGCAAATTTTTGTGTTTTTAGTAGAGACGGGGCTTCGCTATATTGGCCAGGCTGGTCTCAAAGTCCTGACCTTATCCGCCGGCCTTGGCCTCCCAAAGTGCTGGGATTACAGGCGTGAGCCACCGCGCCCAGCCTTTATTTTTATTTTTTGAGACAGGGTCTCTCTCTGTTGCCCAGGCTGGAGTGCAGTGGCATGATCTCGGCTCACTGCAGCCTCCGCCTCTCAGGTTCAAGCAATTCTCCTGCCTCAGCCTCCCAAGTAGCTGGGACTACAGGCATGCACCACCACGCCTGGCTAATTTTTGTATTTTTAGTAGAGATGGGGTTTCACCATGTTGGCCAGGCTGGTTTGAACTCCTGACCTCAAGCAATCAGCCAGTCTTGGCCCTCCCAAAGTGCTGGGATTATAGGCATGAACCACCACACCCAGCCCAGGTTGGTGTATTTTTTTTTATTTATTTTATTTTATTTATTATTATTATTATTTTCAGACAGAGTCTCACTCTCTCGCCCAGGCTGGAGTGCAATGGCGCAATCTCGGCTCACTGCAACCTCTGCTTCCTGGGTTCAAGTGATTTTTCTGTCTCAGCCTCCCGAGTAGCTGGGATTACAGGCATGCACCACCATGCCTGGCTAATTTTTGTATTTTTAGTAGAGATGGGGTTTCACCATGTTGGTCAGGCTGATCTCGAACTCCTGACCTCGTGATCTGCCTGCCTCTGCCTTCCAAAGTGCTGGGATTACAGACACGAGCCTGGCCTATTTATTTATCTTTTTGCGATACAGTCTTGCTTTGTCACCCAGGCTGGAGTACAGTGGCGCAATCTCGGCTCACTGCATCCTCTGCCTCCCAGGTTCAAGCAATTCTCTTGTCTCAGCCTCCCAAGTAGCTGGGACTACAGGCATGCACCACCACACTTGGCTAATTTCTGTATTTTTAGTAGAGATGGGATTTCGCCATGTTGGCCAGGCTGGTCTCAAACTCCTGACCTCTGGTGATCCACCTGCCTTGACCTCCCAAAGGGATTACAAGCATGAGCCACCACACTCAGCCAGGTTTGTGTTTTGTTGTTGTTGTTGTTGTTTTTTCTTTTGGAGACATAGTCTCGCTGTGTGTCCTAGGCTGGAGTGCAATGGCGCAATCTCGACTCACTGCAACCTCCTGCTCCTGGGTTCAAATGATTCTCCTGCCTCAGCCTCCCAAGTAGCTGGGACTACAGGCGTGTGCCACCACACCCAGCAATTTTTGTATTTTTAGTAGAGATGGGGTTTCACTATGTTGGCCAGGCTGGTCTCAAACTCCTGACCTCAGGTGATCCACCAGCCTCGGCCTCTCAAAGTGTTGGGATTAGAGGCCACCTTGCCCAGCCCAGTTTGTGTTTTTAAACGTCCGTTTACTATAGCAAGAAGGGATTGAAGGGGAGCCAGAACAGAGGTAAGGACACAACCTCAGCAGCTATTCCAGGTGACTATCATGAACAACGGTTTACTGTGTAGCTAGAAGAGCAGGTCCATGAGGAGGACAGGAGGACCTTGCAGAGGCCATCCTTTCAAGAAGTCAAGGGCAGAGAATGTTTCAAGGGGTGGGAGTAGGAGAGTGACCGACCCACCAGATAAGGGGTTAAAATAGCCATTTATAATCTCACCAAGGGCAATTTGCAACATGTTTTGATAAGTTCTTTGAGTTTGCATACCTAGATTCAGGTGATCTATCCATTTCCAAGAAACTGTCAGGCCCAAAAATGAATTCAAGCCCCATCATTTGCAAGACTGAAAATTTGCAGCTTTGAAATGAGAACTTTTCCCGTCAGCTTTTTAACAGCCTGAGGGCAAGTTTATCTTGTCACTTGTTTCTCACCAGCACTGTGCCTGGCCTCTGCTTTGACAATTCAATACCCTAAAGGGAAGATAGAAAATTGCAATTCTTGGCCAGGTGCAGTGGCTCACGCCTGTAATCCCAGCACTTTGGGAGGGCAAGGCGGGTGGATCACAAGGTCAGGAGTTCAAAACCATCCTGGCCAAGATGGTGAAACCCCATCTCTACTGAAAATACAAAAATTAGCCTAGTGTGGTGGTGGCACATGTAATCCCAGCTACTCTAGAGGCTGAGGCAGAGAATTGCTTGAACCCGGGAGGCGGAGGTTGCAGTGAGCTGAGATTGTGCCATTGCACTCCAGCCTGGGTGACAGAGTGAGACTCCGTATCAAAAAAAAAAGAAAGAAAGAAAATTGTAATTCTTTTCTTTTTCTTTTTCTTTTTTTTTTTTTTTTTTTGAGACAGTTTCACTCTTGTTGCCCAGCTGGAGTACAATGGCACAATCTCAGTTCACTGCAACCTCCGCCTCCCGGGTTCAAGCGATTCTCCTGCCTCAGCCTCCCAAGAAACTGGGATTACAGGCATGCACCACCACACCTGGCTAATTTTGTGTTTTAGTAGAGACTGAAAATTGTATTTTTGTATTTCACCATGTAGGTTGGGCTGGTCTTGAACTCCTGACCTCATGATCCACCTGCCTCGGCTTCCCAAAGTGCTGAGATTACTGGTATGAGCCACCGCTCCTGGCCTAAAAATTGCAATTCTTTTGTTGTAAAATTTTCAGCTACAAAGACCTATGACACACGTGCTAATAGCTTTTTCCCTTAGAGGATGCCATAAGGTATTGTCTTCTACTACTCTGCATGAAATACAACTCAAATTTAAAAATTTCACAGTGAGAACTTCCTAGACTCTGATTTGGAGTGATTACTTAGATTTCATTCCTCTTTATTGCTCTATATGGCCCTGTGAAATAAACCAAAACAAACATATGACAGTATCTGAAAAAATACAGTTATTGTTCCTTCAGAAGGATATGCAGCCCTCATCGGGTTGCTCGGTCTTTCACCTAGTTTGGTCTGGCACAGAAATTAACTTCATTTTACAGCTCATCACACTCAGCACATGCTCCAACAAATGGATTCCTGTGTCCGGAGACCAGTAAAATCCCTGCCTCTCTTGGGGATTCTGCTACAGCATTTGTTCTAGGACATTAATGGATGTCCTAACCAGTCCATGTTTTCTAAGGCAATGACAACTCAAGGTCATACTCTTAAAATGAGGCATGTTCAATATAATGACTACAAAAAATTGTACATATGCAGCACACAGAGATTTCTGGTGGTGTCTATCATACATACTGTTTCTTTTTCCAATATGAAATTTAATGAGGATTCTTATTCTAAGAGGCATTTTAAAAATCAACAAATCAATTTCTAGTAAGCAGCCTTTTGCGTGAGTTAGCGAAAATGTTCAATCAGTGCCCAGTGTTTGCTCAGAGGCATTGAAGGGAAATGTAACTAGAAATGTGTACCAGATGAGTGATGAAGAAATGGTCAAGATTACATGCTCTCTCTAAACTTATACCCCAAGCCAAAAAGACACATTTAACTGTAATTGCTACCAAAATTCTTCAAACTGTATATCACCAACTGTCTGAAATTCTTTTAGACAAAATATTTTCAATATTTTGGGGGGGTTTTGTCCAGTGAATTAAATTGCTCAACAAGACTGAAGAATGTATGCATTTTAGGAACAGGTTGTGATTTTGAAAAGAAAAAGGAAAAATGACTAGAATGAAGGGGAAAACAGGCTGGGCGCAGTGGCTCATGTCTGTAATCCCAGCACTTTGAGAGGCCGAGGCGGGCAGATCACTTGAGATCAGGAGTTTGAGACCAGCATTGGCAACATGGCAAAACCCTGTCTCTACTAAAAATACAAAAATTAGTGGGGTGTGGTGGCACATGCCTGTAATCCCAGCTACTCGGGAGGCTGAGGCATGAGAATTGCTTGAACCCAGGAGGCAGAGGTTGCAGTGAGCAGAGATCGCACCACTGCACTCCAGCCTGGGTGACAGAAAGAGACTCCATCTCAGAAAAAAAAAAAAAAAAAGAAGGGGAAAACAAACAAATGGGAAAGAAAAACACAATCTGGAATTTGAGAGAATGTGCCAGAAAGATTGTATGGTAAATCATAGAAAGTTTTTCAACTGTAGTCTTAGGAAGGAGGTGAGAGGATCACTTGAGCCCAGGAGTTCAAGGCTGTAGTGAGCTCTGATTGCACCACTATGCTACAGCCTCTGTTGGAGGCAATACGGGTTCTTGTCACACAACCAGGAAAGATCAGGCTCGCAGACACTTTGAAGGGTGAGGGGGTTATGGAATTTGTTGAGTAAAAAGGAAACACAGCAAAGCGAGAGGTGTTCCTGTTAACAGGCCCCCATCTCACAGATTGAATCCCAGGTTACCACACAGGACTAGGCTCCCCACTAGCTGAGAACCTCAGAAACTTCCCAAGGCCCCACCCTGTCTCCCAGTGTGCAGGCCAGTTGGAGATTCTCTGGGGAGCTCTTTTTATTTGGCTGTCTCACCTCCAGGCTATGCAACACAGTCCATCTTTCTTTCTTTCTTTTTTTTTTTTTTTTTTTTTGAGACGGAGTCTTGCTCTGTCACTTAGGCTGGAGCGCAGTAGCACAGTCTTCGCTCAACACAACCTCTGCCTCCTGGGTTCAATCGATTCTCCTGCCTCAGCCTCCTGAGTAGCTGGGATTACAGGCGTGCACCACCACGCCCGGCTAATTTTTTGTATTTTTAGTAGAGATGGGGTTTCACCATGTTGGCCAGGCTGGTCTTGAACTCCTGACCTCGTGATCTGCCTGCCTAGGCCTCCCAAAGTGCTGAGATTACAGGCGTGAGCCATCGCACCCAGCCCTTTTCTTTTCTTTCTTTTTTTTTTTTATGAGACGGAGTCTCACTCTGTCATCAGGCTGGAGTGCAGTGGCGAGATGTCAGCTCACTGCAACCTCCACCTCCCAGGTTCAAGCGATTCTCCTGCCTCAGCCTCCCAAATAGCTGGGACTACAGGCGCCCACCACCACACCCGGCTAATTTTTGTATTTTTAGTAGAGATGGGATTTCACCACGTTGGCCAGGCTGGTCTCAAATGCCTGACCTCAAGTGATCCACCTGCCTTGGCCTCCCAAAGTGCCGGAATTACAGGTTTGAGCCACTATGCCCAGCCCGTATCTTTCTCTCTTTTTTTTTTTTTTTTTTTTGAGATGAAGTCTCGCTCTGTTGCCCGGGCTGGAGTGCAGTGGGGCTATCTCGGCTCACTGCAAGCTCCGCCTCCCGGGTTCACGCCATTCTCCTGCCTCAGCCTCCAGAGTAGGTGGGACTACAGGCTCCTGCCACCACGCCCGGCTAATTTTTTGTATTTTTAGTAGAGACGGGGTTTCACCGTGTTAGCCAGGATGGTCTCAATCTCCTGACCTCGTGATCCACCTGCCTCGTCCTCCCAAAGTGCTGGGATTACAGGCGTGAGCCACCATGCCCGGCCGTATCTTTCTCTTTTAATGCTTATTCAAAACAAAATTATATATGAACATGATTTTAAAAGTCACGTAGAGTTAATAGTATTATAACAGTGTCAATTGCCTGGTTTTGATAATGTTCTATGGTTAGATAAGATGTTATCATTGGGGAAAATGAGATGAATGGTACATGAGAACCCCATGTAATATCTTTGAAACTTCTTGTTAGGCTTAAAATGTTTCAAAATAACAACTATTTAAAAACTCACATAATTTTGCAGAGTTTATAACAAAAATTTGCCAGATCCTAATCCTAGCATGCCCCATTGTTTTTTCTTTCTCTTTTCTTTTCTTTCTTCCTTCTTTCTTTCCTTCTTTTTTTCCTTCTTTTCTTCTTTTTTTTCTCTGTTCTTTCTTTTACTGCTGGTAAGCTGTGAGGCTATTGTTGATTCATATTCTCCCTAAAGAAACTATCAGCAATAGCTAGCCCCAAATTTGTAAATAATATGTATATACCACCATTTATTTTCTTTTCTTTTATTTTATTTGTTAACTCTTGCCTTCCTACTATGGAAGATGAGGCTCTCATACCTCCCAGGTCCCACATGTGTTATCCCCTCCCTCTATCCTCACAATATATTCATATCATTCTTTCAGTTTTATCAGTATTACTCATTGTTTGTTGTTATGGCAGCACATATTATTCCTAGATGAGCTAAATAGTATCCTGGCTATAGCTATGGCATATTTTCCCTTTCCTGTACCATTTCTCTCTTTTTTTTTGTTTTACTTTTTAAAAATTCTTTTTTATTTTACTTTTTATTTGTTACCACTTCTTTTTATCCCTGGAGTTCATAAGTGTCTTCCTTTTTGGCTGGTGTTTGCTTGCCTAGTTTATTGTGGGTTTCTTCCTCACTTCCCTCCTTACCCCTTGAGGTGCCTCCATTCTGCTCTGGTTTGTACTGCTTGCTCTCTGGCCCTGGGACATAGCCATCATCCTGTGACTTCTCCTGCCATTATTCTGGGATGCAAACATCTGTGCTGTGTCCTCTGTTTCCTGGATCCTTACAGTTCCACGTGGCTAGGGAGGCCTCGCAATCATGGTGGAAGGCAAGGAGGAGCAAGTCACATCTTACATGGATGGCAGCAGGCAAAGAGAGAGAGCTTGTCCAGGGGAACTCCTCTTTATAAAACCATCAGATCTCATGAGACTTATTCACTATCATGAGAACAGCACGGGAAACACTTGCCCCCATGATTCAATTACCTCCCACCAGGTCCCTCCCACAACACATGGGAATTCAAGATGAGATTTGGGTAGGGATACAACAAAACCATATCAGCGGTTATAATTCCTTTTAGATTTGGGGTCTCCTGGATTAAACCTTTTTTTCTCTCCCATTTTCCACTTGTTTGTGCTTGTTAATGTTGTTGTTCTTATACTTTCTGTGATTTCCTCAATTTCATCTTCCACCCTTCCAACTGTGCTATTTAAAAAAAATTTTGCTGTTATATTTTTAATTTCCAAGGGGTTTTTGTCCTCTGTTTACTGTTGTATATACCCCTGTTCTTGTTTCATGAATGCAAGATCTTCTAGTATGTCTCTGAAGGTCTGAGAGTTTATTTTTAAAGTTTTCTCTGCTCCATATACTGTCTCTATTTTTCTTTCTATTTCCTTATTTTTTTTTTTTGGCGGGGGGCGGGGATGGAATCTCACTCTGTTGCCTAGTGAGGGGTGCAGTGGCACGATCTCAACTCACAGCAATCTCCGCCTCCCAGGTTCAAACTATTCTCCTGCCTCAGCCTCCCAAGTAGCTGCAACTACAGATGTGCACCACCACGTCTGTCTAATTTATTTTGTATTTTTAGTAGAGACAGGGTTTCACCATATTGGCCAGACTGTTCTTGAACTCCTGACCTCAGGTGATCCACCCATCTTGGCCTCCCAAAGTGCCTGGATAACAGGCATGAGCTACTGCCCCTGGCCCTATTTCCTTATTTTGGTCTCTGTCTGGTATGTTGGAGGCTTTTCTCTAATGTTGGTGATCCTTGTTGGGGATGCTCTGTTTGGCATGTTCTGTTCACTCTCAGGTGGGCCTGGATGCACACGTTGGGGATGAGATCTGTGCATCTAACTGCTCGTTATACAACTTCCAACCAATTATCCTAATTTCCTTCCCACCCACACTCGCGTTTTCAGAAGAAATTGATGTCTTTTTTCCTGAGCCGTCCTGAGGTCTGTGGTGGGAATTCTCTTGGTTCTTGTCAAATTCGCCACCAACTCAGGGGAGTCAGCTCTCTCGGGTTGGCTAAATCAGTTAATACTTGGCCATCTGCTTCCAGCCTTCTACAAAAAACTAGGTTGAAATCGCTCATCTACTGTCATTTCTTTTCCCTTTGTTTTTATAGGTTTCTCCTTTTTAGCCTTTTAGTACTATTTCACTTGGATTTCATGAGGGAACAGATATAAACATCTGGGTTCTAAATGTTTCCCCTGGACCTTCCAAACCAAGCAATTCAAATACAGCAGACTTCTCTTATGCAATTTACATTTTTGTGCTAACATGTATAGTACTCAGGTCTTCATCACACCTGATTCCAGAATTTTGATGATAAAGGCAAAAGAAACCCTTAGATTTCACAACTGCTTGGCTTCTTTTTTCTCCCATGGTTTCCCACATATCTTGAGTCAACTTTTCTAGAACAATGGCATAATGAAACTTTTTCTCTTTTCTTAAATATTATCTTTTCAGTTCTCCAAAACTCTATTCGCAGTGTTTGCCTTCCATGAAGCATTCCTCCATTGCCAGCTGCATCTTTTCCCAATCCTTCTAGTTCACTCTAACTCACTAGTTGTATATTGGACATCGTATTTCATGTTCATGCTATTTATACATCTGGTATACTTCCCATGACTCACAGCCCTCCTTCACTCCCAAGGGATAATAGACCATCAGAGAGAGGTTATTTTATTTTATTTTATTTTATTTTATTATTTTATTTTGTTTTGAGATGGAGTCTCACTCTGTCACCCAGGCTGGAGTGCAGTGCACCATCTCAGATCACTGCAACCTCTGCCTACCGGATTCAAGCAATTCTCCCTGCCTCAGCCTCCCAAGTAGCTGAGATTAGAGGCACCTGCCACCATGCCCAGCTAATTTTTATATTTTGTTAGTAGAGACAGGGTTTCACCATGTTGGCCTGACTTGTCTTGAACTCCTGACATCAGGTGATCCACCCGCCTCGGCCTCCCAAAGTGCTGGGATTACAGGTGTGAGCCACTGTGCCCAGCCTGGTGATTCATTTTAAGTTAATCCATTCAAGGGTGGGATTCCTGAGGATTTATGCCTCCTAATTTTATGGGGAAAAGTTAGAACTAATTTCCCAGAGAAAGGGAAGGTTAAGCTGAGATTTAAGGAGTTTAGCTAGGTGAAGCGTGGTGACCCAGGTAGAGTAAATTATCTCCCTATATATCCCTTGACCCCTGCAACAGTAGTCAGGGGACATTCCTATTAATGATGGTTCAAATGCAGTGAGTATGAGGCCAGGCATGGTGTCTCATGTATATAATTCCAGCACTTCGGGAGGCAGAGGCAGGAGAATTGCTTGGGTCCAGGAATTCAAGACCAGCCTGGGCAACATAGTGAGACCCTGCCTGTATGAAAAATAAAAAATTAGCTGGTCATGGTGGTGCATGCCTGTAGTCCCAGCTACTCTGGAGGCTGAGGCAGGAGGATAATTTGAGCCCAGGAGGTCGAGGCTGCAGTGAGCCATGTTCATGCCACTGCACTCCAGCCTGGGTGACAGAGCAAGACCCTGTCTCAAAACATAAAAATTAGGCCAGGTGCTCACGCCTGTAATCCCAGCACTTTGGGAAGCCGAGGTGGGCGGATCACAAGGTCAGGAAATCGAGACCATCCTGGCTAACATGGTGAAACCCCATCTCTACTAAAAATACAAAAATTAGCCAGGCGTGGTGGTGGGCGCTTGTTGTCCCAGCTACTTGGGAGGCTAAGGCAGGAGAACTGCGTGAACCTGGGAGGCGGAGCTTGCAGTGAGCCAAGATCGCACCACTGCACTCTAGCCTCGGCGACAGAGCGAGACTCTGTCTCAAAAAAATATATAAATAAATAAATATTTTAAAATGCAGTGAGTATGAGAAGCAGCCTATTGCTATGCAGGGCAATTGTTGCATAGGTTTTACTCCTAGCTATATCTTTTGCTCAAGCAGTAAGTAGCACACACAAGCAGGCAGGTTATGTGTGTATATGTACATATTTTTTGAGACAGCGGCTTACTCTGTCACCCAGGCTGGAATGCAGAGTGCAGTGGCATGATCTCAGCTCTCTGCAGTCTCTGCCTCCTGGGCTCAAATGATCCTCCCATCTCAGCCTCCTGAGTAGCTGGGACTGCAGGTGCTTGCCATCATGCCCACCTAGTTTTTCTAGTTTTAGTAGATAAGGGGTTTTGCCATGTTGCCCAGGCTGGTCTCGAAATCCTGGGCTCAAGCTATCCATCCTCTTCAGCCTCCCAAAGTGCTGGGATTACAAATGTGAACCACTAAGCCTGGCCTAAATATATATATTTAACATATACAAATATATATTATACATATACTAATCTATCAAGGAACCAACATGAGCAGTATAAGAGCTAATCTCTTATATTCAAGAAGGTTATGCAGTTGTGAAGTAGATGTACAGGGGAGTCAGATTTAGGGAAAGTGAATAATGAAAAAATACCACAAAATGGCAGGTGAGTGGTCTGCATCGGCCTTGCACTAAGGCTTCATCCTTTCACTCCCTGAACAGCTAGCAAAACACGAAGACAAGGATGGGAGGAAAGGCCTCCCTCCGGCTTTGACGCCTTGCTCCCTCACGAACCGCTTTCAGATGTACGGATCCCCTTCAGGCAAAAAGAAAAACACCACTAAAAGAAACCAGTCACCCCCATTTCAGTGTGCAGATAAAGAACCTGGAGTTAGACCCTTTCCTCCATCGGCTGGTCTCTAGCTGTGGTTGGGCACTCCCGAAAGATAGATGGAGAGGGAGCCAAGCCCCCAGGGTTAGGGCAGTAGCTGGCCGGGCGGAGCTCTGCCAGGAGCGGGTCTGGGAGCTCCAGGATGCCTGGGGCGTGAGCGGAGGGAGGGAGTAAAGCCGCGCTCAGTTCCCTCTCTGCCGCTGCGCGTGGTCCGCGCTCGGGCTCGCTTGCCCCCTCTCTAGCCCAAAGCCCCATTCGCAGCGCCTGGGCTGGTCCCACTCATCTGCGCCAGGTGGAGGGGAAGGGGAGGAGGTCTAAAGGTGTGGAGTAAGGGAGGGAGAGGAGAAAGGAGGAAGGGAGAGACTGGGCACTTCAAGGGTCAGAGGAGGACCACCTGTGGTCACAGCCATCGTCACGACCCCCTGCCGCGCCCACGCACGCGTGGATGGGGCCAGGCTCTGGGTGCCACCTGGGAGGAGCATCCATTCATAATCCGGATCTGCCCCCGCCTGTGCCTTTTCTCCTCGTAACTCCCACCCCCCATCCCCGACCCCGGGTCTCTGAGCTAGGTTTCTTAAGGGGAAAACATCTCTGGCACCGTTTGTCCTGGTGAAATCAGGTCCCTGCTTTATCCAGCTCAGCTCTGAATAATAATTATTGGGAGGACAGGAAGCAACAAGGTAAATCAAGAAAGTGACAAGGAGGTGGGCGCAGCGGCTCACGCCTGTAATCCCAGCGCTTTGGGAGGCCGAGGCGGGAGGATCGCTTGAGCCCAGGAGTTCGAGACCAGCCTGGCCAACATGGCGAGACCCGTCTCTACTAAAAATACAAAAATTAGCCGGGCGTGGCGGCATGCGCCTGTAATCCCAGCTACTTGGCAGGCTGGGGTGGGAGGAGCGCTTGAGCCCGGGAGGCAGAGGTTGTATGAACCGAGATCCAAAAATAAAAAGAAGGAAAAGAAAAGAAAAAAGAAACAAAAAAGCGAGGAAGCAAGAAAAGCAAGCAAGCAAGAAAGAAAAGAAAAGAAAGGAAGAAGTGGCCACTGTTTCTGTGCTGTCGCTGTGCTATTCTCGGCACACCTGGGCCCAACCTTTCCATTCCTTACCTGTGTTTTCTTCCATTTGTTCACGTCTAGAAATGTATTCAAGTGAACAACAGTCTGGGATGTAGGTATATTATTTAATCTACACTGATGTTTAGCACAGCTATTTGTAATACTCAAAAAATTGTAAGCTACCTGTTTCACAATAGTCGATTGATTGTAAATCATGGTAATTTTTTTTTTTTGATACGCAGTCTTGCTCTGTCGCCCAGGCTGGAGTGCAGTGGCGCGACCACCGCCTCCCTGGTTCAAGCAATTCTCTGCCTCAGCCTCCC
The DNA here is from genome assembly GCF_000001405.40 of Homo sapiens. Taxonomy (NCBI): domain Eukaryota; kingdom Metazoa; phylum Chordata; class Mammalia; order Primates; family Hominidae; genus Homo; species Homo sapiens. Next base: position 70,034,159 of record NC_000008.11, read on the forward strand.
GAGTAGCTGGGATTACAGGTGTCTGCCACCGCGCCTGGCTAATTTTTTTGTATTTTTAGTACAGACGGGGTTTCACCATCTTGGCCAGGCTGGTCTTGAACTCCTGACCTCGTAATGCACCCGCCTCGGCCTCCTAAAGTGCTGGGATTACAGGTGTGAGCCACGCGCCCGACCAATCATTTTGGTCGACTTTAATGGGCACGTTTCAAGTCATTTTACCGGAGAATACTATCAAAATGAAATGCTCACTACACACTAAATGGGGGGAAAGCTGTTTACAGAACAGTTTCTGGTGAAAAGAGAAAACACGTAGACATAATCTGGATGGCGGAGACTGAAGAGTGATTATCTCTAGGTGGCTGGATGCTGGGTATAGGTTGGCCGCAATGTTATTTTTGTAAGGCTAGGAGAAAAACGTTATTTTAAATATACGGAATTTGCTCCTCTCCAAATCCACTCTCCCTTTCGCCTCCCTAGAGGTTGTCAGGTTCAAGAAGCGGCCCGGAGTTGCAGGAAGGGCGCCGGCGTCACTGGCCCCAAGAGCTCGGAACGCGCGCGCCGCAGGAGTGCCGGCTGCGGGGTCGGGTTGAGACTGGCGGGACCCTCGGCCTCTGCCGGGGTGCGGAAGGTGGATGCTACGGGCAAAGGGGCGGGGCTTGCGGTTCCCAGATCCAGAGGCGGGTTGGGGACGTGAGCCGGCGTCCATGTGTTCTGCACCCCTTCTCGCCCGGTGCCTCTCTCAAGGCACGTTTTCCAAAGTGTGTTGAATTCGGGAATCGATCGAAAATTTCAAGGCCAATTAAATGCCCTCTGATGTAGAGCTCCGATTAGGCCCGAAAGGCTTCAAACAGCCCCTCTAGACCCTCGAGGGTCTTCGCCGCGGTAACCTTAGGCGTCCCCTCCCCGAGAAGTCTCCCTGAGGCTTTCACAGAGGGCGGGAGGGGCTGCGCTGGGGCCTCCGTTCCCAGTGCCCCTGACTGGTGGGGAGGGATGGCCTTAGTGTCTGAGAGCAGAGACCAGATTGACTCCCACTTGAGACCAGAAAACGAAGAGGAAGCGGAACCCGAGGTGGCTGCGGCTCCCCCGGGACACAACCGGGAGAGGAAGTCCTGGCCATCTGCCGGCCCCGCCTGGGGGCATCTGCTCGAGGATCCCTGGGAGCCGTTATCGTATTCCTCAGAATCTGCCGTGCTGTCCCTCCGCCCCCAAAACCAACAGGACACCCATTCTGTGATTCTCTTCTTCTCCATCGCCCAGTTGGAGGCTGCTGGGGACCAGGAGAAAAAAAATGCCTTTCCCGAGTTCTCTAATTCAAATGCTTATCAGCTTTGCACACCATTCGGCCTTTCCAAAAGGGACCAGAAAACAAAGATATGCTAATGACAAAGGATAATTGAGACCTCGCCTGCCTTGCATATTTTGTTCATAGAAGCTGTAGCAATAATAATGTAATCCTACCTCCCCATTTGACATGTAAGGAAACTAAGGCCCATTGGAGTGACAGGCCAGGCTTGGGTGGCTTGTAGCTTCAGTCCATAATGACAGCTGTGAAAGAATTCAAATAAGGTCTATGGACGCTTCTTAGGAGGGTTTCCCATCTAATTTCCATCTGCTCAGCTACTAATGCCTGGAAAAATGGATGAAATAGTTGTTACCTGTCTTGAATGAAGAATTATCTATAAGTGCCCCAGAGATAACACCTGCTATACACAGAATTTGCTATACAGAGAATTTGGATTACTTTCAGCTTAGCATTGTATTGTGAGTGTTTCCCAATGTCCTGAAGAAGGTTCTCAAAAATGTTTGTAGAAAGAATGCCAAACAGTCTTTGAAAAACTTCAGTTTTAGTAACTACCCAATACTCAATTTTAGCAATGTGCCACAAGTCCTATTGCTGAACATTTAGGCTGTTAGCAGTTTTCATCATCAAAAAGAGTGCTGCTAACATTCTTGTTCATATATCTTTGTATTTCTGACTCTTTGGAAGGAATACCCAAAACTGAAATTTCCGGGTTAAAGACTGCAGACCTGGCTGGGCGTGGTGGCTCACGCCTCTAATCCCAGCACTTTGGGAGGCTGAGGCGGGCGGATCACCTGAGGTCAGGAGTTTGAGACCAGCCTGGCCAGCATGGTGAAACCCCATCTCTACCAAAATTACAAAAATTAACCAGGCATGGTGGTGGGCTCTTGTAATCCCAGCTACTTGGGAGGCTGAGGCAGGAGAATAGCTTGAACCTGGGAGGCGGAGGTCGCAGTGAGCCAAGATCGTGCTACTGCATCCAGCCTGGGTGACAGAGTGAGACTCCCTCTCAAAAAAAAAAAAAAGACTACAGATCTTTTGGTGCACAGTGCTTAACTGCTTACTAAAGGGTTGTGCCAGTCTATAGGTTTAGCAGAATAGGTGCACTCGTATCTTTTCATTACCAGTGAGTTTGAGAATACGCAAGAGTGACAAGGTCTTTACGCAGGTAGATCATGATCAGACGGGGTATTCTAGGTATTCTATTCTAAAGGCATCACCTTCTTCTTCTTTTTTTTTTTTTTTTTTTTTTTTTTTTTTTTTGAGATGGAGTCTCGCTCTGTCACCAGGCTGGAGTGCAGTGGTGTGATCTCGGCTCACTGCAACCTCTGCCTGTCAGGTTCAAACGATTCTCCTGCCTCAGCCTCCCAAGTAGCTGGGACTACAAGTATGCGCCACCACGCCCAGCTAATTTTTGTATTTTTAGTAGAGATGGGGTTTTACCATGTTGGCCAGGATGGTCTCGATCTCTTGCCTCGTGATCCGCCCGCCTCGGCTTCCCAAAGTGCTGGGATTACAGGCGTGAGCCACCGCACCTGGCCTTCACCTTCTTTAACTGCACCAAAAACCCATTGTGCTTGGCATCTCTAGCACATCCAGCACCATACATGTTGTTGACTGAATAAATATGTTCCTACCTTGCTTCTGATCCCCCACACCTACTCCCATAGGTCACAACTGCTCAGTTTCTGGGGCTGTCGTCTCTTTGTGCACACTCAGTGGAAAATAGCAGACATACAAGCTGCTGGCAGAAGGTCTAAGGACATCATTACACTGTCTTTCCCATGCTTGTCTTTGCATGTCATGCTTTCGCATTTGTCCTTTTGCTCTGTGTCCTCATCTCCCCTTTTTCACACTGTCATGTGCCCTGGGTGGCTGCTGTCACTCTTACTTGGGGATATTTTAGTTCCAAAGTAATGACAACAAAGGGAAGGCCAGATCACATTGTTCGCACATTCATTCATTTACTCATTTCACAACTATTCATTGAGCCACCTATTATATGCAGTGCTTGTTGCGGACACAGAAGGAAATAATATTGACATTAATATCTAACATTTATTGAACACTAAAGACAGGCACTGCATTAAGGATAAGACTGTGCACAGGATCTTACTTAAGGATTAAGTAAGTACTATTATTTACCCCATTTTACAGATAAGAGAACTAATGACTACAGAAGTTAAAGGTCATACAGCTGGTTAAATGGTGGAGCCTGGATCCCAATCCAGGCTGTCAGCACTCAGACAGATTTCAGAAGAGTGGGGAGTGTTCTAGGCAGAAGGGATATCATAAGCAAAGGCCCTGAAGCAGAAAGCAGTTTGGCTTGTTAAAAACTAGAAGAAGGCCGGTGGCTCACGCCTGTAATCCCAGCACTTTGGGAGGCCGAGGCGGGTGGATCACCTGAGGTCGGGAGTTCGAGACCAGCCTGAACAACATAGAGAAACCCTGTCTCTACTAAAAATACAAAATTAGTTGTGCGTGGTGGCGCATGCCTGTAATCCCAGCTACTCAGGAGGCTGAGGCAGGAGAATCACCTGAACCTGGGAGGCAGAGGTTGCAGTGAGCCAAGATCATGCCATTGCATTCCAGCCTGGGCAACAAGAGCAAAACTCCGTCTCAAAAAAAAAAAAAAAAAAAAAAAAAAAAGCTGAAAGAAAGTTTATGTGGCCATAACAGAGTTCTAAAGGGAGCCCAAGACCTAATTGGAGGAAGAGGCAAGGCCTTGTAGGTCAGTGTTAAAGATTTTGGACTACAGAGGCTGGGCACGGTGGCTCACACCTGTAACCCCAGCACTTTGGGATGGCGAGGTGGGTGGATCATGAGGTCAGGAGTTCGAGACCAGGTTGGCCAACATTGTGAAACCCTATCTCTACTAAAAATACAAAAATTAGCCAGGTGTGGTGGCGGGTGCCTATAATCCCAGCTACTCAGGAGGCTGAGGCAGGAGAATTGCTTGAACCTGGGAAGCCGAGGTTGCCGGGAGCCCAGATCACACCACTGCACTCCAGCCTGGGTGACACAGCAAAACTCCGTCTCAAAAAAAAAAAAAAAAAAAATTGTGGACTACAAATGTGAAGCTTTTACAAGGTCTTGAGGCCGGCAGTAGCTCACGCCTATAATCCCAGCACTTAGGGAGGCTGAGACGGGAGGATCACTTGAGCCCAAAAGTTCAAGAGCAGCTCGGGCAATAGAGTGAGACCTTGTCTCTACAAAAATATAAAAAATTAGCTGGGTGTGTGTCTGTAGTCCCAGCTATCAGGAAGGCTAAGGTGGGAGGATCACCTGAGCCCAGGAGGTCAAGGCTGCAGTGAGCCGTGAGTGTGCCACTGCCTGGATGACAGAGACCCTGTATCAAAAAAAAAAAAAAAAGAAAGAAAGAAAGAAAAGAAAAGAAAAGGGGGTGGGGGCTTAAGCAAAGGAGTGATAACATTGTGTTTTGAAAAGATGCCTCTAGCTGGGAAGAAAATGATCTGGATTGGGGCAAGAACAGATATAAAAGTTATTTTATCAGATGGGTTGAGATGAGGGCCTTAGGCTTCTGAGATGAATTGCATGAACTGGGTGTGAGGTGTGACAACCAGCTTGCTAGGGCAGTAGATAGTGGTGCCATTCCTCAGATAGGGACCTGGGGATGGGATGGAGACACTGTCAGGTTTGTAGGAAAGATCTTGAGTTTAGTTTTAGATGTGTCAAAGTCAGTTGCCTCTGAGACACACAAGTAGAGATTCCATGTAGAAAGACAGATCAAAATGTAGGAATTGTCAGTGTACAGATGGCAATCGAAACAAGCTATGGCAATGCAGGAGACTGTGCAGGGACAGAGAGAACAGTGACAAGAGTGCAGGGCACAAACATTTACAGGTTGAATGCAGGAAGCCTGTAAATGTACCCCAGGAACCAGGAGCGGGGAGGAACATCAGAGGGCAGCACATATTTCAGGAGCCGACTCGCCTGCTGGACATGGAAGTTGGAGTATCCTTGGGACCAGGGTTTGCAGGGCTCTCAGATTTGTAAACTGCAGTTAGTGATTCTGCTGTGGGCTGATGGGCAGCCCTCCTTCTGCTCCATTTGTTTCAGCAGAACATAATTTTGAAGGTCTAGCAAGTGAACTTTAGGCCTCATTTTGTAGTTTCTTTTTTTTTGAGACGGAGTCTCGCTCTGTCACCCAGGCTGGAGTACAGTGGCGCGATCTCAGCTCACTGCAAGCTCCACCTCCCAGGTTCACGCCATTCTCCTGCCTCAGCCTCCCAAGTAGCTGGGACTACAGGTGCCTGCCACCATGCCTGGCTAATTTTTTTTGTATGTTTAGTAGAGACAGGGTTTCACCATGTTAGCCAGGATGGTCTCGATCTCTTGACCTTTTGATCCGCCCGCCTCGGCCTCCCAAAGTGCTGGGATTACAGGCATGAGCCATGCACCCGGCCTCGCTTTGTAGTTTATTTCAGATTTTTACATGTATATCTCAATTAACAAAGAAAAGGGGGTAATTTAATGAAAGAACACATTTTGCTGTCAACATTTCATTACTCTTATCTTCCACCATTTCCACATCAGCTATTATCAAGTAAATACAAGTGGACATTTTTAAGTACAGTATCTTCAGAATTGTACAAATAGGAAATGAAGTTCTGAACCCTGATGTTCAGAAAACACCAAGGTGTAGCGTTTAATTGCTTTCCAAGACCCATTCATGACTTGTCTCATTTAGGCACTATTTTTTCCCCAAAGCAGATTGCGTCAACAACCATCGAGTCCCTGCTATGCAAGACATAAAACTGCTGAGATGATCCTACTAGTAACTATTTAATGAAAGAAAGATGGGAGGAAGGAAGGGAGCAAGAGAGGGAAAGAATGAGAAGATGAGTTTTGCAATAAAAGAGTCCATAATTTGGTGGTGAAGATCTATTTCAAATAGCTAGTAGATGTTATCTCTCTTTTGGTAAAATAATGACAATATGCTTATTTCCTAAGCACGTGGTTGAAAATCAATCTTTGTGCACTCTGGATCAAATAGGCATGCGAATATAAAACACCTTATGTGAGATGGATCATTTAAAATAGAGTATAAAGACAGTGAGTTTGTATTTGAAATGACAAAACAAACTTAAATCACCCTGCATGATAGCCAATTTCAACCTCTCCGCTTTTTAGCAATTTATCAACCAATCATTAAGTGAGTTAACTCTACACCCAGGGAATGCTGATGGCAGCATTAGCCATAAATAAATAAGCTAATATGTACAATAGCTAAATGAATAGACTTTTCCTTGGTGTTTTATGGCCTGAAAAGAATGCAGCTTTTCATTAAAGGAATCATTTGAAAATGTGGAAACTGATACTGCCGCCGTTCAGTGCTCTCTGCCCATTGATAATGGCCTCTGTATTAGTTGTGGGGGTGGGAGACTGATGTCCATTTACTTTTGCAAAGATTGTTATTGAATGAAACCTTTAATGGGGGCGTTTTATGATCCCACTCAGCTAAGAGCTCAGGGTTGCCTTAGAATAGTCTTTCCCTTCACCTCGACAGCTCTTAGAGAATCAATACAGGTAATATGTCAGTTGGTGGTCAGCAGTCCTGCAAGTAGAGGTAGAGTTGAAATGGAAACTGACAGGTAGCCACTTAGAGAGAGGGCCTGGAGTAAACACTCTGAAAAGTGAAGCTTCTCCTGGGAGTGGGGAGTGTGCAGCCCTCACACTATCATCAGTGCCGGGATCCGATAGGAAGAGCTAGGAACAAAGACAAGACAGCAGGGGAAAAGCCTCTCAGAGCTGGGGGAAGGCTGTCCATTGGGGCAGTACCTTTAGAGCCCCAGGATTCATATGGTTTGTCCACTTGTAGCATCTGTCATTGGTCTAATTTTAAAAAAATTATTTTAAAATGATTTTTTAAAATTGTGGTAAAATAGATGTAACATTTATTGTCTAAACTTTTTTTAAATTTCTTTTTTTTTGAGACAGGGTCTCACTCTGTCATCTGTCACCCAAGCTGGTGTCCCTGTGGTACAGTCACGGCTCACTGCACCTTCGACCTCCTGGGTCCAAGTGATCCTCCCATCTCAGCCTCCCAAGTAGCTGGGACTACAGGCACACGCCACCATACCTGGCTAATTATTTTGTATTTTGTAGAGATGGGGTTTACATGTTGCCCAGGCTAGTCTCGAACTCCTAGTCTCAAATGATCCTTCCACCTTGGCCCCCCAAAGTGCTGGGATTACAGGTGTGAGCCACTGAGGCTGGCCTTTTTTTTTTTTTTTTTTAATTTCACTAGTTTTGGGGAAATAGCTGGTTTTTGGTTACATGGGTAAGTTCTTTAGTGGGGATTTCTGAAATTTTGGTGCACCTGTCACCCAAGCAGTGTACAATGAACCCAAAATGTAGTCTTTTATCTCTCACCCCCCCTCCCACCCTTCTCCCCCAGTCCCCAAAATCCATTATATTAATGTCATTCTTATCCCTTTGCATCCTCATAGCTTAGCTCCCACTTATGAATGAGAACATACAAGATTTGATTTTCCATTCCTGAGTTACTTCACATTCAGTGGCATTAAGTAAATTCACATTGTTGTGTAGCCACAGCCATTATCCAGCTCCAAAACTCTTCATCTTGCAAACCTGATTCTCTACAACCATTTAACAGTGACACCCTGCAGGCCCAGTGACCACCATTCTACTTTCTGTGAATTTGACTACTCCAGGTACCACATATTAGTGGAATCATAGTGTTTGTCCTGTTTGGGTTGTGAGTTTAGGTTTCTCAGAGAGAATTTCCCCTATGCTGCCTTTAAGCATTTTGTGATTAATATACTGTAATTCACAGACAGATCTCTATTTTTGAGAGTCATTTTGTATTTGTTATTCAAGTAATAGTTTACAAACATCTGTTTCTTCGTATTTACTTTCTCTCCCTCTCAAATCTTGCCACATCTTGAAAAAACAATTGCATGTAAGTATCCAGCTAACTGGTGAACCAGGAGGTGCCTTTGCAATTCATAAATTGGCAATTGCAAAAGTTCCTGGCTGACAGTGTTCAAGTGTCTTCTTCCTCTTACTGGGCACTTGAGTCTGCAGGCTCAAAACCCCCAGGCAGCCAGAGCCTGGAGGGCCTTAAAGGGCCTTATATTGGAGCATTGTCTTTGCACTGGCCTTCCCAGGCCCTGCAGTCCTCCCCTTGGGCACGTGCACAAGACTGGGATCCCATGTCACACCAGCCACATGTCACACCAGCCATAACCTAAGCTACTAGTCAACAGGAAAGATTTCAGACCCCCCTGTTATCATCAGGAATAGAGAGACCCACCTTGGACTTGCCTTGAGGGGGTTTTAGGGCTGAAGGGATTTGGTATAGTATTTAACAACTGGGAAAGAGAGACGGCCGGTTCCCTCTAAGGAGAATCCGGAACAGCAACCTTGGAAGACACCGTACACAGTTTTAATGGAAGATAGATTCAAAATCAAATTTAAGAGAATTTGGTTCTGGCACCTTTAAATCAGATAACCCGGGGGAGTGGAATTCACCTAGAGGGCTCTTCCCTAGGTCAGGTCTGCACAGCCTTGTAGCAGTAAGGTTGAGGAAACTTTTCCAAAGGAAAAAAAATCCTACTGACCCCAAAGCAAGCTTAATGGGGATAAAATGAGTGATTTTGTTTTGCAGTTTTCCCTCTGCATTCTCTGGCTGCATCTCAGTACGTGCATTGGTTAATAATGCGAACCCCACCCCCAACCCCCAGCTATTCAGGAAACTGAGTCAGGAAGATACCTTGAGCCCAGGAGTTTGAGTGAGTTATAATGGCCACTGCACACCAGCCTGGGCAACCAAGTGAGACCCTGTCTCTGTCTCTTTAAAATAAATAAATACACAAAAAGGCCAGGCACGGTTGCTCACCCCTGAAATCCCAGCACTTTGGGAGATCGAGACAGACGGATCACTCGAGCTCAGGAGTTCAAGACCAGCCTGGGCAAGATGGTGAAACCCCATTTCCCCAAAAATACAAAAATGCCAGACGTGGTGGTGTGCTCCTGTGAGTCCGGCTACTCAGGAGGCTGAGGCAGGAGAATCGCTTGAGCCTGAAAGGCTGAGTTTGCAATGAGAGAGATAGCGCCACTGCACTCTAGCCTGGGCGACAGAAAGAGACTATGTCTCAAAACAAAACACAAATGCCAAGAATTAAAAAAATAATATATTAGGTAAGAAAAATCTTACATAATATTTTCATTATTAACACTTAAAAAATTGTGCTTGCACCGGGCGCGGTGGCTCACGCCTGTAATCCGAGCACTTTGGGAGGCCGAGGCGGGTGGATCATGAGGAGGTCAGGAGATCGAGACCATCCTGGCTAACACGGTGAAACCCCGTCTCTACTAAAAATACAAAAAAATTAGCCGGGCGTGGTGGTGGGCGCCTGTAGTCCCAGCTACTAGGGAGGCTGAGGAAGGAGAATGGCGTGAACCTGGGAGGCGGAGCTTGCAGTGAACCGAGATCGCCCCACTGCACTCCAGCCTGGGTGACAGAGCCAGACTCCGTTTCAAAAAAAAAAAAAAAAGTGCTTGCTTCAGCAGCACACATGCTAAAATTGAAAAAAACAATTGATACATATATAGAGATGCCAAAAAAAACACAAATGGGCCCAGCATAGTGGCTTGTACCTGTAATCCCAACATTTTGGGAAGACCAAGTGGGAAGATCGCTTGAGCCCAGGAAGCGGGAAGATCGCTTGAGCCCAGGAGCTAGAGACCAGCTTGGACAACAAAGTGACAACTCCATCTCTATTAAAAAAAAAAAATTGGCTGGACGTGGTGGCCCATGCTTGTAGTCCCAGCTACTCAGAAGGCTGAGATGGGAGGATCACCTGAGCCCAAGAGGTTGAGGATACAGTGAGCCATGATCATGAGCCACTGCACTCCAGCCTGGGAGACAGAGTGAGCGAAATTCAGTTTCAACCCCTGCCCCTCCCCCACCCCCTACCTTCCCCACACAGAAACAAATGGAGGTCTACTGTTTTTGTTTTGTTTTGTTTTTTGTTTTTTGTTTGTTTGTTTGAGACGGAGTCTCGCTCTGTCGCCCAGGCTGGGGTGCAGTGGCGCGATCTCGGCTCACTGCAAGTTCCGCCTCCCGGGTTCATGCCATTCTCCTGCCTCAGCCTCCCGAGTAGCTGGGACTACAGGCGCCTGCCACCACGCCCGGCTAATTTTTTGTATTTTTAGTAGAGACAGGGTTTCACCGTGTTAGCCAGGATGGTCTCGATCTCCTGACCTCGTGATCCGCCTGCCTCGGCCTCCCAAAGTGCTGGGATTACAGGCGTGAGCCACCGCGCCCGGCATTGTTTTTTGTTTTGTTTTTTTTTCCAGACGGAGTCTGGCTCTGTTGCCAGGCTGGAGTGCAGCGGCACGATCTTGGTTCACTGCAGCCTCCGCCTCCCAGGTTCAAGCGATTCTCCTGCCTCAGCCTCCCGAGTAGCTGGGATTACAGTCACGTGCGGTCACACCCAGCAAATTTTTGTATTTTTAGCAGAGACGAGGTTTCACCATGTTGGCCAGGATGGTCTCGATCTCCTGACCTCGTGATCCACCCACCTCGACCTCCCAAAGTGCTGGGATTACAGGTGTGAGCCACCGACCCTGGCCAGAAGAACACTTTTTAAAACAATTCATGAAAATGAAGAATGGGATTCCATCCCCTTTGATAGATTTTCTTGATAGTAAACTGCTTTCAATAGAAAGTACTGTGCTAGAAATAAATCCAAGATGAATTTTATGAATCTACGATGCAATTTACATGTTAAAGCACAAACAATTTATCTCACTTTTTAATATACCAAAAAATGTATCAAGAATTCTCATCTCAAATATAAACAATAATTTTTTTTTTTTTTTGAGACGGAGTCTAGCTCTGTTGCCCAGGCTGGAGTGCAGTGGCTCGATCTCGGCTCACTGCAAGCTCCGCCTCCCGGGTTCACGCCATTCTCCTGCCTCAGCCTCCTGGGTAACTGGGACCACAGGCGCCTGCCACCATGCCCGGCTAATTTTTTGTATTTTTAGTAGAGACGGGGTTTCACCGTGTTAGCCAGGATGGTCTCGATCTCCTTACCTCGTGATCCACCTGCCTCGGCCTCCCAAAGTGCTGGGATTACAGGCGTGAGCCACTGTGCCCGGCCTAAAATTTATTTTTCAAAAGAGAAGAGAATTCTGGCCGGGTGCAGTGGCTCGCACCTGTAATCCCAGCACTTTGGGAGGCAGAGGCAGGTGGATCGCCTGAGGTCAGGAGTTTGAGAATAAATAAATAAATAAATAAATAAGAATTCTGAGATAATTTAAGATGAAAAACAATTTAACAGTGAAAAGAATATCCTGAGATCATGTGCAAAAATAGAACCAATCTTCTCCCTAAACATTCTCTCTCCTAGTTGTAATCAGGGCTAAATATCTCATCTCAAAATACTAGAATTTATTCTATTTAAGCTCCTTTACACCAACAAAGTGATGTGGTGAAAATTTTTTGCATTAACTAGTGGAAGTACTTTTTATTTCTTGAACACGTAACCTCTTTGAATAATGTAGAAAACCATTGTTTTCTGGCTGCGAGCGGTGGCTCACGCCTGTAATCCAGGCACTTTGGGAGGCCGAGGCGGGTGGATCGCGAGGTCAGGAGTTCAAGACCCGCCTGGCCAAGATGGTGAAACCCCATCTCTACTAAAAATACAAAAAATTAGCCTGGCACGGTGGCAGGCGCCTGTAGTCCCAGCTACTCAAGAGGCTGAGGAAGGAGAATCATTTGGACCCGGAGGGTGGAGGTTGCAGTGAGCCAAGATCATGCCACTGCACTCCAGCCTGAGTGACAGAGTGAAACTCTCTCTCAAAAAAAAAAAAATAAAGAAAACCATTATTTTCTATATGAGATTCTCATACTTTATGAAGAGAATGTCAATGAGGAAGACATTTATCTCTGTTTTATATAATTTTTAACATTATTTTCCTTTCAAGATAATTTTGGTAATTCTATTTTAATATCTGCCAAATAACAAAAAAGTTCTTTTTTTTTTTTTTTTTTTTTGAGATGGAGTCTTACTCTGTCACCCAGGATGGAATGCAGTGGCACGATCTCAGCTCACTGCAACCTCTGCCTCCCGGTTCAAGCAATTCTTGTGCCTCAGCCTCCCGAGTAGCTGGGATTACAGGCACATGCCACCACGCCTGGCTAATTTTTGTATTTTTAATAGAGACTGGGTTTCACCATGTTAGCCAGGCTGGTCTTGAACTCCTGACATCAAAAGATCTGCCTGCCTCGGCCTCCCAAAGTGCTGGGATTACAGCCGTGAGCCATGGTGCTCGGCCACAACAAAAAAGTTCTATGATATGAGATTCTAGCTCAATGTTTCTATTGAAATAATTCAATGTACAAGTCTGTTCCCCTGAACTTTGGGCAGGGTTCATAAATTTAAGAGTCCATTGCAGTTATTCAGTTACTGCCCCTGGAGTCATAAAACTTTTTTTTTTTTTTTTGAGATGGAGTCTTGCTTTGTCACCCAGGCTGGAGTGCAGTGGTGTGACCTCGGCTCACTGAAACCTCCGCCTCCTGGGTTGAAGCAATTCTCCTGTCTCAACCTCCCAAGTAGCTGGGATTACAGGTGCCCACCACCACACCCAGCTAATTTTTGTATTTTTAGTAGAGATGGGTTTTCACCATGTTGGCCGGACTGGTCTCGAACTCCTGACCTCAGGTGATCCACCCACCTCCGCCTCCCACAGTGCTGGGATTACAGGCATGAGCCACCGTGCCCGGCCTCACAAAGCATTCTGAACGCCCTTAAAAACTATGTCTGAGCAAAATATTCTGCAATCTATAATGTCAAAATCAGATCCACCAATAATAGATGGTCTAGGACAGTATTTGTGATTTTACCTGTATTATACTTGGAATGGCAGCTCCTACCAACCCCAGCCTGCCCTGTGCTTTGCCTGGGTACAAATGAGCTGTAACTTTGTGGCCAGTGTGGCCAGAACACTGAGTCTTCTGCAGGCCCATTGAGATCCCAAGCATCTATCTACTCTGATAGCTTTGTTCACTGCAACTGCCAACTTCCCCAGATTCAGAAAGGACATCCTGAGGGCTTATTAGGAGCACCATCAATATCAGGGATGCCGCTTTACTTTTAGCCTAGTTATTTTTTCAGGGTTTTAAATGTCCCTCTTTATACATTTTTTTTTATTCTAATGAGTGGAAGGATGATACAATTATCAGATACAGACTCAGGTAGGGAAAAGAAATATAAGCAGAGAAACTACCTCAGGAGATCTCTAAATTCTATCTGTAGCTCCAGAAACAGTTCTGTATTTCCAACAATAAAATAAGAAAACTGTTTTCCACTGGTATCCATTATTCCCAGTAAGTACACCATACTGCCTGCAGTCCTCATTATAATGGTGTCTCCTAATTAATAGCTGCAGTGACTGGGAGGATAAATCAAATAAAGCAATGGTTCTTCAATATTATGGATGTGATGTTAAACCTCAGAAATCAAATGATTTTTCCAACATTATACAATGAGGAAATGGGGGACAAATACTAGTTTGCCTGACTCCAAAATCTGCATTCTCTATGTTATACCTTATGCTGCATCTAAAAATGTTCAGCCAGAATAAGTGTATTAGCGTAGTTTTAATCTCATTCTACATTCTACGTGGTGCTTTGTCTTCTACTTTGACTGTCCTAGTCTACTGTTTTTTTTTTTTTTTGAGACAGAGTTTCGCTCGTCGCTCAGGCTGGAGTGCAATGGCGTGATCTCGGCTCACCACAACCCCCACCTCCTGGGTTCAAGTGATTTTCCTGCCTCAGCCTCCCGAGTAGCTGAGATTACAGGCACGGGCCACCACGCCCTGCTAATTTTGTATTTTTAGTAGAGACCGGGTTTCTCTGTTGGTCAGGCTGGTGGTGAACTCCCAACCTCAGGTGATCTGCTCACCTCGGCCTCCCAAAGTGCTGGGATTACAGGCATGAGCCACCATGCCTGGCTGTCTACAGCTTTTATTATTATTTTAAACTGGTTTAAATTAGCTTTAGAAATAGATTACATACATTTTATTTTTAAAAATTTTAAATATATTTTTAAAACAGGGTCTTATAGTGTTGCCCAAACTGGTCTCAAACTCCTAGGTTCAAGTGATCCTCCTGCCTCGGCCTCCCAAAGTGCTGGGGTGACAGGCATAAGCCACTGCACCTGGCCAATAATATACATTAAAAAAAATAAACATAAAAGAGCTTCAGGGTATTACTATAGAAAGATGTTATGTTATGAATGACTGTATTTCCCAAACTAAAAGTTGAATTATGTAACCCTATCAATATGACCAAAACTTTGAGTAAACAGGTATTAAATGAAATGGTCCCCAAAATTTTCTAGTTAGTATAGGATATATTATCCGTTATACGGTATTATTATTTGATTGTTCAATTACTGGCATGCATGCATTTGAATGACTGTTAGAAAATAGCAAAAAAAATAAAATAAGAAAAAATAACCCTACCTCCCTTTGCTGCTATTCTAGGTCAAAGAATGAAGTTGTTAATTTGAATTATTCAGTGAGTGAAAAAACTGGGATCACACCAGTTTGTGATGACTTGTTTTACTATTTGATTTAAAAATAATGTTTAAACCCATAACAGTAAGAACATGTTTCGAGTAATACATTTTGAACCAGCAGTTAAGGAAAGGCTGCCTAATTACACAATGAGCCCCCACGTCTTCGAAAGACCATTGTTCTGTCTTAATTAACATGAAGTAAATCAGTCCTAAAACAACAGGGCACATTCCCATTAGGATAAATTACTCAGACTTCAGCAAGGCAGCAAATAATTCCCTAGAGTAGAATCTGTCACTGCTTTTCCACCTGCACTATATCTCTCTCTCAAAGGACTGGGCTAGAGCTGGGAGCCTCCCTCTGGAAGGGGCATCTGTTCCATATTGAATTTGCTCCATTTGTGGCCATGGGTGGAGGGTGCAGCAGATCCCCAGGCAGTCAGCAGAAACACAGCTGGGATGGGACAGATCCTC
The DNA here is from genome assembly GCF_000001405.40 of Homo sapiens. Classification (NCBI taxonomy): domain Eukaryota; kingdom Metazoa; phylum Chordata; class Mammalia; order Primates; family Hominidae; genus Homo; species Homo sapiens. The sequence goes on from NC_000008.11 coordinate 70,049,507, forward strand.
AGCAGCTGTGGCTGCCTTCAAAGCACTTTTATCCTGCTTATTCTGGTCTCAAATCTTCCACGTGGGTATTTCAGTCTGTTATTGCTTAACTTAATATAGGGAAGAATGGGATGGGTAGTCTCCAGAAAAATGCTATTTTCTTTTTTTTTTTTATTTTTTTCTTTTTTTGAGATGGAGTCTCTGTCACCCAGGCTGGAGTACAGTGGCACCATCTCGGCTTACCGCAACCTGTCTCCCGGGTTCAAGCAATTCTCCTGCCTCAAGACTCCCGAGTAGCTGGGATTACAGTTGTACACCATAATGCCTGGCTAATTTTTGTATTTTTAGTAGAGATGGGGTTTTGCCATGTTAGCCAGGCTGGTCTCGAACTCCTAACCTCAGGTGATCCACCTGCTTCAGCCTCCCAAGTGCTGGGATTACAGGCATGAGCCACTGCACCTGGCCCAGAAAAAATGCTATATTCTTAACAGGATCCATAAACCAGGCATAGAGGCTAGTTAGGAGGCTGGGCTCTGGAGCTGGGCAGACCTGGCTTTGCCTCTTAGAGGCAAATCAGCTTGCCCCACTTCTTTCATCTCTCTCAGTCTCAGTTTCCTCATCTGTAAAGTGGTAAACTCAGTGGTATCCTCTCACAGGGTTAATGCTCGATAGTTGTTGGCTATTATGATCCACGTATGAGATGAGTCTGATGTCTCTGTGCACGTTAGAGAAACCCATTCCCCGAACACTTGCATCAGCCGTAGGATACCATGCAGGGCACATTTTTCTTTTCAGTGGGCCTCTAATTACCAGCTAATTAGAAAATCCCCCCAAAATATCCTGTATATTTCATACTGTCTATTAATCAATAATGAAATCAGGTTTAAACCTACAGCAGTATCAGTATTTTTTTAGCCTTTCTTCATTTGGTTATCATATTTCTTCCCCAATTGCTTAACATCACAGATGGTGCGACAGATAACTTCTGTGCCCTCCAAGTAACTTTGGAGCTAAACACATTAACTGGCATTTGTCATGTGGTGGGGGAGGGGTGGGAACAAAGTGTTTAAAATTAATCAAAATAAAGATGGAATATTAATTCACGACCGAGGAGTTACAATACTAATGAAGCTCTGACTCGAATGAGTTCTTATTTATTTATATTTATTTATTTGAGACAGGGTCTCGATCTGTCACCCAGGCTGTGCACCATCATGGCTCATGGCAGCCTCGACCTCCCAGGCTCAACTGATCCTTCCGCCTCAGTGTCCTGAGTAACTGGGACTACAGGCATGTGCCACAATACCTGGCTAGTTTTTCTTTCTTTTTTTTTTTTTTTTTTGGAGAGATAGGGTTTCAGCATGTTGCCCAAGCTCGTCTGGAACTCCTGGGCTGAACCAATCTGCCCACTTTAGCCTCCCAAAGTGCTGGGATTACAGCCATGAGCCACTGTGCCCAGCCAAATTTTTACTTTTATTTAATTTATTTATGTATATTTTAGAAGTGGGAATCTTGCTGTTTCCAGGCTAGAGTGCACTGACTATTCACAGGTGTGATCATAGAGCACTACAGCCTCAAACTCCTGACCTCAAGGGATCCTCCTGCCTTGGCCTCCCAAGCAACTGGGACTACAGGTTTGTGCCACCACGCTTGGCTTTAAATTAATATTTATTTATTTAGTGGGGTTTTTGTTTGTTTTTGTTTCTGCCAAGTGCACAGTATGATAAGCGAATTTTTAGAGGATTTGTTCTAGGCCTGATGCAGTGGCTCACACCTATAATCCCAGCACTTTGGGAGGCTGAGGCCAGAGGATCAGTTGAGCCCAGGAGTTTGAGACCAGCCTGGGTAACATGTTGGGATCTGCCTCTCTGTATAAGAATCTTTTCTATAAAGAAATGTAACACGTGATGACCGCATTGTATAATTGGGGGCCCAAGGCAAATAGTAGAGAAAAAGCTACCTTTTTCTCAGATCATTGCAACCTCCGCCTCTGGGTTCAAGCAATTCCCCTCCCAAGTAGCTGGTATTACAGGCATGTGCCACCACACCAGGCTAATTTTTGCATTTTTAGTAGAGACGGGGTTTCACCATGTTGGCCAGCATGGTCTTGAACTCCTGACCTCAGCTGATCCGCCCATCTGGGCCTCCCAAAGTGTTGGAATAACAGGCGTGAGCCACCACACACAGCCAACTGCAGGGACTTCTATAACCCATAAAAGGAAATAGAGAGAATCCGAATCTCTTGTTTTTACATTGTCTCCACACTCTTGAGGGCTACTCATTTTTTTTGTTTTGTTTTGTTTTGAGACAGGGTCTGGTTCTGTCACCCAGGTTGAAAAGCAGTGGGGCGATCTCAGCTCACAGCAACCTCCGTCTCCTGTGCTCAAACCATCCTGCCACCTCGACCTCCTGAGTGGCTGGAACCACAGGCATGTGCCACCACCCCCAGCTGATTTTTGTATTTTTTTGGTAGAGACAGGATTTCACCATGTTGCCCAGGCTGGTCTCGAACTCCTGGACTTGAGTGATCCACCCACCTCTGCCTCCCAAAGTGCTGGGATTACAGGCGTGAGTCATTGTGCCTGGCAGGGCTAGTAGTCTTCATGAAACTTCATGTGGGAGTAGAATGTTTCTTGATCTGAGAAGATTTTCCCACAGATGCTGCATGAGCAGCCATCATCCTCCTTGTGTGAACGCCGGACATGGCTGTCATGGGCAGCATGGGATGCAAAAGATTTACCACAGTACTTGCATTTGAAGGGCTTCTCCCCGGAGTGCTGCCTGATGTGTGTGCGGAGTATGCTGGAGGCTGTGAACCTCTGCAGAGAACAGAAATACAGAACACAAGAAAAAGTCAACTTCCACGAGCTGGACAACCAATTAAACTAAGGGGTAAATTTCACTGTTGCTCATCCTTATGGACGAACCTTGGGTTTTAAGGCCATAGAGCACTCCTGGTCATCATCAGTAGCCTTAATCCGAAAGGACTCCACTGATGTGTCCTTCTGGCTAGTTTTGAGAAGCACTGGATGTTAGAACAGTGGTTCTTCAATGGCTAGATTATCTGGAGGTCCAGTTTGTAAAAAAGCAGATTGCAGGCTGGGCGCAGTGGTTCACACCTGTAATCCCAGCACTTTGGGAGGCCAAGGCAGGTGGATCACCTGAGGTCAGGAGTTCGAGACCAGCCTGGCCAACATGGTGAAACCCCATCTCTACTAAAAATACAAAAATTAGTCAGGCATGCTATCGTGCACCTTTAATCCCAGCTTCTCAGGAGGCTGAGATGGGAGAATTTCTTGAACCCAGGAGGCGGAGGTTGCAGTAAGCCGTTATTGCACCACTGTACTCCAGCCTGGGTGACAGAGTGAGACTCTGTCTCCAAAAAAAAAAAAAAAAAAAAAAAAAAAGCAGACTGCCAGCCTGGGCAACATAGCAATACCTCACCTCTACAAAAAGTAAAAAAATTACCTAGGCATGGTAGCATGTACCTGTGGTCCCAGCTATTTGGAAAGCTGAGGTGGGAGGATAACTTGAGCCAGAAGGTCAAGGCTGCAGTGAGTTATGATGGCACCACTGCACTCCAGCCTGGGTAACAGAGCAAGACCCTCTCTTTAAAAAAAAAAAAAAAAAAAAAAGCAGATTACCAACCCCACCCAAGAGAGTGTGACCCAATAAATCTGACATGAGACCCAGGAGCCTGCATTTAAACAAGCAATTCTGATGCATGTGGGTCCTAGGATCATACTTCAAGACAAACCTCATTACAGAAAGAGAAGCTAATATCGACCAGAAGCTAATATCGGCCAGTGTCTTTGCATAAGTCAGTGCCTTACTGGTTTTCTTCTTCTTCTTCTTCTTTTTAATTTAAACTTTTTGAGATGGTTTGTAGGTTTGTTTTATTTGTTTGTTTGTTTGTTTGTTTTGAGACAGAATCTCACTCCATCACCCAGGTTGGAGTGCAGTGGCACAATCTTGGCTCACTGCAACCTCCACCTCCCAGGTTCAAGCGATTCTAGTGCCTCAGCCTCCCAAGTAGCTGGAATTACAGGTGCACTATGATGCCCAGCTAATTTTTCTATTTTTAGTAGAGATGGTGTTTCTCCATGTCGGCCAGGCTGGTTTCAAACTCCTGACCTCAGGTTGATCCACCCACCTTGGCCTCTCAAAGTGCTGGGATTACAGGTGTGAGCCACCACGCCCAGCTCAGTGGTGTTTTTCTATGCCCATTATTTTCATTCTATTGACACACACTTTGGAGGTATTAGTTGCTCTAATCTGGTAGACTCAATGTTTTATTCCTTTTGAGAGGCTTAGAAGTAGCTGTAGGACAGCCTCTACTCCTTTTACGGCTTTACTGTAAAAAGCGTAAATGACTCAGTGACTGAAAACATAATCTATACCAGTGCTTTCCAACAGGACTTGCTGCAATAATGGGAATATTCATTACCCACGCTGTCCATCTTGGAAATCAATGGCCACATGGAGCCATTGAGCACTTAAAATGTGGCTAATGCAACCTAGGGAACGGAATTTTTCAACTTTACTTCGTCTTTACTAATTGAAATAGCCACATATGATTAACCGCGAACTGCACATTGGGTAGCATAGAGCTATTTTGGTGTAATATGTCTAAAGCGTGGTCAACCTATTGTTTCTATTATAGCAACCTCTAACCACATGATTCATCTCTGTTTTTACAACTCTGTATTCTGTGTAACATAGACTAGATGCCGCTTCTGCAATGCTCCTATAGAAAATTACATCAGTAGCATCCTTCACAGATTAAAGTAGTAATAATAGCAGTTAACATTCCAGTAGTACTTTTATGTTATGCCAGGCACTGTTACAAGAGTTTTATATACTTTACTGATGTTATCCAACAACTTGGTAAAGACTATTCTCCCCAGTTTATCAATGTGGAAACTAACAGGAGTTCATGGACTTGCTCAGGGTGGCACAGCTAGGTAAGCACCAGAGGCAGGATTTGAAACTTGGCCATGTTTGTGTTCTTAAATACTATGAAATAGTGATTTTTTTTTTTTTTTTTTTTTGGAGACGGAGTTTCACTTTGCCACTCAGGCTGGAGTGCAGTGGCACAATCTTGACTCACTGCAACCTCTGCCTCTGGGTTCAAGTGATTCTCCTGCCTCAGCCTCCCAAGTAGCTGGGATTACAGGAACGTGCCACCATGCCCAGCTAATTTTTGTATTTTTAGTAGAGATGGGGTTTCACCATGCTGGCCAGGATGGTCTCGAACTCCCTATCTCCAGGCACCTGCCCACCTCAGCCTCCCAAAGTGCTGGGATTACGGGCTTGAGCCACCACGCCTCCCCACCCCCTCCTTTTTTTTTTGAGACAGTGTCTCACTCTGTCACCCAGGCTGGAGTGTGCAGTGGTGCAATCTTGGCTCACTGCAACCTCCACTTCCTGGACTCAAGCAATTCTCCAGCCTCAGCCTCCCAAGTAGCTGGGACTACAGGCATAAGCCACCGATGCATGGAAAATTTGATTATAGGTGTGAGCCACCACACTCAGCTAGTGCTTTTAAATACTATGTAATAGGTCATCAGGTCCCCATAAATTTGGAATGTATTTTATTACATGTACTCTAAATGCCAGCTTGGCAATAGGAGGTTGGTTATATTTGACCATCTTTAGCAAACTTGAGCATATTTAGGGGTGGAAATGAGGACTGGGCTGATATTTGACTAACATTTACCAAGAACTCATTAAGCCAGGCTTTGTTTCAAGTTCTTATCCATAGACACTCAAGCAGAGCTCAGGACACATCCCTTAGTAAGAGGTTCCATTTACCTTAGTACAATACACACACTGGTATGGTCTGTCTCCAGAGTGGACTCGCATGTGTTTGTTTAGGCTGGAAGATTGAGAGAAACATTTCCCACATGTAGAACACTAAGGTGAAAAAGAAAAATATAGTTGAAATCACACCTTCCTCTAACAAGTCCATTTCAACCTTGCGTTTACCTGGGGTTAGAGAAGAACTCTTTTCCAATTTTTTTCTTTTTTTTTTTTTTGAGACGGGATCTCAATTTGTTACCCAGACTGGACTGCAGTGGCACAATCACGGTTCACTGCAGCCTGGAACTCCCAGGCTCAAGCGATCCTCCCACCTCAGCCTCCTGAGTAACTGGGACTACAGGTGCGTGCCACTAAGCCAGCTAACTTAAAAAATTTTTTTTTGTAGAGATGAGGTCTCACTATGTTGCCCAGCCTTGTCTTGAACTCCAACAGATCCTCCTGCCTTGGCCTCCCAAAGTGCTAGGATTATAGCCTTGAGCCACGGCACCCGACCTGAGAGAACTCTTGCTTCAGATGTGGAATGTGGGAACTGAACAGGTTTGTGGTATATGGCAGAGGCCTGAATTAGTCCTGCTCTCTCAACAGGTAGCTGTGTGACTACAGAACATTGGTTAAATCTGGAATCTTAGTTTCCCGATCTTGCTCATGGGCAAAATACCTGCTCTGCCTTCCTCACAGAGCTATGAGTAAACTACAAGTACTGTGCAATTAACTCAACAATTATCTACGACTTACAGAGTACCTACTGTGTGCTCCACACTGCTAGAAACCAGGAGCTAGAAATCAAGGAGGGGTGACGATGAACATGTAAGCCAACATGGTAATGCACAGTAGCAGATTATCTGAGACGTGTTGAACTTGCATGAAGAGGTTAATATTTTGTTCACACGCTGTGAATAATTAATATTGTTTCTTGACCCTGGCAACTCCTCTCGAAACTGTCTCAGGAATTCTACACCAGGTGAAGTAAACTACCAGAGAGGTGCAAGCACCGAGAGTTTGCCAGGGATAAAGCAGAAGGCCTTTGGTTTTGACATCACTTTTAAGGAAATTACACTAACTAAAGAGAAAAAACAATTTTTCTCTGAGAAAGGTTTCTGTGCTTTCACAACCTCTTTCCAGGCATGCTTATGGGGCAGAGGAGAGAGCAAATCTTTGTATTTGTTTATTTATTTATTTTTATTTATTTTTGAGGCAGAGCCTCGCTCTGTTGCCCAGGCTGGAGTGCAGTAGCATGATCTCGGCCCACCGCAACCTCTGCCTCCTGGGTTTAAGCAATTCTGGTGTCTCAGCCTCCCGAGTGGCTGGGACCACAGGTGCGCACCACATGCCCATCTCTACAAAAAATACAAAAAATTAGCTGAGCATGGTGGCATGCACTTATAGCCTCAGCTCAGCTACTTGGGAGGCTGAGGTTGGGTGATTGTTTGAGCGTAGGAGGTGGAGGTTGCAGTGAGCTGAGATCATGCCATTGTACTCTAGCCTGGGCAACAGAGTGAGACTGTCTCAAAAAAAAAAAAAAAAAAAAAGATTGTTCCTCCACTGTACTGTAAGAGCACCTCGTCTGTTGAAGGGTAAGCCATCATCTCACTATCACCAGCTTCCTCATCAGTCCTGTCATCTACTGACCTCCTGGTTGACAGCCCTCCAGTTTCTTTTCTTTTTTTTTTTTTTTGAGACGGAGTCTCGCTCTGTCACCCAGGCTGGAGTGCGGTGGCGCGATCTCGGCTCACTGCAAGCTCCGCCTCCCAGGTTCACGCCATTCTCCTGCCTCAGCCTCCCGAGTAGGTGGGACTACAGGTGCCCACCACCACGCCTGGCTAATTTTTTGTATTTTTAGTAGAGATGGGGTTTCACCATGTTAGCCACGATGGTCTTGATCTCCTGACCTCGTGATCCACCTGTCTCGGCCTCCCAAAGTACTGGGATTAGGCGTGAGCCACCACTCCCGGCCTCCAATTTCAAAGAGAGCAAGCATTCTATACATCTTCTGTAATTTGGTTTTTGCTTGATAAGACAATATTTTTTTTTTTTTTTTGGGATGGAGTCTCACTCCTGCCACCCAGGCTGCAGTGCAATGACACAGTCTCGGCTCACTGCAACCTCCGCCTCTGGGGTTGAAGCAATTCTCCTGCCTCAACCTCTAGAGTAACTGGGGCTACAGGTGCCTGCCACCACACCCGGCTAATGTTTTTATATTTTTAGTAGAGATGGGGTTTCGCCATGTTGGCCAGGCTGGTCTCGAACTCCTGGCCTCAGGTGATCTGCCCACCTCAGCCTCCCAAGGTGCTGAGATTACAGGCGTGAGCCACTGCGCCTGGCCAGTAAGCCATAATTTATATAATCAATTTTGTGTTGATGAACATGCAGTCTCAAACTTTTCACTATCAGAATACTGGATAGTTTTCACTTTTGCCAGTCTAATAAGCGAGAAATACCTTCACCGTCCTGATATTTTTAAATCCTTTTAGAATTACACAAATGCATGATAACTGTAAATGTATTCAAATTTTATAGGAGTATATAATATAGTGATTAAACATGACTTTTCCAGAAGCTTAGGAAGGAAGGGAGAAATTAGGACAATTTTATGATGATTTTATTCTCAGTTTTCAAAACAGGAAAATGGGCTCAAGGTCGTAGCTGCCTGAGGTAGTTCCGACAAGGCCAACAGTCAAGCAAGAATACATCTGTGCCCAAGCCTCGTCCTCCTTTTAATTAAGCCCAAGGGAATATTGTACTTTTTTGCAGCAAGCCTAGCAGAGCATCCAGGTATTTGGAATGGCTCCGTAATGTCATTACTGATTTTCTGTCTTACAAAATCCTCGGCCCACTGTAGAGGCCTTCCGCTCCTTGGAAGGACCGTGCCTTCACTTCCTTCTTACCTATACCTGTCAACACACCTGCACAGATTTGGAACAAGGCGCAGTTCCCCAGGAGCACATGCCAGGCTCTCTCCTGTCTGGAACAGCTCGACTCTTTCCTGCCCAACTAACCCTGCCACCAGTATAAATCAGACACCCCATTTGTCCTTCTATACTTGGCTCAAGGCCACCTCTGTGCATCTTTCATAATCCACGTGTCCAGGTGGCCGTGGACACTCCTTCCTCCATGTTCCTCCCTCTGTGGGTACCTGCATCCTAACACATGTGCATCGCTGTGCCTATTCACGCCTGCCTGTTCCGTAATACTATCCTCTCCTCCTTCAGAGAGGGTGTCCGTCAGGCATCACAGCCCTGCAGCTAGCACCTACAAGGCAACTCCCCGTGTTCAGGAGCTTGGGAAGGGAGAGAGAACGTGATGGTGGGTCATGTGTCCTCCTAATACTCACCTTGTGAGGCCGGTGCTTCTCATGAACATGAAGAATGTGGATCCGAAGCCGGTCCCGCTTCTCAAAGGATCGTTTGCAGAGAGAACAGGGAAATTTCCTATCGCCCTTGTCCACACAGGGGGTGTACTTGAGGTGCTTATCTCTGTAATATTTGTAGGTAAATACCTTCCCACATCTTTCACATCTGTAGCCTTCTGCAGACTCTGTCAAACACAGCAAACACAATGTCTCTTCAGTTACTTCCCTCCCTAGTTCCTTCAAGAGGATATTTATTTATTTATTTATTTTTAGCCAAGAATTCTTTGGCTACTTCAAGAGGAATTTTCTTTTTTTGAGACAGAATCTTGCTGTATTGCCCAGTCTGTAGTGCAGTGGCACGATCTTGGCTCACTGCAACCTCTGCCTCCCAGGTTCAAGCGATTCTCCTGCCTCAGCCTCCCAAGTAGCTGGGATTACAGGTGCCCACTACCACGCCTGGCTAATTTTTGTATTTTTAGTAGAAACAGGGTTTCATCATGTTGGCCAGGCTGGTCTAGAACTCCTGACCTCAGGTGATCAGCCCCTCTTGGCCTCCCAAAGTGCTAGGATTACATGCGTGAGCCACTGTGCCTGGTCAAGAGAATTTTCTTTTCTTTTCTTTTTTTTTTTTTGAGATGGAGTCTTGCTCTGTCACCCAGGCTGGAGTGCAGGGGTGTGATCTCGGCTCACTGCAACCTCCACCTCCCGGGTTCAAGTGATTCTCCTGCCTCAGCCTCCCAAGTAGCTGGGACTACAGGCACACACCACCACGCCCAGCTAATTTTTGTATTTTTAGTAGAGGTGGGGTTTCACCATCTTGGCCAGGACAGTCTTGATCTCTTGATCTTGTGATCCACCTGCCTCGGCCTCCCAAAGTGCTGGGATTACAGGCATGAGCCACCATGCCCGGCCGCCAAGAGAATTTTTAAAAACCTTTTTATTACAGAAAAATGTAAACATACCAAAGTGAAAATAATAGTGTAATAAACCCTCATGTGCCAAACACCAAGCTTTGACCAACTCGTAACTAATTTTGTTTTCATTTATATCACCGCTCGCCATAGTAGATTATTTTAATACTAATTCATCCTTTGACTCAAAAACATCTAACCGTAATCTTTAGAAGATGACATATTTTTAAAAAGCATAATTGTGACCAGGCAAAGTGGCTCACGCCTATAATCCCAGCACTTTGGGAAGCTGAGGCAGGTGGATCACCTGAGGTCAGGGGTTCAAAACCAGCCTGGCCAACATGGTGAAATCCCGTCTGTACTAAAAATACAAAATTAGCCAGGCGTGGTGGTGCCTGCCTGTAATCCCAGCTACTTGGGAGGCTGAGGCAGGAGAATCACTTGAACCTGGGAGGCGCAGGTTGCAGTGAGCCAAGATTGCACCACTGCACTCCAGCCTGGGCAACAACAGCAAAACTCCATCTCAAAAAAAAAAAAAAAAGCATAATTGTGCCAGGTGCAGTGGCTCACGCCTATAATCCCAACACTCTGGGAAGCTGAAGTGGACAGATCGCTTGAGCCCAGGAGTTTGAGACCAGCCTGGGCAACATAGTAAGACCCCATCTCTACAAAAAAATAATAAAAATTATCTGGGCATGATAGCACACGCCTTTAGTCCCAGAGGCCGAGATGGGAGGATCACCTGAGCCTGGGGAAGTTAGTTGAGGCTGCAATGAGCAGTGATTGAGCCACTGCACTCCAGCCTGGGCAACAGAGCAACACTTTGTCTCGAAAAAAAAAAAAAAACATAACCATAATGTCATTGTCACATTGTCATACCTAAACGATTAACTCTTATTCTTTTATAGAAACATATATGTACTTATATATGCACATTTATATACACACATATATATTTGTTTAATTACTTTCTGGTCAGTCCATTCAAATTAGGCTTCAAACAAAGTCTACATGTTGTATATGGTTGCTATGTCTCTTAAATATCTTAACCTATAGGCTCTCTTTCCCTTTTGTTCCTTGATATGTACTGTTGAAGAGACCATTCCACCAGCCCCATTTAAGGGCAGTGCAACCCTGCAGCTCTTGAACACATTCCTGCCTGGCACTTGTTACAAGGTTAATACACTGAGGCACTGAGGCCGACCTATTTCTCTTTGTGCCTTTAAGATCAGCCTGAGTTACAAGCTCAGAGCAGTCACCAGGACACCCGCAGCTCACAGTGCTGTTCTATTCTACACAATTCAAGGGACCTTCTTAGTTTATACTTCATTACTCAAAACTTGTGGCAGATTCCAGAGCTAGAATCTTTATGTATAGAGTAAGGTTGAAAGCATCTTGACTTCCCTAATGCACAGGGTTACCGTGATGACTAATTTAATTCTAACACTTACCGAGTCTTACCAATGTGAGTGATACTATCACTGAATGGCAGACAAGACTGAGAGGTAAATCTGTTTTTATCAATGGAGGAGGGAGGAGGAGAGAAGTTAGAGAGGGTGCAGCTAGACTCTAGCAAAGCAGGTCCCACGTCCAGGGGTGTCTATGTGTTGGGGGAAGGCGAGAGAACAGGGGCCACCTACAAAAGCATCCCTGCAGAGGACACTCTGGATCCCAGAGGATAAAGTGGCTTTGACTATGAATGCACCACAGAGATCTCATTGTTTGACCCCAGGGAGGAAGAGCAGCCAAGAGTGAGTCTATGCAAGAGTCTGCAGATAGAAATCTTCTCAGCATCAGGACAGCAGGGAAGCTGTCCATCAGGGGCTTTGTTAGTTGACAACTACATCCCAGGCACGTTTAACAGGTGGCTAAGGAAATAAACTATTCATTAAGTAAATAACCAGGAAGGCAACTGCCAGCCCCAAGCTGATCCATCGCCCTGCTCTGTCTATCACTTTCATTGAGGTGCTAATACTCTCAGAATCCCCGTGCTGGGACACTTTTTTGGCACAGAGGTAGAATTTTTATTGGTCAGAAATACCTGGCCTTCCTGCTTCCTGGGGTGGGAAGGGAAGAGAGGGTCAGCAATTTTACAAACCTAAGCACTAAAGCACACCAAAATTCAGAATAAAGTTTCAATACTGAGTTCGCTTAAGAACAACCACTTAGGTAGAAATGAAACCTAATTTCATCTTGTTCCCTATCCTTCCTAATTTTATCTTGTTCCCTATCCTCCCTCCCCCTAGCTCTTCACACCTCCACACCCCAAAACACACACCCAAATTCCCTCTCTCCCTCACAAGAGGGGAATGCTTGCATATTCAAATAACCCGCCCACATAGAGTCTAGACCCTTCCCTCACCACTCAAGACCTTAAAGAGGAAGGCTCCCACCTACCACCAATCCCCACCAAAAAGCCTTTGGGGAAAAAAACTCATTTGAGAATGCAATGGAATTTTAATTTTTCTTTCCTTTTTATCACATCCAAACCATTCATATTAACAGATTAACAAATTAACATTCATTTATAATTATTCCCAACAAATTAAGTTGTTTACAAGTTTCCCTCCATTGTCCAAAATATATGTCCTCATAATAATGCTGTAAGCATCAGGTATCACTTGGTTCAGAACTGGAACACAAGTATCTTATCTGCATGCTGGGTATCCCCTGCACTTAACCATCATAAGCCCTCATTCTGTTGCTTGCTCTGATTGCCTCTGATATCGGCATACTATTCCATGTTAATAACAAATAGGTTGAGTATCCTTTTTCTGAAATGCTTGGGACCAGAAGTGTTTTGGATTTCAGGTTTTTTTCGAACTTTGGAATATTTCATATACATAATGAGGTATCTTGGGGATGGAACCAAAGTCTAAATATAAAGTCCATTTATGTTTTGTTTTATACATACTTTATACACATAGCCTGAAGGTAATTTTTTTTTTTTTGAGACGGAATCTTGCTCGGTCTGCAACCTCCGCCCCCGGTTTCAAGCGATTATCCGGCTCCAGCCTCCTGAGTAGCTGAGATTACAGGCATCTGCCACCATGCCCAGCTAATTTGTTTGTATTTTTAGTAGAGACGGGGTTCCACCATGTTTGTCATGCTGTTCTCAAACTCCTGATCTCAGGTGATCTGCCTGCCTCGGCCTCCCAAAGCGCTGGGATTACAGGCATGAGCCACCGTGCCTGGCCCACCTGAAGGTAATTTTACACAATATTTTAAATAATTTTGTGCATGAAACAAAGTTTGTGTCAAGTACTGGTGTGTGGAAATTCCCACTTTTGGCAATATGTCAGTGCTCAGTTTCAGATTTTAGAGCATTTTGGATTTGGGATTTCTTGATTGGAGCTGCTGAGCCTGTATCATCATTTACTTAATTATTATACTACTGAACATTTAGGTTGTTTGTGATTTTTCACTCACAAGAGTGGTGCCACAGTTAAAAATTTTCATAAGCATAGCTTTTTCCTTTTGGACTATTTCTCGATAATAGATTTCCAGAAGAGTATTACTGAGACATCAAAGTTACAAACATTGTAATAATTTGATACATACGGTGAAAAAATTTCTCAAAAATGGCCGGCCATGGTGTCTCATGCCTGTTATCCCAGAATTTAGGGAGGCCAAGGTGGGTGGATCACTTGAGTCCAGGAGTTCAAGACCAGCCTGGCCAAAATGGCGAAACCCCATCTCTACTAAAAATACAAAAATTAGCTGGGTGTGGTGGTGCATGCCTGTAATCCCAGCTACTCGGGAGGCTGAGGCAGGAGAAATGCCTGAACCCTGGAGGCAGAGGTTGCAGTGAGCCTAGATTACACTACTGTACTCCAGTCTGGGTGACAGAGTGAGACCCTATCTCAAAAAATAATAATGATTTCTCAAAAGGATAATAACCATCTTGCCAGTTACTAAGCAGATACTTTTCTCAAATCCATTGTTCACTTTTCTTTCTTTCATTTTTCTTTTTGAGATGGAGTCTCACTCTGTCACCCAGGCTGGAGTGCAGTGGCGCCATCTCAGCTCACTGCAACCTCTGCTCCTGGGTTCAAGCGATTCTCCTGTCTCAGCCTCCTGAGTAGCTGGGATTACAGGCATGCACCACCACACCCAGCTAATTTTTTGTATTTTAGTAGAGACGGAGTTTCACCATGTTGGCCAGGCTGGTCGTGAACTCCTGACCTCAGGTGACCCAACCACCTTGGCCTCCCAAAGTGTTGGGGTTACAGGTGTGAGCCACCACGCCCAGCCTGTTGACTTTTATTTCGAAAGGAGTTGGTACATTTCAGGAAGTGACCAACAGGTCTTGGTTTGGTGCTAAGTAGGAGACAACTTAGAGCTCCACAGATCATAGAGAATCCCAACCATTTTTGCCTCCATTCCTATCTTCACCTACATTCCCACACCCACACCACCCACCAAAACACTTCTGGTCCCAGGCATTTCAGAAAAAGGATACTCAACCTGTATGCAGATATCAGAGGCGATCAGAACAAGCAACAGAATGAGGGCTTATGATGGTTCAGTGGCGGGGGGAACCCAGCATGGACATAAGATACCTGGGGGAGTAGGAAGATAGTTCACCAAAACAATCCTGACAGCCCCTCATCATTGGGACCATTATTTATCATTAGATAAATAATGACGGCTGACTGCTCATTATTTATCATTAGATAAATAATGACTGCTTATTATTTACCCCCTAATTTCTGGACATTTCCTTGCCTTCTGCTTCACTGTTCCCTGAGCCTGATTGCCTTCCCTCTCTCCCTCTTACACGTGCCTTATTTCATCTCATCCCTAAGCAGCTTTTTCTAGCTTAGTTCTAATGTCTTCCTCTCAGTCAGTACGCACTGGGATCCAGAAGCACGAGATACTAAAGTGTTTAGGGTTATTTCCTGCCCTGAAGCATCTCAGCCTAGCAGGAAAACAGGCATGCAGATGCAATTTACTTTTTTTTTTTTTTTTTTTGAAACGGAATCTCGCTCTGTCGCCCAGGCTGGTGTGCAGTGGCGCAATCTCAGCTCACTGCAAGCTCCCCCTGCTGGGTTCACGCCATTCTCCTGCCTCAGCCTCCCAAGTAGCTGGGACTACAGGGGCCCGCCACCACGCCCGGCTAATTTTTTTGTATTTTTAGTAGAGAAGAGGTTTCACCGTGTTAGCCAGGATGGCTATGATCTCCTGACCTCGTGATCCGCCCGCCTCACCTCCCAAAGTGCTGGGATTACAGGCGTGGGCCACCACGCCTGGGCCATTTTTTTTTTAAACCTGCTCCTTACACATTTATTACATCATAATAATTTGCCTTCTCTCTCTCTCTTTTTTTTTTTTTGGAGACGGAGTCTTACTCTGTTGCCCAGGCTGGAGTGCAGTGGTGCGGTCTTGGCATATTGCAACCTCTGTCTCCTGGGTTCAAATGATTCTCCTGCCTCAGCCTCCTGAGTAGCTGGAACTACAGGTGTGTGCCACTACGCCCCGCTAATTTTTTGTATTTTTAGTAGAGACGGGTTTTCACCACGTTAGCCAGGATGGTCTTGATCTCCTGACCTGGTGATCTGCCCATTTCGGCATCCCAAAGTGCTGGGATTAGAGGCGTGAGCCACTGTGCCCGACCTGAGATGAGGTTTTACCATGTTGGCCAGGCTAGTCTTGAAGTCCTGACCTCAAGTGATCCGCCCATCTCCGCCTCCAAAAGTGCTGAGATTACAGGTGTGAGCCACAGTATCCGGCCTGCCTTCTCTCTTATTTACAGGAATTTACATTTATCTTGTCCCACCTACTAGATTAGTAGTTCCTAAACTTCAGTGTATATAGAAATCACTTGGAGAGCTTATTTAACATGCAAATTCCAAAGTCTCACCCCTAGAGTGGGCTGGTGGTTCCCTCGCCCCTTGCTACTGGAATGTGGACCAGGGACCAGGACCAGCAGCACTCCCTGCAAGTTGATAAAAATACCAAATCCTGGGCCCCTACCCTGAATGAGAACCAGCATCATGAAGATCCCTGGGTATTCATTCCCACATTAAAGTTTGAGAGTGAGAGTCCAGCTCAGTATTTCTCAAACTTGCCTGAGACCCATAGTAGGCAATGTATTTTATGCTTGACACCCACCATACCCACATATACCCATGTGAAATAGAAATTTCACAAAACAATCCTTACTCTTAAGGGATTCCCATCAATATTTTCTATTCTACTCTATACTTTTTTTTTTTTTTAATGTGGGTCTTGACCACTAAATTGATTTCCCACCCCACTAAGACATGCAACTCTGCAACCCACCATTTGAAAAACACTGCTCTAGTGATTAGACTTCAGCTACATTAGCCTGGGCAGAGATGAATCAGAAACTGGCTCACCTATGGTAGAAGTTACATCCATTTAGTACGTTTTCTTTTACTCTTGGGGTGGAAGGTAGGGAAGAAGAACAAGTCTTTATAAATAGGAGTATATATCTTTATAAATAGGAGTAGCTTCCGCAGCTTTGGGAAATTGAGGATGCTTTCCTTCACCTGGGTAATTCCCCCCTGGTTAGAGACACTCTCGGTTAGTCCTCTGCATTAGCCTTTAGGAGGGAGGAGCTGTGCATGGAGGGTTTGTGGAAAAGAGCCCAGTCCTTCTACTGGGATGCCCTCATTGGGCAAGGCGAGGGTGTGCACTCACCTTCAGAGGGCCCAGATGGCTGCTTCCCCGGCTCTGTGACCTGAAGGCTCACAGGAATATCCAGAAATTTCTCATAGCAGTCTCCATACCACACAAGGAGCTCTTGGTTCTGATGGATCTCTTTGCAGCTCTCATAAAATATATGCCCTTGACACTGCACAGCAACTAGGTTCTGCTCCTTGGGGAAGCGGGCACAGTTGACATAGGACATCCAGTTCCCCGTACCTCCTTTTCCATCTATAAAGTGGCTCAAATGACCATCTTCAAAGATCTAAATGAAATAAGACATGAAGTTTGTATTGTACTTCTTTTTTGGTCTAATCTATAAAATAAATTTTTTAATACTTGTAACCTAAATATCACACTTGAGTCCACCAAATACACTTCTATCATTCTGATTTTTATGTCATTACAAGTAGTTTATAAATTTACTTATGCCAACATAGATTTGTTAGTTTAAGGACACCTCTCTAGGTAATGTCACATATTGGGTTTGTTTGTTTTTTTCAGAGACAGAGTCTCACTCTGTTGCCCAGACTGGAGTGCAGTGGCTCAATCACAGGTCACAGTAGCCTCGAATTCCTGGGCTCAAATGATCCTCCCACCTTAGCCCCCTGAGTAGCTGGAACTAAAGGCATGCACCATCACGCCTGGCAAATTTTTTTAAAAAAATTTTTTGTAGAGACAGGGCCTCACTCTTTCCTAGGCTGGCCTCAAACTCCTGGGTTCAAGTGATCCTCCCACCTTGGCCTCCTAAAGTGCTAGAATTACAGGTGTAAGCCACTGAGCCTGCCTAATGTGACATATTCTAAAAGATTCTTACTTTTATCACTTTCTTGCTTCCCAAATTCCTATAGTGAGCACATGTTAATTTCATAAGCAGAGGTAAGTGAAACAAAAAGGTTTTATTTAATTCCACCACTTAAACACAACTGAATAGTTTTATATTTTACTCCCAGTTAGGTTTCATGCATATTAATGGAGCTATAGATTATTTCTTTCAAGGCCGGGCCTGGTGGCTCACACCTGTAATCCCCGCACTTTGGGAGGCCAAAGCAGGCGGATCATGAGGTCAGGAGTTCGAGACCAGCCTGGCCAACATGGTGAAACCCCTCTCTACTAAAAATACAAAAATTAGCCGGGCATGGTGGCACATGCCTGTAATCCTAGCTACTCGGAAGACTGAGGCAAGAGAATTGCTTGAACCCAGGAGGTGGAGGTCACAGTGAGCTGAGATCACGCCACTGCACTCCAACCTGGGTAACAGACAAAAACTCCGTCTCAAGAAAAAAAAAACAAAAAAAAAAAAACAAAGAAAGATTACTTCTTTCTCTGCTGCTGGCAATTTCGCTGTCTCCAACATTTTGTTATTATAAACAACCCTAGGATTAACATATTCCACATAGCCTCAATTTCAGATTATTTTCCTGTACTATATTCCTAGAAGTAGAAATTCAGGGTCAAGGGACTTTGAACATTTTAAGGTATCTGATACATTCTGACAAATTTTCTCCTGCAGGTAATAAACTGCAGTCCCACTAGCATATCCCTAATATATCATCACTAGATCTTGAAGAGTATCTGGTTATTTTTTTTTTAATCCTTGACTAATTTTATAGGTGAATAATATTGAATTTTAAAACTTGTTTTTATTCTCTTTAGCATAGTTTCAGCACTCTATAATATCTAAAGCATTTAGTTTTGTCTATAAATATAATACAACATATTGATTCTTTAAATGTATATTCCATTGCTAATCTTCCAGACTAAAATGACTTAAGGCACCCACAAAACACAGAATTCATGCAGAGGTGCTATCCTCATGGAGCAAACACTGGCCGTTCCTTCCTTTTACAGGCAACACAAACCACAGATATCTGCCCTGGATGTCCTCTCTCTCTGACCAGGACTCTCCCAAAAGGGCAAAGGCCAAGATTTCCCCGGACTAGTCTCCCGCCCCATTTTCAGCAGCAGACCCACCAGAAACAGATTTACCTCCCACATCACAGAATTGTCTCCGTAGGTCTTCACTTCACTGGCATTGACCACTTTACCTTGAAAGGGCCCAAACCTGACTCCTTTGGCGATAAAACTACTGCAGAACACACCAAAATGTGGGACTTCACCAAACACCGTCTGCATGAGGCATAGACCTAGGGGAAAGCCGAGGCAGGAAAAGAGAATGAGGAGAGTTGACTCTGCATTAGTTCAGGGAAAGAAATCCATGCAAGGAGTCCTGCCTACCTTCTGGAAGTTGAAGGGAGTCTTTATCCAGAGTTTGAGGAAGAGAATCAGATCCTAGCAAAAGGCAGGTTAAAACAATTTTTCATTAAAAATGCATTATAAAGTGCTTTTATGAGGTGTTTCCCTCCTTAATTCCCTAAAGGTAACCATCATCCCAGTTTGATATTTATTTGTTGTTTCTATTTTTCCCTGCTCATTTTACATGGTCTGTTCATACACGATTTCACTGTAAACAATTCCATATACAATTTCTCATTTGAGACTCAGAACAGCCTCATGGAAGTTTATGTAATTAACCCCATTAGGCAAATTCAAGGAATTTGAGGATCAGAGGTAATGCCTGACTAAGGTCAGCGTAGCTAGCTGAGCTGGGACTGTTAGGTGTGAACTGCTGAAGGCTGTCATTGCATGTTAGCATAGAATCTGAACCTACCTGGGAGTTCGCTGCAGGAACCATTTCTCTCTTGGTCCTCAGCTCTCACTAAAACCAACCTTAGTCATGCAGTTAAGCAAGCAGGGCCTCAGAAGTGAGCCTAGAACAGCCCTGGCTCTCATGGAGGTACTTCCCCCTTCCCGCACTCTGCAGCCTCAGCTCCACCTGGAAGCGCCTCTTCCCGGACACTCCCGTTCCCGCCTGCATTCCCGTCCAATTCGACTCCCAAATGGTGTGAACTCCCTTTACCAGAGCTGTCTGGGGGGACCAGGAGGCCTGAAATCGCATGGTGCAGGCTGGCTGGGTGCTCCAGGCTGGGAGTGACCCCGTACAGAACGAAGTGCAGGTCCTCCTCCGTGAACTGGAACCGAGCAGGGGACTTCCCTTCTTGGTTGGAGGGTTTGGGACCATCCTCTGACTGCTTGCTGGGTGAGCAAGGTAATAACTGGGAGGTCCTCAGCCCCTCAGGTAACAGAGAAGCATCCGCAGGGGGCGGTGGAATTAAAGTGTCAGGTCCACAACACGGGCCACTCTCGTTGTCGCCACCAATGATTTGGTGGCCCAGATCTTCACTGCTGGCACCCGCGTACTCGTGGCTGCTGCTCAGGAAGGGCGGCACTTCCCTGGGGACGTGGGGAATTGGGTACCACGGTGGCAGCTTGCTGTACCAGGGCAGATCGTAGAGAGGCTCCCTCTGTAGGCCCAGACCCGGGCTCAGCAAGGGAGGCGCCATCCGGAAGGGGAAGGGGGGCATGGCGGGGGCAGCAGACGCTGCGGCCTCCAGCTGCCGGAAAGGTTGGAAGTCTTCCTCCACGGTGGCCAGGCTGTTTCTGTAGTGTCCATAGGACGGGAAAGGCGTGTAGTACGCGGCCAGGTTCTGCGGGCTGCTCTCCGGCGGGTAGCACACCTTGTCCTGAGGCACGGCCTCACTTGGCCGGGGTAGAGCCATCCCGGGACCGCACGCTCGGCGGCTCTGCAGAAAAGCGGGCGCCGCTGAGGACACCGCGCGGGAGCTTCCCGGGGTCCGACCCGCGCCTCCCCACCAGCCTCCTCCACCCCAGCCAGCCCCAGATCCAAGGGAACAGGATAAACGCCCCCAGTCCGATCCCGCCAGCCCGCTCCCACAATTAAGACAAAACGAAAAAACAGCAATAGAAGCAAACACAAAAAAGCCCCAAACGGAAATCTGCCGGGATCCTGCCCTACTCTAAATTCCGGGTTAGTGTTGCCTTCCCCTTCCCTCTCCAAGCACCCCTTCCCTAAGCCCGGCCGCCTTCCCACACCCGCTCTCCGCTTTCGGCCCCCAACCCGGTTCCTGCAAAACCCATTGAAGTTCCCTTTCCTTCCTTCTTCTCAGTCCTACAAAACTCGTTGGTAGGGTCTGTGGGAGCCGCGGGGCCCTGCCAACCTCGGGGCTGGGCCGGGAGCCGAGCGCAGGCGGTCGGAGGGCAATGGAGCAAGCGACAGCTCCAGGCGCTCCTGGGCCCTCGGCTGGGAGGGAAGAGCCGAGGACCCTGGGTCGCACCGCGCAGATGGAGACGCGCTCCCAGAGCCCCCGGGCAGGTCCAGGGACCCCGCGACCTGCTCTGGCCCAGCGGTGTGACCCCGCGGGTCCTGGCGGTCCTGACTGCCCGCAGGGGAGGGGCGCGCCACTTTTGGCTGCCCTAGGATGCGCCGCCTGAACCTCTTTTCCCTCGCGGGCAGCGTCCGCCACATTCCCCGGGTTCCTCGGAAACTCCAATCATTCTACCAGGACTATTGGGGCCTGGGGTAGCCCCTCGGGAGCCGCGTGGACGAGCCCTGGCCAGGTGGGAGCGAAGAGCCTCGGCGACTGCCAGTCCTCCCGCCCCCGCACCGCCGGGAAAGGATGGCGTTTTAATAGACAGGCAGCAAGTTCACCGAGGCTGAAGAATGAAGCCCCTTCAGGGCCGGCGGGTCTTGAGATCAATGAGCCCAATAAGAAAACCAAGCAGGGTCATGACTCAGAAATTAAAGAACACGGGGTCAGGAGAAGAGGTCAGCCACGACACAGGCAGCGGCCCGTCTCCTCCCGATCCTCCAAAGGCGCCCTTCTCCTAGCCTCCTCCGACCTCAGGGATCTGCAACTTGGGATTCAAAGCCCCCGAGAGGGCAGAACGACCATCCAAAACGAACTGCGCCAGCGAGTGCTGCCGCCCTCCCCAACGGCCCTGGAAGACCACCGCCCCGGGCCCCAGGCGCGTCCTGTCCCGTGCCTACCTCCGACACCACCTCCAAGAGCGCCACCGCGGAGCGGGCGCCTCCTGGACGCTGCGGGGCCACTCGGGCTCGGTAGGCCACTCGGGCTCGGTAGACTTCGGGCGGGCCCTGAGGGCTGAGCCAGGCTTAAGAGGGCGGGCGGGGCCGCGGGGCATCGACAGGTCGAGGGTAGGGAATTGACCCGGCCCACGCAGATCCCCGCGTCGTCTTCTCCCCGCCCACCGCAGCCATTGGCCGACTCTCGACTCGCCCTCTGTCCCCTGGGGTCGCTCACTTAACTCATCAGTTTTCCAAACCCTCCCTGGGACCCTAGTGGCGAGCACTCGCCGCTGGCCTTCTAGGGCAGGCAGTATTGCCGCTCCAGGCGTGCGGAGTCGGGGAGAAAAAAACCGAACACGTGTGCTACCCAGGGCCCCCAGATAAGCCCCTCCGCGCGCACACACACCCTGAACCGGAGTCCAGAAGGCCGGACTCGCGTCCCGGGGTCGAGCCCCTTACTCTCCGCTCCCAGTTCGGAAGATCCCAGCCTGCCCGAAGGCGGCGTCTGACCCGCTGGTGGACCTGGTGGGTGTCTGTTCCTGATACCTGGGGACGAGGCGGGAGCGCCTTGAGCGCTGGGAAGCTTCGCCTCGCGAGTCCCCGGCAGTGACACGTGGGAGCGTTGGGCCCGGCACCCCCGACGCTTCCGAGGTTTCGGGTGGTCGTTTTGCTCTCTCGGGGGCTTTTATTCCTTAAGTGGCTTTAAACGACCGAGGATGGGCCTCCCGCGCCGCCGCAGCTGTCACTTCCTTCGGGAAAGGCTAGCGACCTTGGACGCGCAGGCTCTGAAAACCAAGGTCCAGACCCATACCGAGCGCCCAAAGACCGCATTTGAATTCTCCTCGCCGGCCATTGAGGGAGAGAAAGGAACGCTTAGTTCCATTCACATTCACAGAAAGAAGCGCCGAGGGTGGGGGAAACGCAGTCTTGCCGGGTGAGCCGGGACAGGTTCCTCGCCTGCCCCCCGGCCGCTGCTTCCTCTTAGCTGAATGGGGAGCGACCCGCCCCGGGCGCGGCCTTCGGGGCTGAAGACTGAGGTGCAGCCTCACCCCCGGCCTGGCAGCGGCTTGGAAGAGAGAGGGAAAGGAGGAACATCTACCCGGCTAAGAGACGCCGCCAGAGTCCCTAAAGCTGGCGGGGGACGGAGGCCGGGGTCCCGGATCTTCAGAGCGCCCGCAGCCGGGCTTCTGGGCTCCTCGGTGCGGGGAACCTGACCCTGTAGCCTTCGCCAGGGCGCGGCGGGGCTGCAAGAAGGGAGGAAGGAGTGGGACTAGAGCCTTCGAGGGCGCGGGCGGCGTGCACTCAGCCTTGTCTCCCCGCGCGCCCTGCCGCCTGCTTGCCCCCTTTGCTGCACCGGGTGGCCCTGGTCCCCGCGCCCGCCCGCCCCCGACGCCTTCGCGTGGTTCCGCGCTGCCCGCGGCCAGCCCCGTTTCGCTTCGCAAGGAGCGTGTTGTTTTCTCAATCGAAATGGGATCAAGATCCCAGGGTTTCCTCGTCTCCTTGTTTTGAGGTGATAGGATCTTAGCCAATAGATCGAAAACGTGAAAAGTACCCGTCGCCTCTTGTCCCAAGTGCCTCTGTGGAAGGATCATTTACTTGGAAAAGCAGAATAAATTCTGTTGCCGTTTTCCTTCCGGAGGCGTGCTCACCCCAGAGCTCCTAGACCCACTGGCATTCGCTATACTTCCTCCTGGGCTTTACAGGTAGGATTTCAAGAATGATATGGGGGCACCTGGGTGATCTGTGGGTTGCAGGTCCTCAAGAGGCCGTTTTTTCGTGCACGGAAGTGTCGTAGCTTTATTTTAGCGGAAGCAATATCAAACCTTATCTTAGAGGTTTGTTTTGCAAAGAATCCAGAGTTTACTATATTTGACACTATTTTAAAATAACACTTGCTTGTTTTAAGAAGTTGGGAGAAATCGATAAAAGAAAAGTTGAAATCCATGCTTCCCATTTCTACTCTAGGAGATAATCCTGATCAACAGTTTGGTTTGCTCCCTACCCCCATTCCTTAAAAACAAACAAACAAACAAACAAACCAAAACCCACTATACTTTTAGATTGTGTAGGATTACGTAGGATTTTGTAAAAATAAAAATGGGATTATACTTCACTCGTTTCTGCAACGGCCTAGCTCCTACTAGTAATCATTCCCTATCAGTATAGTAGAATTAACCTTATTTTAGTATTATCATTATTATTTTGAGACAGGGTCTCACTTTGTCACCCAGGCTGGAGTACAGTGGCATGATCTTGGCTCATTGCAGCCTCTGCCTCCTGGGCTCAAGCTGTCCTCCCGTCTCACCACCCGGCCCCTTCCCCTCAACTAGCTGGGACTACAGTCATGCGCCACCAAGCCCGGCTAATTTTTGTATATTTTTGTGGAGACAGGTTTCACCATGTTGCCCAGGCTGATCTCAAACTACTGAACTCAAGGGATCCACCCACCTTGGCCTCCCAAATTGCTGGGATGGCAGACCTGAGCCACCACACCGGCAAATTTATTCTTTATAATGGTTGCGTGGTACAGAATTTCCATTTTATAGGTGTGCTCATAGTTTATCAGCCTCCTCTTGAAAGGTATTTAAGTTGTTGCCAGTTTTTCAATACTTCTGGCAGTGTACAGAAACACTGATACAGATACATAGTTGTGCTACTGTGCCTTGTAGAAGAAATATCCAGGTGTGAAGTTGCTGGATCAACAGGTATAAACACTGATCATTTAAACAAGTACTTCAAGACTGGGCGCAGTGGCTCACACCTGTAACCCCAGCACTTTGGGAGGTTTAAGTGGGTGGATCACTAGAGGTCAGGAGTTCAAGACCAGCCTGGCCAACATGGTGAAACCCCATCTCTACTAAAAATACGAACATTAGCCAAGCATGGTGGCACAAGCCTGTAATCCCAGTTACTCGGAGGGCTGAGGCAGGAGACTAGCTTGAATCCAGGAGGCAGAGGTTGCAGTGAGTCAAGATCACGCCACTGCACTCCAGCCTGGGTGACAGAGTGAGATTCTGCCTCAAAAAATACAAAATAAACAAGTACTTCAAACCATACCAATTTATACTTCCTCCAGCAGTGAGGGCAAGTGCCTATTTCTCCATGCTTCATCTAATACCGAATATTGCCATTCCTTTTTTTTTTTTTTGAGACAGGGTCTCACTCTGTCGCCCAGGCTACAGTGCACCTCAACTGCCCCAGCTCAAGCGATCCTCTCATCTCAGCCTGTCTAATTTTGTGTTTTTTGTAGAGACAGGGATTTCACCATGTTGCCCAGGCTGATGTCAAACTCCTAAGTTCAAGTGATCCACCTGCCTCAGCCTCCCAAAGTGCTGGGATTACAGACATGTGCCACCACGCCCGGCCTTAAATTTTTTTTTCTTTCATAGAGACAGGCCCTCACTCTGTCACTTAGTCTGGAATGCAGCAGCATGATTGCGGCTCACTACTGCCTCCAACTCCTGGGTTCAAGCAATTGTCCTGTGTCAGCCTCCCCAGGAGCTAGGACTACAGGTATGTGCCACCACACCCGCCTAACCTTTTAATTTTTGGTAGAGGCGGGGGTCTTGCTATATTGCCTAGGCTAGTCTCAAATTCCTTGTGTAAAGCCATCCTCCCACCTCAGCCTCCCAAAGTACTGGGATTACACGTGTGAGCTACCACACCTTGGGAGTATTGCCAATTCTTTAAAGCTGCCTGTCTTTCACATAAGAAGTAAAATCGTATTCTAATTGCCTTTTAGTCATTTACATAACAAAGTTTCTTTTGAATGCCTGCCTATTGATGAGCCAGTCAGCAAGCCAAGCATAGGGAATACAATTGTGAACAAAGCAGTCTTGATCCCCTTAAAAGCCTAATGAAGAAGGTCTGTATGTGTGTGAATACTTGATGAATGAGTCACTATGAACTGCAATAAGGAGGGAAGAAAGTGTAGTACAAGTAACGAGCCTCAGTCTAGGCTGGGAGTACAGGAGGGTTCTCCCAACCTATCAAATTGGAAAGATGTGTAGAAATGAACTTGGTGAAGGGGATGAGGACAAGTGGTACTCCAGGGCCACAGAACCCTTGGTGCTAAGGCCTTAAGCCTGGAGGAAGCTTGGCTGATTCACAGAACTGGTGCCAGGAGACAGCTTGAGGTTGGAATGTCAGCAGACACCAGGTCTTGCAGAGAACACTTGCTAAGATGTAAGTATCCTTACAGCTTTACTTCCAAGTATTCACCAAGAAGTAGTAAGAAGTCACTGCAGACATCAGCATACTTCATCACTAAAGAACTTCAGCATGCATATCATTAAATCAAATTCAGCATTTTGTTTATGGTTCTTTTTTTGAAAGGTAAAATTTACATATGATGAAATGCATGTATCTTGGCTGTACCATAAATTTTGACAGTTGATGGCTGGGTGCAGTGGCTTATACCTGTAATCCCAGCACTTTGAGATGCCGACGTAGGGAGGTCCCTTGAGTCCAGGAGTTGGAGACCAGCCTGGGCAACATGATGAAACTCTGTCTCTGCAAAAAAATACAAAAATTAGCTGGGCATGGTGGTGCATGCCTGTAATCCCAGCTACTCAGGAGGCTGAGGTGGGAGGATGGCTTCAGCCCAGGAGGTGGAGGTAACAGTGAGCCAAGGTGGCACCACTGCACTCCAGCCTGGGTGACAGAGTGAGGCCCTGCCTCAAAAAAAAAAAAAAAAAAAAGTATTGACTGGGTGCAGTGGCTCACACCTGTAATCCCAACACTTTGGGAGGCCGAGGTGGGTGGATCACTTGAGGTCAGGAGTTCAAGACCAGCCTGGGCAACATGGCAAAACACCATCTCTACAAAAAATAGAAAAATTAGCCATGTGTAGTGACATGCCAGTGGGAGGCTGAGGTGGGAGGCTGAGGTGGGAGGTTCACTTGAGCTGGAAAGGTGGAGGTTGCAGTGAGCTGTGATCGTGCCACTGCACTCCAGCCTGAGCTACAGAGCGAGAACTTGCCTCAAAAAAAAAAAAAAAAAGAAGAAAGGAAAAACATTTTGACAGTTGTATAAACAAGTGTAGCCTCAATCCCTATCACAATATAGAATTTAACACCCCAGAAACGCCTTCAAGTCACTTCCCAGGTAATCCCTGTTCCCATTCCCTCCCCCAGTAACTGTTCCATTTTTTTCTTCTTCCAGACATGCGGTTTTGCCTGTTCTGACTTCCTGTAAATGGAATTTTATAGCACATGCTCTTCACTATATATTTCAAGAGGCTTAGCTCTTTGATAGGGGAGAAGCTTTGAGGCACCCCGAAGAAAGCAAACAGCAACCATATTTATGTCCCACCACAGGGGTAATTATTGGAAACCCATTTAGAGGAGTTCAAATGGGCCTTGAAGTTTGGTTCCTGCCCATGCCCATCTTAATGGCTTGCTTTCGCCAAGAGTATATACTGACAGCCAGTGAGGCGTGCCTGGTAGGGACAGTGTTGTCTGCAATGGCAGCCAGTGTGTCCCTGTGTTGGCGGGTGGTCCCACCTGGGACCTCAGCAAGGCCCTCTCCACTGGAGAAACTCTGGTGCTTCCAAGAAACCATCCTGGGAACACCAGAGAGTATCTTCATGTATTTACCTCCAAATCTGCCTCAGTACTTTTTCTTTGATATGGAGGCCCAATTTTAGCATCCTGTAATGGCCGCCTTGAACCCCTCCAAGGTCATGGAATTTTTTTCTTATCTCGATGGACCAGTATTTTTGTAAGGGCCCCCTGTTTAGGGTAAGTGATCAGACAGGGCATTTCTCCTAGCATCTAGATCATTCTAGACCTAGATACTACCTATTCCTTGGGTAGCATTAAGGTATTTTGAAGTTCCACCTTGATAGGAATCCCCACTGAAGTTAGACAGCCTCATTGTTTCCAGAGCACCCAGACTTTATAAATGACCCCAAGACTAATCTGTCTGAGCATGCTAACTCTCTTCTCTCCAGCTGGCTGGCAGGCTCCAGTGAGAGCAATCGCTTCTGCCATCTGGGCTATAACGATGCATATTCTAGGGGTGATTTGAGATCTGTTATGGCAAAGTCAGACTGATCATATCCTGCCTCTGTCTGCAGATCTGACCCATCAACAATCAGGGTCAATTATGGACTCTCCAAAAGTATTTCTATTACATCTGCATGGGGCTTGGACAAATGCCAGTTTGGCATTTTTTCTTTTGAGATGGAAGGAGCATGGCAGAGTTCAAATAACCACAGTGATTGACAGACATATGTATAGGGAAAAGAACAATATTTCTTTTTTCTGTCGCCCAGGCTGCAGTGCAGTGGCGCAATCTCAGCTCACTGCAACTTCGCACTCCCAGGTTCAAGTGATTCTCAAGCCTCAGCCCAGGACTGAGCTGGGACTACAGATGTCCACCACCAAGTCTGGCTAATTTTTTTATTTTCAGTAGAGACAAGGTTTTGCCGTGTTGGCCAGGCTGGTCTCGAGCTCCTGACCTCAAGTAATCCATCCAATCCCAGCACCTCCCAAAGTGCTGGGATTACAGATGTGAGCCCCCATACCCGGGCATTATTGCATTAGTTGTTCTTTCTTCTCCTTCTTCTTTTCTTTTTTTCTTCTTCTTCTTCCTCTTCCTCTTCTTTCTCTCTCTTTTCTTTTTCTTTCTTTCTTTCTTTCTTTCTTTATTTCTTTCTCCTTCCTTCCTTCCTCCTTTCCTTTCCTTTCCTTTTCTTTCTTTCTTTCTTTCCTTTCAATGCAGTCAAGTTTCCTGTATCTGGGGAAATTTCAAGGGTCAGCACATCTGGAGTGCAATGGATAAGCCTCATCCTGGGAAAACCACCTTCATGATCATGGAATCTTCCTGGTCAGGTAAGTATATTGTAACAATATTTCATAGGATGCAAGGTGGCTCAGCTAGAAATGTTGTCCATTTGATTAAGTAGCAGTGATTATACAACTTGGGAGACCATTGGGTTCATGAGATCCCAAAACTAAGTAAGCAGAAGCCTCCCCGAGTTGACAATGACTGCCATTGCCTTGAGACAAGGTAGATAGGCCTTTGCCAGTAGAGTAGGGAGCAGGGACATTACAGTAAACCATGGGTGGTTTTGTTTTTGTTTTTGTTTTGTTGGTTTTGGGACTTTTTTTGGGACAGATTCTCACTCTGTCACCCAGGCTGGCTGGAGTGCAGTGGTGCAATCTCAGCTCACTGCAGCCTCTGCCTCCTGGGTTCAAGTGAGTCTCATGCCTCAGTCTCCCGAGTAGCTGGGATTACAGGCACCTGCCACCACACCCGGCTAATTTTTGTATTTTTAGTAGAGACGGGTTTTCACCATGTTGGCCAGGCTGGAACCCATGGGTGGTTTTCTTGTCATTGAGTTAAAACCTCAAGGACCTGAGCAGATCATCTATGAACCTGGAGAAATGTTTATGGTAAGTTAGAGCAGTCAAGGATGGGGTTTGTTGAAGAGCTAGCTCTAGCGTGTAAAATGTCTGTTCATGCTGTGTTCCCAGGAGAGGCAAGTCTGTCACCAAGAATTTAGTCGGGTCCTAAAGAAGAAGTAATTGCAGAGAAGTTGGGAGCTCCCTGTCCACAATCCCTCATGAGACGTAGCAATTAGTTTTCAGTGGTGAGTTTAGGGCAGTTCTGAGTGGAAGTTCAGTCAATCAGAGGGAAGAGACTTGCCTGAGACAGATCATGATCTAGATAATGAACCTTTTTTCTGAAAAAACTTCAAGTTTTTTGAGCACCTGTGTCCTTTTGTGCAAAAATAGAAGGTAGAAAGAATTCATTTTTAGTGCTTTTCTAATCTTCAGAGATTAGCAAAAGCTCATCCTATAGAAGAACTTTAAGGTCCTTGAGATTCTGATTAAGAGCTTATTTCATTTTATTTATTTATTTATTTATTTATTTATTTATATTTATTTATTGAGACAGGGTTTCACTCCATCATCCAGGCTGGAGGACAGTGGTGTGATCTCAGCTCACTGCAGCCTTGACTTCCCAGTTTCAAGCAATCCTCCCATCTCAGCCACCCGAGTAGCTGGGACTACAGGTGTGTGTCACCACACCCAACTAATTTTTTGTATTTTTTGTAGAAACGAGGTTTCACCATGTTGCCCAGGCTGGTCTCAAACTCCTGGCCTCAAGAGATTTGTCCGCCTCAGCCTCTTAAAGTGCTGGGATTACAGGGGTGAGCCATCACCACGCCTGGCCTAAGAACTTATAAAAAGTAAGGAACCACAGTGAATCTCTGAGGCATAACAATCCACATGTACTGTGGGTTCTCCTAAGGACAGGAGAACAGGCATTGATTTAAGAGAACAAGTTCGCTGGGCGCCAGTGGCTCACGCCTGTAATCCCAGCACTTTGGGAGGCCGAGGTGGGCGGATCACGAGGTCAAGAGCTCCAGACCATCCTGGCCAACATTGTGAAACCCCGTCTCTATTAAAAATACAAAAAAAAAAATCAGCTGGGCATGGTGGCACACACCTGTAGTCCCAGCTACTCGGGAGGCTGAGGCAGGAGAATAGCTTGAACCCAGGAGGCAGAGGTTGCAGTGAGCTGGGATCGTGCCACTGCACTCCAGCCTGGGCGACAGTGTGAGACTCTGTCTCGAAAAAAAAAAAAAAAAAGAAAAAAAGACAGAGAACAGGTTCTAAAGAAGGAAGAACATAGATGCACAACTGTGAAATAGATGGCCTTGGGCGGGACTGGGGGAAAGAACAAAGTCCAGTATTTGGACTTGGCACTGCTGGAATGTGGGGAATAATTATCTTAACGATATCCCTAAGATCATGAATAAATCTGCGCACTCATGCGTTGAGTTACCTAATACTCAGGATAGGAGCGTGAGAAGGTTTGGTCCAAGGAATAATGAGTCTTTTGCCTATTAGTCCTTCTACTATGGGCCTTAATTTTTTTCTTCTGGCTTCAAGGGAATTGTACAAGGCTGGGTGAAGGTTGGGACCTGGTCAGTCTGAACCTTGATGTGCTCAGCCCCAGTAATCCTAAAATGGTGATACATTTTTGGCTCATTAGGACTTGGTACCTCACAAAGATCTTCAAATTGTGTCTGGTTTATGTATCTGTATCCAAATTAGCTATGATTTGATTATGAATAGAGACACCCTCATGAGTTTCAAGGAAGAGCTCCCTTCTAGGAAAATTTAATCTGGTGATTCCATTTTCATAATAAAGACTCCTCATTAAGTTTATGCTGGTGTGATGTCACAAGAGAAGGGTGTTTTTAGTAAAAAGACCAAGAATAACAGTGGCCAGGATACAGGGAGTGGCCAGGCAGATGGAGACATCCACCTCTTGGTTTTTGCTGACTCCAAGGACAAGAAGTGAACTTAGTGGCAGGGTTGTTGTTGAAAATGTTGCACCCCTAACCCTGAGTGTGGCCCAGAAGAGTTAATGATATCTTCTTGCAAGTTTTAAGGGAAGACTCAGAAGTGGATGCCATCTTCTCTCTTGGAACTGTCTCATTATCTGTCAGATTCCTTTTTGCCCAAAGTGAGACAATTGGTTTTCCATCGTCTCTTTTGTTCAGAGTAGCAGCAAGTATTCTTATCACTGGGCATTTTGCTGGGGGGGATTGTGGAGGTTGTGAGGTCATCCAGTTGTTTAATTTGAAAAACCGTTAAGTTGTTTAGGATCTTACTCTACTTTTGTTCTAAGAGTTTCTCAGAAGATTTGGACACATGCTATAGGGCTGTTAGTGGAGTTATTTCTTATTCTAGCCTTTAAGTACCAAACCCCTGAATTTTGGCTAAAGGCCGTTCATAAGCAATGAGGATAATGTAGCAAAACATCTGCCTATTGATCTATCCCAGACTGTTGTCTGAAGGTGATTTCTAAAACCTTTTCTTTTTTTTGAGACGTAGTCTCCCTCTGTCACCCAGGCTGGAGTGCAGTGGTGCAATCTCACCTCACTGCAACCTCCGCCTGCCGGGTTCAAGAAATTCTCCCACCTCAGCCTCCTGAGTAGCTGGGTAATAGGCACCCAACACCCTGAATACAGTTGGGGTTTCACCATGTTGGCCAGGCTGGTCTTGAACTTCTGACCTCAAGTGATCCGCCCGCCTTGGCTTCCCAAAGTGCTGGGATTACAGGTGTGAGCCATCATGCCCAGCAATTTCTAAAATTTTTAATGAATTTGCTTTAAAAAAAAAATAAAAAACAAACACAAAAAAACTGGATTAATGACCAGAGAATCTCTACTCAAAATAAAGTAGGTATTGCCTTCAGTAAGGATTGCACTACATTTTGTGCTTCTTAAAAGTCCCTTTCTGTTTGCTGGTCCTCAGGAATACATAGATTATTTCCCAGGTCCTTCCAGTGGACTCTTTAAGGTAGGGTTAGCATCTAGATACATGTACTAGGTGATGTACATCAGGGAGATTGGGACCATTGCTTCCAAGCACTATTCTAGATTCTCAGGTTCTTCATATCGGTCATAAAAGGCTGACAATTAAATATTAAACATTTGCTACTTCCCCCTTTTTTTGCTCTTTTGTTTTAAGATGTTCCTAAAATGGATAATTTTGGTCACATTTAAAGTTCCTCAAAGTGGTCATTTGGTAAATTGTGTCACTTTGTAAGATACGCATAAGAATAACAAGAATATGTTTAAAGGCTGGGCGCAGTGGCTCATGCCTGTAATCCCAGTATTTTGGGAGGCCGAAGTGGGAGGATGGCTTGAGACCAAGAGTTTAGGCTAGCCTGGGAAACAGGAAACCCCTGTCTCTATAAAAAATTTAAAAATAAGCCAGGCGTGGTGGCGCATGCTTGTAGTCCCAGTTGCTTGAGAGGCTGAAGTGGGAGGATTGCTTGAGCCGGGAAGGTCGAGGCTGCAGTGAGCCATGATTATGCCATGGCATTCCAGCCTGGGCAACAGAGCAAGACTCTGTTTCAAACAAACAAACAAAAACAAAGAATATGTTTAAAAAGTGAGTATCCAGGCCAGGCATGGTGGCTCATGCCTATAATCCCAGCATTTTGGGAGGCAGAGGCAGGCGGATCACCTGAGGTTGGGAGTTCAAGACAAGTCTGGCCAACAGAGTGAAACCCCATCTCTACCAAAAAATACAAAAATCAGCCAGGTGTGGTGGCGCACACCTGTAATCCCAGCTACTCAGGGGGCTGAGGGAGGAGAATTGCTTGAACCTGGGAGGTGGAGGTTGCAGTGAGCCGAGATTGCACCAGTGCACTCCAGCCTGGGCAACAGAGTGAGACTCTGTCTCCAAAAAAAAAAAAAGAAAAGAAGTGAGTATCCAGGAGGCATGGCATGGGCTTTCTTGGACTGAGACAACCCCTTGAGAATTGGTAAGGACCAAACCTGCTGCTTGTGTACTTCTGATCTCAGCCCACAACCAGAGGTTAGCTGCCTTTGACCAAAGAACTGATAACTGCAGCCCCTGATGATCAAAGTTTTTGGAGACTTTTTTTCCCAAATCAGTTCTTAAGGATAGCTAGGGGAATAATAGACTTCATAAGGTTTTTAGATGGTTACCCAAGGCAAACTTCATCTACCGAGGGAGACTGGTGTGACAAGACCTTACACTTGTCAGTCCTTTTGTCATGGACGCATTGGGACTCTGTGGATTGATCATTTGTTGCTTTTTTTCCATGTCATTACACAATATAAGAAAGGACAAGATAAAGATAAGGTTAGGCAAAGAGCATACTTCCACCAAGAATCATTAGAAAGATAGGTCTACTCAGAAAAGTGGAGTTTCAGTGGGTAAAATATGATTTTCCTGAGAAAACTAGCCACGTCAATGAAATTGGAGCTCACACTTAGTGTGCGGCTCCCCTCTCTGCTGAGGCCAGAAAATGCAAGCGGAAGAGAGACCAGCCCTCACCCCACCCCCGCCACCACCAGATGCCCAGATGCAGAGTCCTGGCAATGGCAGAGAGTCACAGTTGAGTCTCCATGGGACCTCCAAATTGTGGAATCATTCCTCCTTAAATAAACAACCTGTTATGAGATAAACAAACCGTAAAAACACCCACATACAATCCTGAAATGGGAAATGGGTGTGCTTTTTTTTTTTTTCCTTCTTCTTACAGGTTGGGTTGGGAAGCTCCTGAGATGGGATATCAAACCTGGAATGACTCTTTGGTTGATTCCTCAAGGTCATGGTTGATATAACCGAGGTGAGGTTCTACTTGAAGAAAGAAGTGATACTCGAAGCACAAAACATTGTACAATTATAATTCCATAACCAACAGAGCTATCATTCTGCTTCTGTCTTCCACAACTGATGGGGGGTGTGTGTTCTGATTCACAGTAGTGACAGCCAAAGCCATAGGTAGAAAAAAAATCATAACCATAAATGATTTTAACATTTTTTTTTTTCTCAAGACAGAGTCTTGCTCTGTCACCTGGGCTGGAGTGCAATTGTGCGATCTGGGCTCACTGCAACCTCTGCCTCCTGGGTTCAAGCGATTCTCCTGCCTCAGCCTCCCCAGTAGCTGGGATTACAGTTGTGCACCACCACGCCCTGCTAATTTTTTGGGTTTTTTTAGTAGACACGGGGTTTCACCATGTTGGCCAGGCTGGCCTTGAACTCTTTACCTCATGATCCGCCCGCCTCGGCCTCCCAAAGTGCTGGGATTATAGGCGTGAGCCACCATGCCCAGCCAATTTTGACATTTACATAGAATAGAAAATAAACAAAATCAGAATTCAAGATAAGAATCTAGAGAAAGAATGACTAAATACACTTAATGAAATCAGGAGGAAAGGATTTATTTTAAAAAAAAATCCTAAACTTGATGGATTAACAAACTAAAAATAAAGAAATTAATAAATAAAACCAAGAGCTGCTGCTTTGGAAAAATCATTGGAGCTGATACACCTTTGGCAAACATAACCAAGGAAGGAAAAAAATAAACAAAAAACAAGAAATATACAGCAATAGTAATGAGAAAGAAAACATATCCATAGATAAAGATAAGATTAAAGTAATGATTAGAGAAGTCTATGTAAACCTCATGTCCAGTAGAGACAGATAAACATAGAGAACTTTATTTTTATTTTTTCCAGACAGAGTCTCACTCTGTCTCACAGGATGGAGTGCAGTGGCAAAATCTCGGCTCACTGCCACCTCCACCTCCCAGGTTCAAGTGATTCTCCTGCCTCAGCCTCCCGAGTAGCTGGGATTACAGGTGTGTGCCACCACGCCTGGCTAATTTTTGTATTTACAGTAGAGACAGGGTTCTGCTATGTTAGCCAGGCTGGTCTCAAACTCCTGGCTTCAGGTGATCCACCTGGCTCGGCCTCCCAAAATGCTGGGATTACAGGTGTTAGCCACCGCACCCCACCAAGATAGAAAACTTTAAAAACGCAATCTCACTTTTATGAGAAAGTGCAAAATTGCAAATAAAATGAGACACTGAAATCTGGCAATACATTATGAATCTATGATACAGGATTATCTGTTTGCCTATGAAGGATGAACTGCCAGGGAAGTTGACCTCCTGCCATAAACAATAGAAAACTAGACAAAATATATGAATCAGCTGTTCTTAGACGGTGGGCAGCAGGCAGCACAGGAACTGTGACACCCGAGAGAAGGGAAACAAATGAGCCAAGTGGTAGGATGCCTAAGTTTACCACTGAGGCAGTTTCTATGACATAGAACAGAAAGAGGTCCCCAAATTAAATCCCCTGGGCTGGCTGAGTTGAAGACAGAGATCTAAGGGTTTTTTTTGTTTGTTTGTTTGTTTGTTTTTGTTTTGTTTTTTTTCTTTTTTGAGTTGGAATCTCACTCTTATTGCCCAGACTGGAGTGCAGTGCAGTGGCATGATCTTGGCTCATTGCAACTTTTACCTCCTGGGTTTAAGCGATTCTCCTGCCTCAGCCTCCCAAGTAGCTGGAATTACAGGTGGGAGCCACCACACCCAGCTTATTTTGTATTTTTAGTAGAGACAGGGTTTCGCCATGTTGGCCAGGCTGAACTCCTGACCTCAAGTGATCCACCCGCCTTGGATTCCCAAAGTGCTGGGATTCCAGGCGTGAGTCACCGCGCCTGGCCGAGGGCTTATTTTTTAATGATGTGAGGCAAGGTGGTTAGAATTTGTGCACAGGATACTAGTGAAGGGGAAACCACACAGAAAGATGGGTCTGGAAATTTGCAAAGGGATCTGAGTCTTCAGGTGAGCACTGATCTACTCATGTATGAGAGGAAACCCCACAAGGCCAGGGAAAGCCACTAGAGAGCAGTGGGCCAGACAATTCCAGGATCTTCCCAAGGGCTGAGAAGACTTCTCATTCCAGTCACCCGGCACGGAGAGACCACAGTACATAGGGCATTGGGGACTGTTACCTAAAGAGTGGGAAAAAAAAATTGTCCCACATTAAAGGCTGCTCCGGACCTGCCCTCACAAAGCTTAAAAGCAAGCCTCAAAAGCAAGTGTCAAACCTATCTTAAGTAACTACATGTCAGGACAAAGTTCAACAGTTTTTAATGGAATAGAACAAAATCCAGCACTCAAGAATGTAAAATTCACAATTTTTGGCATCTAGTAAAAAAAAAAAAGAAAGGCATGCAGGAAGGCAGAAAATGGACCCCATAACCAAAATACAAAACAATCCATAGGAACAGACTCAGAAGTGATAGCAATTATGAAATTAGTAGAGAAATATGATAAAATAGTTAGTATAGATATGCTAGGCCAGGTGCGGCTCACACCAGTAATCCCAGCACTTTGGGAGACCAAGGTGGGTGGATCATTTGAGGCCAGGAGTTTGAGACCAGCCTGGCCAACACGGTGGTGGATGCCTGTTACCCCAGCTACTTGGGAGGCTGAGGTAGAAGGATCACTTGAGCCCAGGAGGTCGAGGCTGCAGTAAGCTGAGCTTGTGCCACTGCACTCCACCCTGGGCAATAGAGTGAGACTCTGTCTCAAAAAAAAAAACAAAAAACACCAAAGTGCTGATAACAAATATTTAAAACCAACCAGAAAAAAACAAAAAAAAAGACATTACCTAAGGATGAAAAAAGGTAAGAATGACAGCAAACTTTCCATTACAATCAATGCAAACTATAAAAACAATATAGAGACATCTTTAAAATACTGAATGAACTGTCAACCTGAATTCTGTGCCCCTGAAAAAATCTTTTTTTTTTTGAGACAGAGTCAACCTCCACCCCCTGGGTTCAAGTGATTCTTCCACTTCAGTCTCCCCAGTAGCTGGGATTATAGGTGCCACCACACCCGGCTAATTTTTTGTATTGAGTTGGGGTTTTGCCATGTTGGACAGGCTGGTCTTGAACTCTGACCTCATGTGATCCACCCACCTTGGCCTCCCATAGTGCTGGAATTATAGGCATGAGCCACCATGCCCGACCTACCCCCCAAAATCTTTTTTAAATTATGGTGAAATAAATACTTTCCCACACCAACGAAAGCAGAGAAAATTTATAACTAACAGACCTGCACTCCAAGAAATGCTAAAGGAAGCTCTTAACTGGGTGTAGTAGTCTGTACCTGTAGTCCCAGCTACTCAGGAGGTGGAGGCAGGAGGATCCCTTGAGACCAAGAGTCCAAGTCCAGCCTGAACAACATAGCAAGATTCCATGTCTATAAAAATAAATAAATAAAAATAAAAATAGCTTTAAAAAGGAAGTTCTTGGGGCAGAAGGAAAATGATGATAGATTTAAGCCCAGGCATGTCAATAATTACATTAAATGTGCATGGTCTAACTATGCCATTAAGAGGCAGAGTTTATCAGATTGAATAAAAACAAACTCCAAAAAACAGTACAAGTTCTGACTATAGATTGTCTACAAGAAACCCATTGTCAAGATCTGTGAAAGATCTGAGATTTCATCCTTACTTGCAAGTTACCAAGGCAGCCTGCCATAGCTTCATGGTTGCTGGTTGAAGACATCAGAATCCAGGGCCAGAGCTGAAGGGCAATTTATCACTCACAGCAACAGCAACAGCCAGACTACCAACATTTTTGCACGAGTTCTCAAAGTCTTAATCCCACAGGGCAATGTGGAGGGTCAGATGACTCCAGTGCACACAGAAGGCTGCATTATAGGTGTGTAGGGAGTTGGGAATCTTATCATTTATAATGGGCAGTGAGCACACCTGCCCTTTGCTCTATCTTCCAAGACAACGAACTTACTCTTGTCTCTAGAGGGAGACACTATATTTTCCATGTGGTTGGCCATTCAAACATCCTATATGAAAACAGTCCAGAGCCAGGCGTGGTGGCTCACACCTGTAATCCCAGCACTTTGGGGGCCAAGGCGGGTGGATCACTTGGGGCCAGGAGTTCGAGACCAGCTTGCCCAACATGGTGAAATCCCGTCTCTACTAAAAATACAAAAATGAGCCTGGCGTGGTGGCAGGCGCCTGTAATCCCAGTTACTCGGGAGGCTGAGGCAGGAGAATCACTTGAGCCCGGGAGGCAGAGGTTGCAGTGAGCTGAGATTGCACCATTGCACTCCAGCCTGGATGACAAGAGCGAAACTCTATCTCAAAAAAAAAAAAAAAGAGAAAACATAGTGTAGAATAGAGGGTATTTGTTGCACTCACAAAATGTACAGAACAATGGAGAATTGTCTCTGTTTCTCATTAATTGTTGCAGTTTTGATAATTTGCAACAAATACTTTTTTTTTTTTTTTTTTTTTGAGACGTGGTCTTGTTCTGTTGCCAAGGCTGGATGCAATGGCCTGATCATGGCTCACTGCAGCCTCAACCTCCTGGGCTCAAGTGATCCTCCCACCTCAGCCTCCCAAGCAGCTGGGACAACAGGTGTGCACTACTACATCTGGCTAATTTTTGTATTTTTTGTAGAGACAGAGTTTCTCCATGTTGCCCAGGCTGGTCTTGAACTCCTGGGCTCAAGCAATCTGCCCACTTTGGCCTCCCAAAGTGCTGAGATTATAGGCGTGAGCCACCATGCTTGGCCAACAAATACAATAGATTACTCCTATGTACAAAATTTTTGTCTTCAGAAACATGATCTACCCTACACCACCCCCCAACCCATACCCCTGACAGCCCCCCACCCCCGCACTGCACGCCCCCCTGCAAATCTGATGCAGCTACAGTAGGAGCCAGCTTTGTTTAAATGTCTGTATCCATCTAGGACCAATCCAGAGAGAGAAAAACCATATAGTAATTTGAACAGGAAAAGCTTACTATAAAGAATTATTCTCTATAGCAGGAGATTGGCATGATTATGCAATAATATATGTGTTACCAACTCCATACTCCGTGGGCTGAGATCCATGGCTCAGTCATGGCTACTGAACGGCGGACAAGTTGCTGTGATGCCATAATGGTGAAACTTGCTAGAAATCAGTCCTGTAGGGTGCTGGGGAAAGCTGTTTATGGGAAGATGTCTCACTACCGCGCCTTGGCTACAAACCACCTTAGGAGGTTGCAGGGGAAAGCCACTGGCCACTGAGTGTTGCTGGCTGTGTATGGCAGCAGGAGGGCCCTGGAGAACCTGTGAGCCAAAGGCGCTGGGGGCCAGCGAAACCACGCGCCCCTGCCAACCCCGCTGAGACTCCACCGAGCCGGAGGCAAAACTCTTTCTCCTGCAATGTTTCTCGAGCGCCCTCTACTGGCAAAACTTCGGTGCCAACGGCAAATTCTTGAAAAGGTTCAGATTTATTTTCGCAAAGCAGTCAAATAAGGTGAATTCAGAGGTGAGAGGCAATAAATCAATAACTGGTATAGAGTCCAACAGGTAAATAAACCCAAACCTTTTATTCTTGCAAATCTAGGCTTCGTTTCCTTGTTTTTAAAATGGTGGGAGAAGTAGGGAAAGAAAAGACAAATTTGAAATTTCTATCATATTTCATTAGTTTTAAACCAAATGAATGCTGAACTTCTCTTTTCCATTCTTTCCTCTTATTACATTAACTCTGACATCTCGTGACTGTTGTCAGTCTTCGGAAAGCAAGTATAGATAAAATTTTGTTCACAGTTCCTTTTGCTCAAGTTTGTTAGAATTGTTCCAGAAAGGTAGGGATGTGTTTGTGTGTGTGGGGTGTGTGTGTGTGTGTGTGTGTGTGTATGGTCAGCCTAGAGAGGTGATATGTAGCTCATCTTTTTTTTTTTTTTCTTTAAGACAGAGTTTCTGTCTTGTTGCCCAGGCTGGAGTGCAATGGCGTGATCTTGGCTCACTGCAACCTCCGCCTCCCAGGTTCAAGTGATTCTTCTGTCTCAGCCTCTCGCGTAGCTGGGATTACAGGCATATGCCACCATGCCCAGCTAATTTTTGTAGTTTTAGTAGAGATGGGGTTTCATCATATTGGTCAGGCTGGTCTCGAACTCCTGACCTCAGGTGATCCGCCTGCCTTGTCCTCCCAAAGTGCTGGGATTACAGGCGTGAGCCACCACACCCGGCCAGCTCATCTTATTTTAGAGGTGGGATCTCAGTATATTGCCCAGGTTAAAGTGCAGTAGCTTCACAGGCACCATCATTGTGCACTACCTCCTTGAACTCCTGGGGTCAAGAGATCCTCCTACCTCAGCCTCCTGAGAAGCTGGGGCTACAGGTGCCCACCACCATGCCGGCCTCATGATTTATAGCTCATCTTATGGGTCCCTGGTGGAGGCAAGAAATAAAAAGAAAAGCAGTAGCTCTTGCCAGGTCCTCTCCTTCTCTTCCCTTTAAGAACCTGCTTTGAGGGGCACTTTCTGATTCCCCCTCTCTCTCTGACACTTGCTGCAGGGGCCCCACAGATCACTCTCCTGGGCATTGTGTGATGATTGGCGGCCATGTCTCTCAGGGCAAATGATCGTTTTTTCGCTTTCTCTTTCCTACTTTTCCCTCTCTTCACACTTTCATGCTTTTACTCTCATGAGTAATAAACAGCACTAATATTAACAACAATAATATCTGGAGTTTGTCTCACTTTCCTGTTTTTCATTCTTTCGTCTCTAAGACCCAGTCACTGAGGGCTCAGAGGCTCCCGAGGACCTCTGCTGAGGAATAGTCCCAGGGAATTGTTTGCTCCCAGGAATCCTGTTTCTGCAAGAACAACCTCTTCAGTCTTTCTGTTGTTGTTTGTTTGTTTGTTTGTTTGTTTTTGAAACGGAGTCTCGCTCTGTCGCAGAGGCTGGAGTGCAGTGGCGCAATCTCTGCTCACTGCAAGCTCCGCCTCCCGGGTTCATGCCATTCTCCTGCCTCATGAGGCCTCCCGAGTAGCTGGGACTACAGGCACCCACCACCACGCCTAGATAATTTTTTTTTTCTGTATTTTTAGTAAAGACGGGGTTTCACCATGTTAGCCAGGATGGTCTCCATCTCCTGACCTCGTGATCCGCCCACCTTGGCCTCCCAAAGTTCTGGGATTACAGGCATGAGCCACCAAGCCCAGCTTGCCTCTTCGGTCTTTCTACACTGATTAAATGTCCTCAAAGAACTCCTTGCCTAGCTTGAAGGGTAGGGGCCTTGATACATGGTGATGGTCCCAGACATCTGGGAAAGACATCTATTATTATTATTTTATTATTTTTTTGAAATGGAGTTTCACTCTTGTTGCCCAGGCTGGAGTGCAATGGCGTGGTCTTGGCTCACTGCAACCTCTGCCTCCTGGGTTCCAGCAATTCTCCTGCCTCAGCCTCTTAAATAGCTGGGATTACAGGCGCGCACCATCATGCCCAGCTAATTTTGTGTTTTTAGTAGAGACGGGGTTTCACCATGTTGGCCAGACTGGTTTCAAACTCCTGACCTCAGGTGATCCACCCATCTCAGCCTCCCAAAGTGTAGGGATTACAGGCATGAGCCACCATGCCCAGCCTATTATTGTTGTTGTTATTATTATTATTATTATTATTATTATTATTATTTTAAGATAGAGTCTTGCTCTGTCACCCAGGCTGGAGTGCGGTGGTGTAATCTCAGCTCACTGCAACCTCACCTCCCAGGTTCAAGCAATTCTCCTGCCTCAGCCCTCCAAGTAGCTGGGACTACAGGTGTGTGGCACCACACCCGGCTAATTTTTGTATTTTTTAGTAGAGACGGGGTTTGTCATGTTGCCCAGGCTGGTCTTGAACTCCTGGCCTCAAGTAATCTGCCCATGTTGGCCTCCCAAAGTGCTGGGATTATAGGCGTGAGTCACCGCGCCCGACCAGAAAGACATAGTCTTAACAA
This sequence comes from Homo sapiens, assembly GCF_000001405.40. Lineage (NCBI taxonomy): Eukaryota > Metazoa > Chordata > Mammalia > Primates > Hominidae > Homo > Homo sapiens. Next base: position 70,091,298 of record NC_000008.11, read on the forward strand.
GAGCAAGTAGCTTTATTTGCCAACGACCAGTTTGGGCTTAGTTCATCGGAAAAGGCTATTGCCTACCTTGGATGAAAGAGCCTGGGACTGGCTGCCCCTGTGTCCCTCCCCGGAGCCTGCTTGTCTATTAGAAGAGGCTGGAAGGTGGGCCTTTGGTCTTAGCAGGGATAGCCCTGCAGTTTCTCTCCACGCTTGGTCCCAGGAAGTCTCCCTTCTAGTTAAGAGGCTGGTGGTGCTGGACTCCTTACCTGGAGAGTATACCTCCTCAACTCCAGTAGCTCAACTCCTGACCTTTGGAAACAGATTAAATACCACCATTTCTATAAAACCTTCCAATGCAAAGTAGTCACTCCTATTTCCTATAATTTACTTCACTTGGGAGGACTATAACTTTCTGCCCTACTTTTTTTTTTTTTTTTTTGAGGAAGGGTCTTGATCCTTTGCCCAGGTTGTAGTGCAGGGGTGTAATCATAGTTCACTGCAGCCTTGACCTCTCAGGCTCAAGCAATCCTCCTACCTCAGCCTCCCACTTAGCTGGGACTACAGGTGCTCACCACCATGCCTGGCTAATTCTTTTTTGTATTTTGTAGAGATGAGGTCTTGCTATGTTGCCCAGGCTGGTCTCGAACTCCTGAGCTCAAGGAATCCTCCCACCTGGGCCTCTCAAAATGTTGGGATTACAGGCATGAGCCACCGTGCCCAGCCCAGGTACCCTACTTCTGTAGTTGCTTACTTATATTTGTATCTTCCAGGTAGACCATAAGGCATTCATTTTTGCCCTTTCAAAGCAGTTTGTAAGTAAATAATGGCAAAAACCACAATTTTGCACTGACCTTAATATTTGTTTGGTCAGTGAAGGAGTGAATTACATTGGCTTCCATCATTTTCTTTCCTTTCATCTTCCTCTGCAGCCCCTCCTGCGCATCTTCCTTTCCACCTTTCAGCCAAAAATGCTCCTGCTCACTCAGAAATGCCACTTTCACTATCATGTCCACAGCATGGCATTTTCTTAAGGGGAGCCCCCACTACCTGGGCTGGAGTTAGACACATGCCTGGCAGGCAGCAGAAATAGAAGTGCTTAAGTCCCTGATACACATGCAGGATATTCACAATACCCAGAGAAGCCTCGCCACAGCATCTGCCAATGCACTGCAGAGGCTGCAGGGGTGTCCCGCGGGTCTATCCGGCATCCATCCACACCTCTTCAGAAACTCTCGAATTTCCTGAGGCCAGACCACGGGGCAGTGTGTTTTGTGATGGAGCCCTAGATCGCAGGTTGGCCAACCCAAGTGCATGTTCCGACTCCACTACCTACTGGTTGGGAGTCTCAGGAGATTCTGGACAATGAAGAGAACCAGGGAATGAGGGGTCCACCAGAGGCTGAACTCACCATTCAGCAGCACAGATTCTGACAACAGAACAGGGCGTTAGAGGGAGTCAGTGGGCTGGTGGGCACTGGATGCAAGAGGACCCCACAGGGGTCGATGAATCCAGGGATCTGAGTCTAGACTGTGAGGTCAGCTTCCTGGTGATTGGAGCTTTGTTGTATTGTGAGAGAGCTCATTGATTCCGCATGAGCTGCCCTCCATTTGGCCAGCTGCACCCAAGGCCTCAGCATGCTGAATCCAGAGCAGTCTAATAATCAAGAAGCCCCATTTCTACCTTGTCCACCGCTTACTCACGTGCTCCTACCACATGGCCTGGCGACCGTGGGCTCAGTTGGAAGTCCTGGATTTTACCCATCTGTTGACCCCTGGCCTCCACACCATTAGTTCCTGCCACACTGCACATACTTCATAAATATACACGAATTGAATTGAAATATGTTCTTTGTAGGGCAGTTTGGAAAAGGGTAGATTCAGAGAAGGCACTTACTTTTTAGGAAGTATCATTTTCTGTGTTTTCGTTTTGTTTTTAAATTCCAAGAGGAATTTAAAAATCCTCTTGTTCAGACCACATAGAAACTATTAAGAGAGAGCTCGTCTCTATGAGAAACCACTGGCAAGAGGGTGCTGGGCCGAGGGCGCCGGTGTCTCTGTGGAAAAGGCAAGTAGACAGTCCAAATCAGGAGCGGGACAATGGCCAGCTGTGGAACAAGAGAACAAACAGTGAAAAGCGAACTTTCACAGGGAGAAGGCAAAGCAATTGCCGTGGTTACTCCCTCGCTTGGGAGGTCATCGCAGCTGCTTAGCTCAGGGTCTGGGGCCCCCCAGTGGGAGAAACATTCTGCTTTCTCTGCAGGAGGTTTGTGCGTAGGCGTTTCTGATGATGAAAGTACGCAGTTTATTATCATTATAGCATATTTACAAACGTTGGAAAAAAGTCAGAGAAAAAAGTTATGTGAATTTCATCAGCTAAAAATGTCTAATGAGGAAAGACTAAGAAAACTGATACTACAGTTATGTGTCGCTTAACGACAGGGATGCATTCTGAGAGCAGAGTTGCCGGGTGATTTCATTTTTGTGTGAACATCATGAAAAGTTCATAGAAGGTTAATAGCCTATATAATAGGTGACAGAATCATTGACTTAAGTTATGTCCAATTTTTCAATAATATAAATAATGCCAACATAAGTTTGTGCTCACAGTTTTTCTGTATTTCGTATTATTTGCCTTAGGTAAGATTCTCTGAAATGGGACAAACAAAAAAGACTCCTGATACCTGTTGTCAATTTTTCTTTTTCTTTTTTTTGGAGACAGAGGCTCGCTCTGTCACCCAGGCTGGAGTGCAGTGGCACAATCTCAGCTCACTACAGCCTCCACCTCCCGGGTTCAAGCAATTCTCCTGCCTCAGCCCCCAGCCTAGACAGGGAATTTCAAAGACCTGTGATGACTATGGTAAAGGCTCTAGAGAAGAAGGTGGACAACATGCATGAACAGATGGGAAATTGCAGCACAGAGATGAAAACAGCAAGAAAGAGTCAAATAAAAGTGCTAGAGGCCGGGTGCAGTGGCTCTTGCCTGTAATCCCAGCACTTTGGGAGGCTGAGGCGGGCAGATCACGAGGTCAGGAGATCGAGACCACCCTGGCTAACATGGTGAAACCTCATCTCTACTAAAAATACAGAAAATTAGCTGGGCGTGGTGCCAGGCGCCTGTAGTCCCAGCTACTCCGGAGGCTGAGGCAGGAGAATGGCGTGAACCCGGGACGCGGAGCTTGCAGTGACCCAAGATCGGGCCACTGCACTCCAGCCTGGGGGACAGAGCGAGACTCTGTCTCAAAAAAAAAAAAAAAAAAAGTGCTAGAAAGGCCTGGTGTGGTGGCTCACACCTGTAATCCCAGCACTTTGGGAGGCCAAGGTGGGTGGATCACTTGAGGTCAGGAGTTTGAGACTAGCCTGGCCAACATGGTGAAACCCTGTCTCTACTAAAAATACAAAAATTACCCGGGTGTGGTGGCATGCACCTGTAATCCCAGCTACTCAGGAGGCTGAGGCAGGAGAATCGTTTGAACCCAGGAGGCGGAGGTTGCTGTGAGCCGAGATTGTGCTATTGCACTCCAGCTTGGGTGACAGAGTGAGACTCCATCTCAAAAAAAAAGAAAAAGGAAGGAAGGAGGGAGGGAAGGAAGGAAGGAAGGAAGGAAGGAAGGAAGGAAGGAAGGAAGGAAGGAAGGAAAGAAACAAAGAAAGAAAGTCAAGTAAAGTGCTAGAAAGGGCTGGGTTCGGTGGCTTAAACCTGTAATCCCAGCACTTTGGGAGGCTGAGGCAGGCGGAACACCTGAGGTCAGGGATTTGAGACCAGCCTGAGCAACATGGAGAAACCCTGTCTCTACTAAAAATACAAAATTAGCTGAGCATGGTGGCGTATGCCTGTAGTCCCAGCTACTCAGGAGGCTGAGGCAGGAGAATCACTTGAACCCGGGAGGCGGAGGTTGCGGTGAGCTGATATCGCGCCATTGCACTCTAGCCTGGGCAACAAGAGAGAAACTCTGTCTCAAAAAAAAAAAAAAAAAAAAAAAGTGCTACAAAGGCCAGGCAGGGTGGCTTACATCTGTAACACCTGTAATCCCAGAACTTTGGGAGGCTGAGGCGCAGGCAGAGGATTACTTGAGGTCAGGAGTTTGAGACCAGCCTGGCCAACATGGTGAAACACCATCTCTACTGAAAATACAAAAATTAGCCAGGTGTGGTGGTGCATGCCTGTAATCCCAGCTATTCAGGAGGCTGAGGCAAGAAAATCACTTAAATGCTGGAGGCCGAGGTTGCATTGAGCTGAGATCAGGCCACTGCACTCCAGCCTGGGTGACAAAGCCAGACTTTCTCAAACATAAATAAATAAATAAGTGCTAGAAATTAAACAGCTGGTGCCAGAGATTCTTCAATAAACTTACCACACGACTCAACAGAGCTGGTGAAAGGATCAGCGAAGGTAGGTTAATAGAAATTATCCAACTATTCATCTTTGTCCTGGGCTAGGTAAAAAAAGAAAAGAAAGAAAAGGAAAAGAAATAACTCAACTAAAAATTCAGAGATCTTTACAAAATCACTAAGATAATTTATTTTTGGAGTTCTGTTGTGTTCTTTGCCTCCCTATTATTCCTTGCCTCCTCCTATTTTCCCTCAAAACTCTTTTTTTTTTTTAAAGACGGTCTCATTCTGTCGCCCAGGCTGGAGTGCAGTGGCGTGATCATACCTCACTGCAGCCTAGAACTCCTGGGCTCAAGCAATCCTCCTACCTTAGCCTCCCAAAATGCTGAGATTACAGGTGTGAGCCACCATGCCTACTTAATTTAAAATAAATTTTTTGTTGAAGAGACAGGGTCTTGGCCGGGTGTGGTGGCTCATGCCTGTAATCCTAGCACTTTGGGAGGCCAAAGCAGGAGGATCACTTGATCCCAGGAGTTCAAGACCAGCCTGAACTCTACTTATTTTATTTATTTAGGGAGCAACATAGGGAGATCCTGTCTGTACTTATTTTATTTATTTAATTTTTTTTTTTTTTTTGAGACTGAGTCTCGCTCTGTCACCCAGGCTGGAGTGCTGTGGCACGATCTCGGCTCACTGCAACCTCTGCCTCCTGGGTTCAAGCAATTCTCTTGCCTCAGCCTCCTGAGTAGCTGGGATTATAGGCATGTGCCACCACGCCCAGCTAATTTTTATACTTTTAGTAGAGACAGGGTTTCACCATGTTGGTCGGGCTGGTCTCGAACTCCTGACCTCGTGATCCACCTGTCTTGGCCTCCCAAAGTACTGGGATTATAGGCGTGAGCCACCACGCCCGGCCATTTATTTATTTTTTGAGAATGGGTTATGAAACTGGCTAATTTTTCGTATTTTTCGTAGAGACCAGATTTTTCAATTTGTCCAGGCTGCTCTCCAATTCCTGGCCTCAAGTGACCCATCTGCCTCAGCTTCCCCAAATGCTGGGATTACAGGTGTAAGTCACTGCACCTGGCCCCTTTCACCCATTTCTTATGAGCCTAGTAGCTTCTTTTTTTTTTTTTTTTTTTTTTTTTTTAGACAGAGTCTTGCTCTGTCGCCCAGGCTGGAGTGCAGTGGCATTCACTGCAACCTCTGCTCCCAGGTTCAAGTGATTCTCCTGCCTGAGCCTCCCTGAGTAGCTGGGATTACAGGCATGTGCCACCACGCCTAGCTACTTTTTTTGTATTTTTAGTAGAGATGGGGATTCACCGTGTTGGCTAGGCTGGTCTAAACTGCCTGACCTCAAGTGATCCACCAGCCTCCACCTCCTGAAGTGCTGGGATTACAGGCGAGAGCCACCTCACCCACCCCCAGTAGGTTCTTTAATTCTCTTCTGAAACTAGTGAGGTATCTTGTTTCAGGTCTTACTATGTTGGCTCTTTTTCCTTGAACAGTGTTAAATAATCTTATTTAATTGAATCTAGGGCCAGTCGTGGTGGCTCACACCTATAATCCCAGCACTTTGGGAGGCCGAGGTGGGTGGATCATTTGAGATTGGGAGTTTGAGACCACCCTGGGCAACATGGTGGGCGAAACCCCATCTCTACAAAAAATACAAAAATTAGGTGGTGTTGTGTGTCTATAGACCCAGCTACTCGGGAGGCTAATGTAGGAGGATCACCTGAGCCCAGGCAGGGTGAGGCTGCAGTGTGCCGTGATCATGCCACTATACTCCAGCCTGGGCGACAGAGTGAGACGCTGTCTCAAAAAAAAAGAATCTAAATGTCTTCAGTTGTTGAAAGATGAACTTTTCTTTTTCTTGAGATGAAATTTCACTTGTTACCCAGGCTAGAGTGCAATGGCGCGGTCTCAGCTCACTGCAACCTCCGCCTCCCATGTTCAAGTGATTCTCCTGCCTCAGCCTCCCAAGTAGCTGGGATTACAAGCACCTACCACCATGCCTAGCTAATTTTTGTGTTTTCAGTAGAGACGGGGTTTCTCCATGTTGGCCAGGCTTGTCTCAAACTCCTGACCTCAGGTGATCCACCTGCCTCAGCCTCCCAAAGTGCTGGAATTACAGGTGAGCCACTACACCAGGCCGAAATATTAACTTTTTTTTTCTTTTGAGACTTTTTGCTCTTGTTGCCCAGGCTGGAATGCAGTGGCCGATATTGAACACCTCCCGGGTTCAAGCAATTCTCCTGTCTCAGCCTCCCGAGTAGCTGGGATTATGGCACATACCACCATGCCTGGCTAATTTTTGTATTTTTAGTAGAGATGGAGTTTCATCATATTGGTCAGGCTGGTCTCGAACTCCTGACCTCAGGTGATCCACCCACCTCAGCCTCCCAAAGTGCTGGGATTACAGGCGTGAGCCACTTCACCCGGCCGAAAGATGAACTTTTATTTTATAACCCATAATAATGAAAAAGATGCTGCCAATTTAACCATGACAACCTCATCCTATCACTTAGAATTTAACTTTTTATATTTATTGAAAGAGCTATTTTAGACTTGCTAGACATAAATTTTAATCATATATCACTCTTGTGAAAAAGAAAATACGAGAGAAATAATTTGGTTAAGGTGTTCCTAAAATTCACACTCAGAATCCAGTGCTAATGAATCACTTTTTGACTTGGAGTTTTCAATGTCTGTGTTTCTATTATTATTATTATTATTTTTTTTTTTTGACGAAGTCTTGCTCTGTGGCCAGGCTGGAGTGCCGTGATGCAATCTCGGCTCACTGCAACCTCCACCTCCTGGGTTCAAGTGATTCTCCTGCCTCAGCCTCCTGGGTAGCTGGGACTACAGGTGCCCACCACCATGCCTGGCTAATTTTTGTATTTTTAGTAGAGATGGGGTTTCACCATGTTGGCCAGTATGGTCTCGATCTCTTGACCTCGTGATCCACCTGCCTGGGCCTCCCAAAGTGCTGGGATTACAGGCATGAGCCACCATGCCTGGCCAATGTCTGGGTTTTTTTTTTTTTTTTGAGACGGAGTTTTGCTCTTGTTGCCCAGGCTGGAGTGCAATGGCATCATCTCCGGCTCACCACAACCTCCGCCTCCTGGGTTCAAGCAATTCTCCTGCCTCAGCCTCCCGAGCAGCTGGGATTACAGGCATGTGCCACCACACCCAGCTAATTTTGTATTTTTAGTAGAGATGGGGTTTCTCCATGTTGGTCAGGGTGGTCTTGAACTCCCAGCCTCAGGTGATCTGCCCGCCTCAGCCTCCCAAAGTGCTGGGATTACAGGTGTGAGCCACTGCGCCCAGCTGTCTGTGTTTTTTGTGTAATATTATCCTCTTTGTCTTAAGAATATTGGTGATCTGGGAATTAAAGAGTGCTTCAATTGTAGCCATTGAAATGCAAAGGATAGGAAAGAAAAGGAGAGGGGAGGGAAGGGGAGGGGAGGGGAGAAGGAGGGAGGGGGGAGGGGAGAGGAGGAGAGGAGAGGGAAAAAGAGTGCTCCATTATTGTCTCTGGGGTTTTCCTCCAAGATATTCAGAATCATTCTATATGTTTTTATTCTAGTACATTTTGGTTTTACTGGGTGTCCAGACAAGTACCAGAACTCATATTTCTCCTCTGAATTGACTTCATTGACTGAAATGTTAAGAATTTTAGTCATATTTCATTGTCCAGTCACACGTCTTCTCTTCCGACTTGTGAAGTGTTTTTTTTTTTTTTTTTTTTTTTTTTTTGGTAGAGACAGTGTCTTGCTATGTTGCCCAGGTTGGTCTTGAACTCCTGGTCTCAAGCAATCCTCCTGCTTCAGCCTCCCAAAGTGCTGGGATTAGAGGCATGAGCCACAGTGCCCAGCCTTGGTTTGTGTAGTTTTTGACTGGAGGATTGCACCAGCTGGGCATGGTAGTACACAACTGTAATCTCAGCTTCTTGGGAGGCTGAGGTGGGAGGATTGCTTAAGGCCAGGAGTTCAAGACCAGCCTGGGCAACATAGCAAGACTCCATCTCTAAAAAATAAAAATCAAAAGAAGATTGCAGTCATTCTTATGCCGTTCACCTGTGTGTAATGCGTCATCTTTCTCTGGCTGCTTTTATGGTTTCCCTTTTCATCACTGGCATTCATCCATTTGATTGTGGTGCGTCTTGGTGCGTGTATGTTGATGTGTCTATAAGTAAATGAGTGTGGGTGGTGCATGCGTTTTATCCTACTTGAGGCTTGTGAGCTTCTTGGATCTGTGGATGTATATCATTCATCAGATTTGGAAAATTTTGTCTTTATTTCATTAAATATTGCTGTTATGCCATAGTTCACCTCTTTCTTCACAGATCTATTTCTTCACATATATTCGGGTCTGCTCCTCTGTGATTTCTGTGGACTTCTCTTTCTTGGGGAAAACTGAGAAGAGAGAATTCAGTGGGATGAACTGTAGTCGCCATCAATGCCATTGGTCTTGAGACCACAACTGGCACTTGCCTTCTTTCTCCCCCTCCATTCATTCTAAATTCCCCTCATCCTCAGCAATCACCTCAGGAGGCCTTGGCTTCCCTGGGGGTGTGACCCAAATCTTCATTCCTGAGGGCTCTGAGTCTTTCAGTCCAGATTTGCTGCATGTGTCCATTCACAGTTACAATGGATCCAGGCAATTCTGGGATGCACTGGACAGCCCTACTTCCTCCTGCCAATCAGGGTTAATTGCCCTGCCACTGTAGTGACTCTTCTCACCTGCTGGTTCTGGGCATGTGAAGTCCTAAGTGTGCCAGTGGCGGCCGTAACTTGTAGTTCAATGGACCCTTACCATGTCCACTGGCAAGTGTGCTCCCTTCGAGATCAGGACCTCCAACGCTGCAGCACCCAGAGTTTCGGGGATGACAAGGATAAAATTCCCCAGTGGGCTATTGGGAATCATGTTGAAAGGGGCCATTCCTGCTTCCATCCCTTGAGTCCCAGATCCACATATTCTCTGATTAAGGACACAGTGCCATTTAGAGGTTTCTGATTTAGTGCATAAGTTGAATCCTGAAGGAGTATGCCTCCGAGCTAGCACTTCCCGTTGTTTTTCAGGAAGCTGCTCCCAAGCTCTGTGAGGCCAGCTGCTTCAACCTGGAGCAGTCTGTCATATGACCATGGACCCTATGGCCAGGGGCCCCCTCCTGCCCCACCTTCACTAGGAAGTTGGGCCTCTTGTCAGATATTCTGCTCCTTGTAATTCTGTGTTTGTGAATCAGGAATCCCCCAAGCCTGGCAGAGGATCTGTGGTCAGGGAAGGTCAATCCATGCCCGGGTATCTAAAGCGGTGAGGATGAACTGCTGACCCTCCAAGATTGAAGGGGCACGATGTGTTTGCCTTTCACAGATCTGGTCTGGAGATATAGCGCCATACTGGGGCTCAGTATTGGTCCCTGTTGCTCACAAGTTGGACATTCGGAGGCAGCAATGGCTAGCTCTGCCTTGGTAAGTGAAAATCCACGTTGTTGGGCCCAAGCAGAGCCCCGTCTCTGCCACCATGGGCATGCCATTCATGTCTCCAGCCGTTCTGGGGTGACTGAAGGTGGCTCATGTCCACTGGCAAGTCATTTTGTCTACTTGGTTGTTCAGTGCGTCTCTTGTGGTAGATGTTTCCAGTGGGCATTAACATGCAAATCAGAAGTCCTTGAACTGTCTACCCATTTCCATATGCACATCCACATGCCTCTTTCTCAGGATTCCTTGTCTCCAATCTTCCAATCTGTTTCCTTCCAAGTCCCTGACCAGATGCTCAGACCATTGGTCATTGGCCAGGAATTTGTACATATTTTCCCTTCAGGCCACTTTTCCTCACACGTATCTACTCCTTGCAGCTTCCCCCATTGAGAACATTGTTCCCTCTTTCCGGGCCACCCGTCAGTGTGGCTAATGTCCGCTTTTAGCTCTACCCATGAACTGAGCAGATCCATCTGTAAACCAAGCTTGGGCTTTTTCCTTCTTATTTAGCCAGTCATATGGACTCTCCCTAGTAGGCTGTACACATAACCAGGGGAGGGCATGGGTGCATCTGTTATGGGTGACATGGGCCTCTGGGCTTCTTGCTCATGCAGCTTACTCATGCCCTGTGGCCCCTCCAGGACCCAATCCTGATGGATCACTTCCATTTTATGATTGCTGCTGGACACATGTGACTTTATGACTTGTTGGGTCCAACAGAACCCAGTTCCCAGCAGTCACTTATGGACGTGTGGTCACATGGTGTTTGGTAGCCAAGGGTTCTATCTCCACCAGGCTCCAGTAACAGTTGCTTCTCAAACAGCATAAGCTGCTCTGCTGTGGATATCATGGTCTTGCTCCAGAATCCCAGGAGGCTGCGATCTGATTCTTCCACCAGAGCTCGCCATTACCCATCCCCTCACGCTGCCTCCTTTCCAACTGCTGACTACCCCTACCCCACCAACACCATAGGGTCTGAAGATCAGATGGTCCAAGTTGCAGTGTGGTTTGCACTGTGGCCTGGACCTGTCACATAACCCTTTCCTGCTCCAGGCCTCACTCAAAGCTGGAAGCCTTCTGTGTCACCTGGTTTACAGGCTGGAGAAGTATTCCTGCATGTGGAAGGCACTGAATAGTAGTCCTCAGAGTGTAGGGTGTTACCTGCAAAACTCAAATAGCTCTACCAGGAGCTGTGCCTCCTTGTTTGTGGTAGGAGATTCCAGATGCAGCAATTTGCCTTTCACTTTGAAGTGGTTATCTTGGCATGCCCTCCATCACTGGACCTCTCAAAATGTCACTGAAGCAGCCAGTCCCTGAGTCATCATAGCATTTACTTCCCACGAGCTTACCAAGACTTCTGGTATATGAGCCTCTCATCTGTCCTGTGCAATCAGCACAACGTCACTGATAGAATGGGTCAGCGTCATGTTCTGCTTGATGTCTGCGTGGTCCAGGTTCTCTTTGGACTATATCATGACAGATGTTGGGAAACTTAATATAGTCCTGAAATAAACTATAAATGAATATTCCTGTTTCTCTTGTTTGAAAGCAAATATTTCTGGTTCTCTTTTCTAATTACAATGGAAAGGAATGCACTTGCCAAATCACTGGCTGCATCACCACGTACCTGATGCCTAGTCTGCCACGGTGACAATATCACATCCAGCCTTGCAGTGCAATCAGAAATGAAGTTGGTTACATCTGTGGTAGCCTACAGTCATTCTCCGGGGTGCAAAAGCAGGGATCACCCTGCAAATGCTAAGGGCCAGCACTCTGTATTCTATATGAAGGTCTTTAATGGTGCTCATCTGCACTGCCCCACTCCACTCCAAGGCAGTACAGGCCAGCAACCCAACATGAGGATTATTCCAACTGCCAAGCATAAAATTCCTGTTGTATAATCAGGGACTTGGGAAAAGCCAACTGGGACCATGGAACCACTGGGCCCACTGTGAATGGGACTTCAGCCAGTACTCCATTGATCACTTGGCCCCCAATCTAGCAGGGGCTCGGGATAACGCTCATGTTTTCAGGTATCAATGTCAACTCAGACCCTGTGCCAAGAATCCTTTAAATGTCTCCCAGTGTATAGTCACCTGAGTAAATGACCATAGCTCCCTTTAGGGAAATACTGGGGGAATCCTTGCAGTATATATTTGCCATGAGATTGCAGGGTTCTTACCCCTAGGGTCTTGGCCACCTCCTATCAGTGAATTTTGGATTTGAAAATTGGCTCAGTTCTGGAAACTGAACAAGAATCATGACTTTTAATTGAGGCAACTGCTCCTTCATTCTTTGCTTTTCTTTTTTTTTTTTTTTTTTTTTAGGTTTGTAATATGACCTTTATTGAGCTTATCCACCAGAGTGGAAATAATGTCTGTACAAAACCAAATGTTTGTTACTCTAACTTCTGCATCACAATTAAAATCCAAACAGTTTTTCAAAAACAGTCCACTCAATCAAAACCCACTACTTCAGAATCAATAGCTTCTTTGAAGCCACAGTAATACTTAAATATGGTTAAGACTGGAATGCAGAAATTTGGTTGGTTGGAAAGCTAATTAAACTTCCAGATTGCTCACATAGAATTTCAAAAAGGCAAAATTGTGTTTTTTACAGAGATGCAGTCCACTGGAATCCGCAACACTGGACAGCTGGCAGAGTATTTAGAGTCCTGAGATATCAAGGAATCCAGGCAGCCTTTAGACAGTCTTCTGTTGTCCTTTCTTCCCAGTCAGAGATTTGTGGATGTGTGGAATGACACCACCACCAGCAATCGTAGCCTTGATGAGAGAATCCAATTCTTCATCTCCACGGATAGCAAGTTGCAAGTGACCAGTGGTACTACGCTTTACCTTTAAGTCTTTGGATGCATTTCCTGCCAGTTCAAGTACCTCTGCGGTGAGGTACTTCAGGATGGCTGCGCTGTACACAGCGGCAGTCGCGCCCACACGTCCATGATTGGTCGTCCTAGATTTCAGGTGTAGATGAATACGCCCAACTGGGAACTGCAAGCCGGCTCTCTGGCAGCGGGAAACCGCCTTTGTCTTGGCCTTTCCGGAGTCCTTCCCAGCCTTACCGCCAGTCATTTCGAATTCTGCTGAAGCTCAAGCAAGGCAGAGAAAGGGCTAATCAGACCCATGGCGAGACTCCTTCGTCCCACCGCGATTCAAACTGCCCATTCTTATCTTTTTTGATTGTAGCTGTTAAGCCGATAGCTCGCGGTAGGGAAGGATGGGCCTTCTCTACAAGCCGAGAAGGCTCAGGGAGCTTCAGTCAATAGCTTCAGAAGTATCCATCCAGATATTTCCACCCATGTTGAAGGGCCCCAGGCTTTTCCTACAAGGGTTCTATCTTTTGCGTAACAGACCTTCCTTAGTTCAGCATCTAAAACCTCTTAACAATTAGCTCCTTAACCTGCCAATCGCCTGAAAGTAGGGAGGAATCGAGGGGAGGCTAGAAGAGCGGAAAGACCGTGAAGGAAGGTTAGGTGAAAGGGTCTAAAAGTGCAGTCCCAAATCCAAGTTTGGCAAGGCCGACAGAGTGCTTGAGTCAAGGTTGCTCCTTACAGCAGTCCTGTCTCCTGTTGGGTCTGCCTTGGTATCCCTGCCACATTTTATTTATTTATTTATTTATTTAGAGACAGAGTCTCACTCCGACACCCAGGCTGGAGTGCAGTGGCGTCATCTCGGCTCACTGCAACTTCCGCCTCTCCGGTTTAAGCGATTCTCCTGCCTCAGCCTCCGGAGCAGCTGGGACTACAGGCGCGCGCCACTATGCCCTGCGTAGAGACGGAGTTTCATCATGTTGGCCAGGCTGGTCTCAAATTCCTGACCTCAGGTGATCCGCCCGCCTCGGCCTCCAGAAGTGTTGGGATTACAGGCGTGAGCCACCGCGCCCAGATGATTTGGCTTCTTAATCACGCATCCAGAGGTGCTGGCTGGCTCCTGAGCCGGGAGACATCTGTGGGAAACTTCGCTTGCTTCTTGACGTTACTCACTGCTTGCCATTCAGCTTTCCAGGGGCTACAAAATGAGTCACCACCCTTTTATCAGCTTTCAACTTACATTTTGTTGCTGTTGTTTCATCTCCTATTATCCTTGTCCTTGTGGGTTTATGCCTTTATAAAAAGGCATTTGGGCCAGGCGCGGTGGCTCATGCTTATAATCCCAGCACTTTGTGAGGCCGAGGCGGGTGGATCACTTGAGGCTGGGAGTTTAAGACCAGCCTGGGCAACATAGTGAAACCTTTCCGTCTCTACAAAATGTAAAAAATTAGCTGGGCTAGGACTACGCCTGTAGTCCTAGCTACTCAGGAGACTGAGGTGGAAGGATCATTTGAGCCCAGGAGTTCGTGGATGTAGTGGCTATGGTTATGCCACTGCACTCCAGCCTGGGTGACAGAGATCCTGTGTGTGAAAAAAAAAAAAAAAAAAAGGCATTTGGCTGGGTGCAGTGGCTCATGTCTATAATCCCAGCACTTTGGGAGGCCGAGGTGGGCAGATCACTTGAGGTCAAGAGTTCGAGACCAGCCTGGCCAACACGGTAAAACCCCATCTCTACTACAGATACAAAAATTAGCTGGCTGTTGTGGTGCACACTTCTAGTCCTAGCTACTTGGGAGGCTGAGGCAGGAAAATCGCATGAACCTGAGAGACAGAGGTTGCAGTGAGCCGAGATCACACCACTGCACTCCAGCCTGGGCCACAGAGTGAGACTCTGTCTCAAAAAAAAAAAAAAAAAAAAAAAAAGGCATTTGTGTTAGTGGGATATGGGAGGGAGATGAGGTAGTCATGGGTTCAATCCTCCATTCTAACTGACCTCTTTAATAGGCTATTAACTGATTTCCCTGGACTTTTTAAAAAAAAAAATTTGGCCCCGTGTGGTATTTCATTTTTAAAATTTATTTTAACTTTTTGTTGTTGTTGTTGAGACTGAGTTTTGCTCCTGTTGCCCAGGCTAGAATGCAGTGGCATAATCTCAGCTCACTGCAACCTCTGCCTCCTGGGTTCAAGCGATTCTCCTGCCTCAGCCTCCCGAGTAGCTGGGATTACAGGCACGCGCCACCACACCCGGCTGATTTTATTTATTTTTTTTTTTTGTGGAGACAGGGTTTCACCATGTGGGCCAGGCTGGTCTCGAACTCCTGACCTCAGGCGATCCGCTTGCTTCGGCCCCCCAAAGTGCTGGGATTACAGGTGTGAGACGCTGCGCCAAGCCATAATTATTTTTTAAATTGAGACATTTCTCCACATAGTTGCTGGCCTTTTGAAAACAAAAGTTAGGTCCTATTACTCCCTTTTAAAAACTCTCCAGGCCAGGTGTGGTGGCTCATGCCTGTAGTCCCAGCACTTTGGGAAGCCAAGGGCCGGGGGGGGTGGATTATCTGAGGTCAGGAGTTCGAGACCAGCCTGACCAACATGGAGAAACCCCATCTCTACCAAAAATACAAAATTAGCGGGGCGTGGTGGCACATGCTTCTAATCCCAGCTACTCAGGTGTCTGAGGCAGGAAAATTGCTTGAACCTGGGAGGTGGAGGTTGCAATGAGCCCAGATTGCGCCATTGCACTCCAGCCTGGGCAACAAAAGCGAAACTCCGTCTCAAAACAAAAAAAACAAAAACGAAAACAAACAGAAACTCTCCACTGGCTTCCATACTTAGAATAAGAACCAAGTTCCTTGCTTTGGTCCTTGAGACCTTGGATGATCTGGCCCCAGGCTGCGTTTTGGCCCTCGCCTCCTGAGGTTGCCCCTCAAGTGTCTTTCTAACCACACACTGGCTTCACCGTCCTTCAGACATCACAAGTTGGTTTTGTCTCCTGACCTTTGTACCTGCTGTTTGTTCTACCTGGAACACACCTCCCAGTTTCTTCCATATCAGGCTCCCTCACTTTCTGATCTCTGACCAAATGATGAAAGGGTCAATGCATCAGAAGGGCATGTAACTGTTATATTGGTACTGTCTATGTGCCAAATAGTGTTTCAAAGTACAAAAGCAGAGATAATATACTTAAAGGGAGAAAGAGACCTCAGTAACTGATAACAAACCAGATTAAAAATTAGTAAGGAACCACTTATATTCTGTCTACAAGGTTGGAAGTTAAAGGATGAATAAAGATACAACCTGCAAAATGAATCCAGCTTTAGCATGTCTATGTGCATTTCGGACAAAGAAAACAAGGCAAGGAAGCTTACCAGAGACAGTGTGGGGCATTATATAAAAGAGCCAGTTTGTCTTGAGAAACGTATATGCTCCTAATAACATAGCTTCTGAGTGAAGTAGCAAAAATCAACAGAAGTGAGAAAAATTCCAAACCATAATCGGAGACTTTGTTAGCATTAGTAGACAAAATGTGTAGGATGCTGCTAAAAGCTGTAAAGAGGACGTATAGCCTTGAAATTTATACAGTAGGAAAAAAAAAAAAAGGTTGAAAAATTTATACATTCTCAAGAAGTTAGAAAAAAACCTACCAAGATAAACCCAAAGTAAACACAAGCTAGGAAAAAAAATTGGTTCAAATATGCAGTAGGTGGAATAGACAGGTTTAAAAAGTAAGAGGAGACATTCTGAAGAATTAAACTGGAGGCCAGACAACTCTAGCCATATGGCTTCAGTCATGAGTTCTACCCAAAATACAAAGAAATACCTATCTTACCAAACTTACACATTTATTCCAGGTGCCAAAGAATGTTCATTTCCACCATAGTCCATGGAAGTTATTTGTGGCTATTACTAACCTCTTTTTTGCCAAATCAATAAATGAAAAATAGCATCTCCTTACTATTTTTGTTTGCAACTTATTATGATGTTCAACACCTAATATTAGCCATTTTTCACTTTCAGTATTTCATCTTTTTTGCTCATTTTCCTTTTTTCATTTTTAACTTTGTATTTTAATATTACTGTTATACATTATATTTGGTGAGTCTACAGTATATATGATTTATGTATATGTAGAATATTAGAATATTTTTGGTAGAATATTATATATATTACATATTAGATTTATATGTATACACATATATAATATATAAATAAATCTAATATAATCTTATATATAATAAATCTAATACTTATACACACACAAATATATGTATATTTACTTATCCATTTCTTAATAACTTGTTTTTCAAAAGATGTTTCCACTTTTCTGATAATGCAAACATAACCTTCTAGCAATTTTACATTTATGTTTAACCCTTGATCCATTTGGCATTTGTTAATATCGTGGGGTAGGGAGTTAAGCTTGGTATTTCACTCAAATGTGACCAACTGTCTCAACACCATTTTTTTTTAGAACAATGATTCTGTGAATTAGAAATGAAATCTGTCATATATTGATTTTATATTTACACAGCAATCTGTCTCTGGGCTCTTTTTCAAAGAGTATTTATTCCTATCTGTGTTAAGTAAAGGAATAAATAAAGAGTATTTATTCCTACCTGTGTTAAGTATTTTATACCACAAATCAATAGATTATAAAATGTTTTGTTAGAAGTCCCACATCTTCCAAATTTCTCATTATTATCATACATTTTTTCTTCCAAATGCATCTTACTTCTTTTTCTTGATAGGGATTGTCATGAATTTCGGGAAAGAATGAATGGTCTTATATTTGGGTCTTTCTGGGTTGATAGCATGTCTCCATTTTTTAAAATCTACATCTTTTGATTAACCTTTAGTTTTCTTCACAAAGCTCTGTGACACTTCCTGTTAGATGTAATTCCACTTAATAAGCATTGTATTATTTTGTTATTGTGAATGGGCATCTTTTAAAGATACGATTTCAAAATTAGTGTGGATAGATTACATTGATTTTTGTATAGTCTAGCCATCTTACAGAGCTTTTCTATTCATTCCAAAAGCAGGGCAAAACCAAAAACCCAAAAACCTTTCGGGTTTTCCCATAATCAAGTTGTCAAAAATGTTTTCTGTCTATTCTCGTATTAGTACTTTATTTCTTAGTCTTGGTAGTGGGGCTCCTTGTTTTGTTGACTTTAATTAATACTTTTAGTTCACCATTAAGATGTTTCATTGGGAATGCCATCAGATAACTTTAAATATATTTATGACATTTACTTTTCCTAGCTTTATTTTTTAAAAATGAATGAGAGCTAACGTTTGTCCTACACAAATTTATCAAATGGCACTCATTGTTAATCATGTTTATTTCTTCCTTTAATCTGTTAAAATAGTTAATAGCATTGATATAGTTTTCTAATCATTTTTTGGGGGATCTTTTAAAAATACAATTCCAGGTTGTATTTCCTAATATTTCACATAGTTTATGATCTAGGTTTCAGGTACTGTACTTGTACTGCTTATCAACTATTAAACCATTATGGATATTCTAATGCATGATACGACCTTCCTAAGCCAGTCAGAAGTCCACATTATTCTTGTAAATGTGTCTGGAGATTTGGGAGTGGAAGGTGGAACAGTATGGTGATGAGTCATCTAGGACTGAATGGAACTAGATGTGGCTTATATTTGCCATTAAGTTATTAGATAATCCTTTATTTCAAATGTAAAAATTTATAAAATGGGTTATTGGAAGAATTAAATGTTAAGGTGCTGTCAACAGTGTCAACTACCATATAAATATAATAAATTATTAAATTACAAGGTCTTTTTAAATGCAATTATGAAAGAAGATACAATATAAACACATTAAAATCTCTAAAGCCATGTAAAACCCGAAGGCATTAAAATTTATTAAATGATGCAATAACAACAGAATTCTTTATTTACAATAGCATTATTTAACATCAAATAAGCAAATAGCATCAGCAAAGCAATATTAACTTGCATAAATGTATTTAAAATTTCTCTGAATATATCTACCTTTGCATAAACTGCTCACACTAGAAATACAAACATCAATGCAGGTGAACAAAGTGATGTTCAGAGTCAACTCCATTTTGAAAATAAATCACAACCTGAAACACTGTAAGCTTTCTCCTGAAGAACCATAGTTAATATATTGCTTAATTTTACCCTTGTATAATCTTTTCATATACACACATCTCAGATGCAACTTCATGAGGAACTGTACAAATAAAACTCACAAATGACAAAGGAAAAAAATGACAGTTAAATGTCTGAAGAAATGTATCATCATCACTATTCAAACAACATAAAGGTTAAGTGATGATGCACTTATTCAAAAATTGTACACAATTCACTATACAAATATAATACATCGGACAGCTATGTAGGAATATACAAGACTTAAAAACAGATCTAAGGCATTATGCTAGATTTTAGCATTTTGAGGTTCTTGCACATAGCTTTTACCTGTAGTAAGAAACTTAAAAGATTTTGCTTTAGTCTATAAAGAAACACCAGGGAGAAAATTCTAATTAAAATCGAAGCCACTACAGTAATTTTCTTTTGTGCAGAGGATGCTTTGCTCTTAGGCAGCATACCACCATACAAACACTAGAAAATTTTAAATTCACACCAACAATTAATGGCTTAAGTTGCATTTCAAAACTGATTGTGTATCTTTGGGTTCTGCAAGTGGATCTGTGCCACCCATTTCATGTGTTAAGCCCATATGAACTCCATTTTTGAACACAGATTAAAAATTGCATTATATAAACTGCAAAAACATTGCTTTCAATTATTACAGGCCATAAGAGATACACATAGGGGGAGGGGCATTTTAATCTTTGAGTCAAACGAATTCATTGTAGTAAAACAGCTCACTTCACTTTTTAAACTTACCACATTACATGAACACTTAAAATGAGTTTTACAACCAAGTTAATGTATGTATACTTTTCACATTATGTTTTTCACATTTAGTAATATAAGTGAAACACTGATTATTTGTTCTATTAAACAAAAACCAAGTACTCAGTCTAACAAATTTATTGTGTACAGCATGAGAAATACTGATAATGAAGGGAACTGATTTGGCTTTTGCTTCTATAGTGATCAATATGATCAGAGGATTCCTTCACTTACTTTTCTTCTCCTAACTAGATGTAAAACAAAATCCATTACCTGATTGAAACCGTAAGAGAATTTATCATCTCTTTTCCTTCAAAACAGCAATGATCACGAATTATTATAAATTACCAGTATCATGAAGTTGCGGATTTGTCTGAATTAGGATTGACATTAAAATACAGCGGGCAGATGGATAAAAAAGAAGAGATAGGTAGATAGTTTTGGACGGTGTTGTAGTGAAAAGGGACTTGAAACTCAAAACAAAACAAATCCAGTTTAAACTCCATTTCTCTTTTGTGCTGTGTGAAGTTAAAAGTCATTCTAATTCACATATTTCTGAACATTAAAACTGGTCACACTGAATTGTATGCCACATGAGCCTCAGCCCACGGGGAGGTCCTGGAGTTCTGGGCCAACATCTGCTTGTTTTTTCCATCACAGTTGGGCAACCCAATGGTTTGGTGGAGAAAAGTAGAGCCTTTTGAGGGGATATATGAACTGGTGGCCACTGAGAAGTGTTGTTCCTTGGCCACCTCCCTGTATTGAGACCCCTCTCAAGTGGAAAAAAGTAGCGAAATGCAAATTTCCAGAAAGGTTCTTTAGTATGGAGCAACATTTTCAGACTGTCTACTTACCATCTATCTTTGGGCTATATCTCTTCCTATATTTCCATAATGCGTACATATAGAGAGAGATATAAGTATAAATAGGGGTAGTTTGTACATTTTTCACCCTGCCACAAATAAACAAACAATCAAATTTCAAGGAAAAACTTCTCTGTTCCTAAAAAGCCTGGCTAATGAGATATTATAAAATGCTTTGCTTTTTAGACATCAAAAAGATATCATTCTGAAATTTAGGTAAGAAAGGTATTAGGGGTTAAGGAGAAATAGCTCAAAAAAGGTCATCAGTTTCTTGGTATTGGAGTTGTCTGAAACTGACACCTATTAATAAAAGATTTTTCCCCTACCAGAGTGGGCAAGAAAAACAACCATAAAAGTGGCCTGCTTAGTAACATGTAGTCTTTCTAAGGTTCATTAAGAAAGAATATAAACATATAAAAATCAAGAATTGGTTCCTACAGCGGCTGCATATCATATAGATTAGATAAATGACTTATAAGCAGAATCACAAGGTTTAGAAAATAAAAAGTCTTAAGTCTACAAATTAGGTCTAATCAAGGCATTGATATCCTTTACAAAACACCTTTAGGAGACATTGCTATGAAGATATCTAATTTAATACTGAAGTACCTCATTTTTGAGTCAATTCCACAATATGTATACCTCACAAAAATTATACAATTAAAACACATAAGTTCTCAACTTAAATTATTGCTTGTTTACATATAAATTGGATTTTATGTACCTTACAAAACTTCGGCTTAGTCAGCACTGCTAAAAAACAAAATAAAAAACACATGGCAGAGGTTAAATCTGTCGTGATATCTGCTATCAATTTAAACACACTGGCGTTTTCTCCCATTTTGGAGGCCAGAGTTGCTGGGGAACAGAATAAACATGCTTCCAAAGCAGGTATCCTTAGCTCGATTGGTATCAAGCCTTAACTTTGCTCTTCTCCTTGCCAGTAAATGCATTTTTTTTTTCTGAAATTCAATACTTAGCAATTGGTAAGTGGCTGGCAAAACATTTAAGGAAATAAAGGGCTTACCTGGTTTCTGTAGCTTATATTATTTTTTAAAAAAGGAATGAAAATAGGGAGTATGGGGAATGAGAGAGGGGAAGGGAAGAGTCAGGCTGACAGGGAAGAAGAGATGCTGATTCAAGCTGTCTGATCAAACTAAAAGGGACTTAATTTAGAAATGAAAATTATTTCTTCTCAATTCATGATTCAGGTGAACCAGTTTGGTTTTAACAAAGAAAAAACAAGGAAAAAATATTTGCTAATGTTAACAGCCCTCTCACAGGCTCCTTTTCATCTGTTCAGTAACTGGAGACTCTTTCCAACATGGTCTTTAGAGCTTTCTAGAGATACGACTGTGACTTTGTTGGTCTTCACGCACTGGGTGTGTCTGTAAATACAGCGCTGTCCACGGTGTCTGTCCTGCTTCCATCCCAAATTCAGGCTTTAGCTTAAAACATCTTTAGTTTAATTTTTTAAAAAATTCTTTTCTTTCCCCCAGATAAAATCTTAATCTTTTGCACTAGACTGTTAGCCAGGGAAAACAAAGCAAGAAACCAGTGTCTGGAACCGAACAGGAACAGAACAAGAGCATGGTTCTCCTTAAATACATACATTTAAATACATTCAATCTGACATGGGTATGAAATTTGCCTGTCAACATTTACTTTTGCAGGAGAGATCTAAGTTGCACTAAGGTGAATGCAGTGAACAGACTGAGCGACTGTCTGGATGCGAGCTTCAGACTGTCAAGAGAAGAGGCAGCTCCTCCTGCCACAGCCGAGTGGACGCCACCCTGGGAACCAGGGCCAGGCCTGTCTGCTCTAGCAGAACCGGCTGGCAGGTCAGTTGGGTTGAAACAAATAGACACAGCTCTCCAGACTGGAAGTGTTTTGAGCAAGTGAGCCCGGTCAGCTGAAGAAGCAACTGGCTTCAGCAGTGTCAGCAATATTTCTGTAGGAAAACAGATAAAAAGTTGTGAAACATCTTTGAGGTTTTGAAAAAAACATCATAAAGCCCACCACAAAAACATCAAAATTCCTGACTGTTTTCAATAAAGCAAATCACAGAGGCCGCATCTGGATGAGTACATTCGATGTGGAGGTGAACAGGCAGAGGGCGCCATTCCTCCCTCCACACAACGCTTCCAGGAGCCAAGGAGGAGCCCAGCGAATCCTACATGCTATTTCTCGCAGGCCATCGTCTGCAAATGGATGATGAATCTCTCCTTAATGACCGCTCTCCAACCAACAACATCCTAGCTCAATTTCATTTCTCCCACCTTCAATAAAGATGACAGAACAATTCACCCAGCTGCTTTTTGGCAGCATCCGATCCAGAAGGGGCCACTGCTTCCTAATTCTTCCTCAAATTCATCCAGTACAAACCCTTCTTCTATAAAATGGCCCTCCTGATTTTCCCTAATCAGATACTCCCAAGGTTCTCTGGGTGTGTTCTCCCTGGCTTCAGCAAGCTAGATCATGATGGGTTTTGACTCCTGGGGTTTTGTATTTTTAGTAGAGATGGGGTTTCACCATGTTGGCCAGGTTGGTCTCAAACTCCTGACCTCAAGTGATCTGCCCGCCTTGGCCTCTCAAAATGCTGGGATTACAGGTGTGAGGCACTGCACCCGGCCTCTTGGGGTGTTCTTGCTGGTTTTTGGCTGCTATGTGCTGATGATGTGAATGACTGAATACCAAAGGTTATAGTGAGCAAATTATGTGGCGTTGTTTCTTTGGTTGGTGCAAATATATCTGTCAATGATTTTCTTTGGCTACCGACTATCTTCCTTCCAAAAGTTTTCATTCACTTAGCAAATATTAATTCAGCATCTATTACATGCTAGGTGCTGGGATATATCCACAACAAGACATTCTTGGTCACTGCTATCACAAAAATTGCCCGACTAGGCAAGGCTGACAACACTGGAGATTATAATTGTACCTTGCTACAAATCAAATTATTACAAATAACAACATGATCTGAGTTTGGTTAGTGGAAATACTGTCTGCTTTGGGAACAATTGCTTCTGGGATTTAGATATTTAGACACAGAATTCTAGCCCATCAGGGCCATTAGAAATTATCTAATTTAAGTAAGATTAGAGAGGAAGCCAGCTCCAAATAATCTATTTTACCTTAGCACTCCAAAAAGAGAGTTCTGGGGAAAGTATTGCCAGATCATGAGTTCTAGTGGCCAAAGGTGGAATTACATTAGCCCCTGATCAGGTGCACAATTCTCCTAAGCTTAAAAAATGAGCTTAGAATACCTGTGATTTTACTTCTCAGAGAAGAACATTTAGCATACTTTATAATATAAAGCTGAATAGATATGTATTCCTAACTTGTGTCACTTTTATGATTTCATATAAAAACACTCCATGGTGCTGATTAAAATATGAAAAACCCTCAATTTTCCAGTTAGTCTAGAAAAAGTCTACTGAGAAGTATTTATTTATTTATTTATTTATTTATTTTTGAGACGGAGTTTCGCTCTTGTTGCCCAGGCTGGAGTTCAATGGTACGATCTCGGCTCACTGCAACCTCTGCCTCCCAGGTTAAAGCAATTCTCCTGCCTCAGCCTCCCGGAGAAGTATTTATACCTATTGCGTTTCTGAGGCTTAGAAACTTTGTAAGGCAGTATTCTCTGGCATGGACTAACATCAATGAGCAGCCACCGGCCAGAATCAGTTTGATGAAGGAGAATGCTGTGCTCCGCACACACCTCTGGAGTCATGCTGCCTGGGGTGTACCCTGGCTGTGTCACTTTAGGGGTGGGGTCCATTACGTACCTAATACTTCTAGGATGGTTGTAAGGATTAAACAAAATGATGCACATGAAGTGTTTAAATAGTTCTTGGAACATCATAAGTGCTCAGTAAATGTCATCACCACTATCACCATCATCATCAACTAAAAGCCGACCCTATTAGTAATCAATTTTCATAACACTAGTAAATACAAGTAATTACAAGAGAACCATGCTGCTGAGCAGTAAACTCAATTTTAATCTATTTAAATATATCTAAAATATAAAGAAATACTGTAAGTTCTTATAAAAGGAAGAATCTTCTGGTTAGGTCAAATAACTGCCCTTCTCTAAATATATATTTTTGGTAAGTCAACGGTTGTACATACTAGCTCTGCTTAAAGCAAGGTACCATTATAATTTCCAATTCAAGATAAATGGAACAGTCAATTAAAAATGGATGACAGGGCCAGGCGCAGTGGCTCACACCTGTAATCCCAGCACTTTGGGAGGCCGAGGCAGGCAGATCATGAGGTTAGGAGATCGAGACCATCCTGGCTAACACGGTGAAACCCCGTCTCTACTAAAAATACAAAAAAATTAGCCGGGCGTGGTGGAGGGTGCCTGTAGTCCCAGCTACTAGGGAGGCTGAGGAAGGAGAATGGCATGAACCTGGGAGGCGGAGCTTGCAGTGAGCCGAGATTGCGCCACTGCACTCCAGCCTGGGCGACAAAGCGAGACTCTGTCTTAAAAAAAAAAAAAAAAAAAAAGGATGACAGTAGTATCTTGTTCAACAAATAGAACCAAGTTACCAATAACAATTCTGGAAAAGAGCAGGGCACAGTGGCTCACGCCTGTAATCCCAGCACTTCGGGAGGCCGAGGCAGGCGGATCATTTGAGGTCAGGAGTTTGAGAGCAGCCTGGCCAACATGGTGAGACCCTGTCTCTACTAAAAATACAAAAATTAGCTGGGTGTGGTGGCATGGGCCTGTAATCCAGCTACTTGGGAAGTGGAGGCAGGAGATTCGCTTGAACCTGGGAGACAGAGGCTGCAGTGAGCTAAGATCGCGCCACTGCACTCTAGCCTGGTCGACACAGAGTCCGTCTCAAAAAAAAAAAAAATTCTGGAAAAAGCTCCTTGATTCATAACAGCAGCAGAGCTTATTACGGAAACACGGGATGATGACTGAACCCCTGTCAATGTGCACATAAGTAGCACAGTGACAAATCCAAGTAACTTCCGGTTATTTCTGATGAATGAAAAGGGATATCCTATACAGATTATTCTCTAAAGCAAATGAGTCTCTATGACGGACTGTTCTCTGGCCTTAACAATCAGCATGAAGAAAGTGCAGGTGGATGAGGCAGATTCAAGAGGGGGACTAGAAAAAAACAGGGAAAGTTGACGAGGTTATCAGTGGCCTGAGCAAGATGGTAACAGAGAGGTGCTGTGTCGCCCAGGCTGGAGTGCAGTGGCTGTTCACAGGTGTAGTCATAGCTCATTGCAGCCTAGAACTCCTGGCCTCAAGCCACCTGAGTAGCTGTGACTACAAGCGTGCCACCCACTGTGCCTCACCTGAAAGACGCCTTTGCTGGGAAGAGAGAACATCCTATATTTACTGAAAATTGATGTCTTACATCCTAACACTACTCTTTCCATTTTGGGTTTAAAGGGCCCCCATGGGCCACCAGGATGCACGTGAAGGTGAACCCCTGGTCCTGCCAGCCTGCCGTGTGGCCCGCACCACAGGGCTGGTTGCAGGCCTACCCCTAAACCCCCAGCCGGGCACTTTCTACCTTGATTGGTCTGGGTCACCAGTTCTCTAAGTCTTCAGACTAGCTGGTAGCCCTGCATAAATTATCTCATCCTCTGAGATTCAGTCTCATCTGAAATGGTGGGGAACCTTAAATACCTACGAAGGGCCTGGCACTATCCCTGGTAAATTCGAGGCCAAAAGATTCATTCCCTTCCCTCGCTCTGGGAGGTTCCTCCCTCCTGAGATGAAGAATCCCAATGCCTGAGGCTGAGGATGCTTCCAAAAATGTAGCTGAATATTTACTGTCTGTCCACATTGTTTATCAATATCTTTCTTGTCCCTTCAAGATCTAAATAGAGAAGGGAGTGGCACCAAAGAAGAAAATTATCCATTGTTGGCCTTCTCCAATGTTACCTGCATAAAACCCCTTAGAAAAATCTCACAAGCCCTCAGTGTTCCCTTTAGGGAAGTGGCAGGAGGGTGCAGGGGTTAAGAATGCATATTTGGGGTCAGCCGGCCTGGATTTACTTCCCAGTGTTGTAAGACCTTGATCGAGTCATTAAACTCTCAAAACAGTAGCTCTACCAGACAGTTGTGGTGTGGTTTAAATGAGGGAATCTAAACAAAACTTTTAATAGAGAATAGGCTTGCAGTAAATGCTCAGTACATGTTGGTTGTTTCTGTAAATTTTTAAAAGGCAGAATGTGGGACCATCTCAGTGTTCTGCTTTTATAGTAGGTGAGTCTCTTCTTGGAGGTTACATGGCAGCTGAAGAAAGAGCACAAGGCAGGGCAGGTCAATTCCTGGGGTTCTTGGGAGACAGGGGTGGCAGACGGGGCCCATGCAATATTTGAGGGCCTTACCCTACGGAGTGGCTTTCTCGGGGCACCTGCTCTGCTGGAGCCCTGGCCTAGGTGGCTAGCATGCAGCCGCATGATGAAGGGTGAGGCAGGGAGGTCTAATCTCACTGTGGTGAATTCAGGGAGGGAGACGTAAGCCTGGCCTCCCAAATCCATTTTTCTCCCATAGAGATATGATACGCTCAGAGGTTGAGCTCCCTGGCACTTTTGGGTTAAAATGGCCCCTCTGTGGGAGCCCAATTATCAGTAACATCACTGTTCTTCTGGGAAGTGCATTCCTGATTTCAACTTCTGCACATAAGCCACGACTGAGTTGTGTGGCCACTCATTTCCTGTACTCAGTGGAGGAGAGAACAGGATTGGCACCAGGAAAGACACCAGCCCCTCTAGGTATATACAGACAACATCTACAGGACTCCCACCAACAGCCAGCACCTCTGCCACTCGGGACTGTGATTCTTAAAAACAAGAGAAACCGCATGGAGAATATGCACACAGTAAGTTAAAATCTGGAGCAAACTTATGCTATTACTTTCTCAACTTGAATGCTAGTATTAACCAAATCATCAAATACCCACTTTTTTTTGGGAGGAAACTGAACAACAACCTTGTACTGTCTCTACTGGGGGAGGATTTTTTTTTTTTTTTTTGAGACAGAGTTTTGCTCTTGTCACCCATGCTGGAGTGCAACGGCATGATCTCGGCTCACTACAACTTCCGCCTCCCAGGTTCAAGCAATTCTCCTATCTCAGCCTCCCGAGTAGCTGGGACTACAGGCGTGTGCTTCTACACTCGGCTAATTTTGTATTTTTAGTAGAGGTGAGGTTTCACCATGTTAGCCAGGCTAGTCTCAAACTCTTGACCTCAGGTGATCCATCCGCCTCAGCCTCCGAAAGTGTTGGGATTACAGGCTTGAGCCACTGCACCTGGCCAGGAGAGGATTTTTTATTTTATTTTTATTTGTTCAAATTTATGGGGGTACATATGAAATTTCATTACATAATGCATAGTGAGGGATCAAGACAGGGTTTTAGGGTGTCCATTACCCAGATGCAATACATTTTTAACTATAGTTATGCTACTCTGCTAACATTACATTTATTCCAACTGTATGTCTGTAACCTCTCACCCACTTCTCTTCCTCCTCTCCTGCCCTCACAGTCACCCTTCTCAGTCTCTGTTATCTATTTTTCCACTCTCTACTTCCATGTGAACAAATTTTCTAGCTCTCATATGTAAGAACATGCAATAGATATTTGTCTTTTTGTGCCTGCCTTATCTCAGTTAAGATAATGACCTCCAGTTCCATCTACGTTGCCACAAATGACATGATTTCATTTTTTTAATGGCTAAATAGTATTCTACTGTGTATATGTACCACATTTTCTTTATCCATTTTATCCACTGATGGACACACAGGTTGATTCTGTATCTTTGCTATTGTGAATAGTGCTGCAATAACCACAAGAGTGCAGGTATCCCTTTGATATACTGACCTTTCTTCCTTTGGGTAGAAACCCAGCAGTGTGACTCCTGGATCAAATGATAATTCTGTTTTTAGTTTTTTGAGAAATCTCCATACTGGCTCTACTAGTTTACATTCCAACAGTGTATGAGAGTTCCCTTTTTTACTCTATCTTGCCGACATCTGTTATTTTTTGTGTTTTTAATAATAGCCATTCTGACTGGGGTAAGATGGTATCTCCTTATGGTTTTTATTTGTATTTCTCTGATGATTACTGATGCTGAGCATTTTTAATATAACTGCTGGCCACCTGTACATTTTCTTTTGAGAAATTATTCATGTCCTTTGTCCACTTTTTTTTTTTTTTGAGATGGAGTCTCACTCTGTCACCTAGGCTGGAGTGCAATGGCATGGTCTCCACTCACTGCAACCTCCACCTCCAAAGTATAAGTGATTCTCCCACCTCAGCCTCCCAAGTAGTTGGGACTACAGGCACGTGCCACCACACCTGGCTAATTTTTGTATTTTTAGTAAAGATGGGGTTTCACTATGTTGGCCAGGCTGGTCACAAACTTTGCCCACTTTTTAATGGGATTATCTGTTTTATTCCTGTTGAGTTCTCTGTATATTATAGATATTAGTCCCTTGTTGGATAAATGGTTTGCAAATATTTTCTTCCACTTAACAGGTTGTATGGGATAGGATTTTTTAAAAAAGAGCTACCTACTGTGAAGGGTAATATCTCTTACCTTAAAGGGCCACATAGGCCCATTTATCTATGTGCCAAACTGCTCAGACTTCTTCCTGCAAGAGATCTGCTGCTAGGTACACATTTCAATTACGTCTAAGTACTAATTATTCTACAGTTTCATTGGCTGAACATGGTAATATCATTCTCTTTAGAACAAGTGTTTAATAGGCCAGGTGTGGTGGTTCACGCCTATAATCCCAGCACTTTGGGAGGCTGAGGTGGGTGGATCACCTGAGGTCAGGAGTTCAAGACCAGCCTGGCCAACATGGTGAAACCCCATCTCTACTAAAAATACAAAAATTAGCCAGGCATGGTGGCATGTGCCTGTAATCCCAGCTACTCAAGAGGCTGAGGCAGGAGAGTTGCCTGAACCCGCGAGGTGGAGGTTGCAGTGAGCCAAGACTGTGCCACTGCATTCCAGCCTGGGCAACAAAGCAAGACACTGTCTCAAAAAAACAAAACAAAACAAAACAAAAAAACAAAACAAAAAGAGAAGTGTTTAAGGTGTAATAGGCAAATAACACAATAATGTAAATAATGTACTAGATTGTTCCTAAACACAACGAAATATAGAAAACCCTTAAGAAGACTTAATTAAGGGAGTGAACAATGTAAGTTAATTCCTCTTAATCCTCCTAAAAATCTAGCCTTATAATTCAGAAATAGCAAAAATAAAAGTTTGCCCTAACACAACTAATTATTTGCCACATTATTTCTTCCTTTGCTATCATAGTATCATTCCAGGGCAAAATTACTGTTCTTTTGTTGGCTACGAAGACTACAGAAAAAAAAGATAAATAAATAAAAAAAAATTTAGTGTTCTTAATTCATATGGTACCATTAGCTGAGTTAAAATGAGCTTAAAGAAATAATCATTCACACAAAAGCACTGTATGCCAGATGAAACCAGAAGATATTTTACGATTATCTTTAATCTACTGGTTGACAATATATCTATGCCACTTTTGGTCTATCAAATATTCATGTTTGCTTTACTTCCATATTCATATATTTCACTGTTCTTTCTTACCCGTGTTGTGTCTCCCTCCTGCTTAATCATATCCATTCCAGGCAGCTGGTTTGGGAACAGGTTGCCTCCCCTCAGAGCAGGATCATTAACCTAAGGACAAGAAGACAGGACAGTGGCTACGCAGAGCAGAATGTCCAAGAGTGCACTGGAAAACAAGTGGCCGCCGCCCTTCCTCTGTTTTTAGGGGTGTAAAAACGGGGAAAAGGAACTGCAGAACAATGGCCTCATCCTACACAAGCTCTCCCATGTACGTATTTTGCGGAGTCTAGAGGAACATGAAAATACTCATGAAATACTAGCTGCCTTCAAAATTAACCTTTATCTGCATGCTGTACAGAAATCAAATTCAATTGACTTAATAATAATAGAGCCATTTTTGTGCCATAACCAGCATGCTTTCTTGGCTTATTCAAATTAGACCAATGACTCACATTTGGGACTTTGAAGTCATCTGAGAAATTCCTGACATCTTTGCTACTTAGGCAAGTTATTAATTATCAAGAGCAAGTGTAAATACCCAAACTAGTGCTGGACTTTGTCAATTTACTCTGACCAAATGGACTATTCATTTGCATTTGTACATTTCTTTACACATTAGAAAGTAAATTTGCAAATGCTAATAGAATAATGATTTTTGTAGGAAGACACACTGCAGTTGTGCCTTGGGGCTTCCAAATTAACCATGGGATTCAAATGGTTTAAAATCATGCAGAAGTTTCAAAACAATCTGGATTGTTAAAAATACATCAAATAAAAATGCATCAATTCATTGCTGAGCAGACTGGACTAAGATCGTATTACACTAGACTATCTCAGTAGCCCTTACTTTGTACGCTTTTCCTCAGCAAGCAAATTAGGAGTCATTAGTGGCCCATTTTTGCAGGAAATAAAACATCAACCCTACATTTCTCCATTGAAGAAATAAAAGCATAGATATCTCTCTATAAACACACGCATATATTTTAAGAGATAGGGTCTTGATCTGTTACCCAGGCTGGAGTGCAGTGGTACAATCTTAGCTCACTGCAGCCTCAAACTCTTGGGCTCAATAGATCCTCCAGCCTCAATTTCCCAAGTAGCTGGAATTATAAGCACCTGCCACCATGCCTAGCTAATTTAAACTTTTTTTTTTTTTTTCAGAGACAGAGTCTTACTATGTTGCCCAGACTGGTCTTGAATTCCTGGCTTCAAGCCATCTTCCCACTTCAGCCTCCTGAATAGCTGGGATTATAGGCACAAGCCAACATGCCAGGCTAAAAGTCTGTATTTCTTTATGTCTGCTTAATGTATCCAAATAAGCATTTAACTGCCATCAATTCAACAACAGAAGTGTAAGTTATTACTACAAGCACACAACCTTCTTAAAATGCAAAGGGCTTTAAATTTTCTCATGTACCACTTTCCATTTTTATTAATCGTTTTAAATAAAACACGGAAGCTCTGTAATAGTTCTTAAAATTTTCACAAAAATTGTGGTCTACTAACAGAATTAAATAGATCTAATCAAACTCTTCAATCTTTCACCATTCTCACAATCTTGTTCTAACAGACATTCACAGACCTGTCAGTGATTTCATGCTTAAGTCATTTACACTTTCCATACTGCACTTTCTCCTTATATGAAATAAGAGTCAAGGTCTTGCCATATTTTTTACTTGTGTGAACTACTGAGGATCAGTGGTAGAGTGGTCAGCATTTTGGGCCTTTAAAAACAAGATCTTCTGTAAATACCATGGTACAATTATTAACCTCTACTTTTACCTCTGAATCAGCCACAGATTTTTGGATTCCAGGCTGGCTACTGCTATCTCAAATGCTTTGAGTCTCTCTGCCATCTAGTGAAGTTAGGAACAGAATCATTTTGATGTTGTTCAACGCAAAACAATTATTTTAAAAAATCATTGCCTTCACGTTCCAAAGTAAAAAGAATAGTTTTTGGATTATCTGTGTCGGTCTCTTTGCATAAATGAAGGATCATTTCAAACTAACTGGATGGCAGGTAGTTTGGCCTTTGCTTTTCATCTGGTTTTACACTTAGAAATAAATCCATTATTAAACTATAATCCTCTAGCCGGGCACGGTAGTATGTGCCTATAATCCCAGCTACCCAGGAGGCTGAGGTGGGAGGACTGCTTGAGCCGGGAGACGGATGTTGCAGTGAGCCAAGATAGTGCCACTGCGCTCCAGCCTAGGTGACAGAGTGAGACTCTCTATCAAACAAAACAAAACCCCCCCAAACGATAACCCCCAAATAGAGCTATTTTAAAAGTACACTCACTATTTCATCTTTAGAGATTCATTTTAGATACTGGTGAATTCCTCAAGAGAAAAATGTCAATGATAAGAAAGTTACAAAATATTTTAAAAGCTCCTCAAGCAGTCAGGAATCCTTTCTGTTTATTTAATCATTAACAAAGATTTTTATTAATGTCACTAACACAGGTGAAGGGTGAAAAACACTCCTCAAAGTAAATGTGGGAGTTGGTGGCTAAAGTCAGATACATGGAAAGATATATTTGATGCAGAAGTAGAAAAAAAGCCGTGATATGAAGCCACTGGGTTGCTTCTCCTTGGGCACTCACCTGCTCGGGACCCATGGAGGACAGCCCTGACGTAGGCACGGAGGTCACTGAGGTCATGCTGATCTGTCCTGTCATCTGGTTCATGCTGCTCATGCCACCTGTGTTGGTCGCCATGGACACATTGATGTTCATGTTGTTACTGTACATGCTGGTGTTTGCTTGCTGCCCAAAGTGTGGTGGGGACTGCTGGGAAAACATGCTGGAATACAATGGAAAGATTGAATGAATGTTACAGCTTGCTGGTATCCAGAGGCAGGCAGCTCAGGGCACTTGTTTCTCAGGCGTTTACTCTGAGTGAATAAACCTGAACTGCATGAACCCAGGCTGAGACAGCCGGCAGGTGGTGGGCTTGCTGAAGCCGAGACAGCAGGGGAAGTGGCATTCAATGAAGCTGTGGGGGCAATTCTGTGTGTTGCTGTGATAAATGATCACCAGGGAAACTTTCTATAGACTACCTGTCTCCTTTCTTTCTTTCTGTTTTTTTTTTTTTAAAGTCTTTGCTCATGCAAGCGATATCAAGCAAACTTCTAAATAAGCCAGTTTACTTTTCCTAGAGCAGGAGTCACTAGAATTTACAAAAGCTTAGCAAGGAACATTCTTTGGAGGAACAAGAACATCCCTAACAAGGTACCACCGACCAATTTATGATAGAAATTGCTGTGGAAGGCGGTGACCTAGAAGCCATCCTTTATCACTACGTTTGATAAAAACAAACAGAAAGCTCCTCGGGTGCAGGCATGAAGGTGGGGGATGTCCTTCAGCTGTCACAGTGGCGGTATGAAAAGGAGAAGGATTTGCGGTTACCTGTTTCCGCCCATGTTCCCCTGCGCCCATCCATTTATGTCGGAGGGGGCCTGATAGGCTGGGTTGGCCTGAGACTGTTGCATCATGGGACTCTGTGTATGTGCCATTCGGGGTGACATAAGTGGGCTCTGGGGAGTCGTAGCCCCAGTAAAGCCTGGATCAGGTTGCTGACTTATTCCTTAAAAAAAAAAACAGAAACAGAAATCCAAAAGAGACTGTTAGTTATATTGTAGAGACTGGTGGGGGGGAAAGAACATTCCAAATTAGGCATGCATAAAAAATTACTTTCAAATATATGATTGTGTACTGATTAATTACATACATTTAAGAAAGATTCCAAGCTCGGATAAAATATGGAGAAAATAAAATCTCCATACTGATTCCCCTTAGTAGTTAGATGGTGCCTAGGAACCATTAACCATCATAGCTAGAGTTAGAAAGAAACAATGCTATTCTTTCTTCAAATTCCTTTCCAAATCAAGAATGAGTCACATATTTTGATCAACAAGAAATATATATATATATACACATATAAAATCTCAAAGTATCACTGCAATTAGTTTAAATTAAGCTTATTATTATTATTTTGACATAGGGTCTTGCTTGCTCTGTTGCCCAGGCTGGAGTACAGTGGCGTGATCATAGTTCACTGCAGCCTTGACCTCCTGGGCGCAAAGGATCCTCTCACCTCAGCTTCCTGAGTAGCTGGGACTACAGGCATGCACGACCATGCCCAGCTAATTTTTTTAATTTTTAGTAGAGATAAGGTCTCACTATGTTGCTCAGGCTGGTCTTGAACTCCTGAGCTCAAGAGATTCTTGGCCTCCCAAAGTGCTGGGATTACAGGCATGAGCCATTGCACCTGGCCAGATTGTTTAAATTAAATTTAAATTGGATTAAAGTTCAGCTATATATCAAAAGTCAACACATTTGAATAAATTTATATTAAATTAGCTGAAGCCATTCCATGATGAGATGGATCCACCTTTAAAAATAAATAGCTGTATTCATGGTTAGCTTGTTTTGTCTTTATAAAGAGCTCTGTGGTACTTTAGGGCTATCCAATATTAGTAAGAATAAGAAAAAAATTCAATGTATGCTTCTTGTTCAGTTTCGAGGCAAACAGAATTTAAACTAAAAGGAAAGAGAACTTTCAGCACACTTTTCTAAATCATCAAGAAGGAAATAGAGAAAGGAGCTGGGAAACAAAGGAGGCAACTTAGAGTATTTTGAGGATGGTATTAAGTACACTTTTGCATAGAAGACTTGTAAAACATGCATATTTAATTAATATTTAAATTAGCTACAAAAGAAAAGCTTAAGATCATATAGAAAAAGGCTGCACATTATCTTTCTGTTCTTTAAAGAAACAGGAGACTTGGATTTCGGCAACAGACTTCACAGTTATTTACAGATAACTGGCAAAGGGTAGGGAAAGTCATTTTTGAATATTAACATTAATGTAAGCACTTACTTTATCAATAATTCAACCATTAACTGAACATGACATGCACACAAATATTAATGTTCATGACATTACACACTTGGTATCTCTTAAGACTGACATTAAACAACAAATCAATATGAAGAGGACTAAAAGGTCTCCCACTGTAGTTTCTATACAGTACTTCTCAAGAATTACCTATTCATTAATGATCTGGTATAATCTGTAAAGTATTTTTCAAAAGTCGCAGAATGTCTATATTTAAATTTATAGAGGTCTTTTTACATTTTGTATCTATTGATTTGTTTGAGTCAGACTCAGAGGCTTTCAAATATATAAACATATATGAACTTGTAGACATTGACATAAACATAGATCCATACACGCTCGCACACAAGATAGACACAGTCTATGCACACACACTTACTTCGGTCATTCTTAAAGTAAGACCTGCACTCAGAGAAAAGGAGGTACCTGAGCTGAGAGCCTGGAAGGTACTGTGCTGGACTTGGGGACTCCTCACAGGCCCCAACTGTCCTCCCAGGTTTCCTATCATTCCCTGGTTAGCCAGATTCATCTGGGAGCCATGCAAAGAGCTGTGAGAGAGGAGCTGTGACCCAACACTGGGGGACACTGGGGAGAAAGGACTGGTGAAAGGTGGTGGGGATCTAAGTCCAGTACCGTAGTTTGGAGGAAATGGAAACTGCTGTGCATTTGCCTGGGGAATCCGAGGGTTGCTCATAGTTGCTGGCATACCACTAGGAGCCACCATGCTTGGTGTCATATTCAACCCTTGTCCTCTCATCATCAAAGTTCGTTGCTGAACTTGCTGTTGCTGATGCATTTGTCTCTGTCGAAGATGCTGGTTCAGGATTTCCCTCTGTCTCTGGGCCAGCATCTGTGCATTAATAGGTGCCTGAAATCCGGGGCAACACATGGAGGAAAATGTCGGGGACAGACATAGATTAAAAAACAAAGTGAGTATTATAGAGAGGCTAGCAAATGGTACTATCATCTGTAAAATTATTTGGAAAAAAATTACATGAAAGGAATGACTCAGAGTTGAACAACTAGTGATTGAGAACATGAGCTTCTAAGTTCTAAAGATATGATTATTCTGAAGCTTTGCTATGACTCAGCAGAGTTAAGTTTGATGCTAATATCAATTAAATCATTTTGTAAGGACACAATTAACTGAAGGATCTCAAAATAACACAGTCCTTTCTATAAGAAGACTGTAATATAAACCCTGAGGATGGTAGTTTAGAGTCTCATTCAAGTGACATTCAAGTCTATAGAGAAATAAAATCACTGGGACAAAAGGTGACGTGGTGCACTTCACAAAAGGCTGAGCAGAGGCAGGAGGAAAAGGGGAGAGCGAGGAGAGTGCCTGATAAGAACGCACAGAGACCGAGTCAGAGGTGGAGGGTGGAGAGGGAGGAAAGGCAGGATGGATGAAGGGAAGGGATCCCAGTGCTTGCTGTCAGTGAGAGGCATGAGGCTGCTAAGATATCGTTGATCCTCATTTATGAATTCCACATTTCTGAAGTTGCCTACTCAGTAAAATTTATTTGTAACCCCCAAATCAATACACATGCCACTGTCACAGTCATTCGTAGACATGAGCACAGTGGTAAAACATTTCAGATATGCAATGTGCACACTTCCAGCAGAGGTTGAACAAGGCAACACTTTGCCTTCTGGTTTCAGCTCTCATACTGTAAACTAGTGTCCTCTGTGATCTATTTGGTGCCAAGATTTTTGCATTTTTTGCTTTTCCTGTTGGTGATTTTGCTGCTTAAACTGGCTCCCAGGCATGGTGCTGCAGTGCTCTCTAGTGTTCCTAAGTGCAAGAGGCGGTGATGTGCCTTCTGGAGAAAACAGGTGTGCTAGATAAGCGCCATTCAGGCCTGAGTTACAGTGAGTTCTTTAAACAGAAACACACATAAAACAAGGTTATGTGTTGACTGGATGATGACAATGTTGTGACCAGAGGTCTGCAGGAACCCAACCCTGTATTCCTCCTAGGAACGATAGTTGGCTGTTCTCTAATTCAGTGTTTGCAGTAACTTTATGTAGCACAACTTCTTAGAATAACAAGAATTGACTGTACCTGGCAATAAAAATGGCAGTGATTAGAAGGGAAAAATATAACACACTAGTAGGTAACTAGATGACAGTACAGGGCTAGTGTGCTGATCTGGATCCACGTCTACTAAGTTAACTTTCTTCAGAGAGGAAGAAATGACAAAAGCAGCTGCATGCATACAATGAAAGCTAATGGCTGGTATGTTGCCTTACCTGTGTTGGTACTCCAGGCCTCAGAGTCAAGTTCACATTGGAAACATTGCTGATTTGATTCATAAGTGGCTGGCGATTCTAAATACATACAAACAGGATGAATACATTTTAAGAACAGAATACATTTTACTTTAAATCAAGTTTCCCAAGTAACTGCCCTCCCCAACCCAGTATCTGCACATTGTTGGACAGCTGTGCTGTCTCACATCATCTTCCCCATGTCCTCCACCCAGCACCCCTGACTTCCCAGGTGCCATCGAAGAACAGACCTGCTGTGCTTGGAGGCGATGCTGAAGTTGAAGTCTTAGTTGATTTGGCTGGTTCTGCACTAGGCCCGTGGGCCTGAGGCCCGGTCTGGGCTGCATACGGAGTGTGGCATAACTAGGCCGCTGTCCCATGGTGTGAAAGTTTGGATCTTGCATGGGAGAATAGCTACCCTGGGCCATTTGTGCCTGAGATGCATACTGCTGTGGGAAAACGGGCGCCTTCTGCTCCAGCATGATGTTGGAATCCTGACTTGAGAACTGTTCTGGATCTACTGCTTGGCTCTGGAGAGAAAGTCCCAAATAACAAACAAATAATTAAACCATAAAAACAGCAGAGTCAATATAAGGCTGTTTTCTCTCACTATCATATATTTGAAGCTTTTTATACTTTTTAATATTATACTTACTACACAAAGGTACCTTTAGAGCTTGACTCCACTTGTCTTTCTAGAAAATGCTTCTGCTCACAGCTCTGGTTACACAAGGACAGAAGCCGGGGTCACACTGGACTCCCAGCAGCACTTCTTCCAAGGGAAGGGGAAAAATGGGTCAGGACTACAGAATGCCTCCTACCCACTCCACCAATCATATTGGCCTGGACTTTCAGATGCAAATATCCCCTGGAAGTGTTAAGTTTTTGATTGATTATTCATATCTGTAGAGTTCATTTTAATTAGATAACCTCTTTGGCACCTGACTGGGATCAGCAGTGTGGGGTACTGACCATCATTATCCTGATTTTGTAGCTTAAAAAAATGAGACTTAAAGACATGAATTGAATTGCAATAAGCCCTATTCAGCTAGTACATGGTGGGGTCCAATTCAGTTTGTGATTTGGGATCTGAGCTCCTCACCAATGTGATGCGCTGCCTATTATCTACTGCTTTCTGTGGCTGTCAGGATTTCCTACGTGCCCCACATTTTGCCATCATCCTCTCATTACCTACTAGACATGGTTTATGTGTCTGTCACTCCTGACTTTTTTTTTTTGAGACGGAGTTTCGCTCTTGTTGCTCAGGCTGGAGTGCAATGTTGTGATCTCGGCTCACTGCAACCTTGCCTCCCAGGTTCAAGCAATTCTCCTGCCTCAGCCTCCCAAGTAGCTGGGATCACAGGCATGCGCCACCAAGCCCGGCTACTTTTGTATTTTTAGTGGAGACGGGGTTTCTCCATGTTGGTCAGGCTGGTCTCGAACTCCCAACCTCAGGTGATCTGCCCGTTTCAGCCTCCCAAAGTGCTGGGATTACAGGCGTGAGCCACCACGCCCAGCCTCAAGTTTTCTTTAGCTCAGCGTTGTCCTAGGCCTTCTTGAAAACCATCTACCCATGTAGTGCTGGAGCCGCCCAGAGCCCTGAGCTCTGATCAGCACAGCCCTAAGGCCAGCCTGTGACAGCCAGGAGCCCACTGCCCTCCCTATGGTAATTCTAAACACAGGGATGGAGCCTAAGCAGAGGAAACCACTCATTGCTGAATTACTGCTCTAACTAAACACAAAAACATCTCAGAACTTTAACATGAATACGAATAATTTGTATTCTATACTTCCCTCAATTCTACCTAATAAACATATTTCTATAATTCAGTTTCATGACAATATTATAATGATGGTGGATTTGATGAGACAAAATAGAAATAACAGAAATGAGTGAAAAACGGACTAAAAATATTAAAAGACATGACACCTGTTTTGATAACATTACAAGTCACTCAGCAACTCCACGGATCACATTTTAAAATGTCACTTAGATAAACTCAAGGATAAAATAGTACTGAGGGCTGAATTCTAACTATCACTGAAGACAAAGCAAACCAGTCACACAGGAAATACTTAAACTCCATTTTCCTTTCTTATTTCAGGTTATATCATGTAACCTCAAGTCATTTCTTTCCATTCTGCTGTTTTCAATATGAATTGGTAAGTCACAACTCCCACCTGTGTCTGCTCAACTGTGGGAATTATGACAAGACTAATTTTAATGTTTCAGAGAAGTCTCCAATGACTCTGCATCATCTTTCTCTCAGAAAGATGATGACACATCATATGGCCAAGAAGTAGACTGGACACTGGCAGGTACTTTTTGGCAGTAAGAAATAAAGATGATTCATGCTAAGTAAGGAGGAAAACAGTAACTAGAACATGATGGTTTTTCTGGGTTACTCTTTACACAGTAAGCCAGGCTGCACTGCTTCACACAAAGTTAGCTGTGCAGTCAGTTCAGATAGTGTTTTGTTCTTTCAAGGGACTATGTTAGGTTATTTACTATATCATTGCTATCAGGTACTCTAAAAGCAGGGACTTCCTTTTTTATAGTAACCAACTAATTACTTGGAAGAAGAAAGCTAAATAAGCTCACTAAGATTAGTTAACTTTTTTATATTCCCATTTACGCTTAAACATCCCCAAAATTATGGTGGGCTAAACCATAAGTGAAAGGAACTGTAGCTAGGACTATAGGTGTGTGCCACCACAACTGGCTGTGACATTTTATTTTTTTTTTGGTAAAGACAGGGTTTCATTATGTTGCCCAGGCTAGAGTGCAGTAGCTTTTCACAGGCACAGTCAGTGCACACTACATCCTTGAACTCCTGGGCTAAACCATAAGTGAAAGGTTTAACCCGCCATTTTTAAAGGTAAAAATGATGAAAGAGTTGCAGCTACCTGTAAAATGACTTCTGCTAACTTATGTGGAAAGTATTCTTTTAGCACAAACAGCTTCCTATCACCAGCCCACAGGTGTGAAATGAATACTGGGGTCACGACTACACTCACACCAACTTCCAGGGGGAAGCGTTCTAGGTCACAAGGCAGCAATGTGCTGTTTGTGGTTTCTCTGTATCTTGTGTGTCCTTCCCTATCAGCAAGGGCGGACACCAGGTGAAATGGACTTGAGTTTGTGTCTTTCTGCTAACTTGAACTGTATGCAATGCTCATTTTCAGTGCTCTCCATTCTCAGGCAAAAGTTTATGTGAGGGTTACAAGGAAAGGGGAGGAAGAAACAGGGCCAGCCTGTTTTGAGGTAAAAAAAACAACAACAATATATTCTAAAAAGCAGACCGTGGAGTACCTGTAAACAGAAAATGGACACCTCTGCGCCCATGAGAGCGCTTGGCCCCCACCTGCTGCCCTTCCGCGCATACCTGGCTGACCAGTTCGGGTATTCCTAAGGCTCTATCAATCTCCTCCAGGCCATCAAAATTCCGCAAGGCCAGATACAGCTGGTCCAGGAGAGCTCCCTCATCACTCGGAGACTCAGCTGCAGGATGTGGACATAGCAAGTCATCTGGAGAACTGCCAAATGGCTGCCTGTAAAGACAGAAATGTCACCTTGGGCCAATGGAAAAGCTAGTTGATTAGAGAACAAATTCTTTATCTCAAAGGTGAAAGTATCAATTGACTTCCAGGGTTGTTGCAACAAACTACTGTACCAACTCAACACAGAACAAAAGGACAGTCTGAAATATTCGATACACTTTATTCAGTGCCCAATACAGGCCAGGCACAAATCTAGACATTTAAGGTATGATTTTTATTTCTATTGGTCCCACTTCACGGCTGGCAAAGCTGAGGCTTAGTGAGGTGAGGTCCACATGGATCTGTGTGAGTCCAGGGCTCACCAACCTACACCGACTGCTCAAGCATGTAAATATTTACTTGGCATTGAAGGAACCAAAGGACTTTTCTGCCCTTTAGTAGGAATCACGGATTGACTTAAGATTCTTAGTTAGAAGCTGTGATGACCCACCTGGGAGAAATGAGAGAACTAGAGGCATCAGAGCTGCATTAACTTTCTTGAACTCAGCTGCAGCTAGATTAAATTTGGCTGGGTTGATAGGAAATTTCTTAGTCATGCACAAGCAGGCCTGGAAAACATTTATTTTTCTCTGAGACAGGGTCTCACTTCATTGCCCAGGCTGGAGTGCAGTGGTGTGATCATGGCTCACAGCAGCCTCAACCTCCCGGGCTTAGGTGATCCTCCTACCTCAGCATCCAAGTAGCTGGGACTATAGGCACGCGCCACCACGCCTGGCTAATTTTTTGTATTTTTTTGTAGAGATGGCGTTTCGCCATGTTACCCACACTGGTCTTGAACTCCTGAGCTCAAGCGATCCACCCACTTCGGTCTCCCTAAGTGCTGGGATAACAGGCGTGAGCTACCACACCTGGCCTGAAAACATTTATTAAAACCCTCAAGAAGTGTATCTGTTAGCCTTCCTGCATTAGGTACATAAGGAAAGTGGATCATCAACATGCAAATTATATTTGTTATTATATAAGATAATTGGTGATGAAATCAGAACACTAAACTCTAAATTACATGGTACATACAACTCCTATACATTTAAATTAATTGTCAGATTAGAGTAGAGGAGGGGTGTGTGTGTGTGTGTGTGTGTATGTGTGTAGTGATGCCATCATGGCTCACTGGGCTCAGGTGATCCTCTGGCCTCACCCTCCTGAGTAGCTAGGACTATAGGTGTGTGCCACCACAACTGGCTGCTACTTTTTTTTTTTTTTTTTTTTGGTAAAGACAGGGTTTCATTATGTTGCCCAGGCTGGAGTGCAGTAGCTTTTCACAGGCACAATCATTGCACACTACATCCTTGAACTCCTGGGCTAAAGGAATCCTTCTACCTCAGCCTCCTGAGTAGCTGGGACTACAGATTTGATGTGTACCAC
Organism: Homo sapiens; assembly: GCF_000001405.40. Classification (NCBI taxonomy): domain Eukaryota; kingdom Metazoa; phylum Chordata; class Mammalia; order Primates; family Hominidae; genus Homo; species Homo sapiens. The sequence goes on from NC_000008.11 coordinate 70,133,377, forward strand.
CACGCTTGGCTAATTTTTGTACATTTTTTGTAGAGACAGGGTCTTGCTACATTGCCCAGGCTGGTCTCGAACTCCTGGACTCAAGCAATCCTCCCACCTTGGCCTCCCAAGTGCTGGGATAACAGGCGTGAGCCACCACATCTAGCCTAGAGGAGGCTTTTAAAAAAGAGCTTCTGAGTTGCCTGAATACTAAAAGGGAAAATGGTATTTGTACTTTACCAAAAGTCTATTTTGTACTCTTAGAGTCACTACATGATGTTTTGGAGAAAATAAACATTTACAGATTAAAAAACAAACAAAAAGTTTATAGATGAGCAAACTCATTCTTAAGCAAGTCAGAATAAACTTATCAAGAAATGAAGTTACCTATGAACACAGTTCAATATGCCATGTGGTTTTTAAATGCTCTAATATGCTATTTTGGCTTAGAATTCTGAAATACTGAAGTGCTAGCACTGAAACCAACAATTAATTTCAAATGTTCATAAAGGAATGCATTAATAACAACCTATTCTCTCCACTCACCTCTAGTAACTTGGAAATTGTCCAGCTGAGGGTCCCTTGAGGCCACGCGTCACCTGCTTCCCCGACTTCCTCACTGCAGGAGCTCCTTGCATTTCTAAGGGACCCACCCAGACCCCTGAGAGGCAGGTGCTCTTCCCACTCCCGCCCCTTTCTGCCCCTTTCTTGTCACTACTGGGCTTCACAAAGTCACACATGCTGGGAGCTTGCTGGCTCCTTCCTCCTGCTTCTTCTCCACAGCCCACACTCTCCTAGAACTTTCTTTAAACCAAATGTGATCAGACTGCTCCACTACTGCTACACTTAGGGAGCGGGAGGAAGAAGCAGATGCAGAAAAGCAGTCAGGAGAGGGAGAAACCACTGGACTGTCTGCCATGATAGCAAAGAGAGGAGATTCCTCAATGAGGAGGGGCCAACAAACATGGATATGGCAGGAGTTCCATGAAAGAGTTCAAGTCAGTCAAGAGTAATGTCAGCTATTTACCAAATTCTCCTAGGCAGCTACCTCATTCCCTAAAAATGCTAGTTAAGTTAGGCATTAAAGGATTTTCTTTACCTAGATTTTGTCATTTTCAACTTGTTTCTTTGGAAGCTGCATTCATATGCAACCCTCCCGTCCCAGATGTATTCAGTGATGGCAGGTTCGTGTGAAATCTAATGCGTGCAGGCTGTACAAGCAGACTTCTCAGCCTCACATCTGGCGGAAACCCACTGTCAGGAGGAGGCAGGCACTGTCTCGTGCCTTTGTAAGACCACTCCACCTTGACAGATCAGCAATACAGCCAAATGCTTAATAACAAACAACTAAAACAATCATTTGAATTTAAACAATTTCCTACATCATAAAATCACTTTTTGTTACATGCTTTTCTTTTTTAATTTAAAAAACCCCAAATAAATGCAGAGATTAAAAAGTTAAACAGTGCCTCCAGACCGTCCCACTTTGGTCAAGGCCCTCTTCAACACAAGTTGGGACTCTCGGGACACTTTCCCAACAACTTTCCTGCTTGCATGGTATCTCTAATTCTAATATGATGCTCTCAGGTTCCCATTCCCAAAGCACACTTTACAGAGCAAACAGGCCCTACTCAGAATTCTTATGTGGTTCTTCAGCTCTCCCAGGAAAACGCCCCTGGAATAGGGTGGTAGTGGTGGTGGGTAACGCCTAACCTTCCCAAACTTAATGTTCATGCCTTCCCTGTGAGCTCCAGCTACCACGGGCAGCTGATCTTTCTCCAAAAGATGCTACACATACCACCAGAAAACCAATACCTTGACATTTACCCCATCCTTCCCACGCTCTTCTCCAGCTGAGGGTCTACTTTCCATTGGGGTGCCACCCATCTCCTCATAGACTGCCCCGCTTTCTCCTCTCAGCATTAAACCACTTACTGTGCTATGCTGAATTGATACTAACAATTTATGTTAAAAACACAACTTCACACCATGCTCACACGGGGCAAGCATTGCATCCTCTACCTCTTTTTGGCCCAGTGCTTGAACATAAACACAGTATAGGTGCAGTAAGTTTCTAGTGGATGAAAACAAAAGGTTCCTGATTTGGCTGAGCTACAATACATTAAAAACCACTTTTATATTCAGAAATACATACTGCCTTGTGGCTTGGTGTTATAAATTTGGGCATGAGTGATATCACTTCCCTTAGAGATGTCATAATATGCTTGCTTACAGAAAAAACACTGATCCAGACTCCCAATCTGAACTTTATAAATGGCCACTAACACAATGAAGAAATTATTTTCCTATGTTTTGGGCAATTACATATAGTTACAACCTAGTTAGCATCTGACAGATAAATATAATATTAAGACGAGAATAGAATTCAGGGTAATAAAGGGAAAAACACACACAGGCCCCAGGCTGGTGCAAAATAATAACTAATAAACAAGCAGAGAGAGATCCATAATCAATGGAAATCCCATACCTTAAAGTCTACATGTTTATTTATGGACTAGTAGGTCATTAAGTACGGGACTAAGAAGGAGAATTAGGTCAAATTCTCAGCACTTGATTGAGAAACCATAACATTACCATTTCTTCACTTTTCAAAAGTATTTTCAAAATTCTGCAAAAAAGCAGCAGCTACTGAATGATGAGAAATAGTCAACAAAAGAAACCTTACTTAGAGATACATTTCAAACAGGGGAAAATCAAATTAAAATTGTGAACTTAGGCTGGGCGCGGTGGCTCACACCTACAATCTCAGCACTTTGGGAGGCTGAGGCAGGTGGATTACCTGAGGTCAGGAGTTCGAGACCAGCCTGGCCAACACGGCAAAAGCCTGTCTCTACTATAAATACAAAAATTAGCTGGGCACCTGTAATCCCAGCTACTCAGGAGGCTGAGGCAGGAGAATCACTTGAACCCAGGAGGTGGAGGTTGCAGTGAGCCGAGACCACACCACTGCACTCCAGCCTGGGCAACAAAGTGAGACTCTGTCTCAAAACAAAAAAACCAAACAAAAATCCACCAAATTGTGAACTTAATGCAAAAGGAAGTCTTTCATGAAAGACAGCTATTGTATTTCAAGAGAAAACCCCTTTAATAAAACCAACAGATATCTTTAAAAAGTCATCTATAAATTTTTGGCTATATTATAAAGATCTCTTTTATATACCAGATGAATGAAGGAAAAAAAAAAAAACCCAAAAACCCATAATGGAACTAAAAGTGGAAATTAGCTATAAATACATGAATATGTGAATGTTACAGATTTAAGGGCTAAACTACTATCTTTTTGAAATGTATACATAAACTGATGCTGGATTCATAAAACGTTAAAAAACCTGGTTCCTAAATATTAACTGTGATGCTTATAAAGGGGATTTTTAAAAAGCACTGCTCTTCTTTTATTTCAAAAGAGAGACATGGTTAGAAACTTTATTACCCATTACTTCTGATTTTCTATGACAGTAAGATTACCATAAAGCTGGTTCTAAGTTTCTTCCACACTGAATTATTTAAAATAAAAATGTGAGAGTGGCTAGAAAAACTGAAATAACTTTAAACGTAATGAAAATGTTTTGTCCACACATTGCTTATGCAAAAAACCTAACTGATGGTAACAGAAACAACAACATGCTAGGGCAGTGCTGAGTCACAGACACTTGCACAGCAAACTTAACATGCTGACTCTATCACTGGAGTTTCGCTCTTGTTGCCCAGGCTGGAGTGCAACGGTGCGGTCTCAGCTCACCACAACCTCTGCCTTCCGGGTTCAAGCGATTCTCCTGCCTCAGCCTCCCGAGTATCTGGGATTACAGGCATGCGCCACCACACCCGGCTAAGTTTTTTTGTATTTTTAGCAGAGACAGGGTTTCTCCACGTTGGTCAGGCTGGTCTCAAACTCCTGACCTCAGGTGATCTGCCCGCCTCAACCTCCCAAAGTGCTAGGATTACAGGCGTGAGCCACCGCGTCTAGCTCCATTTTTGTTTTAAGAGAACTCTCCTCCTGTTTGGGCAACACTAAAAATCCTAATTTTGGGTCTAGTTCTTCCTAAAAACTAATCTTTGACATTTCATCCAAAAACAACTAACAGGTGGTGGATTTAATTATTATACATTTGTCCTGTGTTATATTCAAGTTTCCATGGAAATGGGTGGGTTTCTAACATATCAAATAAACGTATCTAGAAATAGCCTACCATTCACTGATGTCATGAAACAAGAATCAAAGAACAAGATGGACTGTGAGAAACCACCACCTCCAAGTATGACAGCAGCTCCAAGTGCGACAGCAATGGCTATCTACCTGGGGCATGCTTCCCTGTCTACACAGTGTGCGCCTACCACTGCCCTTGGCAGCCAGTTTGGGACGAGCCACACCGCCTGCCTGAGGTTCTTCCTCTGTCACCCACTGCCTCAATTCTACTCACAGCAATCCTTACTCTGGCCCTGTGATATGCAGCTTTTACCAGCTGGACTGGCTTCCTGTCATCTCTGCCATCTGAAATGAGACCTTTTCTTCAAGATTCTGAAGGCTTCTCCAAGCATCCTGGTTGGATGATCTTCTGAAACATGGCTTATGATTTTTATACCACACACTACCTCAATATTACAGTTATCAGCATACATATGTTATTTTCCATTTAATTTGTAACTCCTTTAAAGGTATGTCCTAGGTCATACTGATTTCTGGATTCACCCCTCCTCTTCATGCACTGCACAGTAGATAATATAGTACCAATAAATGAAAACTGGTCAGGCACCGACTACTCCAAAGGAAAAGATTAATTTCTGGACAGGTATAAAATAACTGGCTACCCTAGGTGCTCAGGACTCACCTGTTTTGGCTGGCAAAAGACGCCTGGTCTATAGGCAGGATGCTTTCAGGCCATGGGGCAGTCTGATTTGGAGGAGCTTGTTGTTGGCTATACTGAGGTCCCCCCATGTTCATCTCTAATTCAGATGGCCCTAGAAAGGGAGAAGAAAAAAATCTTACATCTTTAATCAAGGAAGCATTTATTTCTGCTATGTAATATAAAGTGAAATGTCTGGTTTATGAAAAAGGGAAAACACAGAAGCAGTAATAATTAACTAGGTGAATATAAGAAGATAAAATTCTGATTCTGAAATAGAAGTCAATAAATATGAAAGCCATTTCAGAGAATATCTAGACAAGCAGTTCTAAACCTTTAGCATTTAAGACTTTAAATACTCAAAAAAGTTTTTATTCATGTGCGTTATATCTTACTGATATTTACTGTACTGGAAATTGAAATTGAGAAACAGAAAAAAGTGTAGATTCATTTAAAAATCACAATAAATGAATTATATGTTAAAAGATTTTTTTCTAGATCCAAGTAAGTGGAAGAAATAAGATTTTTGATTGCAAAATTAAAAAATTCTTTTATTGGCATCGTTTTACATTTCTGCAAATAGCTTTAATGCCTGGGTTAATGGAATAGAGTGAAATCCTCTGTTTTCGCATTTCATCTTCTGTGATATCATATAGCATGTAAAATTTCTGGAAAACTCTACCATAACGCTTGGGCGATAATAAGAGTGAAGAAGCCAACAGTGTTTTAGGATTAGTATGAAAATAGTTTTGGCCTTGCAGACTCTCTGACTGGGAATCAGGGTGCTGCACCATGTCGAGACTGCTGGCTCCTGAACGTCGACTAACTGTACTTCAGCTGGCTCCCCTACCAGAGAAAGAGCAGAGCAGAAAGGAGGCCAAGACAACCCACAAGCACTCTTTCTCCGAAGTTCTTCGAAAGGCTTTAAAGCCAATGGATGAGATGAGCTTTTAAAAATTATATTATCATCATTATCTGTAGACCTGTATTCCATTCCAAAAGATAATTTTCTGTTGAATTAATAGCTTTTGGAGTTTATTAAAAATCAGAGAAACTCAGCTATACAATAAAGCTTATAGAGCCATATTTCCAGCTCAAGAGCCAGATGCTCTTCAGTGAAGACTGAGAATAAATTACATTTCTGGATATAAGGTACTCACTATTATGATTTTTAATCAATAAATATTTTTAAATTTCTCATTTAATTTTGCACAGAAATCAGTTTTTAGCATTTTTCGTGCTGTCAAATTATACAAATTTATGTTTGAGAATCACTCATTAAGTACATTCAATGTAGTGAGGCAATATAAATGCCATCTCTGAGAAACAATAAGCCAAAATATGCTGAACAATTAAATAGGTAAGAAAACTAATGCCAAGTTAGGATGAAAATTCTACACTGTCTTGTCAAAACAACGCTGGCCATCTTTTTTTTTTTTTTTTTTTTTTTTTTGAGGAGGAGTCTCACTCTGTTGCCCAGGCTGGAATGCAGTGTTGCAGTCACAGCTCACTGCAACCTCTGTCTCCCGGGTTCAAGCAATTTCCCTACCGCAACCTCCTGAGTAGCTGGGATTACAGGTATGCGCCACCACCCCCGGCTAATTTTTGTATTTTTAGCAGAGACCGGGTTTCACCATGTTGGCCAGGCTGGTCTCAAACTCCTGACCTCAGGTGATCTGCCTACCTCAGCCTCCCACAGTGCCTGGCATCTTTTTGTGAATTATTTAGCTCTTCCTCATTGTGCAATATCTAAGTATATGAAAAGAACATAAACTTATTGGAATTATGCTAATGTACAAGAAGAGGGCTAACATGTCAATGATAAAGGAAATAATCTCAAGTATGAGTTGTACAGACCATTAATTTTTAAAATATAACAGCTTTATTGAGAGATAATTCACATAACATACAATTCACCTATTTAAAGTGTACAATGAGTTTTAGTATATTCAGAGTTGTACAACCATCACACCACAATCGACTTCAGAACGCTTTCATTCCCCCAAAAAGAAACCCATTACTCATTAGGAGTCACTCCCTACTTCCTACCTGAGCCCCTCCCCACAACTCCTGGCCCTAGGTAACCACTACTTTACTTTCTGTCCCTACAGATTTGCTCATTCTGGACATTTCATATAAATGGTATCATATGATGTATCAGACCATCAATTTTAATAATATGTGAACTGTCTCCAAATAGAATTCTAGTAATCCTCACATTCTGTGAGATGTTCTGTAAGACCTTGCAACCTTCAGTGAGGGCCTGGGATAGTCTGATTTAGTAGTCTAGGTGGTGGCCCAGGAATCTGCATTTGAAGTTCCTGATATTGTTCTGATGATCACACAGCGTTAGAAACTACTGCTGTACCACCTAAGTTTTTTTTTTTTTTTTTTTTTTTTGAGACAGAGTCTTGCTCTGTTGCCCAGGCTTGAGTGCAGTGGTGTCATCTTGGCTCAATGCACCCTCCACCTCCCAGGAAGTGATTCTCCTGCCTCAGCATCCTGAGTAGCTGGGGTTACAGGTGCCCACCACCACACCCAGCTAATTTTTGTAATTTTAGTAGAGATGGGGTTTCACCATGTTGGCCAGGCTGGTCTCGAACTCCTGACCTCAAGTGATCCTCCTGCCTCGGCCTCCCAAAGTGCTGGGATTACAAGCGTGAGTCACCGTGCCTGGCCTATTTCTTTATTAATAGTGTGACATTATAATTCATTTCTTCCCCAAAGTTGAAATTAGGTAATTTAGTAAAAATAAAACATCTCAAAGGTAGTTGGGTCTCTTATATGACTGAAGAACTTTTGAGATTCTAATTCCATACAGAGTTCCAGCAAAATCCCACTTATGGCAGCTTCATGGGAGGATTATCTAAAATGCCCATAAGAAGCATGTCTTGAAAGAACTTATGACGCTCTCTTTTCTAAGAGAGCATAAAAGTTAAAAGCAAACAGCACTAGAGCCACCTTACCTATATTCATGACCTGAGACTGAAGCGTCTGTCTTTGGCCAGGCTGGCTGCTGGGCCTCATGGGGATGCTGGCTGCTGGGTTCCGAATCATACCTCCTTGGACTGGCCGGTTCATGGCACTGGTGGTAGCAGCACAGGTGACTCTCACAGCCGAACTCTGCGGTGCCCATTCTCCAGATGGCATAGTAGGCCGAGAAGCACTGTTACCAATCATTCCTGCATGCAAGCCAAAGAAAACTGAGAGATGCAGTAACTGAAAACATATTTAGCATGTATGAACACCAGATGATCTTACCCTACAAAACAATCATTCTGTAATTCACACTTAGCCAATAGCTAATGTTCTCATTGGGCAGATGTGGGACCTTGGCTAAGAAATAACAATTGGCAATCACTACATAGTTTTCATAACATGGACCTGCCGCTCTTTATAGTTTAGAAAAGCTATTAAAATTGTTCCCATTTGTACTTAGAAACAGGTGCCGTGGCGTGTGGATAACCCCAACTTCCTTCCTCAGGAAGTGAATCACATTAGCTGATATACACGTCAATGCTTTACTTTCCAAAAGGGAGGTAGAGGCCAAGAGGAATAAGGTAAAAACTGATAATCAATACTCTCATTATAAACGATAATCATAGAAGATATCTTGAAGTCTATATGAGACTTTATCCTCAAGTCTCCTTCAGGGTATACTTCAAAACTGACCAAGAGTAGCCTCTAAGCAATGGAGAACTTATAGATCTTTCTGATATTTACTGTAGTTCTTCATAGCCAAGGCAAGGGAGTTCCTTGCCTTGTATCCACTGTATTCCTGACTATACAGACCTAGAATGGGTTAGGACAGATTTGTAAAAATCCCTTCCTTTTTGAGGTGTTAACAGTTATCTGACCACACATAAGAGCGTAACGCTGCTAAGCAGGACTGTGTTTGCTCTGTCCTGTCCTGGCCCCCAGGATGCTGATAATGGCCAAACATTTGCTAAGACTTGATATTCTAAAGGGAAAACTCTTCAAATGAGGTCTCTTCATTTTGAAGTGTTTAATGATGGATACATGAAGGTTCTGCTTTCAAATATATGGCTGCTTTCATTTTCTTTAATTACGATAAACAACTAAAAATGGGGTATATTTAACAAATGAACATGCATTGTGGGCGTTTCTTCACTTACGAAATGAGAATGTGCTGTGATGATTAAGGGTGAAAGGTAGTCAGTTAGATTTTAAAGTTAAGAGGCCAGGCGCGGTGGCTCATGTCTGTAATCCCAGCACTTAGGGAGGCTGCGGTGGGCAGATTGCTTGAGCCCAGGAATTCGAGGTGAGCCTGGGCAACATGGGGAAGCCTCATCTCTATAAAAAATACAAAAATTAGCCGGGCATGGTGGCAGATGCCTGTAGTCCCAATTACTCAGGAGGCTGAGGTGGGAGGATCACTTGAGCCTGGGAGGTTGAAGCTATGGTGAGCTGTGATTGAGCCACTGCACTCCAGCCTGGGTGACAAAGTAAGACTCTGTCTCAAAAATAAACTAAAATAAAAAGTTAGAAGGGTATTCTATTAACACATATTTTAAAAACCATTTTAGAATTAGATTTGAACTATAGAAAAATATTATGGGAAAAAGGGATTTTATTTTTTTAAAAATCTGTTATCTAAATAATATGACAAGATTATAGGAAGTCTAGAAAGCAAAAAAGAGAATGATCCATAATTCAACAATATTACTGCAATGATAAATGGGAAAGTCCCTCTCAGTCTGTGTTTTGTTTTTTTTGTTTTTTTTTTTTTGAGATGGAGTCTCACTCTGTTGCCCAGGCTGGAGTGCAGTGGTATGATCTCGGCTCACTACAACCTCCGCCTCCTGGGTTCAAGTGATTCTCCTGCCTCAGCCTCCTGAGTAGCCGGGATTACAGGTGCACGCCACCACGCCCATTTAATTTTTGTATTTTTAGTGGAGATGAGGTTTCACCATGTTGGTCGGGATGGTCTCGAACTCCTGACCTTGTCATCCACCCGCCTTGGCCTCCCAAAGTGCTGGGATTACAGGCATGAGCCACCATGCCTGGCCTAGTCTGTGTTTTTTTAAACAGCGTGAGAGTATTGTATGATCTTCACAGGCTGGACACCAGTGCTCTCTTGGCTGCTCGGATTTTAATACAGGCCTATTCTCAAATTCCTGCAGAAGATTCCTACAAGAACTCATATCTTCTTGTATTCTGCTGGTAAGCCTTAATAAATCATGGCTCCTTTTTCTCTTATAGAACTTTATATAAATCAATATTTTATTTATCTTAAATTTTAAATTAATCTTTGTTTACTGAATATTTAATGAAATGAATATGACTATATAATTAGTGAAGCAGTCAGTGCATGACATATGTGGCAGGCACCCAATAAATATTTGCTGAAGGAAAAAGTTACCTTAATACAGCACAGTTCACAGTTGCCATGAATTCCTTATAAACAATAGAAAGTTAAAAATCTACTTCTTCCCCTTAAATTGAACTCTTATATTCAGTTAACTGTGTAAACAGCACTCAATGTGTGTATAGGGATACAGGCTTGGCTAAAAATAAAATACCAACAGTTAAAACACCTACCACTATAAGTTCTTCTTACAAGATTTCTTTCCATGCCTTTGTTTCTAGTGACTCATTGAGACAGAGGAAGAAAGCTATAAACTGTGAGCAGCTTTGCATTAGAAAACAGCATCCTGCTATATCCATAATAAAAATATGTTACAGGGTACAGGATGTGGATGTGGTGGCAACAGCAATCGGTGCTACTGCAGTGACTTCCAATCTGAACTGGATATAAGCTTGGGAATATAATGGCCACTGAGACAGTGACTACTACCTAGGAAATGTGCCTAGGCAAATTGCCAGACACCTGCAATTATAGCAGGTCAACATCCAAACCTGATCACAGGCAACTTCCTACATCTTCAAAAGGGAGCTGGGGACCAGATCTGAAAGCTATTAGGCCAGGCATATTACTGTTTAAAGTTCTTTATTTTTAATTAGTACTTTTTGGAATAAGAATTTTATCACCTAGAAGTATAAAAGGTTGGTTGAATTTTAAGCTCTTATTCTGAAATTCTCCAAACACAAATAATCAATCCATAAGTTTTTGAGGTATCAGTAAATTATCCCTGGAGTAATTTTATATATACCCTGCAATGCCTAGAACAGTAACTGGGATAGAAGTGAAATAAGTCTCAGCTATAGGATTAATGGTTGGAAACCTCATAAAAGTAACAATCACAGAATTAAATGGTTAGCTCACCCAAAGGCTTTCCCACATGCCATTCTCACAGTGAAAATCTGTAGAATTTTCTCACTTTCAGATGTTATTTTCTAACATAAAAAGTTCACTTGAAAAATTCTACTAGTTTGATGTGGATAAATATACCATTAAATTAAATAACCCACCAATAAAGTAACAGTGCATTTGACCCCTTACCTGTGCTACTGTTCCCTAAATTTCCTTGGTTTCCTATCATCCCTTGATTACCCATCATTCCTGGCTGAGGTATCACTGAGTAGGGACTACTGTTTCTGATTGGTGGGAAAGGTCCAGCACCAGTTGGGCTTTGCAATGTGATGTCAAGTGGTAAATTCTGGTTTGGCAATAACCTGCCCAGTTGCCCTGGTCGTGGGTTATTAAAAGCTAAGGAGAAAACAAATGAAAATTGAAGGTTAATATAGGATAATGGAAAATAATATTAACAGTAGTGTTTAGGGACAATGTCTGTAAAATGACAAAGGTATGTATGTCAGGGACCAACTACCTAGATAAAAGACAAAATCACAGACAAAAAACACATGCAGCACCCCAAAGCATAGATGTGTGATCTAATCAACTGGTCTCTAATTCTTGACGATCTTGCAAAACAAAACAAACACATGTATATTATTTACCATATACCTTCCTCACCAATAGTAATTTCATTCATTCATTCATTCATTCATTCTCTCTCTCTCTTTTTTTATTCTGAGACAGAGTTTCGCTCTTGTTGCCCAAGCTAGAGTGCAATGGCACGATCTCGGCTCATTACAACCTCTGCCTCCGAGGTTCAAGAGATTCTCCTGCTTCAGCCTCCCAAGTAGCTGGGATTATAGGCGTGCACTACCATGCCCGGCTAATTTTTTCTTTTTTTTTTTTGAGACGGAGTCTCGCTCTGTTGCGAGGCTGGAGTGTAGTGGCCCGATCTCGGCTCACTGCAACCTCTGCCTCTAGGGTTCAAGTGATTCTCTTGCCTCAGCCTCCCGAGTAGCTGGGACTACAGCTGTGCCACCATGCCCAGCTAATTTTTGTATTTTTAGTAGAGACGGGGTTTCACCATGTTGGCCAGGATGGTCTCGATCTCTTGACCGTGTGACCCGCCTGCCTCGGCCTCCCAAAGTGCTGGGATTACAGGCCTGAGCCACTGTGCCCAGCCCTTTTTTTTTTTTTTTAATACAGGGTCTCACTCTGTTGTGCCAGCTGGAGTGTAGCAGCACAATTGTAGTTAACTGCAGCTTTTAACTCCTGGGCTTAAGAAAAGGTTAAGAGATCCTCTTGCCTCAGCTTTCTGAGTAGCTAGGACTACAGGTAAGTACCACCAGGTCTGGCTAATTTTAAAATTTTTTTGTTGAGACAGTGTCTCACTATATTGCCTAAGGTGGTCTCAAACTTCTTGCCTCAAGTGATCCTCCTGCCTTGGCCCCCCAAAGTGCTGGGATTACAGGCATGAGCCACCGTGTCTGGCTCCCAATAGTAATTTCAAATATATAACTGTATTTGCTAATTAAACCAGTGTTTTTTTCACGTTATAATATTCAGACTTAGGAGTACTGCTTTCTCACAGCTATGAAGCTATTAACATCTCTTACATATATCACCAAACCTATACATACATGGTTTGGATATTAGAACATCACTTCTTAACTGGGCTTTCCTAGGATTAGAATTAGATTAAAAGTGGTTACTCTCATTAGAAGTTAAAAATTTTAAGTGTGAACTCTGTTGCCTAAAGCAGTATTAAATTAAAGCTGTAGGACCCTGCTTACTTTTCAAAGTACAGCTTCTTTAAATTCTAGACATATTTGGATTTGATATGATTTTTATAGCTAGTTGACAAGAATTTATTGTGTACTAAGCACTAGACCAGCATCACACTGACAACCTATAATTTGTTAACGCTATTAAATTTAATACTAAGATATTACAAATTATAGTAACTTATTACATAACATCAAGTACTTTATTTTCCTGAATTATATAAACATAGTCTGAAATAGCACATTTAAAAGAAAAAGTTCTTAACCATCAATGATAGAAATAAAATATTTTAAAAAATTAGGGCTGAGAATGGAAATTATGTGCGTGCTTAATCATGACTTCCTCAGGTTTGGTTATCAGGTTGCCATCAATAATCTGAATACCACCAGGAGCTACAGAAAGAGGAGAAACCATAAATTCTACACAGTCCTTCATAACCTCCCCTAGGGCTAATGAGCATGGACTGTCTAGTGTGTCTGTTTTTTTTTTTGAGACTGAGTTTCACTCTTGTTGTCCACGGTGGAGTGCAATGGCATGATCTCAGCTCACTGCAACCTCCACCTTCCGGGTTCAAGCAATTCTCCTGCCTCAGCCTCCCGAGTAGCTGGGATTACAGGCGCCCACCATCATGCCCAGCAAATTTTTTGTAGTAGAGATGGGGTTTCACCATGTTGGCCAGGCTGGTCTTGAACTCCTGACCTCAGGTGATCGACCTGCCTCAGCCTCCCCAAGTGCTGGGATTACAGGCACGTGCGACTGCGCCCAGCCTGTCTAGTGTGTTTCTTACCCAATTCTCAACTCTTTTGACTTCGTGATCTCCCATGATCCACAATTAACTCTCCATTGCCCAAGAAAGAGTGAGGTTTGAGAGGTCACATGCAAATCTTTCGCGCGCGCGCGCGCGCGTGTGTGTGTGTGTGTGTGTTCTGAGATGGAGTTTTGCTCTGTCGCCCAGGCTGGAGTACAGCGGCGCAATCTCGGACCACTGCAACCTCCGCCTCCCGGGTTCAACCAATTCTCCTGCCTCGGCCTCCCGAGTAGCTGGAATTACAGGCACCCACCACCACGCCCGGCCCAAACTCATCTGTCTTTTGTTTTTCCTATTTCAGAATGGTCAGAAATCACTTGAGAAAAGACCTAGCAATGAAAGATGTTCTATGATTTGACTGATGGTTGCCATTTTTGATCTGAGAACAAATGCCAGGTATTGGCTCAAATTGTATCTGAAAAGGAAAAATCACTCTGTTTTGCCAATTTAATGCTGAAGAGGTTATCTATCTTTCATAAATTATGGCCTTGCTACATAACAGATATTTTCTTCCATTCAAGATTATCAGACAACTTCAGGTATTAATCAAGTTTGTAAACTGAGTGTTCATAGTAAACAAGTTTATCCTAAGCTTACAAAACTTTAAAATGAAAAGATAGAAGATGTTCTTTCTAAACAGACAACTTAACTTAGAATACATTTAGAAACGTAAAGTTCCACGTCAAGTGATGTTTATATGAAGATTCCTGAGACAGGGCAAGATTTTTAATGTGTGTAGCCCTTTCATGTAAAAATACTTTTAGTAGAATATTTTATTATTTTTTTTTAAATTTATTTTTTGTTACTACCAGCTGAGCAGTTTGGGAGGGTAGAATATTTTTAAATAGTGTATTATCCCTAAAAAGTCAGCATAGCTCCCAAATGTTATATATTTCAGTATTTCATTGTCTATTAAACACATAAAATCCAGGATAAACTCCATGTCTGAAGGCAGTCACTGAAATGAAGGGAAATATGACAATCAGTTGAAGAACTTCATCAATGTAGGTCAGTCTCCCTGTCCAGTGCTGATTAAATTAACCCACAAGAGAATGTGAGAGAACCATGCTCAGGAGGATCCATTTTGAATACTGTTTCAAAAGACCAGGACAGTAGATGGTGCTATTTGATCACAAAAACCTTAAAGTGACTAAGCTGGTTGCATCAGACTTCAATAATCCCTGTTTCTGATAGTGATTATATGGAAATTTCTTGGCATAACCAGCCATTTCTCATACTCACTGCTCTGTGAAATTCGCAGTGCTGTTTTCTGGGCTCCAACAGGTGTGACAGGGCTGTTTTCAGCTGTGAGTTGCATGAGGTCATTGATGATGGCTTGCTTGTCAACTGATCCAGCAGGGGCGCCTGGCCTCGTGTCTGGGAAAAGCTGTGGTAATTGACTATTCTGCAAATCATCCAAAATCTCCTCCAAGTTGTCCAGCTCACTGCCAGGCTGTAGTTGACAAACAGAAGAGTTTATCCAGTCTACTCTAAGAGTAGACACCACAAGCCCATTTGCAATCACTGACCTAACTGCCATAAGGCACCACAGCCAAATAAAATAGGTAGATTCCTGCATACCACAGGCCTAACAGATAATTGATCATCTTTTAAAAAATTAGGTTAACAAAGGACAAATAATTTAATCTCTTGGTCCTCAATTTCCTCATCTATAAAAAGAGATGGCTGAATAAGAAAGAAAGCTCTCTTCCAGCATTGTGATTTATTGGCAATTTATAAATTCTCCTTTATTTTATGCTTATCATTCAATTAATTATAAGAATATATATTTCCAATTAATTATGAATAGACTATGACTTTGGTCCAGGTCTAGGTTTTATCATCAAAACTCCCTAAGAAATAACAACAACAAAAAACTGGCATATAATGTAATCCAAATTTGCACCCAATCAGTATTTAACAAACAGTCATTTCCCTTCAGGATTTTTTTTTTTTTAATCTTTAAAAGAACACAGGGGTGGGGAGAGAGAAGCAAAATAAGCTTGAAGCATCCATGAACTAAGCACTGCCTTTTCAATTTGAGTAGTCCTTTTTTTCTGCTTGGACTTTCAATTTTGAATGACAATGGCTTTCCCAGTCTTTTGCCAGCTTAGGTAACAAAGGTAGGGAAGCAGGATAAAAACTGGTTGCCCCCCAAACATAGCACTATTAACCTAATTATACAGAAGCTATAAAAATGTTTTTTTTGTTTTTTTTTTTCTGAGAAAGGGTCTTGCTCTGTCACCCAGACTGGCGAGCAGTAGCGCAAACACTCATCCCTGTAGTCTTGATCTCCTGGGCTCAAGTGATCCTGCCACCTGAGCCTCCTCAGTAGCTGGGACCACAGGCATGCACCACCACCACCATGTCTGGCTAATTTTTTGATTTTTTTTTTTTTTAGAGATGGGGGTCTCATTTTGTTGCCCAGGCTGGTCTCTGAGCTCAAGCAGTCCTCCTGCCTCAGCTTCCCAAAGTGCTGGGATTACAGGAGAGAGCCACCGTGCCTGTCTACAGAAGCCATAAAAAATGTTTTTAAGTTTTCTCTTCCATTAAAAAAAAAAACAAAATTCAAGCACTAACATAAGCTAAGTATCACCACTATTTCACACTTAGCACTTTTCTGCTAGGAAGCTAAACTGGAATTTATTCTAGATTTTACAGATATTCTTTTAAATATAACCTATCTATGTGCCAGATATTTAAAATCAGATAGTGCATGCTAGGATTGCTTTCTAGTGCAGAAAGTAGTACGAACGATTTTCTTGATGTGTAAGTGGAAAACGTAAGTTAGTTTCCTCAGTCATTGGACTTTGAATCCTTGACCACAACTATTCCTTTCATCTACACTGGCAAATCAAATGAAATACATGGCATACATCTAATAATGAGTTACACTGAAAGTAGGATGGCTTACATTTTTATCCGACATACAATTCCTCCCCATGCAGAGGTTGGATATGCTAAGATTTTTGCAACTTACAGCAAATTTAACATCCATATGAGATGTTTTTTGATTGGAAATATTTCTCAAGTTAGGAAGAATAGAATGAAGTGAGATTTTATTTGGTTCTTCTCAGAGACAACTAGCTTAGCAATGATTGGGAGATCCATTTTCCTAACGCATTGTTAGAGCAATTACAAGACCATTTTTTAGCTAGTTTAGCCACTCAATTGTAACAAAAGAGGGAGGTATCTAATACAGGAGAGTCAGTTATGAATTAAGAGCTGGGTTCCAAAGTTAGCATCCTAAAGTACCAACAGTCACAGACAGGTCAAATTATCCTTAAAGCTCTGTAGGAAGGCACCGCACTGACTATCTCCTCCAACAGCAACAGTCTTTCCTCCAGAGTGGCAGCAAATTACTATTTCTTTGGCTGAGTCCTAAGTGAAGTAGTTTATGTAGGGGCCATACTGCATTTAAAAAGCCCATAGGTACATGTTCACACTATTAGAGCCACAAGGGAACCAAAACCCAGCAAAGTCATGTCACCCACCTCATGATCACTCCACTACGGCAGGTATTCATTGAGTTCAATGGTGGGCAAAACTGCTCATACTACTGAAATAACCATTTAATAACCATCTGTTCTTCCAGGAACATAAAACTGACTTTATGTACTTAAAATACATATGTAAAGTTGACTCCACTGTAATCTTCTTTATCATGTTTTGCTGAATGCATAAGGTATAAACTGTTATTCTCAGTATAAACATAGATTGTCCTCCAAGGACAGTGCCTAGAACTAAGTAATGGGCACTGAGTCAACACGATGATTTCTTTTAATCATATTAACACAAACTTTAAAAAATCTTCCCCAAATCAGTAATTTTTTTCATAGGAATTCCTATAATTTCCATTACTTTTTCAGAAAATGTTTCATAAAAATGTGTGGTAAATTTCCTTACACTTGTCATGAAGATAGATCAGAAAAAGCCTCTAATAAACTGAGAAGGTTATATCTGTTCTATGAAAACCAGTTTCCCTACTACAATGTTGTCCTGTGTTGAGCATTTTTAAAAGGTAGAAGCTCCATGTGTGGGGGTGAGGGAGGTGGGCTATAATAAGTGATGAGTTGCCTCTTGAGAAAGCTCTGCAGATTACTTTTAAGAGAAATATCCAAAATAAATAGGTCCATGTAAACAATAAAAGTAAAGTATGTTATTTCTCAATGGATACATTTATATTTGCTTCCAATCCCAGACATATGTAAAAGGAACTTTTGACAATATATATTAAGAACAGTCTAGACTCACACTTTTCCTTTTTTTTTTTTGGAGACAAGGTCTCACTCTGTCACCCAGGCTGGAGTGCAGTGGTGTAATCTAGGCTCACTGCAACCTCCGCCTCCCAGGTTCAAGCAATTCTCCTGCCTCAGCCTCCCCAACAGCTGGAACTACAGGTGTGCACAACCACACCTGGCTCATTTTCGCATTTTTAGTAGAAATGGGGTTTCACCATGTTGGCTAGGCTGGTCTTGAACTCCCAACCTCAGATGATCTGCCTGCCTTGGCTTCCCAAAGTGTTGGGATTACAGGTGTGAGCCATCGCGCCCGGCCTAAATACATTTTTCTTAAGAAAGCCATTCAGGATCTTCTTAGTATCAAAAGGAACTAGTTCTATGAAGGCTTAAAACTATGAACACTATTTGAATTCATTCAAGCTTGGCATCTGAAAAATGCACTATGAAGTTTTCCCAACTAGAGATAATATTGCTTTGCCTGTGTTTATTCCTTGTCAATTTATGGAGTACACATTTAACATTAATTGTCGTAAGTTCACTTTACATGTTCTTCTTCAAGGAGATAAAGTTCAGAATATCTATACCCCTCAGGTTAACAGTAACATTTGATGACTACAGAATTTTTTTTTTTCTGTATTCATGTAAGTTTTGGAAGGAATAAATTTGATCACATTAAGTTTCTGTTAAAAAATTTTCTCCCCTCAATTTTTGTAGGCTTTAATTCTCATCAAAAGTTCTTCTAGTCTCTATCCACTTTGTTAGGCACAATTTCTTTACAAGACAAAAAGATTAATGCCTTCCTTTAAAATGCTTTGCCAAGATACTTCAAAGTTTTGCTTAGGCATCTATTTGAATGCTCAAATTAGCCACATCAATTTGAGTTGTTAGTTTAAACTATTTCAGGCAGAAAATGAGTCAGAAAGATTTTTATAAAAGTTCTACAAAATGAAAATCAGACTTGATTTCTTTAATTTTTCATTTTTCTGGTTTTAGGATTTTTTCATGTCAAATCAACTTGTTCTCTGCAGGAAATATAAAAAGCACAAGCATTTAAACAACATCAGTATTCTAATAAATTACAAGGCATCTTTTCAAAATATTTTAAATAAAAAGTATAATTTTACCATATTTGCCTAACACAAAGTTGTTAAGAAATGGTAATACAATTCTACCACATCTGGAGAGAAATTTTCAGGACACTATCAGTTTAAAATATGGTTTGCCTTTCTAATGGAGTCAAATACCAAGAAGAAATTCTTTTTAGACTATTTCCAAACCCTTATCATACGTGTCTCAGCAGCATTAGAAAGGACCCAGTAGTATCGTTTGGTTAAGTATCAACCATGTTCCACTGTGTAAATAAGCATGTAACTTAAAAGTGTGTAAACATACTGGAAATTTTTCTGTTACTGTTTCCTGCTGGTTAGGAAATGCTGTAGAAACAAATGTTTAACCACTCTGCTCGGTAAAAAATGCTATTTTGGGTATAATAGCACCATCGAAGTACTTCCTGTCATTAATAAGTTAGTAATAGGTTAAACACACACTCAGTCAATGGCTCTTTTCTGAATCAAAATAACAAGACAGTTAACTGTGCAATTCAGACTCATTAATAGTTTGTTTTATCTCACTAAATAACTTATTGTATTCCCTTGAAATGAAAGAAAAGTCTTCAATAAGTTTGTACAGCAATCAATAGGAGATACAATTAACCTGTATTTGGAAACAGTGAAGGTGAGCAAGAGGTGAAAGAATCATTGTTTTTTTCTTAAAGTAAGTCATTCTAACTTTGATCTAAATATAGGTAATGCACACTTCCTGTGGTAACTTTTCAAGCTGCAATGTTTTTGATGTTAAAATTGCTCTAAAGCAGTACTTCTGGTGGAGTTTTACATGAGAGTAAAGGGAGGGCGAGACCAGAGACTGGATTTCATTAAGAAAAATATACTTACTATATGTGCCTCTGTGTGTGTGCACATGCATGTGTGCCTGTGTACACTGCTTTTTGATTCACCCCAAAAAAACAGATCTGTGCTGATTACACTCTGGACTTTATGTTTCCTAGGTGAGACAATTTTTATCAGAAAAACATTTCTCCTAAATAAATAACCTGAAACTGCAAGTGACTCAAGGAGTTTTTAAAAAACTCCTCTTTTGTCAGTTTCTTGTCTGAAGTTAGTGCAATCACATAAATAAATACAGAAATACCAAAGAGTGGCCCCTTTCCTTGACCCTCTAAGTCCCTTGGGCCTCAGATCAGGCCTAGGATAGAAATAAATCGTTTACACAGGGAAGGCCTGGCCACGTTAGACACTAAGCTAGGGGAGACCATCTTGCCCTCCAGCATGTGTCAAGAGACCGGAGTGCCATTGTCTGTGCCTGCCACTCTGGATTACCACTAGCTGTGTAGATTCTAATCTAGTACACCTCAAAAGATTAAAACACTTACAGGTGTTAATATGGTTTTACATTTCACTTTATTCAAGACATTGCTATTAATTTTCTGCTGAGACACCAGTTTCCCCATTTAATGATTTTACAGTGTTACGGAACAGCTGCTAATAGAACCTTGCACTAATATCTAAGTTTAAGGATTAATCACCCAAGACGTTTATATAATTTGGCTCCGCTTCCCTTGTGAAGGACATGAAGGTTTGAAAAATTGTATCCGACCTTTAGGAATGGTAGCAGCTGTCGAGACATCAAAGTGAAAGAAATAAGGAAGCCAAGTGCTTAGAAGCCTAGATGGAGCCCAGCTAGAAGAGCAAGTGTGGCCTTGGCTTCCCTGAGGATGGCTCTCAACCCCAGACCTGCCTCTGGGTTAGCTCTACCGACTCAGCAGAGCTCCAAGGTACAGCAAGGGGTGTGCTTTTCCTCTCTCCATCCATTGAAGACACTGACACATGAAATATCCTCTCGCAAAACAAATTTCAAGGACAAACCTTGAGTCATTTAAAGTAGGAAAGCCCTCTTGGCTTCTTCACTTCTTAACCAATCATGACCCAAGAACAGATAAGAAGTATAGGGCATATTCAGGGACTAGAGAAAAGTGATGGCTAGGGTAAAGTCTTTGATCATTGATTCCCTAGGAAACGTCTCATGCCAAGTCACTGTGGCTGTTAATAACCCATGTTTTCTTTAAATGGGTTTTAATTTTTTGAGACAGGGTCTCAATCTATTGCCTAGGCTGGAGTGCACTGGTGCAGTCATAGCTCACTGCAGCCTCCAACTCCTGGGCTCAAGCAGCCTCAGCCTCCTGAGTAGCTGAGACTACAGGTGCATGCCACCACACCTAGCTAATTTTTTATGTTTTCTAGAGATGGGGTTTCATCATGCTGCCCAGGCTGGTCTTGAACTCTTGTCCTCAAGCAGTCCTCCACCTTGGCCTCCCAAAGTGTTGGGATTACAAGCATGAGCCACCTCACCCAGTCTGTTTTTGTTTTTTTAATAAAGAAAAATAGCTTACTTTTTCCCTGTGATGTCATTATCTCCTTAGAGGATTATCAAGAATGATTTGGGGTGGAAGGTTGAGGAGATGTTGGTCAAAGGATACAAATTTCAGTTAGCCGGGAAGAGTAAGTTCAAGAGATCTATTGTACAACACTGTGGCTACAGTTAGTAACAATGTATTATATGCCTGAAAATCACTAATAGATTTTAAGTGTTTGTACCCCAAAAAGTATGTGAGGTAATGTATTTGTTAATTAGCTTGGTCTAGCCATTCCAGGATATGGATTTCAAAACAACATGTTGTATACCATAAATATATACAATTTTAATTTGTCAAGTATAAATAAGTATTATTTTGAATATCACTTAAGGTATCCTGGATTTTTTCAGGGAACTTATTTTTCAGACAATGAGAGCACATAATGTAGCCTATTATTCTAGTTTTGAATTTACATACCATGGCTCAGACGTACTAATATCAGTTCAATCTTTCTTTCTCCTTTCTACTATCCCTTTCCCTCTTAAATATTTTTTATACCAGTGGTCTAAGAAATTCTTTTGCATTAATCAGAAGTTTAGTTAAGAATAAAGAGAGGTAGAACGACCTTCATTGGGTTTCAAAACCAGTTAAACTCTGATCTTAAAAAGAGAGAAAGGTAAATAAGAAATAATTCAATTACGTCTGTTCTGACAAAGCCCAGTTTCAAGGAAGTGATTATCTCCAATTCAGGCAGCTTCTATAACAGAGGTCAGCAAACTACCACCAGCCTGTGGGCTAAATCTTGTTTTTGTATGAGCTAAGAATGAATTTACATTTTTTTAATGGTTAAAAACATTTTAAATATTTTGTGACACATGATAATTCCATGAAATTCAAATTTCAGTGTCTATAAGCAATGTTTTATCGGAGCAAAGTCATATTCAAGTTTGTTTACACAGTGTCTGTGGCTGCTTTTGCACTA
Source organism: Homo sapiens (assembly GCF_000001405.40). Classification (NCBI taxonomy): domain Eukaryota; kingdom Metazoa; phylum Chordata; class Mammalia; order Primates; family Hominidae; genus Homo; species Homo sapiens. Next base: position 70,155,684 of record NC_000008.11, read on the forward strand.
CAATGGTGGATTTGAATGGCTGTGACAGAGACTATATGGCCTGCAAAGCCTAAAATACTTACATTTGGTCCTCACAAAAAAAGGCCTGCCCACCTATGTTCTATAACAATGTCACTCTGCTAGGAGAGTATTTGAAACACACAGCTTCAGCGAGATTTTCAAGATAAGAACAACAAAGGAGAAAGCTTATTTTTATCCAATCACCTGAGACTTCAAAATGCCCCTATGGAGAAAATCCTTGATGGATACAGATTAGTACACCTGCGAGAAGATGTGATAAAACTTACCTGGTCACCAGGCTCAAAGCTCATCTCCTCCTTCTCAGTTTTCATTGCTATTAATTTTGTGTTACTGGCAGGATCTGTCTTACTGTCCAGTCTCTCAAGTTTGGGGGTTATTTCTGGTAAACCAATATCTTTAGTATCATCTTTATCTAGCAAATAGCGAAGTAGTGCATTCTCTTTCTTCTTGGGGCTCACCGGCTCTTGTTTAATAGTCACTTCTGATCCAGGAGCTGTGCTGCTGGACTCCTGGCTCAGGTCTTTGCCTGTGGCTTCTGCTGTTAACTTGGCCAAGTCCACAGGGGAACTGCTGTCCTGCAAGAGTCTGTGCAAAATTTTATGCTTCTCCTTGAGCGAGGTTCCATGTGTAGACCCAGAACCAGGCAAGCTACCTGTGGAGTCTTTGTTTGTATCCGACAAAGAGCTGGCTAAGGGCGAGGGCTCCATCTGATCAGATTTGGTGGTCAGCAGCTGCAGGAGTTTGGTCTGCCCTTTGCTGTCATGCAGTCTGCTCTGCCCGTCAGCTCTCTCACTGCTCACGGCCGGGGGCAGGTTGGGGTCATTTGTTTCCTTTTGCTCTCCAGGATGGCAGCTGCTCTCTGCTTGTCCAGTTGTACCTTCAGAGGGCTCCCCATATAGTCCAAAACAGTCTTTTGAGTCCAAGCTTCCCATCTTGCTGAGTGGGGGAGGATTCATATTAACTGGGGAGTTTTGCAAATTGCCCATTTTTAGGTCTGGTGAAGCCAACGATGACCCTAATGAGACCCCGTGCCCCTCGCTGAGGGCCTGAAGTGCATTGAGGGAGCTGTTGGTATAACTATGGCTATTTCCTGTGCTGCTGCAAACTCCCACAGGGGAATGCAAGCTTCCTGCAGGGGAAAACTGACTGGGTGGGATTCGAGGGCTGCCAGCCACTCCAGGGCTCATGCGATGCCTTGGTGAAAGCATGGAGGTGGGCTGTCCTGGATTCATGCCAGGGCTGCTTTGTGAGGGGCTGTTCATTTTGAGTGCATAGTTACTACCCTGAGGAGTGGTTGCTTGCATGCCTGACACATGGTTCATTCCCCCAGAACCACCAAACCTGCCCATGGGCATGCCCATTTGTTCCTTTGGGCCATTTATGGGAAAATTTATATTGCTACTGAGGGTCATGTCCTGACCTGGGTTCCCACTGCACAGGGCCTGATGGGCAGGGCTGTTAGAGCTAATTGGATTCAGTGGCTTCCCCATCGTTTGTCCAGTCAGATCCGGATTCATCACACACACATTCTGCTCTCTGTATAACGAGAAAAGAAAAAAATGTAAGATAAAAGGAAAAATACTTAGCAAGTTGTTATTAATTTTTAAAAATGATATGGCCTCTTCACCTTAAAAGAACAGGCTACATTTTAAGGATAGATAATACTTTGTTGAAATCATCTGCAATTATTGACAAGACTGAACATGTACAGTGTTGGACCAAGAGGGATGTTTTTCAGGCAACTCATTAAGATGTCTGGTTTTACAGAGGGGGTGTGTTTAAATTTGACTACTACTGTATTTAAATTGCATTTACTAGACAAGACATTAACAGGGTTCCAATTACATAATACATCTTTCTCATGAGTAGTTGAGAGCTTGTACTGTCTTAAAGAAATGAGTAGAGCTGTCTTCAGTTTTTTTTCCAGAGATTATAATTCCTAACAATAGACACATCTGTAAGCCCAGAGCTCTGATATTTACTACTTGGCTCAAGATAAACACGCTTAGGGGAAAACAACTTGCCCCTAACTGTTAAAAGAGAAACTCTGCCAGTTCTAGAACTAATAGTTACTAAAACTGTTTAGAATTAGATCACCTTGTTTAACAGATTTCCACTCATCTCCTCACCCCACACCCCTCCAAGTCAGAGCAAGACCTCAGAGCCAACAGCATGGGAAGGGAAGTTCAGAGTGACTTTAGTTTGGGATCTTATTCTTCTACTTCTGGATAACTCCATTCCATCTCCTTACTAATGACTAAAAGCAGGCTTTCTGAGCAAGATGATTTTGCAAGTTCTATGAGCTTTAATTTACAGCCTTGGCAGTCACTTTTGAGTTACCAAATGTGTTCACAAATCCAAATAAAACAGGTTTCACAAATTGTCAAACATCAGCTTTTCGTTAGGTGGGTGAAATTTGCCACATCTGTAATCACTTTCAAATTGTTTCAGTTTGAGGTTAGATTTATTAACAGTTGGCAAACAGAGTTGCCTGATTTTTTTACTCCTAAACAGTGAATTGAGAAATGTGATAAAATGGAACTCCTCAGCCAGAGCAACGTTATATATTTACTGATAGGACCTCATAAAGTTTTCCACAGCATAAGCATAAATATTTAGATAACTAATGAAATTTAATCATTTTCCTAAATATGTGCTCTAAGACAATATGGCTTATGACATTTATTTAAAAATCAATATTCAATTTCTTTATCTTCACTTTTTTATGAAAATGTTTATTACCCTTCAATTTAAGGTCTAATGTTGAGAAGTTAATTTGAACCAGAGAACAAAAATCTAAAATATTATTTGTAAATATATACATAGAAAGTTCTAGATTTAGGCTAGGTGTGGTAGTCCACACCTGTAATTCCAGCAATTTGGGAGGCCAAGGTGGAAGGATCACTCAAGGCTGGCGCATGCCTGTAATCACAGCTACTCAGGAGGTGGAGGCACAAGAATTGCCTGAACCCAAGAGGCAGAGGTTGCAGTGAGCTGAGATCGCGCCACTGCACTCCAGTCTGGGAGACAGAGCAAGACTCTGCCTCAAAACAAAACAAAAAACAAAACAAAACAAAAAAACCAAACAGTTCTACATTTAAACACACAGGAGCAGAAATCATACTAGTGACATCAATATTCCTGCCCTGCATTTGTTGCTACTGGGAGCTGATCAATAAATTTCCCTTTTTCAATGTAATGGGCAATCATGTCTAAGCAAACTTAGTGCCAACTGGGTTTTACAATTAACTAGTGTTAAGGCTAAAATTCAAAGTAGAGTCCTACTTTGCCAGTACAGTTGTTCTTTGGTTATATGGGGGACTGGTTCTAGCCTCCACCCTGCCCCCACGCTGCAGATACTAAAATCCATGGATGCTCAAGTCCCTGAAATTAATAGCATAATTTTTGCATATAACCTACACACATCCTCCTATATACTTTAAATCATTTCTAGAAATAATTTCTTATACCTGATACAGTGTAAATATAGTTATAATACAAATAATACAGTATAACATTATATATATATATATATATATTTTTTTTTTTTTCCCCCAAATATTTTCCATCTGTGGTTGGTTGACTCCTGGGATGCAGAAGCCATGGATACAGAGGGCCAATTATATTATGAATTGTCTTTTAGCCAACAGCTAATAACAATTTAATTTTATATTTTACATTACTGGGATTGATGAGAAGAAATGTCTAACAAATCCTCAAAGCTCTAAAATAATTTGCTGCTTTTGTAATATCTCCTCTTAACTTGGAAATGGAAAATGACTTCTTAGAACTAGGATTACCTGTGAAGCATATGTAAAGATATTACAAGTTGAGGTTCATTAGTAGTCTGAGAACGGATGAGTTTGCTCTTCGTTTGTGCAGCAACAAGAGTGCCATCAGACAAGGAAAAACGATAGATTTGACTGAATGCCAATCCTTGTCTCAGTACTGCAGGCAAGCAAGGAAACAGAAGGCACGTTTAGAAAAAAAAATTGAGGGGTCGGGGAGGACAAGACATAATAAGAGTAATCAACTTCATTAAGTTTCATAATAGTTTCCCACCAGCATGTAAAGAGTTATAAGTAATACTTTATGAGATTGAAACATAACATTTTAAAAGCACATTTACTTTTCACTGAAAATACCAATAACCTCAATTATCTGTTTTCCTTATGAAAAGGAGTAAGAGCCTGGACCCTCAAACTGTGTTCTTAAAATCTTTATTATTATGGCAAAACAGTGTAAACCATTTAACTGCTCAAACAAGCTTTATAATGATTTGCTTAAAATGGTAGAAAACAACACAATGTATAAACAGGGTATCTCTTACGTATACAATATGACTTTAATTTCCTTGTAAAACTAATACAAATATGAAAATAAAATTTATGACATTTAATATGTTCTCTGAATATTCATCTAGAAATTACGTACTGTTCAATCCATCATCTCACACACTACTCTCCCCCAGTCCTGTTTCTCACTGTGTAAGAAGTATTATTTATGTGGTTAGGACAACAGGAAGTAAAAGATAAACAATCAGAAGAATCTATTCAGAGAAAAAAAGGCTAAACAAAACTGAAACAATAAAAGTGCAAATCTTAGCAACACTGGAATTGGTTTAACTTTTAGATAAGGGATCAGGTGTTTCCATTTTCAAGACAATAACAAAATAGAACACAAATCAACTAGGTTAATATAATTTCTCTTAAAAGAATTGAGATTTATCTTTTAAAGCTACTATGTTTTATAACTGTCTTATATCACCTATTAAAAAAGAACATTTCAATTCAGTTAAAAAAAAAGACATAGAATTTAGTTCCTCTTAAACCATTTTAACAAGGCTACTATGTTGCTACCACATAATCCTCAGCACAAATTTTGTGGGTTGAATAGTTACCCCTAAAGCAACCATGTGTATTCACCATGCCACAAAACTGCCACAAGTGAGAGACAGAGAGAGAGAGAGAGAGAGAGGGAGAGAGAGAGAGAGAGAGACTGACATATAATGTGGATTCTAATTTCTTCGTAAAATTTCACTTTAAGCAATTTGTCTAATGACTCCTCTCTGCAGTTTCAGTTAGATACTACATTTAGGTTTCACTTTCTGCCATCAACTGTTGCACAATGTTAGTCTGAAGTGGAAGTACTGAAAATGAATTACTGAACATGTGAGTATCTTGCTTTGCACAAAGTGTCTAAAAGATGACATAAATGTAATTTTTTATAGTAAGACTTATATTTCCAATGGCTTATAATTTCAGAATTTTACCTGACCTTGGCTGTGATCCCTAAAGATTTTCATTTCCTCTTGGTCTACATCCAACACCTCTGAAAAGTAGGTATCTGTGAGCACGCACCTGAACACATTTAGGAAGTGCCTCCATTTAAACAACGCTTTGCAGTAGATTTCTGTTCAATGTAACTGATCATTCCTGATCTTACCTATTTCAAAAGTTTGAAATGTCTATACGGGGTTTCCTTCCAGTGGGTCCCATCTGTTTAAATCTAGTGCAGTGCCTGATCCATCTGTGTAAATCCTTTTGTAAGGAATCAGGTTGTCAAAGAATTAAACTCAGGACCCAAGGATGCTGAACATGTTTGCTTATGCCAGTTTCTTAGTTTTTGTTATTACTATTCTTCCTATTTTAAACCAGATGTAATGAAATAGTAGGTTAAATATTGATTTCTGTCAATGTAGCATCATTATTTCCTTGTATTCTTTCAAACTTGAAGAAAAATGACGGAAGACACAAGTTGTTGGATTATGCACTTATTTCTAAAAAATAGGATGAATAGGATGAAAAGAATGAATAAGATGAGGGGAAAAAAAGGGCATGGGAGAAACAGGTCATTTATTAAGATTTTTGCTTTTTTATAAGTGATCTAAAAAGTATAAAGTTTAAACATACCAACACTATTGGTAAAGTGCCAGATGCACATTAGGTGGATGATGACAAACTGAAACTCCATTTTCAATAACTAGCTACAAATTTTTTTCTGCAAGGATGCAGACAACTGTTGAAGCTGAGTTACAAGCTGCACTGCACTGCATGAGTCCCTCACGTGCAGCATGGCGCAGCTGACAGTGCATGTGGAGCCCTGGCCAACCGCACTGCTGGGACACAGAGAGAAGGACAGTCTCCCTCCCCAAATTAGCACATACTAAAGCAAAAGAATTTTTTTTTTTTTTGGTTCCTACCTCTTTAACAGAAAACAACAATGCACTTGAGAAAAAGTGATTCTTTGGGAAGACCTTCGGAAGCAGCATGACAGTGACCAAAATGAGCTCAGATGGACGTCCTGCACTGACACTGAATGCTAGAGAGTCAGTCATTTCACTTGCCTGAACCTCCTCGTCCCCTTGTCCAGAGTGAGAGACGTGATGTTCACATCACAGGCTTGCTGTGAGGGCCAGTGAGAGGAGGCAAAAGGGATAATGCCACACAAAGACCAGGTGCTCAATAAGGGCTGCTGTTATTACTGAAGTCTTGGGCTCAGTTCCAGCTGTCCTATTGCTTAAGTCTGTGAGCTGAGACAAGTCGTGTCAACTTTTGGGCCCTCTAGAAACACCTGGATAGTCTTTGTTGGTTACCACCTTGAAGAAGGGCTTGGGGTCCCACTGTTACCTTCACCAGGGGTTCACTCACTCTCCAAAATTCCACTTACTCTTATATTCAGATTCTAACTGAATCGTTAATATTTCTTTTCATTAGATGGTACTTATAATCTTGTCACATATCTAGAAGCCCCTGGATCAAAGAAAATGACCTCTTCCTCCTTTTGCCTGCCTCTGTGACACTATCATCTCCTGTTCTACTTTCATCACTCTTCTGTCCTACAGGTTCTCCTGTTAAATTTTCCTTTAGATGGCAACACTGGGGCCAGATGAGACAGCTCACGAGAACAGTCACCAGCTCTGTTCCCAAGGTGAACTCCAGGAATCATTGACAGAAAGCTCCCACAGGAAGCAATAATTTAAGAAAAATCATTTAGAGATGCTTACCTTCATGATGATGCCTCTTAGCATAGGACACAGATTCTCCTTCATGCTGCGCATGGAACTTCTGAATACACCTTCTTACCAGGTCCTCCCAGCCTGGTTTCATGGCTGCTCTCATGGTGCTGGTATCCAGAGACGTGATCTTGCCTATTAAGTAACAGCAGGCATTATACCTACATGTTGATCTATTCTTTATGGAAATAATTTTTTTTTTTTTTTTTTTTTGAGACAGAGTCTCACTCTATCGTCCAGGCTGGAGTGCAGTGGTGCGATCTCAGCTCACTGCAACCTCTACCTCCTGGGGTCAAACGACTCTTGTGAATCAGATGCCCAAGTAGCTGGGATTACAGGCGTGTACCACCACATTTGGCTAATTTTTGTATTTTTAATACAGATGAGGTTTTGCCATGTTGGCCAGGCTGGCTTTGAACTCCTGACCTCAAGTGATCCTCCTGCCTCAGCCACCCAAAGTGTTGGGGTTACAGGTGTGAGCCACCGTGCCCAGCCAGAAACAATTAAATTTTAACAAGATTTAAATGTATTTATTTAAACTAGGTAACATAAGTACATGGAACAAAAGGGTATACAGTGAGAGCCAGTGGCTCTCTCTCCGGTCCTCCAACTCCTTGACATTTCTACTGCAGCAGCAATTGCTAGTACTAGCATCCTTACAGTCTTCTAAATAGAGTCCTTGCATTCCCAAATATGTAAGTATTCTAAAATGATTCCTTTGGTCTTCTTTGGAGAGGAAATTTACCTTGGAGATCCTGGCGAGTAGTAAAACTTTCTGATGAGGGAAGAACTGGTCTTTCCTTCATGGGAACTCTTCTTGCCACGCAAATCAAGCAGGACTGCAAATCTTAAACCACACATGTTTACATTTATCATATTGGGCTTTTCTAGTGATTCAAACAAACCCAAGTGTATTTATGACAGCACAGCCTGTCATTAAAAAAGCAGTAAGGGAGACAGTGATGAAACACTATGTACCTGAGCTTCCTACTGGTTTTATTCTCTTCATGAAAGTGGTAGGTGGGTAAGGGAGACGGAGGGTGGCTGTGTAAGGAGAGCTGGGGAGCAAAGGATAAACTGCCAAGTCCCCGCGATACATGTGATGGAAATACATCGACTACACTAAAACGTTAATAATCTGAAACCCTCTCTCCAGCAGTAGAAAAAAAAATGAAATCCTTTCTTTTTAAATGGCTGATAGAAAACCAGGTTAATTTGTAATGAAGTACAAAAATGATGAAACTAAAATATGATACTCTTGTTTTGTCAAGGGTTTGCTTCTTGAGTTTTAGGGTTCAGGAAAACTAGGTACACCTTATGCCAAACTAAGTAAATACTACAATGGCAACATGCAATTTAAAGCAAAGAATATAAACTGGGTCTAGACGCAGATTCAGAGAACGACTCCCACAATACCTAGAAAATGCAGCGTGCACCAGAACAGCTGCATTATAGTTCAGAATCTTGGCTGTGGACGGTTTCTCACACAGCCAATTCTAATCACTTAATCCTCACCTTGCTTCAACTGTCTTATGCGTCAGGGTTCATTTCTGGAGGAAAGGGAAAAGTTTTATTTATCTTTGTAACATGCAGAGTACTCTGCACAGCCCTTTCCATTTAAAAAACACTGGACAAATGCTGTTGTCAAAAAACTTAAGTAATCCCTTCATGTCTTCTTATATCACTGATTTCTGATTGTTTACCTCTAAATTTGAGAATTTCTTGAATTTGACAAAGAGTTTATTATTTTTCTTTGCTCCTGCTGCTACCCTATCTAAAATATCAGGCTGCCTCAATTTCATCCTCCACAGGTATTCATGCTGTAAGGCGGAGGTCCTCTACAATCAGTACTTCACTAACTACTATAGGACCCCACACTGCCTCCTTGGACAGATTTTTCTTTCTCAACTTTTACAGAAATTTTAGGATATAGTTTTTAACTTGGCTGTTCCTGAATTGCTCTACTGTAGTCTTTTAAAACTGTTTCATGTATTATTTCTTCAACAAGACTGAAATATCCAGTAATAGCTGGTATCACAAAACTAAAATGCAATTATAGTCCTCAAGAAAATAACAACTAAATTTTTGGGCACTACGAGATAAACACCTTTCTAGCTACTGTATGAGTTATTAACTCATTTAATCCTCTTAACAGCTCTATGACACACGTAGTAGCATTATTTCCATTTTACAGACAAAAAGATCAAAGCACAAAGTTTAAGTAACTTGTCCAATGTCACGCAAACCTTCGGCAAAGCCAGGATTAGAATCTGAGCATGCCATGGCTCAGAAACCCTGTGCTTATGCTATACTGTGTTAACTTAACATAGAACGTACTTTTAAATGTACAAAAAATGTTTATAAAGCACAAAGTAATAAATTAGCTCAGCTATTCCTTTTTTATACTGCCTTGGAATATTATCAGATGGATAAATTAGCAGCACTTACTCCGCTGCATAAAACAAAATAAAATCATTTGACCTAGGCAAAAAACTTAATTTTGAAATACTATGTGTTTATTATCTCTAACAGCTCTAATATTTCCTTCTCAATAAAATTTAAATTTTAAAATAAGCATTAAATAACTAGCATTCAATGCCAACCACAGTTCAGCATATTCATTTAAACCTTATTACATTCTGATACTGGTATTGGTGACTTCACTTGATAATAAACTGTTGCTCAGAAAGGCCAAGGATTCTGTCCAAAGTCCCAGAGCTGGGAGCAGCTGAATTAGGAGTTGGCCTGTCTGATTATGTAGCCGGGGATGTTTTCAGTCACAAGTGGTCCTCAGCTCTTTCCCTTCTGCTCCCCACGCACAATGCACTCTTCAACACTGCCTTGTATTAGAGTGACACTCAGCTGTGTGGACGGCTTGCCTAGTGGGCTCAGGAAGTGAATGCTACATCAGCACATCTTTATGGCAAACAGCCTAATAAGCTTAGAGTCTAAAACCCCCTCCATTCCCCACTCCTGTCTCTATCCTCTCTTTAGTACCATTGTATTTTATCAATTCTGGGCCCAGCATCCATGGATAGGCTACATGGATTCCATTAACCCCTTGAAAGTATATTTAAAAGGTTGTTTTAACTGTGTGCATTTTTCTTTTTTCTTTTCTGAGATGGAGTCTCACTCTGTCGCCCAGGCTGGAGTGCAATGGCGTGATCTTGGCTAACTGCAACCTCCGCCTCTCAGGTTCAAGTGATTCTCCTGCCTCAGCCTCCTGAGTAGCTGGGACTACAGGCACATGCCAGCCACCACGCCCGGCTACTTTTTGTACTTTTAGTAGAGACAGGGTTTCACCATGTTGGCCAGGATGGTCTCGATCTCCTGATCTCGTGATCCACCCGCCTCAGTCTCCCAAAGTGCTGGGATTACAGGCGTGAGCCACCGTGCCAGGAAAACTGTGCATTTTTCTAGGGCTGTGGCTCACAGCTTGCACTAGATGTTCAAAGAGCCTAGGATCCCTCAAAAGTGTGCTCACTAATACAGTTATACTAGTACAGTAGCCGCTAACTGCATGTGGCTATTCAAACGTAAATTTAATAAAAATTAAAACTCCCGCCCCCTAGCTGCACTACTGACATTTCAAGGCTCACCAGCCACACATGGCTAGTGGCTGCCACACCAGACAGTGAAGATATGTCACTTCCACCATTGCAGATAATTCTGTTGGACAGTGCTGTTCTGAAGACTTAAAAATTTCCATCACAAAACAGTAAAATTGAAAAGAACAAAGATACTGCCTCCTCACTTTTCTTTGGGTGACCACTAATTAAAGTGTGAAGGAAGTAGCACAGGAATAAATACACAGACACACAGAACACCCTAGGGATTCTGTCCCACCTTCTCCTTCTTCTTTGATGGACTTTGGTTGAGAGACAGCGAAGCACTGCATAGTTTCATATTTCTGATGAGCTTCCTGGTTATCATGACCCTCCTCTTCTGAATCAGGTAAAGGTTTTACCAGCATCCGACAATTGAAGGTATGGCTGTTCCGCCTCGGAGGTTCGCCAGACCAAGATCCCCCATTTACTGAGCAAGGCAAAAGTAATCCAGTTTTACAAAGAAACAAACATCAGATTCATTGCCTCTGAATTATTAAAATGATGTAGGAAAAATATGATTATTTCATCTTTATGTACTACTTTTATACTTGTCTAAATACTTTCATAATCTAGAGGAGGAAAAATCTTTACCATTTTTACAACTTGGGAATATCTTGGGATTTTCTTTTTTCCAATTTTTTTTTCTTTTATTATACTTCAAGTTCTGGAATACATGTGGAATCTTGGGATTTTCAAAACATTTTCTACACTACTTCTTTACCCTGACTCCTTCCCTTCAAGTCCAGTCCTGGATTATTTGTTACTAGAATACTATAGTTTTCTACTTTTGCGTCTTCCTAACTGATTTCTTAGAAATTTAGTTCAATCTACTTGCATTCTAATTTTAGATAAGTCAGCCCTGCTCAAAATTCTGTGAGTGGCACCAAATGTAGTGCACGTTAAATTCTTTCAGAGGATTTAGACTTGATGTAGTCTGGAGGATGAAGTCCATTAACACAGACTCTCACTAACCAGCTCCATTGCATCCATCTAACGGGATCTTCCACATTCCCCTGCACAAGCCTCCCCATGCTCCACCATACCGGGCCCGCATGGATGTCCTTGCTCCTGCTGCCACCCTATCTGACATATCAGGTTGCCTCAGTTTCTCTCTCCATAGGTACTCATGCTCTAAGGCTGAGGTCCTCTACAATCAATACTTTACTAACTACTCCCCCATACTGCCTCCTTGGGCAGATTTTTCTTTTCTCAAATTTTACAGAAACTTTAGTATATAGTTTATAACTTTGTTTTTCCTAAGTTGTTCAGTGGTAGTCTTTTTAAATTGTTTCATGTACATTTCTTCAATAAGACTGAAAAATCCTTGAAAATACAGTGCAAATGTCATTTCTTTTCAAGTTAACTACTTCAGACATCTATTTGAGTATTAAAACTAAAAAAAGTATATATTTAAGAATGAGACAATGAAAGAGAGGAAAGACAACAATTATTTTTGAAATGCATTAGAGATAACAATGAAAGAAATAAAACAATGACTGATTTTGAGAATTAAAGGGTGTTTATGGATTTTACCAGGTTAACTTCCTCATTTGACACATAAAAAAAATCTGATGTCCAAAGACATGTTCAACTACTAGAAAAGTTGGAATCAGAATCAATCCTAATTCTCATTTTGGTGTTCTTTTCTATATCATTCCTTATGCTTTATCTAAAATATACTGGGGACAGTAGGACAATAGAACAGGAGATCAAAAAAAGGGTGAGTCATAAGAAAACTAATATATTCTCCAGTCATCAGCTAAAGAAAATGGAGAAGGACATGTAGGTGTTACAGCGAATCCAATGGCCCATGAATGGCCCAGTGAACCCAAAGAGCCCATGGCCACTGGGCTGTAGAATGAGAAAGGAAACAAACCCTCGAAAGGAAAAAGTTAGCTGTAAGAAATTATTTGAAAATTACAGAAAAACCCATAACTAGCTTTTTATGTTTTTGCAGACATTTGGGAAGTTTATTTCAGCATCAGCATTTTATTTTATTATTATTACTTTTTTGAGACAGAGTCTCTGTCACCAAGGCTGGAGTGCAGTGGCGTGATCTTGGCTCACTGAAATCTCCACCTCCTGGGCTCAAGGGATTCTCATGCCTCAGCCTCTGGAGAAGCTGGGATTACAGGCACGAGCCACCATGCCTGGCTAATGTTTTGTATTTTTTAGTGGAGGCAGGGTTTTGCCATGTTGGCCAGGCTGGTCTTGAACTCCTGACCTCAAGCGATCCACCAGCCTTGGCCTCCCAAAGTGCTGGGATTACACGGGTGAGCCACTGAGCCCAGCCAGTATCAGCATTTTGAAAAGCTTATTTACAAAATAAAGACTACACAGAGTAGTCAACTGAAGGGAAAAAGAGTTCTTATTAAGTCAGATTAATAAGTTGAAAGTTAAAAGGATACAATATAAAGTAAGGCAAAGAGCTCTTTAGACAAGTGAATTAATAATAGTGAATTAATAAGTAGAAGTCTTTTAAGGAAGTCATAAAACTACTGAAGAGATCTGAAAATATTAGTTACTTGAAATAAGAAATCCCATTTTCTTAATTTACTAGAGAATATAATAAAGGAATCCTACACAAGTATTCATACATTTTGTATCACTGTTATAGTCACTTTGAACAAAGAATTATCACATAAAGGAAAAGCTAGCCCGAATGAAATTTGAAAAGGACCTTTTCCTACTTATTACAACAATAAGACCAGCTAGTATAAACAATCTTAAGAACAGAAGTACTTGCCAACTCAGGATTTGACCTTATTTTGCACTTCCTTCAATCCGTGAAGATGTTCTTAGCATCATCAATTTGAGAATATTAAAAAAAGAATCACTTAGTGAGTGGGAACAGCAGTACTCTAGAGCAGCAGCTAAGGTGGGCCCACGCTGTGAATCACCCACTGCACAGTGTGTCCTTAATCATCACGTACTCGGACGACATCTCCAAAATAAGATGAAGTCAGGAAATTCCAGACAGGGAGAGTAGGCTAAGGCAGCGGCATCTGGTGATCACACCTACAGGGCCCACTGGAGAGTCTGCAAGACCGAAGAGCCCATTCAGGGCTTGGGCTATAGCATCTGAACCTCTCCATCTGCCACTTGTTCCTTAACATTTTATTTTTAGAATGTGTACACACCTATAATATGCTTCATGTGCAGGACTCAAAATACGCTGAATCTCAAACTTCTCATGACCTTTGACTTTTCAGATGGTCATGGAGAAAATGGACAAAACAAAGTTGGCTAGCATGGAACAGGGTGAGGCAATGTGTCACCTTAAAAAAACAATCTCTGCATTATAGCACAAAGGACAGATGCTCAAGGGGATAAATACCCCATCTCCATGATGTGACTATTTCACACTGCATGTCTGTATCAAAACACCTCATGTACCCCATAAATATATACACCTACTATGTATGCACAAAAATAAAAAATTAAAAAAAATACAACAATCTTAATGAAAATAGTTGCCATATAAGTACTTTCCATCTGAATCATTTTCATGAATCTGAATCAATTTCTGTTCATTTATCATGAGGTAATTACTGCCAAGCAAAATCATCATCATCATCATCATCATCATCATCATCACTTCTTGGCCTTTTGGCTAAGAAGCAATGATTTTCACGTACTTTAAATATAGGATCGAAAATGATCACTCATTTGAGATCAGTATCTGAAGATGCCCCCTTTTCCATGACTTTTAAGCTTAAACACACAAGCATCTGTAAAAAACTACCCAGTCACTCTCCTCCCCATCTGATATAATATAGTTTTATTTGATCCACTTCAACCAAGACACTGTGTGTATGAGGCAGGGCAGGTGGGGGTGACGGGAGGTAGGGAGGGAGACCCAGCAGACATTTACCTATAGACTTTGGCAGCAGGTTTTTGACAAATTCCGTGTGGTCCCCAACATGCAAGATGCTATATACACTTTTGTTCATCAGCTCTTCTTGGTTATACCTTAGATACTGTGTCACATTCTCTGACACAAACACAACGTTGCCTTCCAGGTTCACTACAAAGAAGAACCCATCAAGGGCCTAGGGAACAAAGTACAAATTGTGTTAGAAAGGATGCAACATAACATCACATGCAATTGTTAAGAAGGGAATGATCCCTTTCAAGGAAACACAATTCACACACAGATAGAAAAGAGATCTTTCTCAGCCCTCTCCCAGTTTTCAGGAACAATTAACACATTTTCTCTTGGTGAAATAGAAATTATTCCATCTTAGTAAGTGGGAGAGAGAGCCTAGACTAGGGTTTCTTGTCACAAACTAAACGACCAACACTAACTCCATTAATTTATCAGGAGATAATTACCGTGAAGTAAAAGTGTACAGACATTCATCTGTATTTTCAAAATGAGACTGACATACTCCACGGGGCCAAGAACAACTTTTATGTCATCAACCTAATGCAAGGTAATTTTGATCTATAGTTTGTCATGTTATACAATGAGAGAAAGGGGTCATAATTTTTCCCCAGTTTAAGGATAATTACCAGGAAAACCTTCCTGAATTTTACCACCTAGCTGTCACGGATTATATGAAAAACATCACAGATAATTTCAGACCTTTAAAGAAACATCAATCCTTTATTACTTGGTGTATATGGGAAAGGGTCTCGGAAGTGTCTCTGATGTGGCAAACTCACCTTCATGGGGACCTCAGCATTGCCCTGACCTTAGAAGGGCACTAATTATGTCAAATTATTCTATGTTACTTGTTCTCCAGATTAAGATGCAGGTTCCTAAATTACCCAAATAACAGTAGCACGCTTCCGGTAATGAGTTCACAGCCTCACTTTTTGTTGTCATCCCAACGGAGGTAAGGGAAGGAGATAAAGAATCTAGGATCATTTCAGGAAGTTGAGATAATAACAGTGGCTGTGGAGCATGTTCACTGTGCCTTACAAGTACCTCCTGGAAGGAATCTTTTATCTTTCCCAATTTACAGAGGAGGAAACTGAGGCTCAAAGAGGTTAAAGTCTCAGAACTAGTCAGTGGTAGTACAGCTTGAATGTGAATCCAGAAGGATCAGATTCCAAAGCTCATGCTTTGATGACCATTCAGTACAGTCCTCTACTCTAATATTCATTCACCCCTAATCCACTTCCCATCATGTTTACCTTGGTGATGGAAATGTTGGGGGTTTAGTTTCTCCTGGTTACATTACCCCATTTTTCTCTTTTTGACCCTTGCTTATCAAAGCTCTGTTTTATGGATCACGTGAGTGATCAGGACTGAAAGCTTTACATTGATTCATCATACCTGGGACCAGGGCCATGGGGTCTAGTCAGTTTCTTTGTGATATGTGTTTATTACAATTTTATCTTTTTTGGAGACAAGGTCTTGCTCTCCGCCCAGCCTGGAGTACAGTGGCACGATCATAGCTCACTGCAGCCTTGAACTCCTGGGCTCAAGCTATCCTCCCACCTCAGCCTCCTGAGTAGCTAGGATCACAGGTATGCACCACCACACCCAGATATTTTTTATTTTTTGAGACACAGTCTCACTCTGTTGCATAGGCTGGGGTGCAATGGCATGATCATGGCTCACTGCAGCCTTCACCTCCTGGGCCCAAGTGATCCTCCCACCTCAGCCTACCAAGTAGCTGGAACTACAGGCATGTACCATTACAAACTTGACTAATTTTTTTATTTTTGTAATGATGGGGTCTCCCTGTGTTGCCCAAGCTGGTCTTGAACTCCTGGGTCCAAGTGATCCTCCTTGTCTCAGCCTCACAAAGGGGTGAAATTACAGGCATGAGCCAGTGCGCCAGTCTTTTTAAATTTTCTGTAGAGAAAGGAACTCACTATGCTGCCCAGGCTGGTCTCAAACTCTCGGCCTCAAGTGATCCTCCCACCACTCTGTAATCCCAAAGTGCTGGGATTATAGGCATGAGCCACTATGCCCAGCAAGTTTATTACTATTTTTAACATGAATGTCACATGTATACACATACAACAATGAATTTGGTGGATGGGGCCTGAAGTGTTTACTTTTTCCCTAGTTTGTTTTTCCCTTATGTTATTAAACAGGCTCCTATTTTATGAGCTATCTTTGAATATATTTCATCTTTAATTCTATTTTAATCACAAAACTAAGTGCTCTCTCAAATTAGAACTGACCATAAGGCACCAGAGAAAGGTTCACCCATTTGGTTTTTAAGTTTTTCTTAAAACATTCTATCAGGTTTTCTCAATTGTATGAACCACATGCAGGACAAAGCAAGACTATATGTAAATAAATAGCCTTTCATAATACATGGTACTAACCTTGAGAACTGTGTGCAAGTGTGTGCACTCAGGAGGTTAGGTGATAAGTTACATGCCCAGTGTCCCTTTTCAACTCACTGCTTTGGATACACCCTTTGATAGGGATTTTCATAATCATATTACCTATGGTTCATTTTTAAAAGTACATGTTGCTTCCTACTGCTTATACCACAGTAAAAAGACTGACTTGAGGTATAATAAAACT
Organism: Homo sapiens; assembly: GCF_000001405.40. Classification (NCBI taxonomy): domain Eukaryota; kingdom Metazoa; phylum Chordata; class Mammalia; order Primates; family Hominidae; genus Homo; species Homo sapiens. Next base: position 70,172,824 of record NC_000008.11, read on the forward strand.
GAAAGACGAAATTGTTTCCTCTCATAAAGCTGTGTTTTTTTTAAGGCTCACTATGATATGCTCTGATGAAAAAAGCTGACATTTGGTTTTGTTGCCTAGCAACCACTATGCTATGATGTAAGCATGAGTGTGCATCTATGCCTAGGAACAGCTCCATGAGAACATGTTCTCTCTGTTTAAGTGATTACACGTAAACAGGGACAAAAATTTAAATTCAAACCATAAGTCACCAGATTTAAGAATAACCTCTCTAACACATTTAACACTCAAGTCCTGCTACACAGGTTCTTGATCAATGCACTAAATTCTCAGAAGACTATTCTGAATGACAAAAATGTTGGTTTGATTTTATGACATCAGGTCTACTGACATCTAGCAATCTGATTTCTACAATTAATGAACTCAGTCTCAAAGGGCTTGAGTCCCAGCTCTGTTATTCCCAGCATTTCTATTTAGAAGTATCAAAAGTCTTCCCAGGAGTTGCCACTCTAATGTTCCCCCCACCCCAAGATACAATGAATAAACACATGTATAGGGAAATTTCCCAATTGTAATAATTTAGTTAACATAATTTTCAAATCAGTTTTTAATTTGTAATTCAAACATTTTCCAAAGGAAATTATCCAGTTTCTTTCATTTAATTCTAAATGGTCCACCTAGTTATAGTTTTCATAATCTGCTTCTAAGAACCCAGAGAGAAGTAGCACTCTCTGGCCTTCCATTGCCTTGTTGACTATGGAAAATTGGGTTAAGTGTGTTTTTGCTTTTCTCCTGGAAAGGGAGGCTGAATGTTTTCAAGCCAGTGATTCTAGAGGAGATAAGCAAGGGCCAACACTGGGACATTTAAAGCCTTTTGGCCAGCAGGTCCAGCCCCAGGAAATGAAGTTTGTCATTTCTAAATACAAAGACTGGGTCAGATGCTCTTGGAGTCTTTATTGTGTGCCCCCCCTCCGCCCTGCCCCCAATTTTATGGTAGATTTTCATAGAATTAGATTTTCTAAAAATAAAAATCCCTTTAAGCATCAACTGAAAAAAAAGAGATAAGGGGGACTATTGGTTATCTCTGTTTTAAAAATACTAATTATTGTCTGCTGCAGCAAGCTAGCTGATTCTACAATGGCAGTGCTGCAAAGCTTCTGGCCATGCAGTCTTTTCAACCTCATCGTATCATCAGCCGAGCAAATTATCCTGAGAACTGACATAATTTATGTCTCAGGGTTCCTCTGTTTCTTGTTATATATTCACTGACATTTTTTTTTCTCATCTTACCATAACCTACATCTTGAATTTTAATTTTGGAACAGGTACAGCAAAGCACTTGGCGTTTAGTACTAGTTAATAAAATAGAAAAACTGTACTTTACAAACTGTAGACATTAGCTGGTCATAAAGCTTCCTGAAGTTAATAAACAACAGGTAGTTAAGACCAACCTTATGCTTCTCTTAAAAGTTCCTTTTGCCTATTATTTCAGTTTTCTTCCTTATGAGATAAATAAGCTAGTTTCAAATAGCATAAATAGAAAGCATAAAGCTCCTCCTTGGTCCTCATATTTTAACCTGTATGTATAGGCATTTGTACATGGCATGTACAAAATTTAAGAATTTTGAGAACATTTCAAGCTAAAATACAACACAGAATTTAGTAGGACTTGTGAATACAGTTTCTCAAATAAATGCTCAACTGGCAATTACAACTTGTCAATGTCTACTCTAATCTAGTTAATTTAATTCTATGTTAATTTCAAACACACATATACTGGCAGCAGGAGCCAAAACATACATAGAGACACACAGGCATATCAGCAAGCTCAAGAGGTCCATAGTACTAGTACTAGTGTGGATTCTCCTTAAATTATATTCACCTGAAATTAAATGTAATAATGTGAAGATCAACAAGATTTTAAAATACAGCACTAAAATGAAGATGTGCTACCTCAAGCATCATAGGCCCCAGCGCATCCTTGTCGATGACACCCTGCCCTGTAGAGGATACATCTGACTTCTGCACTTCATCTATGTTGGCAGCTGCTGCTTTCTCTGCAATAAACATAAGTGTGAATTAAATGGCAGTGCTATTTCAAGGACAGAGTGACACAGAAATGTTTTTACTGTAATGATTTTTAAAAATCTCTAGTGGGATCAGATGCAGCTACAAAAGAGTTACAGTACATCCCTGTTGCCCCTAAATGGGAGAAACTGCTGGAAGCAGAAGCCAGAACATTAACTTTTCACCTCTAGAACCTGTGGCTTGGATCCACTTTCAGGCTGCCCAGAAAATGAATTTTGAGGTTTCATGACAGTCCCCAACAGGCATTTTTTTCTAGATTATGAAACTGCTATATTCTATGGCACAATTAATTTCTACTCAGGAGATTCCCCAAACTAGGATAAAGGAAGGTCTGTTGTTCAGAATTTGGTAGCATAATCACAGATAGATTTGCACACATTTGAAGAAGTAACAAGGACTCCTAAACTGCTATGGCTGCCCCCATGAGACATTCTGCAATGTCTGCCTGGACTCTTTTACTGTTCCACTTCTGCTTACATTCCCATTTAAAGTGGACAGGAAGATTTGGTCCCTGACTTGTTCAAAGTGCTTCTCCATCTAAGAGGTTAGAAGCACCCTACCAGGCACTTGGGGAATTTCAATGGCTGCCCTCTGATCTAGCAGAAAGGCGCGTAGCGTGCGCTCCTGGATGGAAACGTGCAAGGCAAATTTTAGGCTCATGAAGACAGGAAGGCCCCGGAAGACATTTCTTCATAGAATGAGAATGTTTTGTGAAAAAGCTCACAGAAGAAAAAGATGCACACTTATCAACGTATGTGGTAAAGTAGTTATTTCAAGAACACCAAAAAAAGTTTACAGCATAACACATACATATCAACAACTTGCTAGAAAACAACACAAAACAACGTGACAATTATTTGTACTTGAATAAATTATATCCTGTTTACACTGCATGTTATCGTTGTAATTAAACGTAGAAATAGAAAACTGTAAATCAATTTAGCACTCAGAATTAACCTGCTTTCAGAACCTTAATAATTTTTTTTTTTTTGTCAAAAATATTTTATACAGTATGTTGAAAATCTGTAAAGCCTAATTTATGGCTGAGAACCTAGAAAACAATTAGGAATGATGTGGGTCCTCCCAATCTTGCCATTCCCATGACAAAGCTTTCACAGAGGGGAGGATGACCTGTGCAGTTCAAGCTCAAACTCAGTCACTAAGAAGTATGACTTCAAGCAAGTTGCTTCAATTTACCTGTCTCCCGTATATCATGGACTGAGCCAAAGTAAATGGGATGGTATGTGAAACACTCTTTAAAAATACAAAGAAGTTTACAAATGTATCTTAATACTAGCATATCTGTATTGATTAGTTCTTCCTTGAGTTCCAAATGTAGTAATTTCTCTGCAGAGCTTATCATAAGCAGACTGTATCTGCTTTATCAACTCTCTAATATATTCCTGATTCACCTCTTTAGATCGAAAAAATTGTGACTGCCTATAAATAGAGATATGACTTGTCTGGTAGCCTTCATAACTCAATATTGGTGGATTTGTCAGTCCTTGCTTCATTTCTGGCTTTGCTGCCTTCCCAAGCTCCTCACTGCTGGGTCCTGTACATTTGTTCTGTCTGCAGGCTTGGTCTCATTCCAATTCCTCAGCCGGTCCCTTCTGAGGCGGCAAATACCTCAGGGTCTCCAGCCACAGGATTGGCTTGGCCAATTATTGCATGTGACCGCCCCCACCCCCTTTTACTGGAATCTTTTTCATTGCCAAATAGACTCACAGTAAAATAAATGTGCACTGGGGCATACTTTTTAATTTTTTTGGCAGTTCACTCTCTAAGAATGTTGATTTCTCCTCAAGATCTGCTCACTTTTCTACCCACCAGTACAGGAATAGGATTTGTACTGCTACCTGCTGCTTCATCTAATTTTCAAGGGCCATCTTGCTACAGTAGCTATGCTGGATTTTCCTTGAGCACCTCCATCCACACCACACTCTGTGGGGTCTTCTTGGATGTGGACAGGGTGTGTACCTCCCTTAACAGTCCTTGTTGTAGAGGCCCCAGTGTGCCTCAGACCTAAGGATCCCTATGTTTCATGAATACTAAATCTCAAGGCCCATATAAAACATGTCATAATTTATGTGGTCCTACTGCATTCTTACTTCTTTATTGTCTTCAGTGTTGCAGCAGTCCACATGCAGGAGCAATGTGCTGACATCCCACAGACTGACTGATCTGCAGCCTTTCCTTCGCCTAACTATTCACAGGGGTCGCATCAGGGGTCACATTCTCCCATCTTTCAGTAGCAGCAGTGATTCTCAAAATGCAATGGTAAACATGAGAAGACAACCTCCCTGGAGGGGGGTCTATCAGAATGTGCAGTGGGAACACACAGACAGCTTGAAAGGTCTGCTTTGCTGAGATTCTGATACATCTTCCTAGGAGGATATCCCCATTCTCCTGCCTCCTACAGTGTGACACACAGTCCACAAAAGAGTAGGCTACCCGACTTGAAGGTAAGCTTTTTGAACTGTGTCTGGATCCTCAATAGCACCGTCCCTATTTCAGACCAGGTTTTCACTGCATCTATGGGGGCTGACTGAAAGGCTAGACCCACCACCAGCACTTCCTCCCAGAAGCATGGGAGCAAGTGGGATCGAGGGTGTGTGGAAAGATAAAGTAATTTTCCCCTTTTGCCTCACAGGACCTCCAGGGTAGAGGAGGAAGATAGAATAGGTGGACAGGGTCAAGTAATATGGGAAAGGGTTTCCTAAAAACTGGTCTTAAATAACAATCTTATCTTGCTATAGTCAAGAAGTTTCAAGGCATCTCATATTCTCTCAGGATCCCAAGTCCTATTATTCTCTCAGGATCCAAGTCCTATTTTATTCTTTTTAAGAATGAATTTAATTTAGGTTAATGTTGCGGGAGAGAGTGAGAGGAAACAACAGCTGCCCAATCACAAAGGCAACCCTGTGCCTATCGCTGATCACTAGAAAACATCAGCCTATTTGGCACATGAGATTCTGATATCACAATAGTAATGAATTATTGTTTCCTATGGTATCTATACTAATGTTGCATTTTTGGGCAAAATAAATACAAAATAATGATGTTTGTGATAGTAACCCATTTCTAGGCCTTTTAAAGACAATAAGTAGGCCTTGTGAGATGTTTATATTATCAGGGTATGATAATCTTTCTGAGGATCTAAATTCAGCCATCGACATTCTGTGTGATACAAAAACCTTACACTTAGATAACTCAATCAGGCAGGTTCCTCAACACTGCTAAGTCTTCATGCCTGGGTATTCTAAATTCTAGCAATGTGCTCAGGCAAAGAATTTTAGACTTTTGTCAGAGGTTATGTAGAATCAGGATCAAATATGTACAGTATTTTATTTTTAGGAATTTATCAGATATAATTTGGGGTAAGGGCCTACAATTTAAATTGGGAGATGATTTGGATCTCACAAAACATGTGTTTGAGGAACAACTGGAGGAAAGCCTGGATAAAAATAATTATTACCCTGAAACATTACTTATAAATGCAAAACATGCTGTTTTATTCTTTAAAATAGTCAACTGATAAATATTTAAGAGGAAGAAAGCAGTAGCTAACACCAGTAATGGAGAATGAGTGGCCTATGTGAGCCCACATGAGGGAATGGAACAGTGACACTGGGATGGGCAGAGTAGCCTATGTCTGTGTGTCTGGTCTGTGGCCTGCACTGTCTGTGCAGGGGAAGCAAAGTGAAAAATCCTCGTCTGCCGAGGGCTCACCCTCTGTCCAGGAGGGCAAAAGTATACAACCCAACCAAATGAGCACAACATAGGGCTAAACAGCAAGCCCTCAGTTCAAAAAAAGGGATGGAAATGGCTGGACATAGCTGAAAGTATTTCACATTTGTTGTAACCGAATTGGATTCTGCAGGATATGCAAGTGGACAGCAAGAAAACAGGTGGAGACGGATGTGTGGCTGGCATCGGGCCACTACAAAATCTCAGCCTGGTTTGAAAGCCCATGGTAAGGAACACTGGCGAAACATTGATCTAAGCTGGAACTCTAGCAAACTCAGACAGAAAATAAAACAACAAAGTTGTTCACAAGATCAATCTAAACTTATATTAGTGGAAATTGTGATTTGAAAGAAAATTCCAAATGACTCTATAGGTTAATTGCAAGAGAAGCTTTAAAAAGTGTTGCAATATTTACACAAATGCTATTTATATATATTAAGAGAATGAGAAATTTTTATTCCTCATTAATAAAAGAAAAAAGGGTGAAGAATTCAGAGCTTACTCTTATTCTCACAAGAATGAAACATATGTATTTTCTAGCTAATTTGTCATCTATTCTTTAATTCTGTATTGAATTTGTGCTTTGACCATTTCTCAATATTAAAAAGAAAAAAATCAATAATATGAAGTGATAGAAAACACTCAGAAATATGGCTTTACCAATGTAATCGGAATCTAAATTAAAGTGGCCCTAAATTTATGTTATTTGGGTACTTTTCATGAAGTAATTACTACCTCTGTTGAATGTTCAGTTGAGCCTTGATATTATACCGGAGGAGGAAAAGAAGGGAGGAAGGGAGGAGGAAAAAGAAAAGGACTCTTTAGAGAGATACTATTATGTTAACCGGACATATACTGGTATCTTGACAGAGCATTTCAGTAATGAGTATGCTATTTTTATGTACCAGATATAAATAAGCTTAAATCCTTAGATATTTATACTTCTGTAAGTACAGCATTACTACACTAAAACACACTATTAAATATTTTTAAATAAGGCAGTTTTCTCAGCGGTCACAAACTATATTTACTTTTCTATCTTTTGCATCCATTAACCATAAAAATATATTCTGTTACAAAAATATCCTTCAGTAAACTCAACAGTAGAAAGCTCGTCTCAGAGTTTCATATGATCAAAACCTTATGAAATCTCATTATTACAGATGGAAATCTTTTTAAATCAGAGAAAGAGATGATAAAATCAAATTTTCAGAGACTACTAGAATATTTCTTCTAAGCCCTGACTTCATTATTTCTTCCTGCTACGCTTTTACCATTAAAGTTATTCTTTTTATTTTATTAAATTTTTGTTTTTGTTTTTGTAGAGACAGGGTTTCACTCTGTTGCCCAGGCTGGTCTTGAACTCCTGGGCTCAAGCAATCTTCTCGCCTTGGCCTCCCAAAGTGCTGGGATTACAGGCATGAACCACCATGCCCAATCCCCACAGTTTTTCTTTTTAGATAAAGACCACGACCTAAGAAAGTAACAATGAAAATACTAATTCTATCCTTGTCTTCCTCACTCACAAAAGACTTAAAGAAATCATAAAATATCTCTGATCTTTTTAGATCTGATCAGTAGGAAGTAGCTATGATCTTTTTAATAGCGCCCAGTTTTACAAATGCAAAACCTGATTGGAGAGATCATCCAAGGATGCCTCTATAATTTTTCTCTGACTCGCCTTTTCCTCCTGGGTGGCTGCTTGAACAGCAATCCCTCACAATCTCCTTCTCCATTTGCCCGCGCTCCAGAAATCCAACACCAATTAATTAGATTTCCACTTTCAAAGCGAAGAACAAAACCCCATCTCTTCAGGGACCATGTTAAGATGAGTCATACCACAAACTGGGGAAAAATCATTAATATTATATTCCATAGGTTTTTTTATAAGTAATTATTATTCGTGCTTTCTCTTAGAACAAAAGAAAAGGTGAACAGGGAAGAATCTGATCCTAGAAATATAAGTGATTTGAAAATACAAGGAAAAAATATTTATTTTTTGAAGCAGCTGTATTAAATTGCTCATTGGCATGTACAGGCATAAATCTGTTATTTATTTATTTGTTTATTTTTAGAGACAGCATCCCACTATGTCACCAGGCTGGAGTGCAGTGGCTATTCACAGGTGTGATCATCACACACTACAGCCTTGAACTCTTGGTCTTAAGCAATCCTCCTGACTCAGCCTCCTAAGTTGCTGAGATTATTGGCAAATGCCACCATGCTCAGCTCCATGCATAAACTGAAAGTAAAATTCCAGTCTTCTGGTGAGAACAATAAATTAGAAACTGATCCTAGCAAAAAATTTATTTTTAAAAAAGTACAATTAAACATTTTTAAATTATCAAGTGATGTTTTAAAAAAAGGCCTTTACATAATCTTCTGAAGTATCATTTATTAATTTTGGTAGCTTACTTAATCTCATAGTATTAGGTACTCTTAATCAATTTTTTATTAGGCAACTGAACTGAGATTACAAATTCAGAGAGTCTTTCCACAAAGCATTACCAGAACAGAGTTCTATCCCTTCACTGGGGTGGCAGTCATGCTCAAGGGACAGCCACGTAATTGTTCTAACTCCAGCAGCAGCAGTGGCAACCACTACTGATTACTTAGAAACCTAAATGCTATTAAATGTCTCCCATTATAGGGACAGGGTGACACTGTCATTATGGTAGAAGTTGATACTCTTGCTTTTTCCTTTTTTGGGGATCATCTGAAGAGGTTGTAGAAAACGCGCAGAAATTAGTCTATCTTCAAAAAGTCAGAATCCAAACAATGTCACTCACTCTGTAATAATGCATCTACTGAGAGATAATCCACAGGGTATGTACACATATATAGAGACATTTTAAGACTGCCCATGTTTACAGATCCCTGATGTGTAAAGACAATTAAGAATTTAGGTTATCTTTCTGTTTGGTCAAGCCTGAGGAGAGTTGTTTTTACAGAAGCTGTATTATTTAAATTAGATAGAATCTCTGACTAAAATGGAATCTGATACTTTGTGTAGGTTTTATAATTAATTCCTCTGCTTCAAAGTGAGTAAAATCACTCACCTAGAAATCTACGAATTTTTCAGTAGACTGACGTCAAACACAAGTCTAATTACCTCCACAACAAATTTGAAGATTCTAATGGGAAAACATCCACAATTTCTATGTTTTCCTGCATTAAGGAACTGGATGTTTCAGGTGAAGTGACTGTCAAACCCAGCAGCAGTGAGACCTACGCAGAGCAAAGAAGTCACTGAAACAATGATGGGCAGTTTCTGACCAAGCACTATAGATGAAATATTACAGGAAAAGTTATGTAGCATCTCCAAGGTTCTAGAAGGTAAAATGAGAGAATTATGCATCTGCACCCAACTAAAATTAGAAAAGCTGCCATATGGCTTTGTGAAGCCAGCAGCACATTCTTATTCATTAGGAAGCATTCTGCTAACATAAAAACACAAGGCCCTTCCTGTGCTCTCCAAATGTGTTTATCTTTTCAACATTAATGCACTATATATCATCAAGCTGCTGAAGTCTCCTGCCGTGCATATTAAAAGCGCGCAGCTGCACTTTCTTTAGTAGTGGGAGGAACCTAAGCCGCAAGTTGCCTCCCTCTTTTTCTGACATTGAGCTTCTTAACATCATGATTTCCCTTCAGCATGAAGAAATAGCAAAATTAACCAATCTGAAGGCCATCTCCACCCAGCAAAACCCTCTTACTCTCTGCTTTAGAGAAAGCAACATATTTGGCTTCATTTTCATCAATGGTATAAGGCATGACTACTTAAGTAGAAACAAAAATCATGTCTCAAGTTTGAAATACACAGGCCTACTTTTAAAATTAATGTACTACAGTTACCAAGAGAAAGGACAGCAACCAGAATAGACTTTGAGTATTAGACAGAATATTTAGGCTTTGAGTATAGACAGAATAGACTTTAATAGAAAATGCTTTTGTTCATGGGAATTCACTATCATTCCCTCTGCTATTGCCCATACATATTACTATGTAATAGCCCACTTCATATAGTACCTATCAGTATTGAATTTACTGAAAGGTAAAATGGGCAGTGGAAAATCTTTCATGATAAGCCATGTCAGTGAATAACAATTTGTCCAAAATCTTCCTTTTATATAATCCAAATTCCTGCACCTCACAGTTCATGTCCTATAGGAGCTTAAATTTAAAGATCAACTGCAGAAGAAAAAAAATACTTAGGCACACAATAAACAATGTAGACACTGAAAGAACCCATGGAAACATGGCTTCAGAAGTGCTTCAAGTTAGTGAACTGAAAGCCAACAAGTATTAAATATTATACATATTACTACATTTATTATGGCAGCATTCATTCATTCCCTGATATGATAATGGTGCATCTCTATTTGTATCTTCCACAGCAATGGAGTACTGAGAGGTGAAGGCAAAATAAAATATAAAAACTGCTATTTCAGAGTAAATTCTAATTTATTGGGCTCCACTCACTAAAGTTTTGGAAGTTACCTGAACAAGGAAATAAAGGAATCATAATTTGCTTAGAAAGTTGAAAGGTGAAATTGAGATTAGATGAAAGAAGGAAAAAAAATCAATGGGTGTGAAAGAAATGAGAAGTGAGGTGAGGCTCGAAGTCATCACTTATTCAGAAGATTATGAGTAAGCCTGTCAAAAGACCAAATTATAAAAAAGTTCTATTTCTTCCAAATATGAATGTCAACTCAAAAGCAAGGCCAACAAAGTTACACTGTAGGAGTACTTAATAAAGTTTCTGATAAATAGCTTAAAATATGAAAATTATATTTAAAAAGTTGTTTATAAAATTCTAAGACTTTGGTCTTAGTTGTGCAACTTTTAAAATCTCCTAAATCACAATTCTGTTTATTAGCGCAGTAAACCTCATCTCCCATTATTCCTAGCTTATACACCATAGCAATATTTAGTATCTGTCTCCCCCCAAATGCATCACATTCTTTCAAGATTTTGAGCATTCTCTCAGATTGTTCCATTGGCACAGATGCCCTTCCACCCCTTCTCTTGGAAGATGCCACCACAGCTCCAGAAAGCTCATGTCAACGAAGTTAGGCCCCTGCCGCCGTGCTTCTGTGATGCCCTATGCCCATCCCCATCTTAACATTCCCCTCACCATTTTGAAATGATCTATTTTCATGTCTGTCCCTTTTCACTACATTGCTGGCTCCTTGGCTGTAAGAAATGACTTTTTATTTGCTGCCTGGCACATAGTGGGCGCTCAATGATGTTGTGTTAATACTGAACACAGTATTCACAGCTGTGAATACAGTTTCACAGCTGGAGCTAAAATTAAATTCCATTTAGCCAGGGCTGAAATATCACAAATGTCTCTTCAGAGGTATCTGTTTGGAAGAGCTTTACCATATACCTAACATAGTGGAGGTTCATTTTAAGACTCTGATTTTTTATTTTTGGAGTCAAAGTATTAGGTAGAGATGGGATGAGAAAAAAGGTCAGACCGTATTTGCTAAGGGCATCAAGAATAATAGCTCAGGTGGTCAGGCCAATGAGAAGAGGATTTGGAAGAAAAGTCACCAAGGCTTTCTCTACACCTGAGCCACGAAGTTTAAAAACCCCAACCAGCCTACTTTACTAGTCCAGATTCTCATCTAGGAAGTTACAACCTACTTTACAAAAAAAGTGATCTGGGTAACACAGACATTTTTTTCAGTCCTTGGGATTTTCCCAGCCACTCACAGCTCTTAAGAAAATAAACCTACCCAAGTGGAGGTTGTACAAATTGTCACATTTGCCTGGGGAGCCAGGATAAAAGAGCACTTCATCAGGTTTCTTGTCCCTCCCACGCAGAGTGCTGCGAGAAGCCTTGGATTCTAAGGATAAGGTTAACAGCTGATAGAGGAAAGCCACCTATAAAGCAGCGCTTTATAGGTGGCTTTATAAAGTGGGATTGGCCGAAGGGCTAAAATCCCTGGAGAGGCTGCCAAGGTTCTTCCTGTCTTATTCAACTTTGAATATCCAATGACTAAAATAAAGCTGAACGCCCTAAAGATGGCCAATAAACGTGTAGAGAAAGACAGAGGGAAGGATGAAGGAAAGGAAGGGGGGCTGGTTACTTTGTGCTGTCTCTTCTTTCTGGCTCTGCCACCAACCCTCATTTCTATGAAGCTTGCAAGGCTTCACACCCAGGCCGCTGCTTCACCTTAATGGTGGCTATCTGGAGGGGTGTCTCTCAAGGCTTCGAAAGGACTGAAAACCATCCTAGTACCTGACCTTCATTTGTCTTCTGGGGCCATATCTTCCATGCCTAGGAATCCTCCCTGCTCCTCACTTCCTTTTCACTGACATCTTGCTCCCCAATGCATTTTGTTCCACTTCTCAGACCTGCTTGCATTTCTCTCCTTGTGTTTTTCTCCCATCTGGTTATCTTTTCCTTCCAGTTTCTCTCTACAGACACAGGATCTGATGTCATTCTAAAGAGACTGCTACAACTCATCATATGTAGACTCTTCTCCTTTCCCCTACTGTGATTCTAACAATATCATAGGGAGGTTGAAATTCCCGGTTTCATTTTGCTTACTACCGTCTATTCCCAGTTCTCTCATTCTAGCATTTGCTTGAGCAATCATGGGAGGACCTCACCAGTGTGGTTTTTCAAAAAGCAGGTGTTCCTAATTTAAAGTACCTAATGCAAAAAGCTGATAATAGAACACAGAATCATCCAATTTAGAGCCTAAAACATTATGCTAAATCATATCATTGTAGCAGAGAAAGCAAAGCAGTGTTAACAATGGGAGAACTCTGCATAAATATACGCAGCACCATGGCTCTGGCCAAGCAATGAAGGCACAGGGAGAATGGGGCTGAGAGGACAGCAGACTCCAGGGAGCAAAACAAGAAAGACCATGAGAACAAAGGAAGTAACTGTAAGGCGAGTGCAGGCTGCTTGTGGCCAGGGCGCAAGCTCTCTGTGGACAGGGTCATGGGGCACGTGGTGGGGTGGCGTGGAGGTGGAACAACTCCAGAGGCAGGCTCCAGAAAAGTTTACAATCTGACACCACTCAAATCTCCCACAGGCAAAGATCTCTAGTAGCCAAGAATTTGCTTCAGTCAAATCAACTCTCTGGAAAGCTGACTGCTAAGACAAAAACTAGGTAATTTCTAAGTGAACATTTAGGGAGGAAAATAAGTGGGTATATGAGAATAGGTCTGTCTAGTCTCAAGTATTTTTTTGGCAATTTGAGCAGTTACTACAGGCAGAGTTTACCATTTCTTGTGATTCTCCAACTGCCATTATTTGTTGTGTCATTAGTCCTTCTCTACATGTATGTTTATTTTCTACCTGGTTCACAGGATTTTTTTTTTTAACCTATTAGAAACTACGTATAGGAATGCGGCCACCTAACAATGAAAACGCACATACAAATAATAAACCTAAATACATACACACTCTCTCACTCTCTCTCTCTCTTTCTCCAGAGAAACCCATCTTGGGGAAAGGAGCCCAGATTTATCCTCCAGGATGTCAAGAAAGGATGGTGTAAAAAGTTTATAATCCTGGGTCTCAGTTCACAACCCAGGGACTTTCTAACCATTAGAAGGTCTATGTTCTTCCTAACAGAACTTCTGTGGGGAAAACTACATAAAGAATAATATTTATATCATATAGAAACAGATTCTGTTCAAATGCTTGAAACAGCTTAATTTTGAATTCACATTTTTACATACAAAGTGTATGTCCTCCCTCCTCACTTTCCTCCCCTGACCAGCTAATCTCAGAATGGTCCCAGTCCTTATGAACTCGGCACTACCAAGGCCCCTCAGATCAGGGCTGACTGCAGAGGGCAAGGTGCTGCGAGGGACAAAGCTGTTATGAAGTATTCATCTTCTGCACTAAGATCATCAGGGCCCTCTTCCAGAAGAGAGCTGTTACCTGGGACAGGTAAATTCTGCGAAGTAAAGTCTGGTAAAATAAAGGACCTGATTTGTTCTGAAGATCAAAAATATGCTACTACAAAATTTTTAAAAGCAAGGTTTGCATATGTAACAAATAAACCTGATATGTATTTACAGACAAATTTACAGTATGTCTTATTGTGTAACATGCTCACTGTATTGAGAGTAAGAGATCAGGTAAAACAGTAGGTGAGAAGAAAGACTAGGAAGCATTTGGAAAATAATTCCAAAGTAGATCTTCCTAATTTGTAAAAATGTGAATTTTCTTTATTAACATCTTCATTAACACCTAAATTCAAAGGACATTCTAGAAAAAGAGGTCCTGTCAAATATCCATTCAATAATTACTGCATTTCATAATGACAACAGGAAGAGCTTTAAATACATCTTTAAAATGACCCTTTAAATACCTTACAGCATAAATTCTCTCCAATTTAAGCAGGCATGGCAGTGAATCATCAACCAACCTTCCACAACTATTTAAAGCAGTAGGCAATTAAAAAGAATACAAGGACTGGCATCACTCAGAAATTGACATGCCTCAACCAGGCAGCAGGAGAAGCAGTGAGGGCCTTAGAAATGGCTGGCACTTCCATGCTGCAAAGCCCAGCACAAGTGTGAAAGAGAGGTGGTTACAATTTGCATGCTGAGGTCAAAGTGACATTAACAAAGGCCAACCAACATTTACAATGTTTCCTAAATTTGGTATCCAGACTAACCTTTCTATAACCAAATCCTCTCCTTTTCTTATTTTATTTAATTCTGCAGCAAATTTTGTAACCTGAGGGGAAAAAATGGTAATATCCTCAGTAATTTAGTAATTCCCTGAGATTTTATATCGGTTACGTGCTCTCAAATACAAGGACTGTTTAAGCAATCAAATCCACTTGCAAGAAATCAGAACAAATGTCTATTTAAAGTCTAACAATTTTCCAGTAGATGTTATGGAAAAGTTTGAGCCACAACAGACAGATATACAGACTGTGAGCACCATGGCTATGGATGGATAAGTCAAAAACGAAAAACTCTCAGAAAATTAATTATGATCATCCATATAGGCCATAGAACATATCACAATTCAGTATCTAATTATAAATATGAAAAAGACATGGTAATTAAGTTACTCCCTATCAAATTAACTGGTTTAAATTACCTTAAAATTAGTTTTGTTTTACATATATTAACCACAAGAGATGCTTCCCCACCATTCTACAACCATTCAAATAATGAAATAAAATAAAATCCTCATAAAATTTCTTCTTCTTTCAATTTAATTATCCTACATAAGCTTCTAGATGCTAACTAATTTAGTAATACACTATCATAAGACTTCAGAAAAGTTCTACCCAATGGCATTTTTCCCCCAGTGGCAGTTTGAAACAATAAGCTTAGCTTCAATGCAGATGCATGGGTTGAATCCAAGAAACCTGTTTTTGGAAATCCTGCCTGCCAGGTGATGGCTTACAGGTGAGGCTGAAGATGACTGATGTGACAGCTGGGCAGGTCCAGTTTTCAGAGCCATAGCAAGAACAGAAGGTAGCCTTTTTTTTGTAGACTGATAGCCTGGACACGAGGATGATGGTGTACTCATTTCATATGTAATTCACCTGCTTCTCAAATAAACTGAATACTGTCTTAGATTTGCTTTTTCAAAAACGCATTGTGTGTTGTTTTTAAATTACATCAACGGACAGTGGGCTTCCCAGAGAATGGAATGGTGGCAGTTTGTCAGCTCTGTATTGCCAAGGAAAATATTTGGCTGCATATAGGGTTTCCTGAGAGCAAGTTAGTACACGACCTCAATCTTTTCCAAGCTTATCATAATGCCGTAAGGCTATGCTGATTCAGCAAAGCAATAAATAATCACTTGCAAAATGCCCTGCTTCACAGGGATGTTATGAGACTTAATAAAATAATGCATGTGAAGCACTCTGAGCTCTACAGAAGAAAGGCAGGAAGTAATAATATTATTCTGCATTTATAATGACAAGCAGTCTTACAATGGCAAAAATCTAATAGACCTGTTCACAAATTACAAATAAAAACTAGCTTAAATAATTTAATTGTACAACAAAAAAAACCTGAAATCATTTCAGTCTGAAAAGTGGAATGAACAGACTTCATAAGGCTAAGTCAAAATGAAAAGAAATAGACAAGTTTCTACTAAACAGAAAGATTATATTGCTTTGTGAGAGAATAGAAATGGAATCAGAAACTTACAAGAAAGAAAAGTATATTTTATTAAAATTATTTTGTGACATTGCTGTTATGAATTAAATTTAGTTATATTTCTATGGCTTTCTTACTAATAAATTTTAAATCAAAGTCAGTATTAACAGTAATAAAATTTCTTCAGTTATCAATGATAAAACTGATTTAACTCTCAGTAGAATAAAACATGAATACTATACCAAATGTACATTGTTTCTTTTTAACAAATTAAAATAATGCTGGATTTTCTTTCTCTTCTTTTCTTTCTTTCTTCCTTTTTTGCCAACAGCATTTGTCTTATGGATGGGAAATGCCTATTTCTTTTTCCTCCGGACACGCCCAGCCAAAGGAACACGATGCATTAAATTCCACTTCATTTGGGGTGTCTCTCTACCAGAGCTGGCCAGGTTGAAGTGGCATTGCTAGGCTCTTAGGTGCCACTGAATTTACTGGATAGTGACGGGCCTTCTTGGTTCAGCAGATGCCATTTTCTCAAGGAAATCTCAGAATTTCAGGGGATCCAAGCTGTTTACCCTCTGTGCTTCCACAACATGTCCATAATATCATTTACTGTATCATATAAATCGTCTTATTTGATCTAGATCTCAGAACTCCCTCAAGATTGTCCAGTCTCTGAGCCAGAAATTCCATTTTTCATCTGTGTATCTCTATTCACCATGCAACTGCTGACCCATGTAGACACCATGTAGACCCAAGTGACCCACACTCTGGAGAAAACACTGTTTCCCTCAAGTGGGCTGAACAGGCTGTACAGCAGCAACTTCAAGCACATGGGACGAGGAATTTTACTCTCTAATTTTCATTTGTAATTTTGTTTTAGAGAAGTAGTAGTTTATGTTTTCTTTTTTAAAAATACATGATATTAGATGGTGGAAATGCAAAGATGAAAAAGACAAGCTCTGCCTCTTATAGGGTTTAGGGTGCACTGCCACGGTTAAGCCAAGTGCTGAAATGGGGTTAGTGGATTATCGTGATTAAAGTGTTAGGGATTTATGAACAAAAGAAAAATTAAATTTGAAATTTGTGAATTCATAAGTATTAAAAAGGTTTTTCTTTATTTAGCTAGAAGACTCCACTTGTTTGGAGAGTATAGGAAACAGCATTGATCTGGATGCTGAATAAAGAAAGACTCTAATTATCTAAGATTTTCACTAAGAATGCTTTCATCAGAGAATGAACATAGCAAAGCTGATTACTTAACTCAAAATAAACTTCCATCAACACACCAGGAACAATACATACACCTCAGGATGCTAACAGGGCCTAATTAGTTCTCTGAAGTATAACAGCTCAAAAAAATTTTTGGAAAATAAAAATGTGAAGATTAATAATCTCTTATATTATCCTCTCAGGATAAATCCAATTGCCAAGGAAATTAGACTTACAAATCTCAAAAATTCAGGCTAAGAACATACCCTGCAGGAATAAAAAGAAATCTGTTAATTTTTCAAAACTAAACCCAGTTAAGTGGTAGACTTAGAGAAAAACCTACAATCATGGAACTACAAAAGCATCTATACAAAGAGGAGTTATACTATCTGTCCTTTCTAAAGAAACTATGAGTCACTAAGTCAGGAATGGAACTAAATAAAACTCATTGGTGTTTAGATCTTTGCTCTCACGTATCCGAATATGGATTGGGAGCTCAATTAAAACCTTGATTTCCAAAAACAGAGAGGGTTTAGTAGAGTATATGAAAGTACCTCAGGGGCTCTTCAGACGAATTACTATAATAAACTATTTATAAGAAGGAAAGTAAGGCCTGGTGTGATGGCTCATGCCTGTAATTCCAGAACTTTGGGAGGCTGAGGCGGGTGGATCCCCTGAGGTCAGGAGTTCGAGACCAGCCTGGCCAACATGGCAAAACCCTGTCTCTACTAAAAATACAAAAAAAATTTAGCTGGGCGTGGTGGTAGACGTCTGTAATCCCAGCTACTTGGGAGGGTGAAGCAGGAGAATTACTTGAACCCAGGAGGCAGAGGTTGCAGTAAGCTGAGATCACCTGGGCGATGGAGTGAGACTCTGTCTCCAAAAAAAAAGTAAAGTAAAAGAAAGTTGGAAGAAGATGAACTTCAAATGACTACATTATAAATGAGAAAAATCAGGGGAATGGGAGTCTAAAAATCAAGGATCATTTGTGGAGGATACTTTGGTAAGGGAGCTAAAAGCAGTGGACCTAACAGCAAGAAAACTAATTGAGAAGCTGGTAGGTACATGACTTTGACACAAGAATATCTGATACTGCAGGTCTTTACAAACACTGATACCAGGTCCATAAACTTTCAGCTTCATCATGAATGACTTCTCCCACTCTCACTCCAAGGGTCATTTCAAAAAAAGTTAAATTGTTCATCATTTGTGTGCTTTAAAAAAATATGAAAATAGCCTTATTGTGTCCTATAGGCAAGGAATGGGCAGAGAGTATATTCTTACAATTCTGAGTGACTACTATAATGAATAGACAGAAATCAAAGATAAAACTTCTATCAATTTGAAGCCACTGAAGTAGTAAACAAAAACTCAAATGTCCACCTGGTTAGCCAGGTAATGTACAATCACTTCAGTACTGAAATAATGCCAGTCAAAAGACAGACAGGGTGGATTTCTATCCACTCCTCAAGCTGCACACATAGCCTCACCCACATTTCCTAGTCCCCCCACTTAGAATATCCTCTGGCATAGGGAGCTCCTAGAAAATTAGACTGAGTTTTCCTCTGAAGAGATGAACCTTACATTAATTCTTCATGTAATAAAAGACTCATCATTTACCTATACAGTGGCCTTTGTCTCTAAGAAAAGGAGGAAGAGAGAGGGAGGAAGAGAGAGGGAGGGAGAGGGAGAAAGAGACATACACAAATGGGATATGTTTTTATAGAAGTGAGAGAGACCCATGAGAATCTCCTGTGAGATTAAAAGAGATAAACTGAGGGGTTTCTAAAGACTGAAAAGGCCAGGGACGGTGGCTCATGCCTGTAATCCCAGAACTTTGGGAGGCCGAAGTGGGTGGATCACCTGAGCTCAGGAGTTTGAGACCAGCCTGGCCAACATGGCGAAACCCCATCTCTACTAAAAATACAAAAATTAGCTGGCCATGGTGGAAGGCGCCTGTAATCCCAGTTACTTGGGGAGGCTGAGGCAGGAGAACCGCTTGAACCTGGGAGGCAGAGGCTGCAGTGAGCTGAGATCGTGCCACTGCACTCCAGCCTGGGCGAGAGAGTGAGAATCCGTCTCAAAAAACAAAAATAAAAATAAAAACAAAAAATAAAAGACTGAAGACAACATGGGAGAGTTGAAACCAAGCTTTACATGTATTTCAAAGAATACATTTCCAATTGTATCTGTACGTGGAATACCATTTAGTAGGAGTTTTTAAGATTTGCTGAAAGTTTGTGACTTTTCCCTTATTTTACTTTGTTATTACAGTAACAATCCTTACTCCCCAAAGAGTTGAGCATTTGCTTCAGGGACAACTGTACATAAAAACCTGAATTTTGTGCTACAGCGGACCAGAGGAGGGGAAAAAAAAGAAATAAACTGATGGCTAGAGGAAGACAGCAGAATGGGAAGCAGGTGACTTATAAAGTAAAGGAAGGAACTTTGCCAGAGTCTTAGAAGAGTTACTGTGCTAGCCTGAGCCCTTAGTAGCTCCTGGCTTCCAGCCTGTGCATACACCTGTGACTGGACAACCCCACCACCCACGGGCCTGCCCCTCTGCTCCTAAGAGTCTTGCCTGGTATTTCATGGCAGTGGAGGCCTGCAAAGGGAGGAGCCAGGACACTACCAGGGCAGAAAGGAAGGAAGAGGCAACCATGCTCCAGGCTTCTCTGGAAATCCAGAACAGATCTTCCCAGGAAATATATGGATGTGTTGATCAATTAGCCTCTATAGTATCCCTCCTTGTAATAAACATTGGGTCAGTGGTTCCCACCTTTTGGGGTAAGAGGGCTCTTTTTAACATCAATAAAAATGGAGACCTGGCCAAGAACGGTGGCTCATGCCTGTAATCCCAGCACTTTGGGAGGCGGAGGCGGGCAGATCACGAGCTCAGGAGTTCGAGACCAGCCTGACCAACATGGTGAAAACTCATCACTACTAAAAATACGAAAATTAGCCGGGCATGGTGGCGCATGTCTGTAATCCCAGCTACTCAGGAGGCTGAGGCAGGAGAATTGCTTGAACCTGGGAGGCAGAGGTTGCAGTGAGCCGAGATTGCACCACTGCACTCCAGCCTGGGCGACAGAGCGAGACTCTATTAAAAAAAAAAAAAAAAAAAAAAATGGAGACCCATAGGACAATATCATACTTGAAAATGATATATAACATGAAGAACAGGTTACAGTAAGTTCAGTAATGCTTCTAAAAGAACTATCTATCATTACACCATCAGAGCTATATGCACCACATAGATTAAGAACTTCTCTCGTTAGATGCAATATTGATAACAATAGGCCTTATGGAGCTGGTCCAATAATCTAATCACCAAAATTTGCATTGGTTTGATAGAAAATACCCTCCATTCTGAACAATTAACTTATAGTTAAATCTCAGAAAAAGAAAAGGTTTAAAGGTTAAAAGGTCTCTTTCTTTCTTAAGAAAGCATGGAAGTGAGGGAAAAAAAAGACTCCCAAATGCAATCACACAAGGTATATACTTCCATATTATCTAAGAGACAAAAATATGTAACAACTTCTGATCTTTGACAATTCAGCTATCTAACAATATTCCAAATAAAATGTACTATGTGTAATTTTTTCCCCTCATCTGACATAAAGGATCTACAAATTGAAGATGGTCTACCAGAGGAAAAAAGCTTTTAAGAAGTTGAGTTTAATCATGTCAATCCCAAAAGAGCTTGCTTCTTTTCCTCTTCTGTTTCCTCCCATCAGATGTAACAAAATGAATACACCACTTGGAATCTTACAGAATGGTGGTATGCGCATGCCCATCTAATGTAGACAGGCTTAAATAAGAAATCACCACTGCTCTGAGAACCACTTCGGGCCTAAAGAAATAGAGGATACAGGCTCCCCAAAACGACCTCAGAGTTCTGTAATGTTTGCTATCTGGTGTTAACTGGCAGTGGAAAGGCATCTCAGTGATGAATGTACGGGAAGCAGCACCACGCTGATATTGGCATTATTTATTTTACTCTTCTTCCTCAGACAAAATTTCTTATTTCCAAAAAAGACAGCTCCAACTGGACTCTAAATCTATTACAGATATCAAGGTTCTAACACTGGAAGAGCAGAATCCAAGTCCGTTTTAAATGAACAACTTTTCTCTGCTGTGTATTTTTTCTATGTGACTATGTTGAATTGGGGTTTCCTTTTGTACAAAACAACAGAAATGAGAAACATAGGCAAAGATGCAATTTCATATCTAAAATTTTAAGTGTAAATATTTGAAATCTAATAAATTCATTTTCTAGGTGGAAGTTCAGATTTTACATTCTTTTCCAGAACACAAGTTAAAACACACTGCATACGGTCTTGTATATAGCTAAGCACTCTTGGCCCTCAGATTACATTCCTTCATTTTTGATCAATGATGTAATGAATACTGGGGTGGTCACAGTGACTATCTGCAAAGTCTGTTTTGCTCCCAACATACTTCCCAAAATGGGAGAGAACACCTTAACAAGGCCAGTGTTGTTTATCTAGAGGTTACATCGCACAAGTGAAGATGGACAGATCTTATGATGGACAACAGAACATTCACTCTGACAGAAAAATTCCTCATCTGCTCACATAGGGGTACAAAATGAATGTTCTAAAACAAGCCTGGTATCCAATATTCTGGCTAAATACCAAGAAGTCTTTTTTGGTCTAGAGAGCAACTTTCTGTTTTTCTGGGCTCTTTTATCTTCTTTTTTTTTTTTTTTTTTTTTCCTGACAGGAAAAGCTGACCTGCCTTGAAAGTGTGCATCATCTTCTGAAATAGGGATCTGCAAAAAATATTCTTCCTAGTAAACTAAAACTCGGTGTCTCTGTGTTTCAAATAACAGCTGATACCATGCTTACCCAATTGACTCCTAACAACCTTCTTCCAAATGGCAGACAAAGCCAAGAGTAAACAGCTGGGTAACAGGTTTAATTGTCTTTCCACTTCACTGGGAGACAGTGGATGTGGAGCTAGGTAGAGATCTAGACTTCAATGCTAGTCCTACCACTTATTAGCTGTGTGACTCTAGAGAAGTCTGGAGTCTAGACCCAAACCTAGGTTCTTCTTCTGTAAAATGGAGATAATAACTCAACTTACCTACAGGGAGTGTTGCAAGGCTGAAATGAGATGACGTATGAAAGAGCAGTGCCTGGCACCAAGTCAGCACTCTGTATGTGTGAATTCTCATTTCACTGTAGTAGCTGACCCTTTTGCTTTTGACAGAGTATATGTGACAGACTTTGCTAGTACATAAGGATGGATCTGCATTTTGTAGGGCCTGGAGCTTAATTACAGGGAAGGGTGTCTCTTTAAGAGTAAAAAATTGAGTATAAAAGTGAATATTTACATAGAATGAGAAAAGAGCTGTAAACACTAGAGTGATGAACAAGATTCAAATTTCTTCTTCTGAGAACTCTGTAGATAATAATCTGAAATGCTTCTGAAGAAGTGCTTCCTGATTGAAACGTGGGGTCCTATCTAGAACACTCTATAGCTCCTGGCACATATAGGACCCATACAAGTAAGGGGTCCTGAAGCTTAAGCTTTGTCAGCCTAGAGGGAATTCTGCCTCTGAAAATGTACAATATAAAATTTTCACTTAATTATTTTTATGTCATTCATCTGGCTTTTGGCTTGTAATATTAATTACATCTTATGTTCTATATTTTATCTTTACAAGCAGATTGTTAGACCAAAGTTCTTGATATTTACAAGTCCCTTAAATATAAATGGTCATACAGGAATCACTGTTTCATCTGATGATCCCCGGTGGCTACAGAAATCCCACGTTCCATTGCATCCTGCTACACCGCTTACAACTTTCTTCCCAATAGCTGCTTCACCACATTCCTTTAAGAGACCAATTCATTCCCACCCCAAACACCGTGTGGTCACATCTTCTTGTGCTCCACACCACGCCAAACTACAGCCACCTGTGAGAAGAGTGGCCCAGAAGGAACAGCATTATAGGGGACATCATTCATTGAACCCCATATTTTATGTTCCTTTTAAGACAACAGAAAGGCATGAGTGCTCTGAATACAGAGCAGCAGTATTCAGATAGTGTTCATGGCCATGAGGAATTCTCGCATCTGGAGGAGGAAGAAGAATAATAACCTTTCCTGGCTGGGCACGGTGGCTCACGCCTGTAATCCCAGCATGTTGGGAGGCCAAGGCAGGCAGATCACGAGGTCAGGAGTTCGAGACCAGCCTGGACAACATGGTGAAACCCCGTCTCCACTAAAGATACAAAAATTAGCTGGGCATAGTGGTGCACGTCTGTAATCTCAGCTACTTGGGAGGCTGAGGCACGAGAATCACTTGAACCTGGGAGGCGGAGGTTGCAGTGAGCTGAGATCACACCATTGCACTCCAGCCTGGGCAACAGGGCTAGACTGTGTCTCAAAAAAATAAAAATAAAAATAAAAAATAACCTTTCCTTTTTTCTCTTCACCTATGATGGATATACATCGGCGATGAAAGCCTGGTTAGAAATGCTTAGATGTGCAGAACATACAGGACCCTGGATTAGAGACAGTTATGACCTAAAGGTGCTGTTTGCTATAGTGCTTCCTTAACCTATAATGCCTCAGAGGCCTTGACTACAGCCTACATAAGATTTAAGGTTTTTAATGAAACCACATCTAACTCAAATTATCAAAATCTCTTTTCTGAACAATATGTGTTAAAACTACCTCTAAAAAACTATCTCTAAAGACACAGCAATAACTATTACAAATCTTTATTTTTATTTTGAATGTGTTGCTTTTGGAATTTCTCTGTGGAACAACATTTTCTGTCTTAATAAACAAAGGCAAAGTTGAAGACATGACAACCATTCTCAGGTAGGTAATGGAATGCGGAGGTGAAAGATCACAGGCTGCAGAATAACCAGACTGCGCTTTGGGTTCTAGTTTGTCACTGACTAGTTTTAAGGCCTCAACCTTACTACTGTTTTTGTGTATCAGTTTCCTTATCTATGAAACATAGGCAATAATTCCAATCCTGAGGCAGTCTCACAGATCTATTCTATGGACAGAGTGTAGAATGCAGTAGGCGTCTAAATGGGATGAGGTAGCTGAAAACAGTATGTATGAATGCATTTACATGACATTCTCTTAACGCTGCTAAAGAAAAAAGTATAGTTAAGTAGCCCTGGATACAAGGAATTTTGATTCTTAGTATTAGACTTTATTTAAACATTACCCATATGGTGAACTTCAATATACTCCCGGAGATCAAAAAACGTTTTACTTCCTACCTTCTCTTATCCCACTTTCCTTTATATCACTATATATCTACATCAACCTATCAATCAATCAATCATAGTACTTACTAATTTGCTATTATTACTTCTTCTTTTTCTTAGATCCAGGTATCAGCTTTATTACCTACTAAATGCAGGCACAGGCCAAGCTGGACCCCCACTGGCCTCCCTTGAGGGTGGGTCCCTACGTCAGGGAGGGTGAGGGACATATGCTGAGGAGCAGCTATTCTAAAAAAGCTTTAACGATTTCTTTGTTGTCTGCACAGCCTGAGAGCCCCACAACGACAGGGACAGTGCTTTACAGGTCTTTATATTCCTGATGGCTAGCACAGTGTTTGAACATAGAAGATATCTGGCCAATGTGTCCTGAACGTAAGTATGAATTAATAAGAAATCACCATGTTTAAATATAATTATGGCATATTCCCTGGTCATTTGGTCATTTCCAGACCATATCATTGGAATTTATTTTAAACTGACACAGCAGTTAATGAAAGTCCTTAAATGTGTTCTTTTTCTTCATTATTCTATTCATACCTTCTTAAAGCATCTGAAGAAAACCTTGGATTTCTTGCTGCTTTCACATTTTCTCTAAAAGTTTTTTTTTTTTTTTAAAGACAAGGCTTTTCTCTGTCACCCAGGCTAGAGTGCATTGGCTCAAGTGATCCTCCCAGCTCAGCCTCTTGAGTAGCTAGAACTACAGGCACACACCACCATGCCCATTTAATTTTTTTTTATTTTTTGTAGGGACAGGATCTCACTACGTTGCCCAGGCTGGTCTCAAACTCCTGGCCTCAAGAGATCCTCCTGCCTTGGCCTCCCAAAGTGTTGGAATAACAGGTGTGAGTAATGGCATCTGGCTTTTTGTTCATTTTGTATAAATGCTTATTAAGTATCTCTTATGTACAAGACAGGTAAAAGGGTATAAAAATTATTAAGATAAGGTTCCTCCACAAAAGAGCTGTCGTGGTAATGGTAATAGGGAGTTTTTTGTGTTTTGTTGTTGTTGTTTTCAGTTTAAACTACACTACAAGCCAAAATGATGTATACATTTGATCTAAAAGTGGCACACAAGCTGTGCAGTTATGAGTTAAAGAGTAATTAAGGCTGGAGGTCTGCCTAGAAGTACGATGGCCAGAAAGATAAGAGCAGGAGACAGCCTGGAAAGTACAATGGGACCAGCCAGCAAAGGGCCTTGAATACCATGGGAAGGCATTTTCCTTCGTCCTGCAGGCAGGGAGACTCACTGGAGGCTCAGGAGTTACACAGCCAATGTATTTTTAGAAAGTTAATGGTGATAGCAGCGGGGATGGATTATAGAAGGTAAAGAAGCAGAGATGAGTTAAGGTGAGAAAAGATGTCTTAAATTAGAGTGCTGAAAATAAACATGGGAAAAAAGGGTTATATAGCACAGAATACAGTGAGGAACTGACAGAGCTGACTAAATTGGCTGATTGTGGGGAAGGAAGAGGTAAAAGAGAAGGTGGCTGGAACTGAGGTTTCTAGCCTCGGTAAGGACAAAACAGGTGATCAGCGCATGGTGGTTACACAGACTGAGATAGAGCACAGAAAAAAGGATGAGGCAGTCTTTTCAGAAGGCAGAGGAGAAAACGGGTTTGGTTTGAGAGTATCAATTTAAGGCACCTGTGGAACACCCCTGTGGATGTCTAATGGTAGCTGGCAATCTGGACGGACAATGAAACTGTAAGACGGGGGCTGTGGGGAGGGACTCACCGAGTATCTGTGCAATGAAAGATGAGGGAAAGGTCAAGGGCAGATTTACCTTGACAGTCAGCACAAATACAAGCAATAGTTAAAACTCATTAAAGAGCGAATTTTATTTGAGAAGAAGAAAGGGCCAAGGTTTAGATGAGGAAAAAAAGCCAGTGAGTGAGGATGAATGTGGTACAGCTCAAAAGTAGAAAGGGGTGAGGTGCAGTGGCTCATGCCTGTAATTCCAGCACTTTGGGAGGCTGAGGTGGGAGGATCACCTGAGGTCAGGAGTTCGAGGCCAGCCTGGCCAACATGATGAAACCTTGTCTCTACTAAAAATACAAAAAAAATTACCTGGGTGTGGTGGTGGGTGCCTGTAGTCCCAGCTACTCAGGAGGCTGAGGCAGGAGAATTGCTTGAACCCAGGAGGTGGAGGTTGCAGAAAGCCAAGATTGCGCCACTGCACTCTAGCCTGGGTTGTCAGAGTGAGACTCCATCTCAAAAAAAAAAAAAAAAAAAAGTAGAGAGGGATGGTCAACAGAGACAGCTACCAGAGAAGCTAGGCAGGCAGATGGGAAGAAGAGCTGCCACCTCTGATCAACGGGAGTCGCTGCAGACAGTCCAGGGAGCAGTGAGGGGCACACAGGCCAGAGTTTAGCTGCTGAACAGTAAACAGGAGTGTAACTTCCTTCATTTTGTAAGAAATTTGGCAATAAAGAGAAGAAGAACGAGCAAACAGTATGGTGACAAGAAAACCATCATAAGGAGGCAGAACTCAGATCTTTCTTGGTCCCAGGCCACATCCTGCCATCTCCCTATTCACTCCTCTGTTAGCTGTAGGCTAATTACATCCATTGACAGCCAACTAGGCCAGAATTTGCTAAAAGAAACATCTTTAATACTCACGCTATCAGGATTTTTCGTACCTCTATATAATGTATACAGTCAGCCTTCTGTATCCATGGGTTCTGCATTGGTGGATTCAACCAACCACAGATTGAAAATATTCAGGAAAAGATGGATGGTCTGTACCAAACATGAACAAGCTTTTCTTTTTCCCCCCTTGTCATTATTCCCTAAACAATACACTATAACAACTATGTATATAGCATTTATATTGTTTTACATATTATATAATAAGTAATCTACAGATGATTTAAAGTAAACAGGAGGATGTGCATAGGTTATACACAAATACTATACCACTTTATATCAGGGACATAAGCATCCAAGGATTTTGGTATCCATGGGGGTCCTGGAACCAATCCCCCATGGATTCAGAGGGGTGACTGCATAAAATATGTATATTTATTTATAAGGTACACGTATGTACCTCTGTTAGAATGAACATCAAATATTATTGGAGTTCAATATTATGGGTCCTGGTTTATCTATTCATTTCTAGCTGAAAGGCAAGAGACCAACCACCTTCCATGAAGCCCAAGCAAGATCACTTCCTAAGGCATACAGCATTACTGCCTTACTCTAGGGATGGATTTTGCACTGTAATTTACTGATCTGTGGCCTGTCTCTCCTACTGCTCAACTCCAGCTCCATGAAGAAGGCATTCATTAAGGGTTTCCTGACTGACAAAATCATTGTGTAATTCTGACTCGCCACTACCTATCCCTAGTCAGGTGACACAATTGAAGGAACAATAATTGCTACAACATGGATAAAGCTTAAGGACATTACACTAAGTGAAATGAGCCAGTCACAGAAGGGCAAATATTACATGATTCTACTTACACAAGGTAACTATAATAGTCAAATTCATAGAAGATGAACAGTAGTGATGGTTACACAAAAATGTGAATGTAAGGCCAGGTGTGGTGGTGCATGCCTGTAATCATCCCAGCACTTTGGGAGGTCGAGGTGGGAGGACTGCTTCAGCTCAGGAGTTCAAGGCCAACCTGTGCAACATAGCGAGAACTCAACACTACCAAAAAAGTCAAATGTGGTGTTGTACACCTGTGGTCCTAGCTACTTGGGAGGCTGAGGTGGGAGAATCACTTGAGCCCAGGAAGTCAAGGGGCTGCGGTGAGCCACGATTACACTACTGCACTCCAGCCTGGGTAACAGGGTGAGACTGTGTCTCAAAAAAAAAAAAAAAAAAAAAAAGTAAAGTGAATTTACTTAATGCCACTGAACTGCACATTTAAAGATGGTAAATTTTATATTATGAATATTTACCACAACAAAAAAGGTCAAATTAAAATCAATTCTCAGGTTAAAGGATAATTGGTATTTAGAGTCTTTAAATCAATAAGTATTACAAGCAGAACTGCAATTCTTGTAATTTTGTGAAGTATCCTCTACAGTCACATTCACAGAAAATCTCTTAACAAAATATGAACCAGAATCTGACATGCTGATAAACACACCTCTGGAGTAAAAGCTGGACTAGCAATCATAATCTCCAAGTCCAGAACTGCAGGTCAACTTTTTAGCAGACTTTGCACTCATGACAACACCTAAGCTGTAAGAGGCTCCATTTCTTACCTATAAAGCTGAGGTGAAGAACACTATTACTGTTGCCCCGGAGTTATTACCTTACAAATCTCAGGGATGGGGATGATAAGAGGATAAAAACACAAGCTCCTACACTGATTACCAGGGATAAATGACTCAGTAATTAACAAAAGGTGAACATTTTGTAAGAAGAAATGAACTAAAATATTTCAGAGTGAGCAGCAGTAATAAGAGGAGGAAAGAACTGGAAGTGAGTGCCTCTATTCTGCCCATGCCCAAACTACAGATAGAAGGACAGCCATTACACTTCTTCTTTCCCTGTAACCTGTATAGGAAGTCTAACGTAGCAAAAAGCTTCAGCGCAAGAAATACTCTTTAGGGGGACATGAGAAACGACTGAAATGAGGCAAAATGTCCAGAAAGGAGATGTCAATGCCATGGTGGTTTTCTCTCATTCTCCTATTGACTTCTAATCTGCCTCAAAGAATCCTCCTTCCTGTACCTTAGAATCTCCCCGCTCCCATTTTCTTGGCCTATGATCATGTTTAGTGCCCTAGATTATTCAGTGATAAATATTATGATACTTGACTATAGAAGGCATTCTGTGATGCAATATAGTATTAGATAATTATTCTTTTCAAAATATCTCCTTGGAAAAGATGTTCAACATCACTATTCAGCAGGAAAATGCAAATGAAAACCACAATGAGATATCACCTCACACCTATTAAGGACAGCCACTATCAAAACCACCCCCAGAGAGTAAGTGTTGGTGAGAGTATGGGAAAATGGAAAGTCTTGCACACTGGTGGTGGAATTGTAAAATGATGCATCCACTATAGAAGACACTATGGAGGTTCCCTGAAAATTTAAATGCAGAATTACCATGTATAAGCCAGTAATCTCACTTCTGGGTATATACCCAAAAGAATTGAAAACAGGATCTCAAAGAGATATTTGCATCCCCATGTTAATTGCAGTATTTTATTCATAACAGCCAAGATATGGAAGCAATCTATATGTACATCAATGGATAAATGAATAAAGAAAATGTGGTATATAACACAGTAGAATCTTATTCAGGCTTAAAAAAAGAAGGAAATCCAGTCACATGCCACAAAATGGATGAACCTTGAGGACATTAAGCCATGTGAAAGAACCCCAATCACAAAAAGACAAATACTGCCTTGTTTTATTCATATAAGGTATCCGAAGTAGTCAAACTAGCAGAACTAGAAACTAGAATGGTGATTGTCAGGGGCAGGGAAACAGAGTTGCTGTTTACTGGGAACAGAGTTTTACTCATGCAAGATGAAATTCTAGAGATCCACTGTACAACAATGTGCATATAGTTAACAATATTGTAATTTACACCTAAAAATTGGTAAGAGAGTCAATTTACTTTATGTGCTTATTTACTACCCCACCCACAAATTCACCAACCAAAAAAAAGTCTCCTTGGAAGGACCAATGAAAATAGTTGCAAGGGCTGGGCGCGGTAGCTTATGCCTATAATCCCAGGACTTTGGGAGGCTGAGGTGGCCGGATCACGAGGTCAAGAGATCAAGTGGTGGCTCATGCCTGTAATCCCAGCACTTTGGGAGGCTGAGGCAGGTGGATCACGAGGTCAAAAGATCGAGACCATTCTGGCCAACACGGTGAAACCCCGTCTCAACTAAAAATATAAAAATTAGCTGGGCATGATGGCATGTGCCTGTAGTCCCAGCTAATCAGGAGGCTGACGCAGAAGAATCACTTGAACCTGGGAGGCAGAGGTTGCAGTGAGCCGAGATCGCACCACTGCACTCCAGGCTGGTGATAGAACAAGACTCTGTCTCAAAAAAAAAAAGAAAAAAGAAAGAGGAAATAGTTGCATGTGTAATTTATTACTGTATAATCCATATCAGTCTGAAAATACGTAAGTCTAAAGTCCATAAAATTAGTCACAGTTCCCTCTCCCTTCTTCTACCAGTACAACAGATTTTTAAAATAGGATCGTTCTTATTGATTTGTTTTTAAAAAAACAAACCCAAAACAAACACCCATGAAAAATGTACTTTACTATAATCCCAGCTACTTAAGAGGCTGAGGTGGGAGGATCACTTGAACTCAGAAGTTTGAATCAAACCTGGGCAACATTGCAAGACCTCAACTGAAAAAAAAAAGAAATAAGAAAGAAAGAAACAGAAAAACCTACTTTAAACCTAAGCTAACCAGTGAATGACAATAATAAACAGTGGTATTTGTGCTCTTATATCTTTTGTTTATTTCTATGTTTAAACTCTTCTCCCTACCACAGCACAAATATTTAATTCATTTCTCAAAAATTGGCATCATTCTTCAAACTAAAAGAATGAATTAAATGTAAACATCAGCTCACAGAAATTTAAATGTACTCGGCAAATTCTTACATGAGTTATTTCAAAACCAATATATCTAATATCTGCGCAGCACTAACATAAAATGTGAATGTGCGTTCTATATTATATATTCTAGTCTAAAACAATATGTCTATTTAAAACATTAGAGAAAATATTCCATGGTAATTAAAGTTCCTAATAAAAAATTATAAAATACTTCTTTTCATAGGATTCTTTTTTTTTTTTAAGATGAGGTCTCGCTCTATCACCCATGAGTGCAGTGGTGCAATCTTGGCTCACCGCAACCTCTGCTTCCCGGGTTCAAGCGATTCTTCTGCCTCAGCCTCCTGAGTAGCTGGGATTACAGGCGTGTGCCACCATGCCAGGCTAATTTTTGTATTTTTAGTAGAGACGGGGTTTCACCATGTTGGCCAGGATAGTCTCGAACTCCTGACCTCAAGTGATCCGCCTGCCTCAGCCTCCCAAAGTGCTGGGATTACAGGCATAAGCCACCATGACCGGCGAATAGGATTTCAAAATATATTCTAGTCGACAAGCTGTGAGGATTCTTCATCCTTACAAAAACAAACAGGGCTCCAGCTATGCTTATCAGAATCTAAGAGAGTTAACAGTTCACCACCACTTGTTTTATAAAGATGTTAATGCACTATCAGGAGGCAAACAAAAATATTGTAAATAATATTTGTCACAAGATAGGTTGTAATCTGTAATCCTTGTGCAAGGATGGGAATGTATTCACTCAGTTACTATAATACAAATGTTATGTTCTTAAATTTAGGGCAGTATTTTCTCCTGATATAAAACCATTACACAAGGCTGAATAAAGGCCAGGAATCAGAAAAATCCAACAAATATTTATTTTACATAAACTAAGAACAAACATGATACTCAAAACCGCTGCAGGTGGCTGGGTGCGGTGGCTCACGCCTGTAATCCCAGCACTTAGGGAGGACAAGGAGGGCAGATCACCTGAGCTCAGGAGTTCAAGACCAGCCTGGGCAACATGGCGAAACCCTGTCTCTACTAAAAATACAAAAATTAGCCAGGCATGGTGGTGCATGACTGTAGTGGTGCACACCTATAATCCCAGCTACTCAGGAGGATGAGGCACAAGAATCGCTTGAACCCGGGAGGCAGAGGTTGCAGTGAGCGGAGATCGTACCATTGCACTCTGGCCCGGAAGACAGAGCAAGACCTTGTCTCAAAAAAAGAAGTGCTGCAGGTCCAAGGGTTAGGTAGATAATACAACCTCTGCCATCAAGAAATCTGTCATTCAGTGGGTGAAGAGAAAGTGAAGTACCTAAAACACTAAACAAACACTAAACAGAGTAAGATCAGACAGTACCAGAGATGTCAAAGGAGATGAATTCATATTTGTTTGGAGATTAGAAAGTGTTTTGTGAAAAAAAAAGCAGTGTTTGAGATAGGCCTTGAAGAATGAACAGTAGGAATGTAATGGGAATAGACAGAAACAGGAAAAGCAGTATTTTGGATAGGGAGGAAAGAATACAAATAATCACACCAAAGTGAAAAAGCACAAGTATGTGAAGTATGTGTCAGCAATAATAAGTAGTCTAGGGTAATGGGCTTTGGGTATACGTACTGATGAAATGAGCCACAAGAATACAGTAGTAGGCCAAACTGGTCAGACCCGAGGTCTTGGTGAAGCCCCCTTGCCACTGGACCTTCTACTATCATCCACCCAGATTCCCTGTCACTATACACTACAAACGCAGAATAGCTGTGATACTCCATCAGGATGGCCTACTAAAGGTGAGCAGATGTCAACCAGCTGAGAGGGGAAAAAAAAAGAGGCATTCCCAAACAGAAGACCCAGAAGGAGGAAACCACAACGTGAGAGCCTGAGCCAGTGTATGTCATGGGGAAGAGATGCAAGTGCAAAGGAGGTTGTCGGTTGGAGCAAGGGAGAATGGCAGGACTGGAGACAAATCACAGGGGTACTAGTCTTCTATGGTGAGGGTTCTTCTTTTGGACTTTGTCATAGACTCCGCTAGTAGTCACGAAGTCGGGGCAAATGATCAACCTGGCTCCCTCAAGGAGGATCTTAAGGAGTACCTTTAGCAGATTCTTGTATAGGAATGGCCAAGTATTACTCCCCTGGGCACAATGGCAGATACTATGCCCCAGCAATCAAAGTGGCAGGAGCAGGTAGCATACTGATTCACCTCCCCCACCCTCTGACAAGTACAAGAGAGGGCTGAGCAGCCAGGAAACATGTGGGCACTCTTCACTAAAGCTGGGGTGGGAGTAGGACAGAAGGTAAGGACTGGCAGCTAGTGGGCTCAGCCCAAGGGCTCTTATCTACAAATGTGCCCGCAGTGTCACAATATGACTCTGCATTAAGTCATTAGTGACAATGTCATAAGGAACTATAAACTAAGATATTTAAGAATTTCTCTATCTTGGTGTTTGAACCTGCAAGTGGGTACTTCTGAGTGTACTTTCCATATTCCTCTCTCTGTGTCCAGCTCTGTCATTGTGAGTCTCTCTCACTGTCTTTCACCTCTGTCATTTCCCCCTCTTCATTTCCTCCTGCTCCTTCTAAGTCTATTTAAATTATAAAAATAAATGAAAGCTTATTTATAAAACAAAATTTATTTCTTATTGATGAATGAGAAATTTTATAGTTTTCCAGCATTTGTTTTAACTTCATTTTTTCTTGTTGTTTCATTAGTTATGCACCTCTCCCCCTCTAGATTTAGAATTTTTAAAAATCCAAATTATCTCCCATTCCAAATATAGAGTATCTCTAGAATCTGGAGAGGATGGTAGATGACTTCAAGCCAGCTCTGCTGAAGATGGTTAGAGGTCTCTCATTTAATGTTACCCTCTCCAAATTCCAATATTGCTTACTGTACTGGGCTTACTACTCTCCTATCTAGCTCTGACTTGCCCTTTTCAGCCTCAAATCCAACCAAGTGCTCCCATACATCTTATTCTACAGTCTGACCCGGCACACACCACATGCCACTGAGCACTCAGGCTCCTCTATTTCCTGTGTGGAGTGCCTCTCCTCACGCCCAGCCCCGACTTTTTTACCTATTAAAATCTTACTTTTACAGCAAGACCCAGTTCAAGTTTATTGTCCTCCTCGAAGCCTGTGCCAGCTTCTTTAATAATCAACAGGCTTCTTTAATAATCACATTCCTTTCCATTGTTCCCTACAGTTCCACAGCTAGTTGTCTGAAAGCTGATTTTCCCCCAAATGAGTGAAAGCTCCAAGAAAAAGAATCATGTACTTACTGATTGCTGGATTTCCCCTGGCAAATAACCATACGTTTTATATATAGTATATACTCAATACAAAATTTATTGAATGAATATTTACTCTTGAATGAAAGCAATACATACAGTATTGATGTATGATTAGTGTCATACATTAATGACAGAATTAATTTCTTTTCATACAAGTACAAGGTGATCAAGAAAACAAGGGATGTCTACTTTCTATCAGAGTGTGATAGCCGGCTTGGGTCTTGAAGTGAGAGCTCACATCATAAATCCTAAAGCATTATAACACATTCAATTATTTAAATCCTCTTTATCTGAAAGCTGTTAAACAAAAAACTTCCATGTACTTAAGAAATAAAATAAGGGGATCCTAGGAGGAAATGAGAATAGAAATTCCATCCCTGCTCACTAATTTTAAGGATTTCATTAGCCATATAAGCCATTAAGCCACATGAAAATGTGCGAAAATGAATTATATGTAGTTCAGTGGAAAAATAGTTAATCTTCATTAAAAACTGCAGTATTGGTGGGGTGTGGTGGCTCATGCCTGTAATCCCAGCACTCTGGGAGGCCAAGGCGGGTGGATCACCTTAGGTTAGGAGTTTGAGACCAGCCTGACCAACATGGTGAAACCCTGTCTCTACTAAAAATACAAAAATTAGCCAGGCATGGTGGTGGGCACTGTAATCCCAGCTACTCGGGAGGCTGAGGCAGAAGAACTGCTTGAACCTGGGAGGCAGAGGTTGCAGTGAACTGAGATGGCGCCACTGAACTCCAGCCTGGGTGACAGAGCCTGACTCCACCTCAAAAAAAAAAAAAAAAAAAAAAAAGAAGAAGAAGAAGAAGAAAAGAAAAGCAATTGAAAATGAATAGTGCTACTTCAGCGAATGCATCAACAATAAAAAAGTGAAACAGCTGGACGTGGTGACTCATGCCTATAATCACAGCACTTTGGGAGGCCAAGTGGGAGGATCTCTTGAGCTTAAGAGTTCGAGACCAGCCTGGGCCACCTAGTGAGATCCCATCTCTGAAAATAAAAAAATAAAATAAAATAAATATAAGAAAGTGAAATAGCCTTTTTGCTGATATGCACAAAGTTTCAGTTGTCTGGACAGAAGATCAAGCCAGCCACAAGATTCCCTTAAATGAGAGCCTAATTGAGAGCAAGGCCCTCTCAATTCTATGAGAAGATGCAGAAGAAAATTCTATGAGAAGATGCAGAAGATATTTTCAATTCTATGAGAAGATGCAGAAGAAAAGTTTAAAGCTAGCAAAGGTGAGTTCATAAAGTTTAAGGAAAAAAATCCTCCATAATATAAAAATATAAGGTGAAGCAGCATGTGCTGATGGAGAAGCTGTAGCAAGTTATCCAGAAGGTCTGGCTAAGATCATTAATGAAGGTGGTTACACTAAGCAATAGATTTTCAATGTAGACAAAAAAACCTTCTGTTGGAAGAAGCAGCCATCTAGGACTTTCATAGCTAGAGGAGAGAAGTCAACGCCTCATTTCGAAGCTTGAAAGGACAAACTGACTCTTCTGTTAAGGGGCTGATGCAGCTGGTGACTTGAAGTAAATGTTCACTTCCCATTCTGAAAATTCTAGGGCTCTTCATAAGAATAATGCTAAATCTACTCTGCCTGTGCCCTGAAATAACAAAGACTGAATGTCAGCACATTTGTTTATAGTATGGTTTACTGACTATTTTAAGCCCATTGTTGAGATGTACTGCTTAGAAAAAGATTCCTTTCAAAATATTACTGCTCATTGGCAATGGACCCAGTCACCCAAGAGCTGTGATGAAGATGTACAAGGCCAAAAATGTTTGTTTTCATGCCTGCTAACTAACACAGTATCTATGCTATAGCCATGTTTCAAGGTGTACTTAAGAAATACACTTTGTAAGGGTGTATCTGCCACAGGCAGTGATTCTTCTGATAGATCTGGGCAAAGTACAAAGAAAAATATTCTGGAAAGGAATCACCATTCTAGATGCCATGAAGAACATTCATGATTCCATGGGAGGAGGTCAAAATATCAACATTAACAGGAATTTGGAAGAAGCTGATTCTAACCCTCATGGATGACTTGGAGGGATTCCTGACTTCAGTGGAGGAAGTAACTCTAGATGCAGTGGAAATAACAAGAGAACTGGAATTAGAAGTGAAGTCCAAGATGTGACTGAATTGCTGCAATCTCATGA
The DNA here is from genome assembly GCF_000001405.40 of Homo sapiens. NCBI lineage: Eukaryota > Metazoa > Chordata > Mammalia > Primates > Hominidae > Homo > Homo sapiens. The sequence goes on from NC_000008.11 coordinate 70,209,258, forward strand.
TCAAACTTGAACAAACGAGGAGTTGCTTTTTGCGGATAAACAAAGAAAATGGTTTCTTGAGATGGAATCAACTCCTGGTAAAGATGCTGTGAACACTGTTGAAATGACAACAAAGGATTTAGAATATTCCATAAACTTAGTTGATAAGGCAGGAACAGGGTTTGAGAGGACTGATTCCAATTTTGAAAGTTCTACTGTGGGTATAATGCCATCAAACAGCATTGCATGGTACAGAGAAATCTTTCATGAAAGTAAGAGTCCATCAGTATGACAAACTTCACTGTTATCTTACTTTAAGAAATCGTTATAGCCACCCCAGCCTTTAGCAACTCCCACCCTGATCAGTCAGCAGCCATCAACATTGAGGCAAGACCCTCCCACCAGCAAAGAGATTAGAACTTGTTGACGAGGCTCATATGCTTGTTATAGCACTTTCTAGCATTAAGGTATTTTTAAGTTAAAATGTATTAATTTTTTAAAGAAGTAATACCATTGTACGCTTAATAGACTACAGTACAGTGAAGTATAACTTTTATACACCCTGGAAAAACAAAAAATTCATGTCACTTGCTTTATTTTATATTCGCTTTATGGTGCGGATCTGGAACTGAACCTGCAGTATCTCTGAGGTATGCCTGTGCTTACTATTTTTCTGTGGAATAGAAGCAATATTAGCCTCCCAGTTAGGGAAAATGGTTATTTGCTATCTGTTTCCATGACTCCTGTTTCTAAGTTATAGAAGAGAGAAGTTCTAAACATTTATGACTATCATACCAAATATAAAGAAATATCCTACTTCAGTATCAGAAAGCTGTGATGACAGTGCAGATTCCAGACCCAGACTGCCCTATTCTTTCGCTTAATGGCTGTGTGACTTTGCCAGGCTACTTAACCACTCTGTGTCTCAGGTTCCCCTCCTGCCAAGGGGGAAAACAATACGCCTATTCCATGGTTTGTTTTGAGTACGAAATAGGTTATCAAATCTGAGCACTTTAAAAACTGCCTGACACACAGTAAGAACTATTTAGTCTTAGCTAGTATTAAAAATTCTCCAAGATTATTTAGCCAACAGAAGATCTAACTTAATTACTAAGTAACTAACTTAGCTAATAACTAAGGATTATGAATGTCGGCCAAAAAAAACCCCACCAACATGTACGGAATTCTCTATTTGATGGCAGTCACACTATTAGCATCAAACTCTTGTGTGTACTTGCTCTGTTTCTACAAAGTCCATTCCACAGTTAATGCTCTTGGAGGGCTAGCGTTTATGAAACACGGGTCTCATAAAGCGCTACGTACAACAGAATGCTTATTAATTTAACTAGCTGGTAATTTCCCCTCCAAATTTCCATCCTTTAGGCCATTTAAAAATCCTTTTCTTCTCTCCCTTTATTTATAAAGCATATAAAAGTTGAGAAGTAACTGACAGAGCACAGACTTGAGGGAAAGAGCCCTCCATGCCTGGCTGACACGTCATAGCTTCTGACACTGGAGCAGGGTTCCATAAAGATGAGCCCAGCTTTCCTCATTGTGTATTCTTTAGTATGGCCCCTCATGCAACCCAGTTTAACTTCTCTAGGATAAATAGGCAGGTTTATTACATAATGGGCATGTTCTCCTGAGCTCCCAAATGCATTTTATTCACGCTGACAACTATGACTGAAATACAAATTAAGTCTGGATAATGGTGTAAAGATGGTAGTTGGATTTTATTTATGCTGATTGGTCAGGGGATCAGTTGGGGTTGGGGGAAGACAGAGTTAGAGAGAAAGGCTTTGGCCTGACTTATGTGTTGTTCTTACTGGCTGTCAGATGCTGAGAAAAATCAAACTGGCCCAAACAGAGCTGCTGATGGAGTGGTACGCATGGGTTGCACAGATTTTCTGGCACCAGAAAATTCTTTTACTTTCTACAAATAGGTCAGGCACAGTGGCTCATGCCTGTAATCCCAGCACTTTGGGAGGCCGAGGCAGGCAGATCATGAGGTCAGGAGTTCGAGACCAGCCTGGCCAACATGGTGAAACCCCTTCTCTATTAAAAATACAAAAATTAGCTGGACGTGGTGGCGCATGCCTGTAATCCCAGCTACTCGGGAGGCTGAGGCAGGAGAATCGCTTGAACCCAGAAGGTGGAGGTTGCAGTGAGCTGAGATCGCGCCACTGCACTCCAGCCTGGGCAACAGAGCAAGACTCCAAAAAAAAAAAGAAAAAAAAAGAAAAAACAGCATCTTTCTGCTTAAGTAGGAATGAAAACTACTGAACATCTACTATGACAGGTGTTTACTGAATTTACATGGCTCATGATATCTTCAACAGCTATGTAACCTAGGTATTGTTAGCACTAAACTCTATATGAGGCAACTGAGTCTCAGAGATAAGATAATTTGCCCAGGTTCAAAAAGCTCCTAAATGGACCAGGATTCATACCTAGCTCCTGTCTGATTCAATTCTGCTCTTTTTAAAAAACAAATTATTAAACAAAGACTATTCGGAAAATATCAGAGTAGTTGAGAACTTAAAAATACATTTATGCTTTTCGTTTTTTCATTTGGTATTTAAGTTTTGCTTCCCTTTACAAAACACGTTGCTTTTCAAATTAGCAGGAACATTATTAGAAGAATAAGACGTGACAGGGTATATATTGCTGCTTCTTGGGTGGTTGTGGTATGCAGCCCTATGATTAAAACTATGGTTAAGGTATGGCGCAGTCCCAGCATGACACATCTGAACATGTTTTATGGTTTGAAGGGGGAATTACCAAGGTTTTGCAAACTTTAAAAACTTGTGCAAGACCTTCTTTGTGGCGCATATATATATATATATATATATATATATATATATTTGTTTTGAAATGTAGAAGTACTACCTAAACATGCAGTGTTCTCAAAACTGAATCATTCATAATCCTTAGAAACCTAAAACAAGAAGCTTAATGATTTCTTTACTGTAATGACATCAGCAACTAGAAACACAGCAACTTCAAGGCACTGGTTAATAACTTTAACCAATTATTTCTCCTAAGAGTTCTAGGAATATTATTTTATCCCTTTGCTGACACTAAAATATGAAGATACAAAATTGAGGTTTAAACTGAGTTTTTGATAACTAGTGAACCCCAAAGGGAAAAGAAAGACGAGTGATGAAGGGGACTGAAATGGGCACTGGGAGAAGAAACCCACTGGATGTTAAAGGTCATGGAGAAATCAGGAAATAAAGACTGATTTGCAGAGTGGGCTGGTGTTAGAAACTGTGTTGTGAATGCTATATGTATATTTTTATGTTCTTAGAAGACAGAACTATACTTGTAAAACTATTTTATACAGAATTTAGCTCAACAGTATAGGTATGAAATGGAAAACGCTAAGATGATATGCTAATAGGTAGCTAGGATTTGTGACAGATAAGAGCAGACAGTTTCAGGCTCATGTATTATAAAGACAAAGATATTATTTTTATGAAATATGCCTTTTTTGAATATTATATAAAAGGCAGATTTTAAAAATTTGAACTCTAAGAGGATGCATTCAAAAACAGATTACAGGTCAGGCACGGTGGCTCACGCCTGTAATCCCAGCCCTTTGGGAGGCCGAGGCAGGAGGGTTGCTTGAGGTCAGGAGTTCCAGACCAGCCTGGCAAACACGGTGAAACCCTGTTTTTACTAAAAATACTAAAAAATTAGCAGGGCATGGTGGCAGGCACCTGTAATCCCAGCTACTCGGGAGGCTGAGGCAGGAGAATCGCTTGAACCGAGGAGGCAGAGGTTGCAGTGAGTTGAGGATCACACCACTGCACCCCAGCCTGGGCGATAGAGTGAGACTGTCTCAAAAAAAACACCAAAAAAAAAAAAAAAAAACCACACCAGATTACAAAAGATAATAATCTCCCCAGGCCTAAAGAAAAGCAGTACACAGATACTTCAAGAGCATATATTGGCCCTGGGCACCAAAACGTTGTTCATACATGCCGAATAAAGATTTATTTTTGGCACCACAAAGTCAAATGTGTTCTTAAAAACATTATTTTCTTGATATTTTTCTGTAGGCATAAATATCAAAGAAAAGAATCATAAAATTATCTCAGAAAAAAAGAAAACCATAGGAAGAGAGCTGTCATGTTCTATGTTTCAAGTTCACAGATGGATTTCTTACTGGAGGTTAGAGACTTTCAAATCTCTTGTCATTCAGGATATGAAATTCTAATCTAGTGTCATGGCCAGTTGAGGCTCAGATTAATCAAATATGCTGACTAGCTGAAATAGGAGGTGCTTCACTTCCTTACTTCTGGTTTACATCTCAATCTGGCTGCTACTTGCAACTTTTGATGGTCACTTGCTGTGTATGCCTTGAAAATGCCACAGTGTGGGGAGGAGAATTGTGGGCACCTAACTGAGTTTACTAGATGAAAAGTTCCATCACCCTGACTCACCTCAGTCTTCTCTGTCTTTAGGGTATGGCTGAATTTTATACAAAGCCTATTTATAAACCACTGCAAGTGATACTTGCATTCATCTTACACTGTGACATCATTTCCTCATCAATAATTTAAGCATAAGAAATGGATTAAAGGGACTCTGAAGGGACTTCTCACACAGGGAAAAACAGAAACCAATTCAACTCTTCAAAATACTAATTCAGTCCTCTTACCTTGTTCTTTGATCTGACGAATTTGCTTCACAGTTTCTTTTAAGATTGCACATTTGTCAGGTTTGAAGTTAAAGTTGTCTATATCATTAAAATTTGCAAAAATCAACTCTGCAAGTTCTTCTATATATTTATTTTCCTGTTCACGATTACGTTTTTCAGTGTTCCTTTTGGGGCTTAAAAGAAGAAACACATTTTTATGATGTATTTGAAAAAGAGCTATTGTGAAAAAAATGAACGTGTTAAACAAGTTTAATACAAAGATAGCAAACAAAAGCTACCTATATAAACACAGAAATACTTTTGGGGGAAAAACACAATTTTCCAAAAGTGTTCCATGTTTTTTTAAAAAAATCAACCTAAGCCTAGTTTGTAATGAAACTATCTGTTCAATGTGTTTGGCGTCTCCCACTGGACTGTCCACTTCACAGTGACCTGGACTGTGCTCACCACTGTGCTTAGTGCAGTACTTGAAACAAGTGGGCACCAAATTAGTTGACAAATAAAAGAATGTTTCAAAAAGGTAAAGGAGGTTATATTTTAAAATTTATTTAAGATTAGTAAAAGAAGAGAAGTTAACCCAGTTAATAACAGGAATAAATTTCAATAATTTTTGGTAAAACATAAAAAATAAAACCAGATATTTATAATTTTATAGACTTCTTCAGAATGTTAGTAAGCAAACCAAACAGCCTTTTTAGGTAATGCAAAAAGTCACAATACAGCTAGAAACAAAAGCGAAACTGACCCAGGAAATTTGTTAACTGTCCAAGCTGAATGACATGCAAAATATAAACAAACAGTCCAATTTCAACTAAAGTTTAAAAAGTTAATGGAATGGAAAAATATCAAAAGAGGCAAAATCTTCCATTAGAATGTGACAAAATAGTAAACTGAAAAGTTCCTTTTCATAATAACAGCATACAATTATTTTCTCAAGTGCAAAGGGGGGCCCATTAAATGACATTCAAAACAATACAATAAGGAAGAAAAGCAAGTTGCTTAATGTAGCAGCTTTCTGTATTTTTATATATAATTATTTGTATATAATACTAATTTTAAAATTTCTGGATTCACAATAGACTTTCATATATGCATCTCTAAATATGTTTGATTTTCATAAATACATACTATAATACAATGTCTCTATTTTATAGTGTTTATACAATTTGTCCAGGATCACCCCACGAATTACTGGCACAGTAATTCAGAATTTGGTTTTTTTTCTAAGTCTCATTTTTACCCGTAGCTTCTGTTTTTACAGCAAAAGGTAAAGAGTGGCTGGAATGCTTAGAATAGCCCAGTTCCCATTCTGACCCCCTCCACCACCCTCCACCCATGCCCTCTCACCCTCTCACAAGGTAAGAAATAAATGACAAATAGGTGAGAAAGGGGAGTTGTGTTCAAAAGACCCCTGAGCGCCCCAGAGGGAGGGCTCAGAGACCTGCCACTACAGCCCACAGCTGAAACAGTTCCCACTTTCTCCCACTGCCTCCCCAGGTAGGGCTCCTGACTATTAAAGGCAGTCTGACAGACAGAAGTTTGTGGTTTACCAGGAAGTAGTAGGGAACCTAGAGGAGCTGGGGGCTGGGATGTAGAGAGTGGAGATTTATTGGGCTTGATGTTTTGCTTGGCAACTAGAAGGGGAAAAGGGAATATAAAATACTGGTGTTTTGCCCTTTCTCCTGCTCTGCCTCTCTTGATGACTTTTCCTAGCCCTCTTCCCTACTATTTCATGTCTGATGCTTTTACTGTCCATTAGGTAGAAGGTGTTGTTTTTATTTAATTCTTAAAATTATTTATATGATTTAAAACATTGAAAAAGTGAAAAGTCTCTCTTCTACTTTTGGTAACTATTTGCCCAGTTCTCATCCACCGAAACAGGTAGCAACAATTATTGTTTCTTGATTATCCTAAAACAATACACATTCTTTTTTCTTCCTTGTTTATACAGATGGCAATATTCCAAAAACATTTTCTAAACCTTGCTTTTTGTCTGTAACAATATTCTTAAGAGATTTTTTTTTCATATTAACCCATAAAGAGCATCCTCATCTTTATCCTAGCTGAACTGTGTTCCAGGTTCTAGATGTACCACAGCTGTTTAACAGACATTTAGGTTTTTCCGAATCTTTTGCAATTTGAGTAACCTCATATACACGTCATTTTGCATGTGTTAAAGTATATAATAGGAAAATTCCTAAAAGTGGAATGGCTAGTTCAAACAGGATATGCATTTATAATTTTGATACTGCCAAATTACCCTACATGGGCATTATAACAACTCATACTTCCACCCATAATATATGAGATGAAATTTGCTTTAAAATTCTTTGTTTTATTCACTAAAGAGCCACAATCTTTGTTCTCAACTCAGAAGTACATGGGTTTAACATTTTATGTCTTTAAAAATAAAACAACAAAAATAAAACCCATTATAAAATTAACGGCAAATCCTTTTTACTATAGGATCTTCTTGTTATAATATTGTGTAATCAAACTCAATATTATTAAATAAATTGATTCTAAGAGTCAAAAGATATCAGAAGTTTACAGCTTTCCTCTTTTTGTAAAGAATACAATCTGTAACTGATTTGCATATTCAAAATGTAAGCAAGTACATATTCAGAGATTTAACTGTTAAGGAGAAAAACCAACTCAATATTTGAATCAGCAGTAAAATCAATGCTAAAATAACAAAGAAGCACTCATGTGGCTTTAACAGACAATACTGATTCCTTTTCTCAGCAAGAATCTAACCTGGGTCCAAGTTGGTCAGGACATTCCTTGCGCTTTCTTGTCTCTGCCCTGGAGGGGTCAGAGGTATTTTCTCCCATCCCACTCATCTTGAACACATATCAGCAACTAAAACAGAAAACAGAGAAGAGGAAGAAAAAAATGAAGAGAGCTGATGATGAAGTGTCTGATCATTTTACCAACAATAAAAGAATTTTGACTCCAATCAGAAATTTGAGACCAGTAATTAACATTGTTTTATGTGCATGTATAATTTCTAATATAAAAGCCGTCTCTTTAAAAAAATCTTTTAAGATTAAGCAAATGTAAAGGTTAACATTTAAGAAACAAACAAGCCTACCTCATTGGGCCCAAATTCTTTAAACACGAGTTGTATTTCAACAGCACCATGAACTACAATCTACCAGCTCTGGGTTTGGGCTGCCAGCCTCCAGTTTCAAGAGTGATCTTGCACCATGTGGAAACTACAGGTGTTGTAAGGGGCTCCTCCCAGTCTCTGTTTTGGGTTAGCCAATGTGAAGTCTATGCTGCAACAGCTCACCCACAACAGACAGCCCGGGGAAGAGCCAGTGCCAGGACACGAAATTGAAGGTTTTCAAATTTAACTAGGTACATCTGACACCCCTGTAGCCCCGAGTTCCTGCACAAGGCCTCTTAATCAATGCCCCCTAGTGGGGGATCTTCCTGGCCCCTCGGGAAGCTCCTGTGCCTGGCTCTCCTGCAGCAGCTGCCTGGCTGCTCCTCCATCGGTGCCCTCTCTCTGTGGCAGCTCGCCTCCCTGCACACAGCATGGTCACTTCCTCTCTCACATCCTGCCGCCTCCAAACTTTCCTTCCCTCAGCTGGTTCTGGCTGCTAACGCCAAAGGTCTTAAGATATGCCCCAGAAGTCAGGGGAACTTTACTGACCCCCAAGTGGGAAGAACCATGATCAGCTCCTGCTTGCTGAATTCCTCTCAGTAAGAAAATAAAAAAAAATGTAAGAAAATCAGTGTGCTCGTCATCACTAACATAATCAAAATAATATTTAGGTAAGCAAGAACAAGCCAGTGACAGAGGTTTACGTACTGAAAGAGCTAAACAAAGAGACTTACAAAGACTGTGAGGAAACCATAAAAGACTGCTACTCAAGGTGTTCAATAACTGCTTACCAAAAGAAAAAACAATGCAGCAGGACAAGCTGAAATCTGCATTTAAAGTCTTTCCTAGAGCTCCTATTCGATACTACTTCCCCTTCCTTCTGGCCCCCAGACTTCTAAATCACCTTTGCCCCTCCTTTACTTTTTGTAGTGGCTTCTTTTCTTTTCTGGATAGAAAAAAAAAAAAATCAAAGGGAAGGTAAAGTGCATTAGAAGACAGAGAACTTAAGGAAGATGACAGAGGACAATCAAGAGTAAGGACAAAGAGCAAGGAGGGCTAAGGAACATAACGCGTACCAGTCAAACCGCCAGGCCACTTCTTCCCTGTAATCTGGGCTGCCCAGTCTCAGCTGTACTACAATAATTTCTTCTCGCCACTTCTGATACAATAGCGCAGTGGAGTTAGTTTTTTTTTTTTTTTTTTTAAAGAGTCATATGTAAGCAGAATGAAGAAATACTGTATCCGTTTAGGGAGGCTGCACCACTGGTACACATTTGATTCAAGAGGTGACACAGAAGGGAATAATTCTCAAAGCTGATACCCAAGCTTCTTGCTGGTTAGAGCAATGCAACCAAGTCCCAATGTCCCACACTGTGGTCACAATTTTGGCCTGATAATAAGTATAATCTGTATTTATTTACTATGAGAGAGGCAGACTATGAGAGGCAGGATAGCAGAGAAGTGAAGGGCCAGTATTCATGTCCAAGCTTCACCACTTTTAGCTATGCGAGGCTCACTTGAGACCAGGAGTTGGAGACCAGCCTGAACAACGTATCAAGATCCCATCTCTGTAACAACAACAAAACCCTAAATTCCAGAACCCTTCTCAGATGATACCTTATAGACATTCACTTTCAGTACTTCTCTCTGAATCACAATTCCCATGGTTTCAATCATGAGATGTAAGAAAAAACATTACACATCCAGTCTAAGTAACCTTTCAACAAATGACCTAGGAGATTTTCACTCTGAAAGCAGCTTTCTAGAAGTCATACAAACTTAAGAAAGTTTCTATCATTACAATATAGCCTTCAATATACAGCATAGCAAAATGCCCTATATAGTAGGTATAGGTGACAAGTTTTTTTGTTAAAATGGCTATTCCCCCCCTCAAAAGCAATGCCACATATACTAAAATGTATAGTATTATCAGAAAGATCAGAAAGCTTTCAACAGACAATTAAAGTAAGGAACTGTTTTACCTAAAGTCATATACACCCAGTTTGAGGATGATTTAACATTATATATATATTATTTGCATCATTTACCTGTGAATATTCTAAAATACATACACGAACAATTGTAACATATGAGGGACAGCACTGGGACATAGGGACCAGAGGGAGAGAGAAGAGGAGCCATTTTCTAGTCTAAGTATAGTAAAATCATTTGAGCAGACTGTTTATAATTTGCTTGTACCTACTCAAGGTTGGCTTAAAAACCACTCTATTTGTAGACTGAAAATATCATAATTTCCTCTTGAAGTAAGTTATTTAAATGCCAAGTGGTTTTCCCTTTTATTATGTAGTGGTATCTTAAACACATTTCCTCAAAATCTGCAACTTTCGGCTTGATGAACATAATTGCTTCCTTATATTTTTGTGTCTACTGCACATGTCCTCTTCTCAGAGCAACATTCCTGGGCTATGTGCCCCAGTACACACCTCCAACCCACCTTTCCACCACCAAGGGGAAAGTGGGGTGGAGTCGGGGATGCCTGGCCAAGCCAAGGAAGGATGGCTGCCTCCTGGTAACCTCCAGGAAGTGCCAACATGCAAGGATGCCCTGTCTGAATCACTGCAAATCACCCATAAAAACAAAAAGGAGACAGACCTGAGACCAAAAGTGGGGGGAGCGAATGTAACACTGACACAGGAAGGGCAGGAGGAGGGTGGAGGGGGGGCAGACAGCTGCAGTCTTAGAGCAGACACATAAATTTATGCCCTGCATTTTAGTGGGAGAGCCGAATAAATAACAGAACCTCATGAATGAGGTGCTCTAACCTAGTGGACTGTCTGATATTTCTAATGCTTATGTGAGGAGGCTGGGCTGGCAGCAAGTGTCAGTATTTCACACTGGAACAGGAGGTGGGGCCAGGTGAGTTCATTTTTCCCCCAACTCAAAATACTGGGCAATGCAGAAGTGACACAAATAAAAACCAGAGAGAGATAGATAAGTTATAAAAACGACTTTCTTCTAAGTTATATAAATTACTTTTTCTATACAAATGTACATTCTAGTGTATAGTCACTCATAGAGAAATATCTAAAATAAACTCTATGGACAGAGGAATTTTTATGCACTTTTGTAGATCGAAGTTAAAAAATTCATTTCCAGTGTAAAGGTAGGAGATGGAAAATACTAAAGAGCAGCACTGAAGGTTCTAAAATTTCATTTGGTGACCAGCTCTAAATTAATAGTTTCTTATAATTTCTGCACACTCACATGAAATTAAAATTCTTAAGCATCTCACTCTCAATGCTGAAACTGTTTAACGTAAATCACAAAAACTGAAAATGACACAAGTAAACTCTCAGGCTGTATTTGATGGTAATTACAGTCATTGAGAGCAAACCAGTTTCTACCAGATGTTGGGGGTTGTGAAAGGACAAGTCTGAAAAAAAAAGTTTCAAATCATCCATTCTTGTTATCTGTAACAACACAATAGCCCTGTTTTCACAGTGACCATACATCCTCCCTTACATCCCTTGATATCAGCTTGGATGAGCTAGACGGTAGGGAAGAGTTATAGCCTTACGATTAGTAAGTTTTATCTCTAAAAAGTAACAATATTCTGGGAGGGGTGAACAAAGCCAGTTGAATCCTTAGCATAATGACAGAAAGCAAAATAAAATGTTAAACCTCAACACAATTCAAAAATGTACTTTCATGGAATTCACCAATATAATTTATAAGGTAACAAAGCTGTTGCTCTCAATACAACCTCATACCATTAAAGCTTGTTAATCATCCATAATTTATGTAAACGATAATATGCATTTTATCTTTTATCAAGACAGCCTATCTTCCAAACAAGGCTTGTAAAACTGCCAGATGCATTATATACAGAACAAATTCAGTTAAAGAATAAGGATACTACTGCTGCTGAACTCCAAACATAATAAAGTGATCGAACATCTGATCCTGACTGCTAGCTCCAATAAATGTTCTTAAAGTTAGGCCTTCTCTGAAATTCCCCAAGTTAGAAACGACACAGAAAGAGCTACTGAAACCACTTCTCTTATGAATGTCTACTTGAAGAGGACCTGCCTGATAAATCATCTAGCTCTTGTTATGAGAACAGAAAGACTTAGAGATTTCCGAGGTTCCTTCTGAGCTCTCTTTACGATAGACATATGAAATTGTGTAATATGTAGTCTAACCCTTTACAAACTTTTAAAACCAAGAAATGCTCAAGCAATATTAAAAGTATACATAAAACCTCACTTAAATACCCTTCCATTTCTATTTAACTAAACTACAGAAGGATAATCTTTTAGAGCCCACTGTTTCTCAGAATCCCACCTCAACAGCTAAAGCTGCATCCACTATTGCTTTATCACAAATGAAAACATTTGCTCATTCTAAACTGGTAACAGTTTCTCCTTCAAAGTACACTGTGTTCCAAGAGCGATCCCTTTATAAGGATAAAAGCAAAATTTCTGGGCCAGGCTCTGATAAGTCTAAAAAACATAGTATCTAATGCTTCAATAAACAAAATGTGCTTTTTGGATGTAGATGCCTGAGAAAGAAAAGAAAGTAGGCCAAACTTGGGAAGTCAGTAAGATGATACAGAAGACATCCAGTTGCTAGAGGAAGGGAAATACCTCTTTTCAAATAGGGTTAATTGGTCGAAATTACCCAAAGCAGACATTATTTTGGCAAGATCCCAACTTCTGGCAACAGTTGAATAAATATTCTATGCAGGAAATATACAGACTACTCAAGGATATAATGTTGATTCATACAAAGAATCATCACACAGACAAATAAAACAGAAGTAGAACTATGTGGATTTACTAAATGCTGGGATGACAGCGCACAGAAAATCAAACGTTGCTTCCCATTGGCAAACAAGTAATGCATTCAACAGTGATAGAGGACATGACACAATATTTTTAAAATTTTTACCTAGTAAAATTATGTATTATTTCCTCCCAAGTGTCATTACTCTTTTTTACTAGATCATAAGGGCTCTTTTAACGTCATCTTTACGTAATACTGTAGTGCTTCTTGGTTTTCATACAGTAAAATTTTAATTTGCCTCACATACTATAGTCTGTATCTACAGATTAATGTACAGAATCAAAAAACTGTACATTAATTCATATAGTAACAACAGTTAAGTTACAAAGTTTTAGAGGACTCACTTCAAATAAATCCAGAAAAATCTAGAATTTGTTTTCAAATAAGTTCAACTTTACTAGTTTAGAGCAGTTTACTGTACATTTGCCTTTTAAAAATAACAATAAGATAGACACAAACCACTATTATTAGGATATGATTTTTCAATACTAAAACACTAGCCATTTATTGTTAGGTAGAGGATTAAAGAAAATAACATATCCTGCAACCACAACTAGTCTCTAGGTAAACTGGCTTTAGCACCTACCTTCTCTTATGCTGTGTCTTAGTCCAGGAACAGTAATAACAGTATATAAACAAATGTTTAAGCTAAAAATTCCTTCCTCTCAGTATCGTCTGCTCTTAGATTACTTTTGTATAATGGCCTTAAAGTGGTATATTAGACAGTAACTAGAAGACATATTCCATTTTCTGACTGAAAGCCAATAATACTCATGAATTTTTTAGCTGAAAGACACTTCAAGATGCCATTGGGAAGACTGTAATAAACACATTAGGCTGCAAATGGGCAGTAGCAGCTCTTTAACACATGCTGCAATAATCAAATAAATGGCTACATTCATGTTCACTGGTTACACAAATATTTTGCTGCAACATATCCATCATCTGCATCTGTCCTAAAGAAGGGGAAAACCTCCTTCAAAGTCTTATCTTAGCAGAATTCAGGCCAGAATACATAAGTAGCAGGGAGCTGTTCTAAACTATCATTACCAACATGGGCGAAAATGTCTAGTCTGACATCAGTGGCACATGATGGCTTCTACTTTCTAAATTCTCATAGGCCAAGTTCCTTAACATAGCCAGTTACTGGACTGCTTATATATCGACGTCAGCTGGTGCGAATATGGCCAGGAATAGCAAGACTAGGTTTTAATGAGGCCTCAGATGAGAAAACATCGCAGGAAGAAGCTGCATTCCTTGCATAACGTAAGCATTTTCTCTCCCCTTCAAGCAGAGTGTACTCAGTGTCTTTTTATTATTCTGAAAACCAGTTTTCACCAAAGGCTTAGCATTCTGGAAAGAAGTCATCAAATCAAGGACTACAATGTAGCACTTGTGTTTGAGTTTCATAACTTGTCCAGACTAAAATTCAATTATCTTTCTTCATTCTGAAACCCATTTTAAATTTTGTTATGAGATTAAAAAATGACTTTCTAATTCCTGAGAAAGTTAACTGGCAAGGTCAAGACAGTCTGTACCTATACAAAGAGTGTTTTTATCATTTGAGTTGTCAACAGTTCTTAAATAAATGAGAGTTCTCTCTCACAGCATAATATGTTGTTTGGTTTTTTTGCTAACATTTATTGAAGACTTATTATGAGTTAGGTTACTTAGCACATATTTCCTTGCTTAAAAGCCACAATTTGATATGTATGTATATATACATCTTATAGATTATCTAACCTCTCCGACCTGTTTCCTAACAGGTCACACAGATCACGGGTGTAATGATAATAACCATCATCCATGGAGTGTTTCTACATTGGTTGGCGTTTTCTACGTACTTTACCTGTATACACTCCTTTAGTTCCTGTAACAGCCTGATTATCACCATTGTATAGATGAGGAAATTGAGGTACACGAGAAATAAAGTAACTTGAACAAGGCCACACAGGAAGTCTTGGAGCTCATGAATCCAAACAGTTCCTCAATTCTTAACCACTGTAATGTGGGCATTAAAGGGTCCTATACTTTGACACTTTCACTGAAGAGAGAAATTTATAAACTAGTATGTATTACAGGAAGCACTATATTTTAACTTAGTCAACAGTGACTATGTAATTTGAAAGCACTTTTCTTTTTCTTAAAAACAGTATCACTGTGAAATGTAAAACACTTCTTTCTGTTAAACAGTGCATATGTTAGAATCATGTATCCATTTATTCAATATATAACTAATGCTCCAGGCACTGCTGCAGACACTGGAGAGAAAGTCATGACAAAACAGCTAACAGTCCCTGTCCTCCTGCAGCTCACATTCCAGTGCAGAAAAGATGTCATGCTCAGCTCATGCACAATTATTCCCCGAAGATAAGCAAATATTTTTGTTATTACTGAATTTATTATGAAGCTATTAAATAAGACACCAACTAGAAATTTTATCTGGCATACCAAGAATGCTCAGTTTCACTTAAAACAGTAAAAGCCTTTTCTTCTGTTTCAGAAATGGTAATTGGTTAATTTAAAAAGTCAGTTATGAAGGGTAATTGTAAAAATGATACATACTACACCTTAATAATTTCCTTTTAATTTTAAACATATAAATGTAACTTTGAGTCTCAGTCTCCACTGGAGTTTCACAGTGTCCTTCTTGCATAAATCATACCTATACCTATAATTTATCATCTAAATAGTGGGCAATAAAAACAGTGTCTACTCTCCAATTTCTGTTTATTTAAAACAGACCTAGAACTTATAGACACTTAGATTTCTTAAAAGTGCTTATAAGGTGCAGATTTGTATGATTTTTTCCCAGTCTATTAGACATGTGTTATGTGTCCTATACACCCATTTGGCAGCAATGTTTCTTCATTTCACTTTGAGTCTTAGTTTTCACAGAAACAAATGTATCTTTTCAAACTCACACTTGATACGTTACATATATTTAATTAATTTATTATATTACATATATATTAATTAAATTATGTCATTATAATAAGAAGTACAACTGGCAAAAACTGTCCAGGAAACAAGAATCTGGCTCTTGGTAGGCATACAATATCATGGCTAGGCGCAGAGTGCCCCACTCCCTGCCCCGCTCCTCCCTGTCCTCCTGCTCCTCTGTTCCCCTACCCCTCTCCTCTCCTGTCCAGAGTCTCAGTCTCCACTGGAGTACTTAAGTTGCCCATCATCCCGAGACTCTCAGACAGCGGCAGCAAGAGGACATGATCTATTAAGGGGGAATGCAGATCACAACAAATATTAGTGAATACCTATTATGCACCAAGCAAGGTTCTAGTTATTGGAGAATATAGCAATAAACCCAATAGACCAAGTCACTGACTCTTATATTCTAACAGGAAAGTAGGGAGAGGGTGGGGAATAGTAAAACAAACAAAATATTTACCACATCAGATAGTGATTAGAGGTATAAAGAAAAACAAGGTAGGGCCAGGCGCAGTGGCTCACGCCTGTAATCCCAGCATTTTGGGAGCCGGTGCAGGTGGACCATGAAGTCAGACGTTCGAGACCAACATGACCAACATGGTGAAACCCGCCTCTACTAAAAAAATACAAAAATTAGCCGGGTGTGTTGGCGCATGCCTGTAATCCCAGCTACTCAGGAGGCTGAGGCAGGAGAATCGCTTGAACCCCCCAGGCAGAGGTTGCAGTGAGCCAAGATTGTGCCATTGCACTCCAGCCTGGGCGACAGAGTGAGACTCTGTCTCAAAAAAAAAAAGAAAAGAAAAGAAAGAAAAGAAAAGAAAAAGAAAAAGAGAAGAAAAACAAGGCAGTAAGATTAAGAGAGTATAATGTAGATGGGGTGAGGGATACTATTTTACATAGGTAGCCAGCAAAGTCCTCTCAGATGAGTGTTATCTGAGAGCTTTCTAACAGATCTCTAAGATTCATAATATAATTTCTTTAATATACAACCATTAATCATATGAAAAGCGGTACAATGTTGTGGCCTAGATCACATTCTCTGGTGTCAACTCTGGCTGGAAATCCCTAGAACACTACATATTTGACCCGTGGCAAGTTATTTAATTAACCTCTTTGGAGCTTTGTTTCTTCATTTGTAAAACTGGAGCAATAATACATACCTTTATAGGCTTGCTGAGAGCATGAAATGTTAAGGGCACAGAAGAGCAGCTGGCATATAGTAAGGGCTTATTTAATAAACATAAACTGTTATCTGAATTTAATAGACTATAAATGTTTATAAAATAATCTAAATTGATGGTGAATTTGGAAAGAAAAATTAATTTAAAAAGAAAATTAAAAAATTAAAAATTAATTTAAAACAGAAAAGTTATCAAAATATTAGCAGTTAAATTATTTCAATGGGCATTACGGATGTAATTTAATTTTTGTATTTTCCAAATTCCCTTTCATTAACACATCAGACTTTTGTGAGTTTATAATAAGAAGGAAGAGGGAAAGAACAGGAGGGAGAGAGGAAAGAAAGAAAGAAGAAAAGGAATGAAATAAAGCTGACTGTGCTGCTGGGAAAAACAAACAAACTAAAACCTAGGCAAACCAAACGGAATTTTTAAAGTAACCTGCTCTTTGGAATATAAACTGTAAGTGTATGAATTGTTTACATGCTTATTTTCAGAAAAAATCTTGCAACAACTGAGGGAAACCTATACTGTACTAAGTGGCACAAAGACTGCCTACAATGAATGAAATGAGAAATCAAATCTCATTTTACTGGTATTAGCAATGAAATTTCAAGTAAAAATTATTTTCTTTGGTAAACCAAAGGATAATTCTATAACAATTTCCAACCTACTAAATCTGTATAACTATACTTAAAACTTATGTTTTAATTATTTATATATATATATATATATAAAACTATACTTAAAACTTAGGGTAAACTTATATTTATCCTAAGTTCTTCTGTATAATATAGACAGATACTTAGATATTTTAGAGTCATTAGCATATCATATGTTCTTTAACTATATGGACTTCTCATGTTTTTTCTTCTACCAACTCTTTCAGAGCAAGAAATATATCTAAATCACAAGAGCTTTCCAGTAAAGGTTACTAAAATTGCCCTTCTATCTCAGAAAAATCTGGTCTATCCTTCCAAAGCAGCTCAAAGCATACTCCCTTTACGCAGGCTTCACAGATTCCACCAGGAAGAATTAAAGGTTCCCTTTTACTTTTTCCAAGCCCATGGTATGTTAAAGTGAAAGTAACACTTTTTTAAATGCCTCCTGATCAGCTGCCTCTTTCCCAGGAGAGGGTCCACGGTTTTGTTGGCACCCACTGTCACCATGAGGCAGCCCTTTGTGGGCTCCAGGCAGGCTCATGCTGCTGCCTCCCACTCGAGTGTCTCTGTCAGGGATGGGCCTTAAGAAACTCACTCCTTCTTCCCTTTTGTCCACTGTCACTCATTTAACTCCAAACTTTCCTGTGGGTTCTTTACCTCAATCAAACAGAAAAGCACAGTTTTGCCTCTGCAAAACTTTCAAGCATGTTGCATGAAAAAAGTACAGGACCCAAATTTAATAAAGGCTTGTGGTTTGATAAGAAATAAGGGACACAGTTATAGGCTGTTTTGGCAGTGTAAATAATGCTTCCTTTCTAGGGTGAGTGTGTAAGAAGTATTCTTCTGAAATACCTTTTTATGCTCTTTTCTCTGTTTTCCACCACACTTCTACAGTGGTAAAAAATAACAAGAAGGAAAAATCTAGTTTGGGGGGACCTCTGAATCATTTTCTTACCATACAAATTCCTAAAAACTTACTCTTCGTCAGATCATTACAATTATTCTGAACACTACTTGCTATGAGGCAATGGTTGACATTAATAATGAAAATGGCAGCTCTAGATTAACAGAAGCTCCCCTGCTCCAAAAAGATACCAATTTTATCTCATAAAAATAAACCAAATTAGGCCGGGTGCAGTGGCTCACACCTGTAATCCCAGCACTATGGGAGGCAGAGTGGGGTGGATCACCGGAGGTCAGGAGTTTGAGACCAGGCTGGCCAACATGGTGAAACCCCATCTCTACAAAAACACAAAAAAATTAGCCGGGCATGATTGCACGCACTTGTAATCCTAGCTACTTGGGAGGCTGAGGCAGGAGAATCACTTGAACCTGGGAGGTGGAGGTCGCAGTGAGCCATTGCACTCCAGCCTGGGCGACAGAGTGAGACTCCATCTCAAAAAAAAAAAAAAAAAGCCAAATTAAGCATTTTTATTTGCAAATAACACATCCCTACAGAATGTTTACTGAGAATTACTAGAACTTAGAAAGTCTTTTTTACAAACGGAATTTGAAAATTACCTTGGCACCTAAAAATGTGAATCAAAACCCTTAATTTAACAATTTTTTCTCCCTCAAATGATGGATTTTGGTAATCATCAAAACCAGCCATTCTGTAAGATCACGATTTATATTTTAGCTATTTTAAGTTTCAAACTTGAGACACAGGCAAGTAGCTGTCAGCAAAAGCATAAGCATATTGCTATCATTGGGATTGTACAGTGGAGTCCAATTCTCTGACCTCAGTGTCAGAGACTGGGGGGACCCTCTAGTTTTGGCAGACAAACTTTGTGAAGAGCACAGAATAGCCTTGGCAAGCTGCCAGTGGAGGGTTTTCTCCCCTTTATAGCCCCAGATGGAGAATTATTACGCTTTGTGGAACTAAATATGTAATTGGATTCAAGAAAGGTAGCTTCTAGTTATCCCTTGAGTAGTTAATAAGGGTGGTCTACAGTAGGCATTAAAAAGATTAAGGAAAATTCCTTCTATTTTTTATGTTGCTCTCTACCTGTTTCTTTTAAATAGTCCTAAGACGTTTTTCCACTGAGAGAATAAAGAACAATTGTTTATAAAAGCTACACCTATGGATAAAGATCTCTAAGATTGCTGCACCCTATTTAGCTATAACTAGCAAGTAATAAGCATGGAATGAAACTTGAAAGAAATTGAGATAATTGCTTGACGCCTCAGAGACAGCTAGCTATATTATATTCCTTCTGCCTGATACTAAAATGAAATTGATAATAATCCATCAAGCTGAAATTTAAACCCTGGTTCTAGTTGGGATAGAATGACGTGGAGAAAACTAAGCTAGCTCTCAGAGACACCACGACACAGTATATACGTGTTCATAGCACAAATATATGATTTCTTTAGTTGGTATTTTCTTTCAAGTCAATGTTTCTGAACCAAGAGCAGTGACTATTATATTTAGGGCAAAAATATATTTGAACAATCTAATGTTATATATGGTTAAGTTTCTAATTAAAACAGGTCTCTTTTGGTATTAAAATACAGCCTAAATTACAGGCTTTTAACTTAAAAATCTATTTGCATTTATTTTCTTCTGATATTGAATTCAACTGTACTGATAATTATTGAGTAGCTGCTAAGGGCAAAATGCTTTGCTCTATGGACACTGCAATACAGTCACTGAGTAAATAACAGAATTTGATCTCATGAAATGCAAGACTTAGGAAGAAGATACAAGTATGGAATTAATTAACATACAAGACAATATACATAAAAAATACAAAGTGCTAACGAAGGAAAAATTACTTCCTTCATTTGGAAGAGTAGGCAAAGGTTTTATGAATGCCTGAGCTAGGTTTTGAAGAATGGGTATAATTTTCCAAAGTGAAGGGGAGATGGGTGAGCATGTATAAGAGAACTTCAGGGCACCAAAGTGGTACAGTTACTAAAGAGTGAGACAATGCTAGAGTTGTTGTGGGGAGCCTGCATGCTGGGATGACCATGGGATCCGGGGATTTGGGAGTGTGGGTCCTTCCCCTCCTCACTTTCCTCTTTCCCCCAGGTTACTGCCAGGCCCTGGACTGAGTGCTGACTGCATCCTACCTGAGCCAGCACGACCCCAGAACCATGCTTATCAAAGGGTCACCTGAGAACTGTCAGAAATGCACTCTCTGGCTCTGACCAGACCTGCTGAAAGGAGACTTCGGAGGTGAAGCACAGCATCAGCTTGCCAAGCCTTCCCCATGATTCTGATGCTTGCTGAGATGTAAGAACCGCTGCCCTAAACTTTAGAAAGAAATTGTCTTGCTCTATGGGTGACCTGAAATCTGACTAACACATAGTGTTATCTTCCTCTCTGAGGGAGAAGGAAAAGAAGAGATAAGGTAGAGTATATTTAATTCATTTAGTTCATTTATTTACCAGGTATTTAGTTAGGCACTTACTTTGTAGAGTCTGAAAACCTTAACCCCCAGAATAAGGAATAGCTCTTGTCAATTTAATAAACTGTGAGTACAATGAAAACTTTTGAGCTGAAGATGGTAAAGTCACAGTTACGCTAGAAAGATTAGCATGGTAGCGGTCTAAATGACGTTTCCAGCAGTGTAGGGAGGAGATACTGGAGACTCATTAATAGGATACTGCAAAAGGCCACATATTGTATGGCTGCATTTATATGAAATGTCCAAAATAAGCAGATCCGTAGAAACAGAAAGGAGATTGGTGGCTGCCAAGGGCTGGAGGGAAGGGGAAATGGGGAGTAACTGTTGAGTACAGGGTTTCTTTTGGGGTTGATAAAACTGTTCTGAAATTAGATCATGGTGATGGCTGCACAACTTGCAAATAAACTGAATACTCCTGAATTGTACACTTTAAAAAGGCTGAATTTTATGTGAATTATATCTCAAGAAAGCTATCATATGAAACAAAAAGAACAAAACCAACAGGCTTAACCTGGCAACACTGTGCAACAGATAAATAGATAGTTTGCAAGTATTTAGAAAACACACTGGGGATTACTATGAGCAAGGACTTCTCTAGCAACATTCATCCCAAATGAGTTTTCCTTATTCTTTTTGCTAAAGAGATTAGAGTAAGAATTTTAATTTTTTAAAGCTTACTTTTTGCTTAATAAACATGCTCCTAGTATACAATTTAGAAAAATACAAAAACACAAAAGAATAGAATAGCACATATTCCTACCACCCAGAGAACAATCAATAACTTAAAAAATTTCCTGCTCAGTATTTTAAAATGTAAGTGTGTATACAATCAAGCACAAAGTGTATATATAATTTTATAGCTGGGTCTTTGTTTTCTTAATGTTATCCACCATGTCATTAAATGTCTTTATAATTTTCAATGGCTCTGTGATATCCCATCATATGAATATACCATATTTAACCATTTGTTTCCATTTTTGTGACTATAAGTAACACTGATTAATATCTTAAATATGTCTTGATCCACATTTCTGATTATATACCTACAATAGTCTTAGAAATGTAATTATTAGATCAAAGGGTCTGACCATATTTAATCCTATTTATGTACTGTCAAACTGTTTTCCAAGAAGACTGTATTAATTTACAATCCCCTTAGCAGAGTATGCGAGTTCCCTTCTCACAATTCACAACGAGTATTAAGATGTTTTAAAAATGCTTTGCTAATTTAAAGATTATGGTGTGACACTGTTTCACAATTTAAACTGATTCCTAGTAATTGAATATCTTTGAATTGTTTTAGCACTTCATTTCTACTCTGATGAAAGAATGCCGAGTCAGGTATGCCATAGGTGCAATATGTTGAGGTCAGCTAGGCATGTGATGTAATGCTGTTGTGCAGATGAAAGCAAAATGTGGGTTCCACTGGTGGTCTTCATCTTTGGCCACTAATCAATCACCCAAGGAGCTTTTGAAACCATAGTTTTCCTGGCTCCGCCCCAGACCAACTAAAGCAGAATCCCTTGAGGAAAGACCCTAGGAGATCAGCTGAAACCTACTGGGCTAGATGACAATGGAAAACTGAGTTAAGGCTGGTGGAATAACCTGCTGGGTGTTAATAGGATATTAATCCTGTCTGGTTCTCCTGACAGGCCACCACTTCCCTGCAGTCCACTCCAGTAGAAGCTGCTGTCCTCTCATTACACGTGTAGTGGGGATAGTAGGTGGGGTCACCCTCTCCTCACTCCATTACAAAGATGCCCTTATATAGAATCTTTCCTCCTCTGAAAAAACCCTCTCTCTACCAGTACCATAGAACGCCTCTATCTATCTTCCTAAGTTCACCAACATGCAGCTTAATCCCCCACAGTTACTGAAGCATTCTGCCATCAGACTAGCGCTTCCTCTCTAGCTCAAATCTGGTCATCATTCTGAGTAATTTCAAAGACTGTGTGGATGAACTAATGAGTATCCCGCAGGTCCTTGTCTGTCAACTCCAACGAAGTTCACCTCCCCTCCACTTCGGCCGCTGCCTTCTATAATCATGCCCTGAACCTTGTTATTACGCAGTACTGTTTCCATTTGAACACCATTTTTTTGGTCCACAAACTCCTAGCACACTAGCTTTCATACTGTCTTCCTCCCCAACAGTCTTCAGTGTATGCCAGCCCCTGCCCCTTTCCGTCATTCTCAAGCTAGAGCCACCTCCCCACCTGCAGCCACCTCAGTTCTCTTTCACACCACCCTCTCATAGAATTCTTTCTGCAAAACTTCATTCCCAAGTCTTTCCACCATAAGGGGAAGCTGAGCACTGATGGAGAATATCAAGCAACAAGGGGCAGAGGGGCCCCAAAGATTTCAGGGTTTCTAAAATTGCCCAGGCCCTTAGTCCTGCCTGTCAATCCTTTACTTTGTTCTCAGCTTGTTCTATTGACCTCAACAATTATTTCCAGCTTTTGCCACTTCAGTAAATACCCGTTCAATTTGATTTTCCTCAACTTCCCTTCTTCCTGCTTAGAAAGATAGCCAACTCCATCTTCAACATCACTTCTGGTGTCTCAGAGAATGTGTGATCCTTCTGCCTGTAAACACTAACTACTCCAACCCCATTTCTATTCCCCTCCTCACCTTGGGAGACCCTGCTGCAATATTTCAACCTCTTCCTCTCTACTTAATGCATACTCAGGTCATTTCCATCCTTTAAAATAAAAATGTTTCAAGGATGAGCTTAAATTCCTCTCCAACTACCATTCAATCTCAAATCTTCCTTCACATCCAGACCTGTCTAAAGAATACAAAGGTCTGGGATTCCTTTATCCCCAAACACTGGGGACCATATGATTTAGAATTTACACACACACACACACACACACGTGCGTAGATATACATATATATATATTTCATTCTAGAAAGATAATACATGTCGGCCAGGCGCGGTAGCTCATGCCTGTAATCCCAGCACTTTGGGAGGCCAAGGCGGGCAGATCACAAGGTCAAGAGATCAAGACCATCCTGGCCAACATGGTGAAATCCCATCTCTACTAAAAATACAAAAATTAGCTGGGCATGGTGGTGTCCGCCTGTACTCCCAAGCTACTCAGGAGGCTGAGGCAGGAGAATCGCTTGAACCCAGGAGGCGGAGGTTGCAGTGAGCTGAGATCGCACCACTACACTCCAGCCTGGGTGACAGAGTGAGACTCCGTTTAAAAAAAAAAAGATAATACGTGTCATATACCATATTTCATTATAACCCCAGAAGGGTCTACAGAAGCATTCTATAATCAAATTCAGTATTATTTCTGCAGTGAAATGTATGAATATTCACACTAAATGAAACAAATGATTATAAATCATCTCACATCCATTCAGGTCAGGTTTTACTGCCAAATGAATTACAAAACACCTTTCCATTTTCAGTGTGCTGAATTTTGAGATTCAAATAAGGGAATACAGGCATGTAGATTATTCTCCTATTCCCTTCCACTCACTCTATGACCCAAAGATATTGTATCTCTTCCCATATTACCCCATTAAATCTGCCCTCCCTAGTCTTCCATGACATTCAAATGCCAACCTACAGCAATTTGGGCATACTGTATGTTGTTACCAAACTTTCTGCTGTGTTTACCACAGTTAAAAATCACACCCCTTCCGTGGTTCCTCCTTTAACCTCTCCATTTTGTGGCTTTCATGACACAACAATCTATAGGTCCTCCTCTTACATAATTATTCTTTTTCAATCTCTTTTATGGGATCTTCTTCCTTTTTGAAGTTATCCAGGTTTCCATCTGGCTAGTTCTCTCCTCATTCATCTCTATTTTAAAAATTATTTTTAACAGCTTTACTGAGGTCACATGTCGTAAAATGCAGCAATTTAATATATACATTAAAAAGTAGTTTTAGTGTATATACAGGGTTGTGAAACCATCACCATATGTAATTCCAAAGCATTGTCATCACCCCAAGAGGAAACCCCAAACTCATACAATTAATCCCCATTCTCTCCTCTCCCAGCCCCTCACAGCCACTGATCTACTCTCTATCTCTATGGATTTACCTAATATGAACATTTCATATAAACAGAATCAAATAATATGTGACCTTCTATGTCTCACTTGTTTCAATTAGCATAATGTTTTCAAGGCTCAGCAACACTGCTGCATGTATCAGTACTTCATTTCTTTTTATGGCCAAATATTCCATTGTATAGCTATACCAAATTTTGTTTACCCATTACTCAGTGAATGGACATTTGGGTTGTTTCTACTTTTTGGCTATTATGAATAATGCTATCATGGACATTTGTGTACAAGTTTTTACACAGATGTATGCTTTCCATTCTCTTGGATATATAGCTAGGAATGGAATCGGTGAGTCATATGGTAACTCTATGTTTAACTTTTTGAAGAAATGCGAAACTACTTCCCAAACTTGCTACACCATTTTACATTCCTACCAGTAATAAACAAGGATTCCACTTTTTTTTTCAAATCTTCCCCAAACCTTGTTCTTTTTGTTTTCTTTTTAAGTTATAGCCATCCTACTGGATATTAAGCAGTATATCTCATTGTGGGTTTGATTTGCCCTTCCCTAATAACAATATTGAGCATCTTTACTTGTGTTTATTTGGCTATTTGCATATCTTCTTTGGAGAGGTGCCTACTCAAATCCTTTGCCTGTCCCTAAAATTAGGTTCTCTGGTCAGTGATTCTTAACAGCTTTTGGGGTTATGAACCTCTCTGAGTACCTGACCAAGGCCAAAAAGTAAAAGCACACACATACAGAATATGACATACAACTTTTCCAAAATGTCACTAACTCACTAAGACCATTTATGGATCCTCCAGATTAAGAACCCCTGTTCTATACCATAGGTTCCCAACCATGGCTGCATAGATAAAAACCATCTGATTTTCATTTTCCATTGCCATACAATCCATCAATTCTACCTCCACACCCAAAAGATGTGAACTTTATGTGCGACTCAGACATATGTACATCCATGCTCTAAGCAGCATAATAGGTGAATAGGCTTTGCTAAAGGTGAAAACAACCCAAATGTCCATCAACATATGAATAAACAAAAGGTGCACACACATATAATAGAATATTATTCAGCCTTAAAGAGGAGTATCGTACTGATACATGTTAAAACATGGATGAACCTTGAGAATACCCTAAATGAAAGAATGATTTCACTAATATGAGGTACTTAGACTGGTCAAATTTATGAGACAGAAAGAGGAACATAGATTATCAGGGGCTGGGGAGTGGGAGGGAATGGAGTTATTAATGGTTTCTATTTGGGATGATGAAAAAGTTCTAGAAATGAATAATGGTGATGGTTGCACAATACTGTTCATGTATTTAACATTCCTGAAATGTGTACTTAAAATAGTTACAATGGCAAATTGTATGGATATTTTACCATAATAAAAAATTTAAAAAAATATTTAAAAACATCCAAGATAACCAGGTACCACTCCAGACCCATCAGATCAGAAATTTTAGAGGTGTGGTATGACCATCAATACTTCTCTTAGGCCAGGCGCGGTGGCTCACACTTGTGATCCCAGAACTTTAGGAGGCCAAGGCAGGAGGATCACTCAAGCCCAGGAGTTAGAGACCAGCCTGGGCAACAAGACAAGACCTTGTCTCTACAAAAAGATCAAAAATTAGCTGGGCATCGTGGTGCACACCTGTAGTGTCAGCTACTCGGGAGGCTGAGGCAGGAGGATTTCTTGAGCCCAGGAGATCAAGGCTGCAGTGAACTATGATCGCACCACTATGCTCCAGCCTGGACAATAGAGTGAGACCTTGTCTCAAAAAACAAATTTTTTTTCTTAAAAATTTTCCAGATAATTCTGATGTTCAACTAGGATTAAGAACTGCTGCTTTATAGTATCTTTGGTGGTATCAGTTATCCCTACGGGTTTCCCACATCTTTCCAGCCTTCACCTCTCAAAGCTTTCACCTTAAAAATCATGCCGCCTGCTAAGTGACTACTCAGAAAATTAAACACATCCATTTTTATTCCCCGCCCCCAAAATGCCCCATGTGTAAGATGTCAATCCACTGAACATCCTCCTTATACTTCTGTATTCTTGTCAAATCATCAATAAGATATCTGTGCCTCTCCAATATCCTCAAGTCTCTCCTCTTATCACTTTGCTAATCACTACTACTTCTATTTTAGGTCTTTATCACCTCTCACCTGGATTATCCAAAATAAGTCTCCTTATTTCCAGATAACTTCCTTGATTAAAATCCTTCAATAGTCTTCGCTCCCTCCAAGACGAAGTCTGTGCTTTCTCAAACGTAATACAAGGTGCCTTATGATCTAGCCCATACCTCTGTCTCCAGGTTCATTTCTTGACCTTTTCTGTTTGCCCGGGAACTATAAATGCACATGGTTCCTCACTTACTACATACCAGCTCTTACCTAAGTTCTTTTGCTTGTCATATATGCAATAAGCCATATATCTTGTCCTTTTGGGTAACTCCCACTCATCTTTAAGACCTAGCTCACATTGACTCTTCCTCCCAAGATTAAATTCCCCTCTTCTGTCTTCTAAACGCCTATACAGCTGGCCCTCTCCGTATCTGTGGTTCTGTATTCGCAGATTCAGCCAATCTCAAATTGGAAACTTAAAAGAAAAAAACAACAATAAAAGTAATACAAATAAAAAAGCAGTACAATATAACAACTATGTGCATAGCATTTGCAATGTATTAGGTATTGTAAGTAATCTAGAGATGATTTAAAGTATATGGGAGGATGCGCATTATATGCAATTACTATGCCATTTCATATAAGGGACTTGAGCATTGGTGGACTTGGGTCTCCACTGGGTTTCTAGAACCAATCCCCTGTAATACTGAAGAACAGTTGCATATAACTCTACCATTAATCATGTATATCATAACTATCTTATTTATGCCTTTTCCCTACCATATTTTAAGCTCTTTGAAAGACAGAAAGGAAGTATTTCTCATTGTAAAAAAATCCTAGGCCCTTATTAGAATGCCTGATGCACAAGTACTTAATATTCATGGAATAAATTGCTTTACAAACTGCTATCGAGTTTGAAGCTACTTCACCAAAATAGGTAGCATCGTTGAATATTTACTATGGTATAGTAGTATACTTGTATTATCTTATTTGATCCTCACAATTAACTGTATGAAGTAATTATTATTATTCCCTGAATGAAAATCCAAGTAACATGACTAAGGTCAAACACAGCCAACAGCTGGCAGAAGCAGGATTTGAACCCGCGCTGTCTGACTCTAAGCCTGTACTCTTTACCTCTAGGACACTGCCTCATTATTTGATGCACTGCTACTCTCTCAACTTCTTACTGTGCATGTCTCATCTCAAGTAAATAATTCCATCCAGTATTTTCCTTTTTTTTTTTTTTTTAAGTATAAACTTATAGTTTTGTATCTGTTAAAATTTAGGGCCAGGTGCAATGGCTCATGCCTGTAATCCCAACACTTCAGGAAGCTGAGGCAGGAGGACTGCTTGAGCTCAGGAGTTTGAGACTAGCCTGGGCAACATAGTGAGACTCTGTATCTACAAAAGAAAAAAAATACAAAAATTATCCGGGCATGCTGGCATGCCCCTGTAGTTCCACAAACCAGGGAGGCTGAGGTGAGAGGACTGCTTGAGCCCAGAAGGTGGAGACTCTAGTGAGCCAAAATCACATCACTGCACTCCAGCCTGGGCAACAGAGCAACACTCCATCTTCCAAAACAACAAAAGAAGAGTTTACAAAGCTTTAGCATATTACTACATACTCTTCATAGCCAGCAGAACTACTCCAAGAACACACACACACACTTGCCATTAGGTTGAAAAAAAAAATTAACTGTGTGACGTTCTAAGTAAGGGAAACCAAAGATGACAGTCATTTAAGTCAAAATAACCAGGGGATTTTAGGTGATTGCAATTTAATATGATTTAGCCAAATGACTTGATACTAAAAATAACAAATGTACCCACAGACCACAAAACAAAGGCAAAATTAAACATATGTGATTAAGATAGAAATATGAGATTCCATGTTGCTCCAGAAGACAGAAATGACAGGTTCATGGATAACTTAGTCAATGAATAAGCATGTGCACACGCGCGCGCGCGCGTGTGTGTGTTTTAAACTACTTAGGAAGAGGAAACATACGTAGGTGAGAAAATACACCACATGTGTTAAAGGAATATTTCACAGACAAGAGATGCCACACTGACAAAATATGCAGTTTAAAAAACAAACAAAATAACAATATATTAGGTGCTTAGTAATTAGTATAGTGTTGAAGAATGTATTATGCATGACATTATTTGATTCTCAGAGCTCCACAATGTAAATATTGTTCCTATTTTACAGAGGAGAAAACAGATTCAGAGAAGTTACATGACCGACCTCTCCAAGGTCTCAAAGCTCTTACATCACAGGACAAGGCTTGAAACCAAGCTCTGACTGCAAATGCCATGCTCTGCACAATTCTTCCCATTGTCTAAGAAATGCCATTAAATAACTATCTAGAAATACGTAACAGGAGAATTGCCAACAACACAAGGAAATGATCTAGGTAAAACATATTTGAAAAGACGAACATGTCATCCTCAAAGTCTGTGGACTGTCTGTCCCTGGAGACCAAGGAAGTATGAATTTTCCCTTTACCCAAATCTTCCTTGAGTTATGTCACTGGAGTATGGTGACTTGTGCTTCTGTTCATTTCTAGCACCCAAACCGTTCTCAGCAGCTCCAGGTGCTGACCATAACCAACAGCAAATATGGTACATTACTTGACCAAACCACAAAATTATACAGAACTTAGGTGGTTTAGACATTCAGGACAGATTCAGGCCCCCATAAGCTCAACTGTGTCCCCATTTCCCTCCATATCTGCAATCTTGACCCACTATTCTAGAGAAACAATAGATTTTTGTGTCTCACAGTAGTTGGGTTGATTTCTCTTACTTTGGTGTGTTCTGCTCACATTAACCTCTGTATAAGAAACCACCTTCTGTTTACATCCACTACCTTGCCTTTTCCTACTGAATCCTAGGTACTCTGATAACATTTCTAATCAACTTTAGAAGACTGTGTTCCAGAATATAATTTCAACTGCCTTGAGTTTACCTGGGAATTGAAATATCTGGAGGTGATGGGAGATCAAACCGGGTAGGACAGAAGGGGCCTCAAACAGGTCATTACAGGAATTCTGTTTCGGCCTTGCAATGGCAACTGAATATATTTGAACAATGGTTCATTCTGATAAACATATACAACAACTTATCATCTAAATGAAAGACTAACCTCTACCAACCACCAAGCAGAAAAACCAGAGAATTTAAATTGGTCTTCAAATTTTAGGCATGAAGAAACACAAGACCTACAGTCTTTGTTGATCTTCTTGGTAAATGTCATGTAGTACAAGACTCCACTGCACTCTATTCTGGACCAAACAATCCATTCCCACAGCTCTTCCTAAGGACCCACAACCTGCTGATATAAGGCAGCTTTTCTCCATCTCCTTACACAGAAGACACCCTGACAACACCATGAGACACTGCCCGCCCCCCAGCACTTGATTCAGGTATCCAATCTACAGGTTGCCAGGGTCTAGAGGGATGGCTTGGCACAAAAGTTCTATCCAGACAAAGACAATGGTGATTGGTTGGCTCAATCAGGTTCTCTCAGTCTTTGGGATAATTAAGAGAGAGAATTGTTCAGTGAGAAGAGAAAACAACAGCTAAAAAGACACATAGGAAGAAACCACAAGATAATAAAGTTACAAGAAGAAATGAATGAGCCAAAGTTACAAGGCAGAGAAAAGATACACAGTGAGAGTGTGAACAGGTTGGTTAGCTGGCATGACAGGCAGAGCAGAAGCAGACTGAGAGACCACCTTTGCTACTACAGTCAACAAGTTCATGATTCTCCAACCTCTCCACACAGGAAATAATCTCTTGTGCCCAATCCTTCCAGATTTCCATATCTAGACTATCACACAGACACAAAGGCTTTGGGGAAATGTGGCCCTCTACCCCTTTCCAACAAAGAAGCTCTGTTGAGAAGGGCAGCCCTATTTGACTGCATCTCCTAACACGGCCTTGAACCTCCAGATAATAACAAGCTTCAGTGTCATTTCTTGCTTCCACCATTTACTAGCTGCACAACCTTAGGAAAGGTTCTTAACCTTTCAAAGCTGTTTCCATGTCTGTAATATTTGCAGATAACATTTACTTCACAAGTTTGAATGAAAATTAAATGAGATAAAGCAGAAAAGTACATGGCCTGGTATACAGAAACACCCTCATAAAAATAAGCTGCCTTCACTATTATTGTCATTATTATCTGAAACACTTGGCCCATTGTAGGTACTCCACAAATAACACTCCCTATTCAAACAGGAGATGCTCTGTCTTGTTTCAGATCTCATACTGTAAAGCAATTATCTTTCTTCAGTCTCTTTAGGGCCACATTTTTTGCATTTTTGTTCTTCTGATGTTGAAAATGGCCCCCAAGCGTGATGTTGGAACGCTATAGAGGGTTCCGAAGTGCCAGAAGGCTGTGATGTGCCTTATGAGAAAATATGAATGTTAGACAAGCTTTGTTAAGGCAGGAGTTACATTGCTGTTGACTGTGAGTGCAATCTTAATGAATCAACAATATTATGTAACTTACATATTAAATAAGTTGTCTTTAAACAGAAATACACATAAGGTTATGTATTGATCAGATGACTAAGATGATGTGACCAGAGGCCTGCAGGAACCTAGCCCTCAATTTTCCACTAGGAGCCATGCCTCAGAATTCGCCAGTTCAATGTTTCCCACAACTTTATAAAACATAACTCCTGTGAAATCAGGAGAATCAATGCTATTACATTAAAGGTAGAATATGGGACTAGGTGAGAATCTCCAAGTGGGAGGGGCAGGTCCAGATAGTGAAAGAGGCTCTTATGTCCTACCAAGGAAGGTGGACTTCTAATTGCTTCTAACATGTAGTTACTGATTCAAAGACTATGGGCTTGGGAAGGGTCTGTATACCTTCCTCCTCTTTATGGAATCCCTGGTATCTGTAAACAAGGATCTTTATTTGGATTCTCTGTGGTTTTTATACCTGAATGCTCCATCATAGCAATGCAGTGAGTAAAGGACCTTGGAAGCAGCAAGTTCTCCATTTGCCAAGAAAAAGGAAAAGAAACTAAGTAAGAAAATATGCAACACACTTCTTTCAGATCCCAGAACTACAAAGCTTCTCCCCACCCAGTTAATCTCATGGCAATTCATAGTCACTCTGTTTTAACAATCTCTGCTATCCCAATTTTAATGCTCTCCTTCATTCTCCTTCCTCTAAAGCAGATTTCTGAATTAGCTGGGAGTTAATGTTCATGAATATGTTTCTTTTCAATGCGGACCGAATACTCTTTAAATAATGTCTTACTCTTAACATACTTGAAATGAAACAGAAGTTCACTAAAGTACAAACATTAAAAAACAAAAAATCACTTCAACTGTAATAGTTCCCTCCTTGTCCATTATGTTCATCCTGTCCTCATTCTAGAATAAATCAGCAAATCTAACTGAACCCAGCATCATCTGAACTCAATATACATAGTAATTTAGAGTGTAGACTCTCAAGGCAAACTACCTGGGCTGAAATCCTGCACCACTGACTCATTAGCTGTGTGAGCTTGGACCAGTGACTTTACCTCTCCATGTCTCCATCTCCCAACTGTGAAACAGGAATTGAATTAATATATGTAAGGTCCATAGAACAGGACCTGGCATGTAAGTTCTACATAAAAGATAAGCTTTAAAACTACCGTTAATTGTTTTGCAAAAGTCATTTTCCTCATCAAAAGAAAAAGTAAAAACAAAGCCTTTAAAATTTTATTTTTAATAAGCATATGTAAAAATGACATATAAAAATGGACATTTTCACATTAAAACATGAAAGCAAAATTTGGAAAAACCAATTAATGTAGAACTAAAAATAAAAAGGCTATTACGGTTTCAATACTATGTTTATTTATCATTCATTTTGACTACAGTCTAAGGACTTATAGAAACAAAACAGGTAACTTAAACATAAGCCTCATAGTATGCTTTTATGACTATTCTAGCCAATCAATTTACTATTGTAATTGGATTTGACATCTAAAATGATGAAACCAAACATCTAGCTTCTATCTCAACATACTTCTTAATCTTGACTGACTTTTAAAGAAGAAACAATCATTCAATGTCAAGATTATAGTGTTTGGTGTTTCTTATAAAATCTTTAATAAAACATACATAGCAATAACCATGTTATCTTTAACATTAAAATAATGCAAATGTATGTTTATGTTGTACTATATTAGTGATTACTACAAGCCATAACCCTGCATGTTAACTGTGAACCTGGTGAAAAGAGCCATCACTACTAAAACGCATGCTAAAAAATGCAAAGTCTTACCTTTTTAATGACAAGGACCAAAGCACCTGTGAGAGAAATGGATAAGCCAACTGATTCTAAACCTTTTTCTGCATTTCTGAATGATAATTTTTAGAGCAAATCCTATAAGAGGTACCGTGGGAAAATTTGCTGGCTGTTACACAGGCTTTTCCACTTCCTGAATCTTATATTCCCTTGGCTTCCACAGAATTCAAATGTCTCTAAAATATAGCCCCGTACTTTAATCCTGCCTAAATCTTCCCAAACTTTTACCTTCTCAAAAAACAAAAAGGTCCTATGAACACATTTCACTGAGTTTTACAACACTGAATACTAAGATCACACTTAATTCTACTTTTTCTTACCCTATCTATTCTACAAATTAAAATTCGTTCCAAGAAACAAACCCCCTCAGCCTGACAAGATCAGACCCGATTATAATATTTGTGGTTAATTACTGTGGTTGGAATTCTGAAGTGTAGCAGGATTTGCAAGCTAGACATCTGGCTTGTTTACACGCTACCTGGACTTCAACACCTGCACCTCTTAACTCTGATAATAATACTGGGGTGCTTCCTCACTCCCCAACCTCTAAAAGTAAATACTGTTTGTTTAGATAACTCAATATGTTAATCTGTTTATGAAAATACTTTAAATTTGCAAAGGACTGATATTTTATGTCCTAGGGGAAAAACAAAACCATCAGGAATAAAAACTACTCTAGCTGTAGAAGATTATTTAAAAAACAAAAAGTATTTCTGTTCTGAAACAAAGGAAAATGAAATGGCATGGATGCAGACCAGTTAAAACTACCATCCAAATCTGCTCATATGAAACGTCATTCACAAAATCAGAGAAGTACTCTCTCAACAGTCAGATAAGTTTTATTCCTTTTAGCCATTTTAAATTCCTATAAGATACAGGATAATTACATTTACTGAGGCTGGATTCCAACGCCAGTTATAAGTTAACTTATTGGATTAAATATCTTATTTGTCTTCATGTTCCCATATTGTTTCATACAGTGGCTTGTAATAATAATAGGTGCTCAATAAAAATACCTTTTAATTATTACAAAAGTCTTGGCTCATTCAAAGGCTTAGATAAGGTAACAAAATAAGATTTAAAAATAAAGAAAAACAAAGAAAGCTCAAATAATACAACTTTGAAACTTTTATTATTCAAAATATTTAACATATGGTGCTAGTGCTTTCTGGGCGGAAAATGGTATGTAACCCTGAAAATGGTATGTAACCCTGTCTCACAGACTACTTACAAGAACATGAGAGTTACTGAAAGAGCAGTGAAAATAAAAAATGGAAAAAAAAAAAAAAAAAGAATGTGGGAGAATACGATAGTTAAAAAAAATCCCAAATTAACTGCTTATTTGAACCAAGTTGTTTTTCTATGTAAAGTGCCAGTGTTGTCTGCTTTTTAAAAGAAAATCCCATTTAATAAAATTAATGATTTATTAAACTATACTGTGCTAAGATATGGCTTGTAGATATAAAGAAGAATCTCCTGCACTTAGTATAATTAAAAATTATGTTTGAGTTGCTCTCATCTTTTATTAGAAAAGACAGCGAGAATTAATTGTTAAACTGTCTATACACCTTAGAAATTGCCTGATACATTCCTTACCTCTTCCAACCTCAATTTCAAAAGGGAACTGTATACAGTATAGTTTAGTTTCAAAATCATATGTGATTTGGAAACATACATACACTTCAGCCCATCTGCTCTAGAAGTTAAATGAAAAACATTAGCAAAATCATTCTCCGAATATATGTTGTGTAATTGTTAACCCTTTTCAGATAATGCTTCTGATTATCTTTCACCAATCTCAGACTTTCAAGTGCTACATTTTCCAAGGTTAAGAGACAGGTACAGACTGCTATGAGAATTAATAGCATTAACATGAGCAAAAGCAGACAAGTACAGTCTGAAGATTAACTGTATGTTATTTAGCTCTCTGCATACAGTAGCATAAGATCAATCTGAGAAAGTTAGGTACTATATATAACAACAACAAAAAAATCACTGAATCAAGGCCTCCACCAAAAATAAAAGCTGTACTTATCATGTAATCAAAAATTAAATAATTTCAAATTTATCACAAAGCTCCCCTTTAAGCTTGAAATTAGAAAAGGATAAAAAGTATAAAGGTAGAAAGATAAAGCTTATAGTTATATTTATTCCTTAATAATTAAGATTTGCATCTAAAAAATTAAGATTCTCCTCCTGAATTTTAGAAAATGCTTACCA
Source organism: Homo sapiens (assembly GCF_000001405.40). Lineage (NCBI taxonomy): Eukaryota > Metazoa > Chordata > Mammalia > Primates > Hominidae > Homo > Homo sapiens. Next base: position 70,244,737 of record NC_000008.11, read on the forward strand.
AAATATTTCCTACAAACAAGCGTGACACTGTATTTGGCTACATAAAGAAACTACAAGGAATATTTTAAAAACACTACACAAACACAAAAGAAATAAGGACCACGGAATCAATTTGGGTCACACTGTATCTATGTGTTCCTGAGAACATTATCACTGCCTGGTTGTCACGCTCAGTTCTCCCTTCTACAACGCACCGCACATCCAATCCACAAGCACACAGAATTCCAAGAACATTACCAAATATTAAGTCAGAGCACTTCTGAAACACACCTTGTAACTGTCCACAGCTTCTGCAGTTCATATTAGAGCTCAGCAGCTTCTCTTTATCTTCACCAGTGATGTAAATACAAATACCATACATCACTCATCAAAACAAAAACCCCCACAATTAGCAATAAATTTATTGCCTCAGAGATAAATCTCCTCTGTTAACCCAAACCAACATTACATCTTGATGTAAACCTAAGCACATGCTGAGCACCCCGCCGCTTATCTCCTCTATCATTTGTTTCTAACGATAGCTGACAAACTAGCCACACAAATCCTTTTTTAGCTGCTGATCAGACAGATCCCCCTTTGACAATCCAGCATGGTGGAACACTCGAAAATTCTTCCTGCTTCTATTCTATTGCTTGCTCTAAAACCCGGTTTCCTTTTCATTGAGATAATAGCCTTTTCTGCAGTCACATGACTCAGAAGCTACATTAGCAGAGCTTTATGATAATAGACTGAGTAAGCCTCTACCCCTCCTGCTATTAAGGGAATGTCTTTTTCTTTTCTCTCCCTCTCTCTCCCTCTCCTTCTCTCTCACACACAGTCTCAGACTCAGTCTCTCACTCTCTCACATACACATACACACGTGCATGCAATGTACACATGCACTCACATACGCATGTCTAAAATTATTTAGTCTTGGAATGTTCATAATAAATAAAAAATATATACCCTAAAATGAAAATATAATTTCTAGATCTGCTGCTAAAAATAAATGCTCAAAACAAACATTCTGATGCATGGTCTTCCTTTCACTAGGATGTACTACACTGGCCATGAACAGTGAGGGGCAGTTAAAAGCAAATATATACTCTCTTGAGCTTTGCCCTCAATGATATAAATCTGACAAATCTGGCATAATGAACACTTTGGAGACATTATAGCTATCCACATACTGAGAATTAATTCCCTGTATTAGTAAAACACATGTAAACATACTTTTTAACATCAAAATGTAGTCTTGTTAAGAATATATCCTTATTAAGTAATTTATAATTTGTCCCAAGAAGAAAAATATTCCCATGGCCAAAGCATCTTAAAAAATAATAATCAGAAGTTCCTTTAAGGCTGGTTACCTTTGTCCATTTCTGATAAATAATCAACTCTGAAAACACATATCTGGAAACACCAGCACAGTACCTGACACACAGAGGCTGCTCCATGTTTTTTTTAAATGTCCTTAGTAACAAGTAGAAGCACCAGATCAAAAGAAAGCAGCTGATCACATTATATTCCTACTTTATCTTTGGTTATGGTTTGTTTCACATTAAAAATTGTTCTTAATCCATGAAGCAAGCAATTTGAGGAAGAAGTTTAAATGTGAGAGTGCTGGGTAGTTGAAAGTGGGGAAAAAGATGGTGTAAGGAACTACGCTCAAGTGCAATGTGCAAAGTGAAGAATGCTGTACACGAGGAGACTAAAAGAATGACAGATTCTGTTAATCTGAAGTCAACAGAAATTTAAACTATATTTTACATTTCTTGGTTGTAACTGGCTTCCTCATCTCATAAATGCAAAACATATTTTTAATATATATATTTTACTTTTAACTGTGGTAAAATATACATAACACAAAATTTATCATCTTAACCATTTGTAAGTGTACAGTTCAATAGGGTTAAGCACATTCATACTGTTATGCAACAGATCTCCTGAACTTTTTCATCTTGCAAAACCGAAACTCTACACCCATTTAACAACTCCTATTTCCTCCTCCCCTAGCCCCTGGCAACCACCACTCTACTTTCTGTTTCTATGAGTTTGAGTACTGTAGATACCTCATATAAGTGGAATCATACATTAATTTTCTTTTGTGTGTAGATACTTCATGGATTATTTTAATACCAGATCAAGACAGAGAGTTTTCATTTCACAAAATCATTTTACATAAACTGCATTATTCATAAGTAAACCAAGCCAAACTTATATTCTTTAATACAGAAAAACCAAGAATTATTACAGATACCAGAAGGGATTATTATCATATAAAAGTTATCTATACAAAAAATTCTCTAAGTTCTCAGAACTCAAAGAATTTAACAACTCCAATTCCAAAACTCCTAGTTTACTCTAATTAACCACTCAACATAGAAATAAATAGGATAGAATGAGTGTTTACTAATTCTCTTTAAGTCACTGAAGGGAACCATGGCCACTCTGGAAGACAACACTAACAACTAACAGAGCCTGAAATGATTAGTGAGGTGTCAGGGAACATAAGTTTCCATAAAGACCTGAGCAAAGAAATTCAATTAGGAAATAAAGTAATTTCAGAGATGAAGAAAATAAACATAAAAAATTTAAAATACCAGCCTATGCCAACACCTCATAATGAAAACACAAAAAAGCACAATTCAGAATTTTTAAGATAATGTTTTAATTGCTAAAGAACCTTTAAAAGTTATAATGATTTTTACCACCACCTAAATATTTTCATTATGGACTTAAAATCTAAAATCAATAATCAGCCAAGGCAACATATACAATCAATGCAATGCAATGCAATGACTAAAATCAATAATCAGCCAAGGCAACATATAAAATCAATGCAATGACTGCAGTTTTAAAAGACTAGCAAAAAACTGCAGGGGGTGGTTTGTGAAATCCGTCTACCCAAATGTGTTCTTTTTCTGCTCACAAGGTCATGAAACCTTTGGCAATCTTATAGATCACTTCCATAGAGAGAGCGTGAGGTCACAGACACGCTAACATTAACACCATGTGTCCTTTATTAACTACAACGGCGCTTTTACAAATTATTTCTCAGCCAGATCATGGGCAGCAGCAAAATGCTGTGCATTCCCTGACCAGATCAATCGCAGCTAAGATAATGCCTTCTGCCAAACAAATCTAAGTAAAATGTCTTGATCCAGATTCTGTGCTTACACTTCAAGATGTATTGCTGTTAGCAAATCTGTCCCTCTCTCATATTTTCTGCTGGCATACACGAATTGGTAAAATTGCCTAACTCTCCTCCTGAGTGCAGAAGATAGCAACAGCAGATTTTATCATTAGCAATTTTAAACTTTTTTCTTCACCAAGGCAGTAGTGTTTACAAGGGAATTAGACTAGATAATTTGTCAAGTTGTTTTTAGCTTTAACATTTTATGATGGTGGTTGTATATAATGGTGGTTCATTTCTTAATCCAAGAGTCTGGTGAGAAGTAAAACAAGGATTCAATAGAGTAATGTTTTCATTTTTAAATTGAGGTACAATTTACATTCAGTGCCATATACAGATCTAAAGAGAAGAGTAAAGTTCAATAGTTGAGACAAATGAAAGCATCTCTGTAATCCAGGCTCCTATCAAAATGTAGAACACTTCCATCACTCTGCAAAGTTCTCTTGTGCCTGTTCTCAGGCAAACTCCACATCTCCTCATCCCTGCCAACAACCACGATACTCTGATTTTCTGTTACCACAGATTAGTTTTGCTTTGTCTAGAACTTTAAATAAATGAAATCATACAGTAAGTACTCTATGTCCTGGCTCCTTTCAGTACCAAGCTTTCGAGACGCATCCATATTACTGCATGGTCTTGGGGGATTGCTTCCAGGAGCTCCCCCTGGATACCAAAATCCATGGATGCTCAAGTCCTGGATATAAAAGGTATAGAATCTGCATATAATCTACGCATATCCTCTCATATACACGAAATCATCTCTAGATTACTTATGATACCTAATAAAATGTAAGTGCTATGCAAATAGTTGTTATACTGTATTGTTTCGGGAATAATGACAGGGGAAAAAAGTCTGCACATGTTCAGTACAGACAAAATTTTTTTCTCCCGAGTATTTTCTGAGGTTGGCCGAATCTAGTGTGCAGAACCCACCAATACAGAGGGTGACTGTATAGTAACAATTTGTCCCTTTTCACTGCTTAGGATATTGTATGAATATACCACAGTTTATCCATTCTCCTATTGGTAGACATTTAAGTTGTTTCCAATTGGGAGCTTGTGATGAACAGAATTCTGACGTGGTTCTGCAAGATTCTCCACCCCCCGGATGGACATGTCCTGCACATTTCCTAGGACTGTAAATATGACAGATGTTTTTACCTCTATGATTAGTTTATGTTACATGGCACAACTGGCTCTAAGAAAGAAAGATAACCAGGGTGGGCCTGAGCTAACCATGCATTTTCTTTGTTAGTGTACCCGATGGGGCAGGCTCCTCAGCATTAGAGCACTGACATTGAAGAGCAGACACCATACCTTTTATCCCTCTAACCCACAGCAGCATCTGTCCTAGTGCTGCTTCTATATGATACACGGTCAAAATTTACATACTGATATTTCTTTTTCCTTAAAAAGGTGATTACGTTGCAATATGAAAAAATGCTTTTGAAGAGGCCACTTTAGAGGGAGGAAAGAGCATGCACTCAGAGTTAGACTTTTGCCCGAATACATATGCCAGATATGCAGTGCCTGAGCAAGTTACTTAACCTCCCTGTCTTAGGTTCCTTATCTATAAATGTGTGTCTCTGGGGTAGAGAGGATGTTTATACTACTGTATTGTTATTGTGAAGAGTCTATGAATTATATGTAAAGCAACTGGCCCAGTGCATAGCATAGGAAGACATCAATTGATGGTAGCCACCATTAGCTCTTAGTTTGATATCATGTTCAGCAAAAAGAAGAAACAGTATCTGTATATCAAAACTGTAGGCCGGGTGCAGTGGCTCATGTCTGTAATCCCAGCACTTTGGGAGGCCGAGGCGGGCAGATCACCTGAGGTCAGGAGTTTGAGACCAGCCTGGCTAACATGGTGAAACTCTGCCTCAACTAAAAATATGAAAAATTAGATGGGCGTGGTGGTGTGTGCCTGTAGTCCCAGCTACTCGGAGGCTAAGGCAGGAGAATCGCTTGAACCTGGGAGGCAGAGGTTGCAGTGAGCCGAGATCAGAACATTGCACTCCAGCCTAGGCAACAGAGAGAGAATCTGCCTCCAAAAAAAAAAAAAAAAGAAGAAGAAGAAGAAGAAGAAGACCAAAAAATGATGATGAGAGTTAAACTGGGTGAGACCAGAGGTCATTTTCATCCTAATTTCCAAACTTTTAGTAATGTCGTTTTCATCATTTAAAAACATGGCAAAGACCAGGCACGGTGGCTCATGCCCTGTAATCCCAGCACTTTGGGAGGCAGAGGCAGGTGGATCACTTGAGCTCAGGAGTTTGAGACCAGCCTGGGCAACATGGTGAAACCCATCTCTACAAAAAAATACAAAAATTAGGCAGGTGTGGTGGCACACACTTGTAGCTCCAGCTACTCAGGAGGCTGAGGTGGGAGGATCATCTGAACCTGGAAGGCCAAGGTCTGCAGTGAGCCATGATTGTGCCACTACACTCCAGCCTGGTTGACAGAGTGAGACCCTGTCTCAAAAAAAAAAAAAAAAAAAAAAAAAAAAAGTCAGCCGAGCGTGGTGGCACGCCTGTGGTCCCAGCTGTTCAGGAGGCTGAGGCAAGAGGATCATTTGAGCCCAGGAGGCAGAGGATGCAGTGAGCTGAGATTGTGCCACTGCACTCCAGCCTGGGCATCGGCGAGACCCCATTTCAAAAAGAAGGCAAAAATGTTTATATAACTTCTGAAGCTGGGTATGAAGGGTACATGGAAGTTTACTATACTATTCTAAATTTCTATAATACAAATGTTAAAAAACAGAGTCCACTGTTCCAAAAGGTGACAAATCTTTAATCTATAAAGATTTCTTCTTTACACACTATGACCACATATTTATTAATTAAAAATGAGATAAGCTCTGAAGGTGACATGTTTAACAAGTTGCAGAGTGTGAACTTTTCAGTCATTTGTAATATTAATTTGTAAACCCATTAGCATTGTAATTCCATACTACAGCTAAATATCAGATTTTTAAAACCTGATAAAATATCATGAAATAATTTATATGTTAAATACATTTTTAAATGCAGTGAGAAATACATTTCATAAATAGTAAGATAGTAAGGGAAAAAGTAATACTGCCCATTTGAATTTATTGTTTCCATTAGGCATAGATCTGCATAGAATTAAGTCACTTGGGCCTCTGACCTCCTTCCTCAGGTGAGCCAGGGATAAAGAAAAGGGCCATCTTTGAATCTCCTGCTTGTGGGTATCATCCCACTAACATTAACTAGAGAGTTTTTTTTCTTGATGTGTAGGAAAATGAGCCTTAGAAAAGGCCCAACTGTGCTAAGCTAGCAGGGACTGCTATTTTGTTGGGTTATTTCCAATAAAAAGCTTATGCAAACAGCAGTGCATAAATGTCTATGATACTACTGCAGTAGATTATACCCACACAAAAGAGGGCTGAGGAGAAGGACTATAGAGTGCAATCACTTCTAAATACGACTCTGCCAAGTTACCACTTCATGAAATGGAATAATATACAAATAGCATACTACATTTCCATCTCAGCATTTGTACTTCATCCAAGGATTTCAGAGGCTTGAAATGACTGAGTTAAATTCTTCCTAATTAGCACACTGTAAACCACTCTAAAGTAAGTCGCCTTTAAAAATGTATTTACTCCTTGAAGTCAGTGGAGTATCACTAGGTTAAAACTGAAATTCTTAAGTCATCTGTTAACCAGAGTTAATGAGAACCCTAATGGTCTATCCAGGTTATACCTTATAAACCTTGGGCTTCCAAAAATGCCAAAGGCTCAGAGAAAGATCCCAAGAATTTGATTCAGTATTAATCCAGCTCTTTGAGATCAGTATTACTCCCAAATAAGTCTCTGACAGTTTTAATGAACAACTAGAACTTTAAAAGGGGCTAAAAAGAATGTGAGAGCCATCTAGGCCTGGGAATCTCAAAGTCATCCGTTTCAAATTCTCAGACTTGGATAACCATTGTCTCTGGTTAGACTTTTCCAGTACTGTCATTCCCTATATCCACAGGGTATTGGTTCCAGGACCTCCCATGGATACTCAAATCCTCAGATGCTCAAGTTCCTGATATAAAATGATATTTGCTTATAACCTACACACAGACTTTAAATCATTTATAGATTACTTATAATGCCTATACAAGGTGCTATGTAAATAATTGTTATATTGTGTTTTTAAAATTTGTACTATTTTTATTGGTTTTTAAAAATATTTTTGATCCATGGTTAGTTGAATTCAAAGATGTGAAACCTGCAAACATGGAGGGCTGAATGTGCCTAGCTTTAGAATCATTTACGTACTAAGTAAGGAGAATCTCCCAAACTGTTATTAAGTCAATAAGTAACTGAAAGCAGAGAGAAGATCATACTACTTAAGTAGTGGTAGTTAGTGGCTGGCTGCAGTGGCTAACGCCTGTAATCCCAGCATTTTGGGAGGCTGAGGTCAGAGGATCGCTCGAGCCCAGGAGTTCAAGACCAGCCTGGGCAACATAGTGAGACACTGTATCTATTTTTAAAAAATAAAACAAAATAAAACGTTAGAGGGAATGGAACTTTCAGGGTACAACATATGCTCTGACCATGATGGCTTAATGGCCCTACATAACTTCTTCCCATCCTTAACTCTGGTGGGTTAACCAGATTTGCTCTTCTGACTCTACCATTCTCTGGTTCTCCTATGTATTAACTTTTCCCAAATAGAGTCAAAAGAAAGTGACAATCACATACGTTAGGGCCCTGAAGAAACCTGGCTCCTCAATGCATCAAGTATTACACAGGTCATTGGTATTAAGGTTTTTATGTCTTTTTTTGGACAGCCTACTTTGATGAAGATTAGACTAATTAATGTTTTCATTTATTCGCAGATTTGACCATACAAATAGAATTGTCGAAGACAAAAGGCTACTCTTTGTAGAGATGTTATATTCTGAGGCAAATAATTAATTATTCATCTATTCCAAATTTCAACAGGCACAATAGACACTTGTGACAAAAGGTGCTAGGGAACATGTGTTTTAAGTTTTGTCTGCAAGACTGCATCTCTCACAGCATATCACTGCTTCTTAGCACCTTCAGCCTGTTCTGACTCAACTTCAAGTGTACTGTTAAATGCTTTTGAATGAGGTTTATTTCTTTCACCTTTCCTTTCCTTTCTTCTGTTTTCTACTTATTCTTGTCTTCCTCTCAAATTTTTGTGAAGATTATTTATCCTTGTAAGGAAGAGGGTGATAACTGCAGTCACAGTGGCAAGCATGGGAAAAGAGGGAAAATACCATTAGCAGAAAAAAGACATATTTCCTTAAAGGCTCATAAGCCATAGTAATAGTTTATAATAATGAAAAAGTACTTTTTATACCTAACTTGATGTCTTCTAGTTCTTTCTTTTTTTAGCTCTAAGTTAATTTCATCCAACAAACACATATTCAGTACCAATGACGCATAAGGCACTAGGTCTCCAGAACAAAATCCCTGCCCTCCAGGGACTCATAATCAAAGAGGGAAAATAGAAGAGCAGGCAAAACCTAGAAAACATAATCAGAATGCCAGAGTAGAAATGTATCAAAAATGATACTTGAATTAGGGACAATAGTTAGGAAGTGTGCAATATCACTGAGAAATGATGAAACTCTGAACTTAACCTTAAAATGTCAAATACCGCCCAGAAAAAAACAAAACAAAACAAAACAAAAAAACCTCTCACATATATGGTCAAATGATTTTTGACAAGGGCACCAAGACCATTCAATGGGGAAAGGATAGTCTTTTCAACAAATAGTATTGGGAAAATTGGATATCCTCATGAAAAAGAATAATGCTGGAGCCTTACCTTACGCATACAAAAATTAACTCAAAATGATTACAAGATCTAAATGTAAGAGAGAAAAAGTTAAACAATACTTAGAAGAAAACACAGGGGAAAAACTTCATGACACAGGATTTGGTATTTCTTATATATGATACCAAAAGCATGGGCAATAAAAGAAAAATAACTTGGATTTCATCAAAATTAAAAATTTTCGGGCATCAAAAGGCACTATCAACACAGTGAAAAGGCAACCCATGGACAGGCAAAAAAACTGCAAACCGTATATTTGATAAGGGATTGACATCCAGAATATATGAAGAACTCCTACAACTCAATAGCAAAAAACAAGGAATCTGATTTAAAAACTGGCAAAGGACTTGAATACACATTTCTCCAAAGACGACACACAAATGGGCAAATAAGCACATGGAAATATGCTCAACATCACTAATCATTAGGGAAATGCAAATAAGAAGCACAATAAGATACTACCTCACACCCATAAGGATCGCTACTATCAAAAATATAGAAAATAATAAGTGTTGGTGAGGATGCAGAAAAACTAGAACCCTTGTGCATTACTGATGGCATGTAAAATGGCACAGCCACTGTGGAAAACAAAAATTTTTCAAAAAACATGATCCTGCAATTCCACTTCTGGGTATGTATCCAAAAGAACTGAAAGCAGGGACTTGAATAGATGTAAGAACACATGTTCATAGCCGCATTATTCACAATAGCCAAAAGGTGAAAGCAACTCAAGTGTCCATTGACAGACGAATAAACAAAATGTGGTACACAATACAGTATTATTCAGCCATGAAAAAGAAATTTTAACACCAGCTACAACATAAACGAACCTTGAAGATTATGCTAAGTGAAATAAGCCAGTCACAAAAAGACAAAGATTGTATGATTCCTCTTACATGAGGTAGTCAAATCTTTAAGTAGCTACAGCAATTAGAATGGTGGTTACCAGGGGCGGGCGGGGGTGGGGGCAGGTAGGAATGGGGAGTTAAGAGTTTAATGGGTAGAGTGTTTAACGGGTAAAGGAAGATGAAAAAATTGTGAAGATGGATGTTGTTGATAGCTGTATAACAGTGTGAATACACTTAATGCCACAGAACTATACATTTAAGAATGGTTAAAAGGGTCAATTTTATGTATATTTTATCATACTTTTTTGAAAAGTCTAATATAAATATTTCTTTACTTAGCAAATGTAAAAAGTGCCTCTCAAATTTTTGCTTATACTTTCAACATTCTAACTCAATGAAAGAGTATTCTTTGTCAGCTGCCAAATTAGGAAAGACTTTGATTCACAAGAAGGAAAACAAAATAAAATTTAAAAAATACTTTTATACCTCAATGGTTAAACTGAGGATTACCTCTGACCCATAAGGAGAGAAGCCAAGTGGCAACAGACACATGACCATTCCTTAAGGAAAGAGATCTCTGGTCTGTTCTACAATGATTGGAACCCCCGAGTCTGTCACAACCACCTGTTGTGTGCCCAAGGTTTCAAGCAACTCATGTTAATTTGTCAGTAGTTTGGTAAGTGAAATTACCCAAGAATTTAAAAGTATTTTTTGCCAAACTTAAAAAACAGGAGATCAGAATCATGTATCAACTAAACAAGAGAAACTCACAAAAAGTGTAGAAAAGTATAGGTAATTTTATTTCAGAAATGAAAGAATAATAATTTAGATCCACGCTTTAAGCAAGCCATGAAAAGCATACATAGGTAATTCTATATAACCCAAGCTAACCGATAATTCCCAGTTTATTTATATTTTACTGTGTAATACAGTAATATGTACATACCAATTCAAAGACAAAAATACACAGACACAAAATGTGACTTTGAATCTCTCAAGGGTGAGCCCTATCGTGGAATCTATCACGTTCGGCACATACACAACACATATGCTGTGGTTACCTCCTCTCCCCTCACACAGCAGACATTGCCAATTAAATCACTTTTAAGCCTGTATGTGGCCTCTCAATTCTCCTCAACACAGCACTCCACACAATCACTATAATCAATAGGAACTGGCACCAGAGATTGAAGCATGCTTGCCACCCCAGCACCAAGGTGAGAGTCGGGGGCAGATTAGGCATAACGATGAATCACACACAAAGAAGATCCAGTAGAACCTCTGCTAATGGAAAGAAGATCTACACACAACAGCTTTTCCAACAGCAGCTTGCTACATGAATGGAAGCTGAATCTGCTGACTTGAAGCTGCTACCTTTCCTTCCTAAGTCTGTTTTGGATGTGAATAAAGATTCAGCCAAGTCCTCAGTGATGTAATAAGCTCTGTGGTTCTTTACATACAGAAACCTTTTACCCTTGACAGAATTAACGAACTGAGAGACACATTTAAGGATATGTTCTTATAGTTTTGTTACTGCTACTACAGAAAACCTTCCCTAGCAAGAGGGGAAGGTTTCCAGATTGGCCAGCCACTCACCACCTGTCCCTCTCATTTTGCTGCTTCCTCCCAGGTTTCTACTCAAACTACATTCCTAACCATTCCTAGAGACCAGCTGACAGAACGGGAGGCAAGGAAATGGAGGCAGATTTGCAAGTGACAAAAACATTTTTCAGAGACAAGCTCTCAACCAGGCTGCCATTGCTAGTAGTAAGTGAATCTTGACAAGAACAGGGACTAAAGGACAGATTTTACAGTGCTGCTGCATGGAAGATTTGGGACCACAGCTGCCTTACCCAGTCAGGTCAAACCATGAAGAAGCAGTAGTATTGTTTTTGTTGTTTCATTATATTTTCCAACATAAACATGGCCGACTTCATTGTAAAGGTGCCCCATTCTTTATACCATTTGACAGACTGAAGAGAAAGAAAAAAGCAATAAAGGCATACTATTTTATTATTTTTTAAATCAAACACTTTTAGTGCTTACCATATGCCAAATATTGGTCTAAGCTTTTTATTAATATTCACATCCATTTTTTTCAGAGTACCATGGAGCTGGTACTGTTATGTCTCCCAATTTACACATGAGGAAACTGTGGCACAGAAAAGTCAAGTAAAGCTAAAGTAAATGGGTTAGGATTGGAATTCATGCAGTCTGGTTCCAGAGTCTGTGCTCTCAATCACAATACAAAAACAGAGGGCACCTGTGCCTACTGTCTCATTGGTTCCTCCAAATCTCATGAGATTGGTTTCATCCTCCCCTTTTAGAGATGAAAAAACAGTGAAGTGAAGTAAATTACTCAAGGTTACAGAGTAGAAAGACTGCAAAACACCAGTTATTTACTGGGCACAAACAATGTGCCAGCCACTCTGATAGGCGTCATCTTCTAATCCTCAACAGCCCTATGACAGAGGTACTAGTTTAGTCCACTTTACAGCTGAAGAAAATAGGGCTCAGAGAGAGGTCTGGTAGTTTAATTGGGGCCAAATTAGTAAGAACAGAAGAAATTTAAACTCACACCAGTTGAGTCCCAAATCCTTGGTTTTTCCCTTCTGATGCTGCTATAAATAAAACTTCATATATCAGTTACAATACATAGGGTTACAAAGATGATTCAGTTCCATTTAAGAAGCTTACAGTATATTGAAGGAGAAAGGTCAGTTATTCAAATCACTATAATTGCCATACATTTATTCAGGAACCATTCCTTGGGGTCCTTCCTAAATGTAGGGCACTGTTCTAGGCACTGCATATAGCAGCAAACCAATCAGATAAGTATCTTTGCCCTCCTGACCTAACAATCTAGAGACAGACAATAAACAAGATAAATAAGGAAAAGACATAGTATGTAAGATGATGATAAGCACTAAGGAGAAAGAGCAGCAGGCAGGAGGATTAGAGAAGAGGGCAGGAGGTGGACATCTGAGATGGGGCCGTCGGGGCCTCCCCTGTGCTTTGCTAAACTAAGGCAGCACGCCTCACATCGCTACTGCCAAAACCACCCCCGCCCCTTTCCAAATGCCATAGGGTCACTGGCCCTTGAGAACCACACAGAGACTATAGTTTCCTGCCATTCTCTGAAGTCTTGTACAACTTGGCCTCTACCAGAAAACTTTTTCCCTGTTGTCCCTTGGCTTCAATGACACTGGCAGTATCTTGCTTCTCCCTTCCTACCTCCCTGATCTGTCTTGGATCTGCGTCTCCCTGTCACTGAGCCCCACCTCCGCAACAACAGCAAAAAAAAAAAAAGAAAGATGAGCATGTCTTTTTTCTTTTCTTTTTTCTTTTTTTGAGACTCTGTCTCGCTCTGTCACCCAGGCTGGAGTACAGTGGCACAATTTCAGCTCACTGTAACCTCCGCCTTCTAGGCTCAAGTGACCCTCCCACCTCAGTCTCCCCAGTAGCTGGGATCAGAGGCACACCACCATGCTCGGCTAATTTTTTATATTTTTTGTACAGATAGGATTTCATCATGTTGCCCAGGCTGGTCTTTAACTCATGAGCTCAAGTGATCCGCCAGCCTCGGCCTCCCAAAGTGCTGGGATTACAGGTGTGAACCACCTGTAATGCCCAATGGGCATTTCTTGAATAACATCCTTGCCCTTTCTTCTCACTACAAAGCTGCTCCTTGAAATCTTGTCTGCTGATGCAGTATCAAAGATCATATTCATGTAAATGAGACCCAATTTTCATTTGTAGCTTCAGGATATCACCTTAGCTACTACCGTGCCCAACTTTCAAGCTCTCATAAACGTATCTCCCTAAATGTACCCAAAATTGAACTCCTCACCTTTCTGAGGAAGTTTTTCTTTATCTGCTATTTTTTTTTCCCCAGGAGAGGGGAGATAGGAAATCTGTATCTGCTACTTTTCATAAGTCACCAGCAAATATTTTTAACTCCTTTTTTCTCTCAATCTTCAAATCCAATCAATTTCCAAGACCTTTAGATTCTACTTTTGCAGTTTCTCTTCATCACATCACCTTCTTTCCAATCCCTCTACAATTATCAAGATTTCTTTCTCTTCAGTAACCCCACCACCAATAACTTCTTCTCATGCCAGGTCTCTCCCTTACTCAATCTATCCTATAATTAGCACCAAGTTATTAGGTTACAATTCCCTCATGTGTAACATGGAGATAGAAATTACTGTACAGTACTGATTTGAGGATTAAACATGATTATATTAACCATCTAACATAGTTCTTAACATATAGTAGGAACTCAATAAATGTCACTTCTCTTTTTCTTACTCTCTGTGAAATCAAAACAGTGACCTGGCATTCAGGGGCCTCTGCAATCTACCCAGTTCCCTAGCTCTGTCCATCAAATATTCCCCTAGCTGTATGGTGCACGTTCCAACCAAACTCATACTGTGTGCAGTATTCTTTGACTTGGCCTGGCATTTTTATGCAGACAGATCACTGCTCATGCTTTCCATCCTTACATTTTGAGTGACCTTTCCTTCCATCTTCCGCCTAAGTCTTACTGACCCTCAAAGGTTTATTATCTCAATAGCTGCTGCCTCAGAAGGCCTTTCTTAAGTGCTTCATACAAGTGAGACCTTCCCCTCTCTCTCAATCCCCTGAAACCAATGGACTACGCTGACAGAGCCTTTTGGTCAGTCTATAAATATGTGCCTGTATCAGGAAATAAGGACAAAAAAGTAGAAAACTATTCATGTTATATCATGGTTATTACTGTCTATGTACTTATTTTGCCCTAAGTATATTATAAACATGAAATAGACCAGCATAGTGATTCTATTACTCATCTTCGTATTCCCTACAGGACTTATTATGATACCTTGGTACATAATGTAAACTTAAATTTGATGGTAGTCACAATTATTTTGTTATACTTCAATAACATTTTATTCCAGAGAATCATAAAGGGTTTCATAGAGAAAAATAATTATTACTAAAAGACATGGAAGAGAAATTACTATTATTTGTAAAATGTTAGATGAAGAAATATATATAGAGCAATTATGTACGTAAAACTTTACCATGATTTAAATATATAAAACTAGAAATAGAATTTAGAGTCTTAGACACTTAACCTCAAACTTCAGTTGAAAAAATATTATCAAAGCAATGATTAAATAAAAATAAGAATCACTCAATAAAACCTCAATCCTTATACTAAATGTTATTACAAACTTCTGTGTTTTGTTATTAAGAGAGCTCTCGCACATAAAAGTCTTATAACTGGGAATCACTATGCCATATGTAAACAGAAATTAAAATGGCTGAATAAAGAACAAATTCACTGTACTGAGTCCCTGATTCGGTGTTAAACACAAGGGTTATTAGCCAGCAGGATGAGTCAAATACAAAGTGTAAAGAAAATCTGACAACAAGACAACTCCTCTAACTCATCCCTTCCTGGTCAACACCACTACCAGGAAACAAAGTTACAACCATAACCCTCCTTAACAAAGTTAAAGCAAAATCAAATAAAGATCCATTTTCCAGTAGCTTAGATGCTGTCAATGTATGAATATATGCTTAGACAATGGAAGTGAGTTTCTGTGTTTTGCTTTGTTTTTTTGAGACAGGGTCTCGGTCTGTCGCCCAGGCTGGAGAACAGTGGTGTTATCACAGCTCACCGCAGCCTCGACCTCCTGGGTTCAAGTGATCTCCCAACCCAGCTAATTTTTAAATTTTTTGTAGAGACAAGGTTTCACCACGTTGCCCAAGCTAATCTCGATCTCCTGGCCTCAAGCAATCCACCCGCCTCAGCCTCCCAAAGTGCTGGGAGGCACCATGGCATGAGGCACCACGTCTGGCTGGAAATGAGTCTTTAACATCTCAAATGTATTATTTCTTGGCCTGAAACTTCCAAATGAATTTTAACTCTAAACCAACAAGGTAGAGTCTAATGAGGATGAAGGGTCTATCTACATGTGGGGCTAAGGTAGGCACATACCTAACCATTTGCTTTAAACATTATAATGAACAAATTAACTGTTCAACTTCTAGTGTTAACTATCACAAGCACAATTATACAGTCAATTTAAAATTACTGAATAGTACACTAACATCCATGTTCTACTCTTAAAGATACTAAGGCTGTCAATTTGTTTTCCTTAAAAGCAGGAACAGTAACACTTATTTTAAAGGGAATCTATTCCTTAAAAAATGGACTGTCTGAACAGACACTTCTCAAAAGAAGACATTTATGCAGCCAAAAAACACATGAAAAAATGCTCACCATCACTGGCCATCAGAGAAATGCAAATCAAAACCACAATGAGATACCATCTCACACCAGTTAGAATGGCAATCATTAAAAAGTCAGGAAACAACAGGTGCTGGAGAGGATGTGGAGAAATAGGAACACTTTCACACTGTTGCTGGGACTGTAAACTAGTTCAACCATTGTGGAAGTCAGTGTGGCGATTCCTCAGGGATCTAGAACAGGAAATACCATTTGACCCAGCCATCCCATTACTGGGCATATACCCAAAGGATTATAAATCATGCTGCTATAAAGACACATGTACACATATGTTTATTGCGGCACTATTCTCAATAGCAAAGACTTGGAACCAACCCAAATGTCCAACAATGATAGATTGGATTAAGAAAATGTGGCACATATACACCATGGAATACTATGCAGCCATAAAAATGATGAGTTCATGTCCTTTGTAGGGACATGGATGAAATTGGAAATCATCATTCTCAGTAAACTATCGCAGGAACAAAAGGCCAAACACCGCATATTCTCACTCACAGGTGGGAATTGAACAATGAGAACACATGGACACAGGAAGGGGAACATCACACTCTGTGGGGTGGGGGGAGGCGGGAGGGATAGCATTAGGAGATATACCTAATGCTAAATGACGAGTTAATGGGTGCAGCACACCAGCATGGCACATGTATACATATGTAAGTAACCTGCACATTGCGCACATGTACCCTAAAACTTAAAGTATAATAATAATAATAATAATAAATGGACTGTCAAGTAAAAGTTTCTAGCTAAAAAATGATTAACAACTAAAACATTTACAAAACGCTTACCAAAAAAGGGAATAATCACAATAATTACTGAAACATAAACTAGTGAGTGAACAAAGCAGACATTTTACTGGGAAATGCCACACCACCCGAGCCCCTATTATAGGTGATAGTAAAGATAAAACAGCGTATTACATAAAAGGTGACTCTTCAAAGCTAACCCTCTCCCTTGCTTATATGACGATATGCTTTTATAGAAAAAAATTTTAAAAAGTACAAAATGGTAGGCATGCTCCAGATGAGGGGGGAAAAGTGGATACAGCAAACAGCGAATATGATGGCCAACCACTGCAGATAAATCTAAGTCTTCATTTAGGAAAACATGTAAAATAAGTTAAAAATTTAAAACTTCAGTATATATAGAAGATATTATAAAATAATTATAATATAAAAAATTAGCAAGCACCTCACACTCTAATACCATCTCAATATCAAAGCTTCAAATTAATTTTGAGACCAGCGAATATTTATTGAGTGCTTATTAAGTGCTAAGCCTAATGGTAAACACTTTATATATATCTCCTTTAACAACATCCCTATGAAGCAGATATTTATAGTATCCCCCATTTTATAGTAACTGTCAGAGCTTGATTTCAAACCCAGAGTCTCACTTGGTTCTTTTAACTGTTATCATATTTACTGTACTAACTTTCATATAATTTTAATGATTAAGCACATGCACAGGATAATCAACATGTCCAGTCCTCTGGTCCTACAGGAGTTACCATATGGATTTTTAAAACTTACACACCTTAAAGTACCTTTACAAAGAGGAGAGAAGATGGGAAAGTTGAATCAGGGTTACTCTTAATTGCAGTTCCTTGAATCATAGCCCAAATACGAGCTTGGCTGGTACTGCTGCGGGAAAGATTCAAAGGCAAAATCAAGCACCCATGCTGCCAGGCAAGGCCAGGTCTCTCAACAAGTGGAATACCAACTTTTAAACAGGTTGGACATTTAATAGAGGAAGGACAATGGGGCCAGTGGACACAAATGCTAAAAAAACAGTGGCAGTCAATGTGGGAGGAGGCAAGAAGGCCTGAGAAGGCTGCTATAATTTCAGCCTTGATGCAATAGAGATTGTATTTCTTTTATCTTTAGGGAAGTGAAGTACAGTAGTCCCCCTCATCCTCGAGTGGATGCCTGAAACCACAGATACTACTGAACTGTATATACACCGGTTTTTCCTATGCACAGATACCTATAAAGTTTAACTTATAAATTAGACACAGTAAGAGATTAACAACAATAGTTAATAATAAAATAGAATTATAACAATATACTGTTTACAATTTCAGATAGAAAATTCATTATTACTACAGATTTTGGCAACCTCAGCCTATGATTGTTTTTGTCAATAACTTTCACTTTTTCACTTAAAGGAAGCACTTTACAGCTTCTCTTCAGAGTATCCAAATTGCCAGCATCAATACTCTTGTGCCTTGGGGCCATTATTAAGTCAAATAAGGGTCACTGGAACACTAGCACTGCGATACCTAGACAGTGGACCTGATAACCAAGCCGGCTACTAGATGACTGATGGGTGGGTGGCACATAGAGTGTGGAGATGAGGGACAAAGGGAGGATTCCCCTCCTGGGCAGGACAGAACAGGATGGCGGGAAATTTCATCACAATGCCCAGAACCGTATGCAATTTAAAACTCATGGATTATTTCTGGAATATTCCATGCAATAAATTTGGGCCACAGTTGACCGCAGATAACTGAAACCACGTATAAGGGTGCACAACTGTAGTGACCAAACAGATTACTCCGTTTCATGTAAGTGGTATGATCCTTTTTCCAAAAAAGGTCATCTTTTTCACCAAAGTTGATCTGATATAGAGTTCTATCATATTAACAGAGCTAGTTAACCAAGGGTTAAAAATTCCACCTGAAGTATTTGGAATACACATCAATATCTGTAAGTCAATATAAAAAACATCACCGGGAAGCTGAGGCAGGAGAATGGCGTGAACCCGGGAGGCGGAGCTTGCAGTGAGCCGAGATCGCGCCACTGCACTCCAGCCTGGGCGGCAGAGTGAGACTCCATCTCAAAAAAAAAACAAACAAACAAAATCACCCTACAGTTAAATGGGCAAAATATATTAACAGGCAATTCAGAAGAAGGAATCAGAATGGCCACTGTGCACTGTGTAATCTCAACAGTAATCAGAAAACGCATAATGAAACTGAATAGTGAAATACCATTTCATACCCCTCATGTTATTAAAAATTAAGTCTTAAAAAAAACAGTGGGCCAGGCGTGGTGGCTCATGCCTATAATCCCAGCACTTTGGGAAGCCAAGGCGGGCATATCACTTGAGATTGGGAGTTTGAGACCAGCCCGACCAACATGGAGAAATCTCTTCTCTACTAAAAATACAAAATTAGCCAGACGTGGTGGCTTCTGCCTGTAATCCCAGCTACTTGGGAGGCTGAGGCAGGAGAATCACTTGAACCCGGGAGGCAGAGGATGCGGTGAGCCGAGATCACGCCATTGCACTCATCCAGCCTGGGCAACAAGAGTGAAACTCTGTCTCAAAAAAAAAAAAGGGGGATTGACTGAGTGCAGTGGCTCATGCTTCTAACCCCGCCACTTTGGGAGGCTGAGGCAGGAGGATCGCCTGAGGCCAAGAGTTTCAGACCAGTCTGGGCAATATAATAAAATAATTAGCTGAACATGGTAGTACACACCTGTAGAATCAGCTCCTTGGGAGGCTGAGGTGGGTGGATCCCCTGATCCCAGGAGTTAGAGGCTGCAGAGAGGTGTGATAGTGCCACTGCATTCCAGCCTGGGCAACAGAATGAGACTCCATCTCTTAACAACAACAACAACAACAAAGTCTTATACCAAATGTCAACCTATATACTTCAGGCTCCAATGTAAATTGGAATAAATTGAAAATATTTAATGAAGCTAAAAATCACATACAACCCAGTCTAGGGATATTACCCTCATAGGTAATACTCTAAAGAAACTGTCATATCTATGTAAGGTATCATGAACAAAAATGTTCACTGCCGGAATACTTGAAATTGGAAAAAATTAGAAACAACCTAAATGCAGATCAAGAGAAAAACTGATAAATTGTATATGTTCACAAAATGGAATACTGCACAACATTTGACTGACTTGCAACTACATAGATATTATCACCAAAAAAAAACCCATAATGTTATAGGAAAAAAAGAAGTTGCAGAATAATATGAATAGTATACTATTTAACTGAGCTTTAAAACCTAAAAAAATACTAAATATTATAAACAAATACACAAAGAGTAAACTTTTTTTTAAATGGGTATAATACACAATAAATTCTGGATAGCACTTACCTCTAAGAAAAGAAGAGAATGATATAAATAATCCAAAAAGGGCTTAAAATTACATGTATGGACTCAACGTCTATGGGGCACAATATTCATAAATTGAAGTCCTGACCCCTAATGTGATAGTATTTGGAGGTGAGGTCTTTAGGGAGTAATTATGTTTAGAGGAGGTCATGAGAATGGGATCCTTATGATGGAATTAGTGTCCATGTAAGAGACCAGAGACTTCCCCTTCTCTCTTTCTTTCTCTCCCTGCCATGTGAGGATGCAGCAAGAAGGCCACCATGTGTAAGACAGGAAGAGAGCTCTCACTGGGATCCATGCTGGCACCATGATCTTAGACTCCCTGCCTCCGGAACTGTGAGAAATGAATGTCTGTTGTTTCAGTCACCTAGTCTATGGTATTTTGTTATGACAGCACGAGCTGAAACAGTTAAGTGTTATATTTTTCAACAGGTAAAACATAACAAAAAACTAAAATCCAGATTAAGTGAATGACATAGCATGGCAGTTCTCAATTAGAACACACTAATAAGACACTAGTTCTCAGAGAACAACTTTAAGACTATTATCCTATATATAATTCTATTTTTTAAAAAAATACTGACTTCCTCTTCTTCAAAACAATCAGTAATCAGGTTCTGACAAATCTTTTTGATGTCAGAGACACTCAGTCCATTTGGAATGCCATCCCTACTGTTCTGAACCAACGCATAGCCTCTCTCACTAGTCTTTTCACCTCTGATCTATTTTCTCTCCAATTTCCAAATTCACCCTGTGTACCAAGAGCAAACCAGAAACTTCAGTTTTTTGTTGTTGTTGTTGTTGTTGTTTTGTTTGTTTTTTTAAAGAGACAGAGTCGGCTGGGCGTGGTGGCTCACGCCTGTAATCCCAGCACTTTGGGAGGCTGAGGGATCACGAGATCAAGAATTTGAGACCAGCCTGGCCAATATGGTGTAACCCCGTCTCTAATACAAAAATCTCTAAAAATACAAAAATTAGCTGGGCGTGGTGGTGCATGCCTGTAGGCCCAGCTGCTCAGGAGGCTGAGGCAGGAGAATTGCTTGAACCCAGGAGGCAGAGGTTGCAGTGAGCCGAAATCGCGCTACTGCACTCCAGCCTGGGTGACAGAGTGAGACTCCGTCTCAAAAACAAAAACAAAAACAAACAAACAAAAAGAGATGGAGTCTTGTTCTGTCACCGAGGTGGGAGTACAGTGGCACGATCACAGTTTATTGCAGCCTCAAACTCCTGGGCTCAAGTGATCCTCCTACCTTAGCCACCTGAGTAGGCGGGACTACAGGTGCAGGCCACCATGCCCAGCTTCAAGGGCAAATCAATCTACATAAAATGTTACTTTGGTAATGTCACTTGTTAGCTCCTGGAATTTAACTCTTTGACAGCAGCCATTGCTGAACAATACAATGAAAACTCCTTAATCTAGCATGTAAAGGTCTTTAAGCCTGGCTCAAAGCGGTTATTTCTAACTGTACCTTCCATTACTCTATATAAATGGCTCCCTCTAGCCAAACTGCTCTATTCAAAGCCCTGCATGGGCTTTGCTCCTTCTCACCTCTTCTTTGGTCATCCTGTGTCTCCTGTTTGGAATGCCATCCTCTCTAACACCACCTTTCTCACAGTATCTAAATTTTAGTTGTCTTCTAAGACCTTGCCACACAAGTCTTATCTAATCCATAAATGCCTCCCTAACCAATACACTCTAATTTAGACTCATTCATTCAATCAATCAATATTTATTGGATGCCTAGCATGTGACAGGAGACACAGTTCTAGGGGCACTCACAGAATGCCTATATATATACTACGCATGAATTAAATACTGTTTTGCTCTTTTTGTTAATGTATATGTCAACCTCAACTACATTATGTGCTTCTTAAAGACAAGGAGTTCATTTATTCCACAGGGCAATAACGTAGTACTTTGTGTTTAGGGTTCAACATTCTCTGGCTAAATGAATTTTGAAATAAGTTATAATCTTCTAATTTTTTGACCCAAAATAATCAATGCCTATCCTTGGAACTTTGAACAATTACAGCATTTTCTTGTGATGTATATATACATCTATACAAGAACAATGGACTTGGAGTCAGAAGGTCTGTGTGAAACCTGGGCTCCACTGTGCACCACCTCTGGCCATATTACTTTCTCTGTACATTAATCTCCATAAAATGAGAATATTTACACCTACCTGTGAAGATGTTCATGACTATGAGGCATAAGTAAATTAGAAAAAGACGTATTTTATTGTGCTAGAAGCATGCCTCGCACTCATTCATGAATCCAACAAACTTTTACTAGGTTATTTTCAACAGATGCCAATATCCTCATTTCCCACCAGAAGAGCTAATAAAGATCTGTTTCCTTTCTGTTTTTTTTTTTTTTTTTTTTCCTTTGAGATAGGGCCTCGCTCTGTCACCCAGGCGGAGTACAGTGACAATCACAGCTCACCGCAGGCCTCAATCTCCCAGACTCAGGTGATCCTCCTGCCTCAGCCTCCCAAGAAGCTGGGACTACTGGCATACGTCACCATGCCCGGCTAATTTTTTATTTTTTATTTTTTATTTTTTTGTAGAGATGGGGTTTCGCCATGTTACCCAGGTTGGAAGATCCATTTCCTTTCTGCTAGGTGATGGAAATGCTGTCTTTGACTAGTAAGTGAAAGAAAGGAATACCTACAGAAATATTCAAATATTCAATTAAAATATTTGAATTACATATTAAATAATCTCAAGGCCATAAAATTCTATTTTTAAAATGTCTTTATTCTATTTATCACATAAGGCACAAACGTTAGGTATTTATAACCTTGCTAAAAGCACCAATGAAAATGGGATTTGGAAAAGAATAGAGAAATTAACAAAATTGCTAATTATAATAAATATGATCAAGAAAACTTTGAATTCCTCTTTCACAAAATCGTTTTTCATATTTGACTTCCTATTTGAAGCAGGATATGTGGGAATTCATTATTGATCAACTAGCTAGCCTACCTGGTTTTTCAGAAGAATTATCAACCTCTGTTAGGAATCCCTGCTGCTCCTGCTGGATGCAGTTGCCCACAAGAGAAGCAGCTGCTTTTAAAATCAACTTTAGATTGACTACAATTTGGAGCCTACCCTTGGGACCTTCATTTGGAGCTCATTTTTTAAACCACAATTTGGTCTCTATCCTCATTGTCTTTATATACAAGGCTCATCTCTCTTAATCCACAGTGGCTCGAAATCTCTCATTATCTCTCTGTTTCAGCTACTTGAGAAGTCCACTGCCCATCTTTGACATCCACCCCAGAAAGATAATTTCAAGTAGACCATCTAGCTTACATTATAGGGCTCCTCATGTACCCTCTAAATTTAATGATACTCAATCTAGCCATTTTTACATGACATGGCAACAAACAGAAATTTGAACATTTACCATTCAGTTTACAGGCAAAATCTTACATTAGGTACAGTTTGACTATTTTTATTTGACTATTTTTCCCTTTATTTTTCTTTCTAAGTCACCTTTTCTATACCATAACATAAAATTTAGGTAATTACTATATAATGCTTAAGATTATAGGCTCTTGTGTGACACTAGTTCAAATCTGGGCTGCACTGGTTATTAGCTATGTTAACTTAAAAAAATTACTAATATTTTTAGGCCCCAAGAGCAAAAACCATCACTACTGCTTCACGGGTTTTTATTAATATTAAATGAGTTAGTACAAGTAAAACAGAAAAGCACCTAACATGAATTCTGTACAAATCCTGCATTTTTAACATGGAGTAACAGTAACACTAGTTACTGGAGTAATAAGCTATAAATATACTTTCAATGCTTAATAAGACTGAGCAAGTATCATTTTGGTTAGTAGGCTCTTTTGAGCTTGAAAAATTATAAACACAACTTTCCCAGTTGTCTCCGCAGCTAGTCTGTAAAGATAAATATTTATAGATTTTTCTCCCTCAAATTTATTATTTTAATACAGAAAGTGGTTACTAGAAAAAGCGTGGAAAGTAAGGAAAAGTGAAGGGGGGGAGGACATGCATATTTCCACTATATACACTATGTGATATATTTACTTCCAAGAATTTTATATCAAAAATGTAATTTTTTAAAATCAGTTATATAAAATTAAATCCTACCATTTCTACCTACCAGTACCATGGAAGTATTTTTCCTTGTTGGTTCAGCCTTTGACAATATAATTTTTAATAGCAGCATAATATTTCAAGTTGAATTCACATATTCTAAAGCAAACGTGGGCAGGACCTTCTTGTGACAACTGCAAGCATACTTGCCATAAAAGAATAGTGATGGAGGGCCTAGGTGCAGTGGCTCACACCTATAATCCCACTGCTTTGGGAGGCTAAGAGTTCAGGGGTTCAAATCTGGGATAAGGACCAGGAGTTCAAGACCAGCCTGGGCAACACGGTGAGACTCTATCTCTAAAAAAAATTTAATTTAAATTAAAAAAAGAAAAAAGAATGTCAGTCGGGATCCACAGTCATGGGAGTGCAAACTTTTTTCTACAGCACACACACTGGCATCTTTCTAGTGCTTAGTATAGTCAAAACAATGATGGTAGCACTAAGCTAATAAATACAGGAAGAAAAAATATGGAACAAAGTTGTGGCTTCAACTTAAATGTTAATTTTCATTAAGGAGCACTTCCAATTTTTCACTAAGACAAACTAACAACTTCAATCAATATACAAAATATACATGTTTGCATTCCGACTTAAGGCAAGTCAACCTAAATTCATCAACAGTAAGAAAAATTCATAGATGTGCCTATGTTGAAACTTAAATTTTCCATCTGGTAGCTTAAGGATACTTTAGGTTATCAGAGATTTTAAAAATACATATAACACACATTTACTGAAACCTAATTATGAATTTTGCCAGATTCAACACATACTACTTTAATTGACTAACGGCAACCAGTAAAAATGTTTCATTTATTTAAAAAATTACCAGCTTGGGCAACATAGACCTCAACTGTTAAAAATTAGCCAGGCTCATTTTTAAATTTTATCCTGGCGCATGCCTGTAGTCCCAGCTACTGGGGAGGCTGCGGTGGGAGAATCACTTGAGCCAGGGAGGTCGAGGCTGCAGTGAGCAGTGATCTCACCACTGCACTCCAGCCTGGGTGACACAGTGAGACCTTGTCTCAAAAAACAGGGAGAAAAAAAAAAAGAAGAAAAAAGAAAAGAGAACATTAGGGAAGCAGCATGATTTGATGAAAAGAGTCACTGAACTTGGAAGGCAAAAACTTGGATTCATGTCCCAGCATGGCCCTCAACTATGCAACAGCCGAAAAATTGTTTACTAACTCTAGGTCCTAACTTTAAAGTGTAGTCCTTCAATGATGTGATTCCTACTGTCTCTTCCAGCTCTAAAGTAAAGATGCTAAGAAATAAAGATGATAATGCTACCATTATCTGGCATGCAACTGACGGCCACGGGACAGGCGACTTATTGATGTACATCAAATCCTAAACCTGTAATTTTGTTCAGCAGTGTCCCAGACAGTGTGTGCTGTAGTCGGGGTGGCTGGCGGGGGTGGGGGGATAGCAGGTAGGCACAGTGGCCACTATAATCCCATTATTTGTTATATAAATGTATTGTTTTCTTTAAAAGTAAAAAACCATAAAAAAATTCTGCTTTAGTCTTTTCTGCTACCTTGGTTCCCTATCCCTTTAACAATAACAACAACCAGATTGAAATTAAATATTTGAGTTGCTCTCATTAAAGAAACTTCCATTTACTTTCCTGGTACACAAGGAAAACGATTTTGAAATCTGCCTAATCAACAGACATTAATATTGTCTGTTGAAATAAATATGTTTGCATAGTTATTTTAAAAACACCATATAAAATCATGCTTAAATTCATTTATTTTGAACACATACCTATGAGCAATTAGTCTAAATATAAAGAAAAAGATGATGAATTATATGAATTTTCAAAGCACATTAAATTAGCATTGAAATTCTATGAACATACTTTAGAATGCTAACTTTGTTAATTTTTTGTTTGTTTGTAATATGCAATAGAGGGGAAGATATATGTTGAAAATACATCTTGGCTCATTAAAAACGCAACACAGGCATATGCTCTTTTCAAACATCTTTTTAAACCAAGAAGGAGATCTTTGTTTGCCATCTTTCAAATAAACATTCATTTCTGGTCCTGATTCTAAGCAAGATACAGTATAGTAAATGACAGATTTGCTATGTCTTTGAGTTAACAAAAAATAAAAAACAAGGTAAGCACCAGAGTACTGTGGAACACACTGAGATTATTAGTATTAATTTTTACATATTTCAACTGACTAAATGTAGCTATAAAGGGTACCCTGACTGTAAATTTAAACTGCTATGTTTATGTGAAGACTGTGTAATAAGCAGTCATTATGCTCTTTTGTAATCTCTAATGGGAAAACTAAGAAGTTCTTCCTCCTTTAAAATTAAATGCCTTAATAAAGTAAGATTTTTAGGGGAAAAAACACTCAACTTTTTAAGTTGTAAATTACTGAAAGTTGCTCTCACTAGACTTGACTATTTAGAAACTACAGTGATTAAATGCTTTCCAGAGCTTACATGTTAGTGCTTTCAACATCAAATGTACAATGAGAAACATGTCAGCACTCTGCTCTGCGAAGCTTTGGCCTTCAGTCAGCAACAGTACAGGATGGCCAGGTCCTGCACGACTGAGATAGACAGAAACGCCTTAGCAAACCAGAGCCACCAGATCCATCATTTGCTTCTGACAGCTTGTGCCTACATACTTGCCCTCAACCCACATGTTTGCAAACACAACCTTCTACACATTAAACTAACAGGCTATTCCTTTGCTCCTGAATCACACAGGCTGCCTAATGAAGTTCCTAGCTAAATCTCTCCACTGAAATTACTTTCCATAGGAAAAACTGTACAGATATCCCAGTAAATTGAATAAAGAGATTGAAAAATTGTAGGAATTCTTCACACATGTGTAATTACCAAAGTAAAAGAAATATTTTAAAGTACGTATTTATTGTTGACTGATTTCCAACTTACAGAAATGTACATACAAACACTTGAAAAATAAAGCTTCAAAAGTACACACTTTTTTAGGATTTTGGAATGTGTTCAAACTTGGCAGAAACTGTGGGATCCTTGAAACATCAAGGTTTTTCACTTTTTCTTCTTCTTTTTTTAAACTGCCTGTAAACTTTCATCACCAGTATTCTGCTACAGGTATAGACATGGCTAAAATGCATTGATTCATCCTAGAAGGAGGGATGTTTACAGAAATTAAGCCAGATTCACTCAAAGCAAAGCACAGGCTTCAACATGAAACCCCTACCCCCACCTAAAAAACCTTCTCAGCAGTAACTATCTAACTTATCTACGTGTCTCCTCTACTCTTCCCTTAATTCTTCTGTGTCATGTTTCTGGTTATACTATCATGTGCTTCCAACTTTTTTTCCTTTGATAAGAGTAATTTTAAGAGGCTAATTTTTTTTTCTTACCCCACAGCAGTCTCTTAACTGATTGGTCTGAAATTCCTTTGCTCCACCTCCTAACATCTGTCACAAAAGTCAGATTATAAGTCAACCCAAAGGGGAGCAAGGGGTGTGCACGTAAGAGGGAACACCAGAAAAATGAAACACTAGTGGTTAGGGCATCACTAGAAACCATAATATAGTTTCTATTCTTTATTTGATACAATTGTACAAAAGGACACCATGTTAGATATAACATTAGGCTGAATGTTAATTTCCTAAATAAAAATTCTCTTTAAAGATGTAAAATAATAATCCCTTTATTATTCAATATGTAGAGATTTATTAAACACTTATAAAGTAATAATTTAATATTTACAGTGAAGAAAACTAACTTTCATCTTCATTTTTAAAGTAATCTCTAATACTATCAGAAATATTAACAGTGAAATACATTAATTACAAGCCAAATTATACATTGTATGTAGCTACTTAGGTATTTTACTAAGAAAATAACTTTATCTTTGATATTTCCTATTTTAAAAACTTATCTGTGAATTGATTTAATGATTGTGTATATAAATCTGCCAAAATTATTTCAATGGATGAAACAATGAATCAGTACCTATTTATATGCTGCCAAGGCACACCTATAATTTTTTAAATGATGATAAGAGTAGCCTAAAGCAGTGAGCAGACATCTCAGAAATTTCAGTGTAAGTGGTTTTAACTTGCAACATGATGCCAAAAAACTTAGAACAGGGAGCTGCCATCTTGCATCCCCGTGTGTGTGCACCTAATCTCAGCTGGTTCCCCCGAGACCCCCTGAGCACCAACCCTAGTCCCCCGCGCAGCCCCTTATCCGCTGCGACAAGATGAAAGAAACAATCATGAACCAGGAAAAACTCGCCAAACTGCAGGCAAAAGTGCCCATTGGTGGAACTGCTCACAGAAAGAAGGTGGTTCACAGAACAGCCACAGCAAATGATAAAAAACGTCAGTTCTCCTTAAAGAAGTTAGAAATCTCTGGCATTGAAGAGGTGAATATGTTTACAAACCAAGCAACAGTGATCCACTTTAACAACCCTAAAGCCCAGACATCTCTGGCAGTGAACACTTTCACCATTACAGGCTATACTGAGACAAAGCAGCTGACAGAAATGCTACCCAGAATCTTAAACCAGCTTGGTGCAGGCAGTCTGACTAGTTTAAGGACTGGCTGAAGCACTGTCCAAACAATCTGTGGGTGGAAAAGCACCACTTACTACTGGAGAGAATGATGATGATGAAGTTCCAGATCTTGTGGAGAATTTGGATGAGGCTTCCAAGAATGAGGCAAACTGAAGTGAGTCAACTTCAGTGACTCAACTTCTGAAGACAAAACTTGAAGAAGTTACTGGGAGCTGCTATTTTATATTATGACTGCTTTTTAAGAAATTTTTGTTTATGGGTCTGATAAAATCTAGATCTCTAATATTTTTAAGCTCAAGTCCCTTGGACACTACAGCTCTTTTCAGTTTTTGCTTATACGCAATTCATTCTTTGCAGCTAATTAAGCCGAAGAAGTCTGTGAATAAAGTTTGAAACAAAGGTTAACGAAGTTCTTTGCCTAGTATACAGTTTTATTCTTTATTTCATTGACACCGATCTGTACACAGTAAATCACAGTGTAGTGTAACACAGGTGGTATAAAGTTCTCATGTTTGGAAAAAAAAAAAAAAAAACCTTACATCAGGGACACATTTAACTAAAGCAACAAGAAAAACTTGTTTTTTGGTTAAAAGTGCTTGGTGGTTCTCTGATACATATGAGCACCTGAAAAATAATTCAGATCCATATCTACTCCATTAGGATACTGAAGTTTCCAAAGCCTACAGAGCTTCAGCTAATTGTAATTGCTGTGAAGGGCGAGAACCTACCATGTGCTCAATCTTGCCATCTGTAAGTGCTTTACACAACTCCAGGGCTTTTTAAGTAGGGTCAAAAATTTACAGTTATTTTTTTAAACTAATTACCAATCACAAAATTCTTTTGCTTTATGTCATCCTTGAAAAATTCTCTGAATAATTTTGGTAATATCCCATCATAAATTTGCTCAACATTAGCTCTATCCACAAATCTGTTTTACATTCATATTACAAATACAGTCTTTAATGATCAAGCAAATATTTATTCTCATATTTAGCAAAATGATTTTCTTCCAAAATAACTCCGAAAGATACTGCTTATAGAACACAGCAATTATTCTAAGACTCCTTTACAAAATCACTGGTGGCCTGCAACGCAACAATCCCATAAAATATGAACTGAAAAGTATTCATAATCAGGACCTCAATCTCATCGCTACTCGTGAACTCTGTTACCACTGAAGATGCTCGCTCACTCCACTGTCTCACCTCTTAGTGTCCACAACAGAAACACTGAGGCATCATCTCCCGTAATTAAGATTTCGGCTAGAGAAGTGGCACAGTAAGTTATACCATTTCCAGACCTAACAGATTTACACTACAATTAAATATATTAAAATTTCTGCACATA
Source organism: Homo sapiens (assembly GCF_000001405.40). Lineage (NCBI taxonomy): Eukaryota > Metazoa > Chordata > Mammalia > Primates > Hominidae > Homo > Homo sapiens. The sequence continues at coordinate 70,275,037 of NC_000008.11, forward strand.
AAAAACTCATATATACCTAATCAAAAGGCATCTTTACCCAGCCAGTAGGTTCATCTGTAGTTCTGATTATTTTAAATGAGCAGATATTCCAAAAATCAAAATAAGTACAAATATGCCATCTTCTAAAATTCTCTAATTCTCAAGTTTTATTTCTCTCATTTAGAGTTATCAAACTTTACTTGCAAAACTGTATTCTTAATTAACCACAGGAAATTTCCAGTAAACTGAAATCATCACCATAAATTCAGTAGGTATAATGAGAAATCATCTAAGAGTAGAATATAGTCCTTAAAAAGAAATAAGTACTTATATATAGTTGTTCAGCTTATTAAAGAATTGTATTCTTAAAAATACTATATAAATCATGTAAATTTGAATTTTATTTTCAATATGTGAAGGAAATTTAATATTTAAAAGGAAACCTGCTGAGTTCTTTTTTAAAACTGAATAATCTTTAGCAATACAAATGATCAACTCCTACTTAAATTATTTTATATGTAGGAATCTGATACCTTAAAACAGGTTGTCTATGTAGTATTACTCTAATTAAAAAAACAAACAGCTAACCAAAGAAGAACAAGCTTAGCGGAGAAAATATGAAAAAAATTTTGAATTAATGTTTCTAATTAGCAAGGGCTTTCACAAAGACATAAAAGCAAATTTTGCTTTCCTGATTAATTAGAACACCAACACAAAGAACTAGACTCTAATTGGCAGTTCTTCTAGAGAACTAGGATGGAACAGATGCAACCAACAGTAGAATATGTGTTAATTTTTAAAAGTGCACTGAAAATCTTGTGTCATAGATATATAGATAGACGATGGTTCTTATGCTTAAACACTTTCAACAACTATAAAGGCTATGTAGCTGGTAGTATAGCAGAAATAGTTTGGCCAAAAAATACTAAACTTTGCAAAGTTTTTGTCCACTTAGCTGTAAGGTAAAATATTGACTGAGATGACCTTTGAAAACATCTAGAATTGTTCCTCTTTCTATGAATGATTCCCTAATTATCAGAGACATATTTCAATATTTGCTGTTAATTTTAATGGAAGAATTTCACAATACACTCAAAGAATACCAATTTCTTCCTCCAAGATAAAAGGAGGCACAGATCATTAATGTAAAATGAATATGCCTAAATTAAATGAAAAGAGAAAAAGAAATTAAGGAAGAAATTTGGGACAGGACCCATAACAGCACTGCAATTAAAAAGATAAGGAAAGGAAATTCTCAGGAAAGACAAATAAATCCTCCAGATTCCAAGATGAGAAACTTGCTCTTAGGGGGAAAAAAAGATTAACATTAAAGAATAGCAAATTGAGGCGATTTAAGAAGTAAATTCAAAATATGGCAGCAAAAACTTCTGAATGCCAAATTTTAAGTACACTGATATAGTTTGGTTGTGTCCCCACCCAAATCTCATCATGAATTGTAGTTCCCATAATCCCCAGGTGTCTAGGAGGGTCCCTGTGGGAGGTAATTGAATTGGGAGGTGGTTTCCCCCATCCTATTTTTGTGATAGTACGTTATCACTGAGATCTGATGGTTTTATAAGGGGCTTCTCCCTTCACTCAGTTCTCATTCTTCTCTCGCCTGCTGCCTTGTGAAGGAAGACATATTTTCTTCCCCTTCTGCCATGACTGTTAAGTTTCCTGAGGCCTTCCTAACCATGTGAAACTGTGAGTCAATTAAACCTCTTTCCTTTATAAATTACCCAGTCTCGGGTATTTCTTCATAGCAGCGTGAGGACTAATATATACACCCGTTAGTCTCAAAACAATTCTCTCAAATTCTGATATACAGACCTTTAAAAAACAGACATCATCTACATGGCATTCTAAATTTTCTGATATTTTCATTCTTTACTAGCCACTTTCATTCTGCTGTCTCATTGTCTAAGTAAAATAATTTCAGAATGAATAACATAATAAAGTGTAAGTATACTAAAGCACAAATACTTTCTCTTAAAAAACAATTTCTAAGACCCCATTTAAGCAGAACCTAGATTTCTCCACCTTGTGTTTTATCCTTCATTCCCCAGTCCCAACCATGGGCAAGCTCTTTAATTTTTTTTCCCTCGGGTTCTTCATCTAAAGCAGGCGTTTTTGTTTTTTTTCCTAATTGCTTCAGTGATTACGCAAAAACAAAATGAGACAAATGCCCAAAAATGGTCTGTATAACATTTCTGCAATAAAGCACAAATGACAGAAGTCACTAAAGCTTGAGTGATCCTTAACTGTCCAATTTCCTTCTGAAACTTTACTATACATTACTACTATCTCTTGCCTTTTCTGTTTTTCCAAGTAATAATCTCTTCTTTTCTCTATTTACCCTAACCTTAAGAAACTCACAATTCAGATGAGAAAATATTTACTGGTTCTTCTGTAAAGATGTTCTAAAGATGTAGCTATATCTTTCGGTTAAATGAAACTAATCCTGAAACTTTTTTAAAAATAAAATCCCTACATTTTAAAATAAAATCTTTGCTAAAGTACATGGTTTCTTTACCTTCCTAAATGGTGTTCTTTGGTAATGTTAATAGCAGTATTAAGGGCCAGACAGTTGAGTAAAAAAAAATTACTTCTAAACTAAATGTTCCCACAAATGCTATTTTTAGGTCACGTTTATACACTATTCATACTTTTATGTGAATTTCTTAATTATCAGGGTACTCACTGTCATTTTTTAAAAAATGAATACACTACAATTTATCCATCCTTCTGTTAGACATTTAAATTTTTTCCAGTTTTTTGCTATTTCCCCACTGTCGTTTTTGATGTATTCCATATGCCTGATTCTACCAGCCAGTTTTCTGTTTTCTAGACTTTACTCCCATATTCATATCTTTATAATAGCTTTAATGATATATAATTTACATGCCATACAATTCATCAATTTAAATAAAATGTACAATAGTTTTTAGTATATTCAGAGTTGTGCAACCAATACCACAATCAATTTTAGAACATTATTAACACTATAAAAAGAAACCCTATATCCATTAGCACTCACTCCCATTTTCTCCCACTCTCCAATCCCAGCCCTAGGCAACCATTAATCTACCTTCTATCTCTACAGCATTGCCTATTCTGGACATTTCATATAAATGGAATCATACAATATATGGCCTTTATGACTGGCTTCTTTCACTAAATTTAATGCTTTCAGGGCTCATCCATTTTGTAGCATGTATCAGTATTTCACTTCTTTTTATTGCCAAATAATATTCCACTGAAGTATATAGCAAGTTTTACTTATCCATTCATCAGCTGATGGATGTTTGGACTGTTTTTATTTTGGGACTATTATGACTAATGCTGCTATGAACATTCTCATATTCACGTTCCATCAATATAGAAAGTCTACTAACTAGTTTATGGTAATGGGATGATGTGGATCATAGGGAGCCTGGATATCCACAGGAGACCAAACCAGGTCTTTTGTAAGACCTGGGGTGACTCCTCCTTCCCTTAGAAGTCAGTCACTTCCTAGAATCCGCTTATCTTCATCCCCTCTGCCACTACCCCTCAGTTCACATCTCATCTGGATCACTTCCACAGGCTAAACCCGCCTCAGCCTCCAGTATTGCCCTCCTCTAGTCCATTCACCCCAGGACAGGGCATTCATTCTAAAATGAATGAATTGGCTTGGGACGGTGGCTCATGCCTGTGATCCCAGCATTTTGGGAGGCTGAGGTGGGCAGATCACTTGAGGCCAGGAGTTCGAGACCAGGCTGGACAAATGGCAAAACCCCGTCTCTACCAAAAATATAAAAAATAGCTGGGTGTGGTGGTGTGCACCTGTAATCCCAGCTACAAGGTAGGCTGAGGCATGAGAATTGCTTGAACCTGGGAGGCAGACACTGCAGTGAACCGACGTTGTGCCACTGCACTCCAGCCTGGGCAACAGAGCAAGACTCTTGTCTCCCCCAACCAAAAAAAAAAAAAAATCATTTCATTTCCCTGTATCAATCCGTCAATGAATCCCTATGGCACTCAAGATTAAAGTAAAATGGCTTACCAAGCAAAAGGCCCTTGGATGATCTCGCCTTACCAATCTCCATAATCCTGACCTCTCGCTATTTCTGCTGCACCTATGAGGAACAACTGGAGTTCATTATTCCAAAGGCCTTGCTCCCTCTTCTCACCACTGAACCTTTGTACATGCTGCCCTCTCTGCCTGGAATTACCCGCAGTAGGTGCTTCCCCTTATGATGGAACTGTTTATTTCCTACCTTTTTTTCAATATGCCATCACCTCCACAATGACATACACTCCAAGTGAGTGAAATGTGTCTTTTCTCATTACCAGCGGATCTAGTACAATCAATGGCATAGAGTGGATTTTCAACACTATTTGTGGCTCTCATGAGGAAATGCTATGCTTATTAGTATACCTGAATAATTCCTGAGTAAGAAGGACTTTCCTAGGCTCTGGGGTTGATAAAAAGCTGGTAAGGAAATACAAAACACAAACCTTAACCTTGGCTTACCCCTCTACAACACATGCAAGCAACCCTCCCCTGTCAGGTCACATGGTTCATGATGAGACTAATATCCCTACTTCCTCACAGCCTCTAGAGTGACCAGGACTAGCCAAAATGCTGTGCCTTAATTTCAGCCCCCTGGCAAGATTGGCTCAGGAACAGGCAGGTAATCCAACATGGACCAGTGAGAGTCATTCCTGTAATTTTTTTTTAGAGCTATCAGGAAAGATCCTTTTGAGAGGGGATTGTTGACTGTTAAAATGACATAAGGCAGAGCTGCTAATGACCTTCTCTGCCATGACGTAAGGTCCTAATTGAAAAAAGCCAACACAAGAAAGTAGAGAAAAAGAGAAGGTCCTGATGACATCACTTAATTCCTTCCATCCAGACTTGCCCTGAGCCAGTTGTAGCTTTGGACTTCCCACTTACAAAAGGTAATAAGTTCCAGGTTTGCTTATACTGGTTTGAGTTGCATTTCTACACTTGCAGCCAAGGAGTCCATGACTACACACATCAAGAATCTATCTTCTTGTGTTAGTCTACCTTAGGCATTAAGAGACTATACCTACCTTTCAAGCATCTGCCATTCTGCATCACCATTTATATAGTTTAAAGCTCAGACAAAGCATATGCCCTATTCTTAGGGATACCTTAGTAGAAGCCATAACCCCTTGCCTCAGAGCTGAGTTTCTACCATTTCCTTTGGTGGGTAAAACAATGAAGGTAGGCTGCCAGAGCCAGGGTAGAATCCTAAGACCCTGGGAAATTGTGACATCTGAAGCTTTCAACCTATAATGGGGAAAATGATAAAAGACAGCACAGAATTGGACCAACTGAGGGGCGATCGCAATTCTGTTGCTTTCATCCTTAGAGACGTAAGATAAATCAAAATTCATCTGTTTTCTCAGAAATCAATTTGCTGAAATTGAAGGGTCAGGTTTGGTTGTATAGAATTCTTCCAAATTTCATGTAAGATATAGAAATACTGACCCATACACAATATACCAACTACTTCCCTATGGGTGGAGTAAATAGGATAGAACCAGTTTTTCTGAATATAGTGTTCATGAAATGTTACAAAATTGAGTGTTAATCTAAACTAGATTTCTTGGTGACAGGAGAAGATACTGAAATTGAGACATCATCTGTGTCCTCAGTGACTGGTATAGTACAGTAGAAAGAACGATATGACCAAGAATAATCAGAAAATTGGAGTCAAGCATAGGATCTACACCAAGCAGCTTTGGGGCTTTTTCCTACTAGTTAGTTATGCCTCATAGAAATCCATTCTACCCCTTACTTCCAGGCTCTTTTTCCAAAAGAATGACTTTGCATAACATCGTTGAGGGCTTCCCACTCATACACGATCTTAAGAATGGGAGGCCAGTGTGAGCTCTGTGGAGAGCATGTCACACGAGATAATGGGCATCTGCAGGGGAAGGCAGAGGGCTGGGAAGATGTGGTGTACACATCTGCATCCTGGCTATGGAAGCTTCTAATGTGAATTAAGCACTGGGAACCAGTTATTAAAATTTAGGAAAAAATAGGCTGGGCATGGTGGCTCATGCCTGTAATCCCAGCACTTAGGGAGGCCGAGGTGGGTGGATCACTTGAAGTCAGGAGTTCGAGACCAGCCTAGCCAACATGGTGAAATCCCGTCTCTACTAAAAATACAAAAATTAGCTGGGCATGGTGGCACACACCTGTAGTCCCAGCTATTTGGGAGGCTGAGGCAGGAAAATCAACCTTGAACATGGGAGGCGGAGGTTGTAGTGAGCCAAGATAGTGCCACTGTATTCCAGCCTGGGTGACAGAGCGAGACCCTGTCTCAAAAAAAAAAAAAAAAAAAAAAAAAAGGAAAAAATACATTAGAAATTCCAGGTATGAAAGACTCTGCAGTTGCATTAACTTAAATCTCTCTTCCACTTAGGGAGCATAAGCAGCTGGTGATACAGAAAAGATTATGCTGTGGCCTCTTGTAGATCAAGGGAAAAGGTGAATTAAGTACAAGTGGCTAGGGAGCATTCCCAGAAAAGCCTCTAAACTAGGAAACTCATCACCCCCCACCTCTTTGTTTTCTTGGATAGTAGCAGCAAAAGTAACAACACTCAACAGAATCAGAGGCTTCCAGGAAAAGAGAAACATAGCCTTCTCTTCCACATATCCTGCCTGAACACCATGCAGCAGTCCGTGGCCAAGGGTCAATGCTCAAGAGCTGCTCACAGTACCAGTTTTGAAAACACACTAAGCTTTAGAATTTCAGATCTTTACACCTGCAAAATGGAGATTCTACAACAAAGCCACTATTAATCAGAATACTCATGAGATAAGTTACGTTACCCCACTATCACCACCAAATGTGGTTCATCATTATTTATTATTCAAAGCCTTCCTAAAAGTGTATGATATAATTTCCTATTTTAGTAAAATATAACATTCAAAATATAATTTTATCTTTCTCTACAACTTAAGATCTTATAGTCTGTAGGAATATCATTCTGAATATTTGATACCAACACAAAATAATGAAACCTAAGAGGTGAGAGATAAGACCAAATGTCTACTAACCCCAACAAATTAGTGTGTACATATATATGCTGATTTCTAATTTCCTGAGATTCAATTTAACAGCAATGTAAGAGATTAAAATGCTATTTATTTGAGCATCTCAATATGGGGTTCATGTTAATCCAAGTTCATTATATCCAACTAGATGTATACAGATTGATTATAAAGATTAATAAAGATATATGATCATGCATATATCAAGGACTACAAAAACAACTGCCAACAAAAAGACTGTGCAGGCAACAGGATAACCTTATTATGGGTCCCGTCTTTTCTACTAATTAATTACATGAAATCAGCCAGGCCATAAGGCCGGGCACGGAGGCTCATGCCTTTAATCCCAACACTTTGGGAGGCCGAGACAGGTGGATTACTGGAGGTCAGGAGTTCAAGACCAGCCTGGTCAACATGGTGAAACCCCATCTCTACCAAAAATACAAAAAAATTAGCCAGGCATTGTGGCGCACGCCTGTAATCCCAGCTACTCGGGAGGCTGAGGCAGGAGAATCGCTTGAACCCGGAAGGCGGAGGTTGCAGTGAGCTGAGATCGTGCCATTGTACTCCAGCCTGGGCAAAAAGAGCAAAACTGCCTCAAAAAAAAAAAAAAAAAAGTAGCCAGGCTCCTGGACTTGTTTCTTCCCAATCATAAAATTTTCCTGTCAAAAATTCCATGATTCGTTCAATATTGCTAATAAGAGAGTCAGCTGGATACTACTAGGGTTGGTGTAATATTAAACCCAAGTGACAGGACCCACATCTGATGTGCAATGACGCTCCAGAGTGATCTCAGTGTCCCCATTTTCTAAAATACTAATGTACTCACAGTGTGTGTGCATGTGAGCACACATATGAATGAGTGTGTCTGTTCACAAAAACTGAATTTTCATTTTAGTAAACATCCAGAAGGCCACCCACAAGCAGGGCTAAACACTGAGAATAAAATTCAGTACAGACAGAGCTTGGCCCCAGGACTCTGGTTCATGCTGACTTAACTCAGGATCTACTAGTTTATCTTCTAGTGAACACATTCTGTAATTCAGTGCTAACACTGGTATCTTCCTTGGTTTATCCACGAAATTGAAGAGAGGCTTCCAACAGATATTCTAGGCAAAAATCAGAAAACTAATGGGGAATTTAAACTTTGCCATCGATAGGTGCGACTAGTTGTTCTTAGGGACATTAGTTAAATTGTATCATTTTTTTCCTTCACTCTCAAAGTGGAGATGTGTATTCGTAATACCAAAATGATGCATTTAAAATGGTCATTGATGAGTTTTTAAGTGCAGAGTCACAACAGATTTCTAGAAGCAATCTTTCAGACTGCTTTCAGTATTGAGTCCAGGCAACAAATACAATTTGCACAAGATCTCACAGCTACCACCTGGGAACAAGTGGGTGAATTACCGACTCACTGACTCTTATGCATGTTTGGTTCACTTACACCTTTTTCTGATGTAAGACACAAAGATCAAAGAGCCCAGCCTTAACTTTTATTTGCTATAGTAATTGGTAGAACAATCAGTAAAGAGGTATTAAAAGTCTTTATGTTGTCTACCTACCATTATACAGTATTTTCTGATAATATGTCAAAATAATACAAGATAAGTGTCCCTTACCCAAAATGCTTGAGACCAGAAGTATTTCAGATTTCTGGTTTTTTTCAGATTTTGGAATATTTGCATTGCACTCGCTAGTTGGCATTCCAAATCCAAAAATCTGAAATCCTGTACGTTCCAGTGAGCATTTCCTTTTGAGTGTCATGTTGGTGCTCAAAAAGTTGAGATTTTGGAGGATTTCAGATATGGGATGCTCAATCTACATTTATTTGTCTAATTGAATGATTTTTCTTCCCCTTTTCTCCAGGTTTACAATAACATATTTAGCAATAACAATGTTTAGAAGTATTCCTCTTGAATAAATAAGCAACATTCCCCTCCATGTTAGAAACAGCCCCCTCTCCTCACTAGATGACTGCCAAGAATGACAACACCCCTTGAAAACAGCAAGGTGCACTAGAAATGGGATGAGAGAGGCTGAAGAACACAAATGATCATCTGCTGGGGTCCACAGGTAACATGCTTCACCACTTTTATAACTCTTTTTAGATTCTCATCCTCAGAATCTCTGGACGGTGCTTTCAAGTGAGAATTTGTGTGAAGCCCTCCTTGGATACAAATTTGAAAAATAAATGTCCTCCTCTTTCTCTTTCACTCCTATTCTCCCTCTAAAAGGAGGCCTGACAGGGTGGAAGTAGATGGAGGCAAGGAAGTAGTCACAAAGAAAACATGTATTAAAAGAAAATTAGTAGAAATACTCAGTGATTTTCAAGAGAGCAATGTCCTAGAAAATAAATTTTGTAGTTGTTTATCCTCACTTTCTGAAGGTCTTTAGCTCTCATGATACTCATTTGTTCCTAAAAAGCTAGAAAGGGAAGACTATAATAGGGAGGGACTTTAACCCTCTCAGCCACCTTCTCCCATCCCCCTTTGTTACAAACTGCCTATCAGGTAACTTCAGATAATCTGTGGCTAACTTAATGAGCATCCATTCTTAAGGGATGGTATATACAAATGAGGGAGAACGTGTGTGTGTTGTGTGTGTGGGTGTGGTGTACGGAAGAGAGTGTGTATTACTGAAGGGGATTTCAACGTATCATGAGATTGTTAGGAAAGAAGCTTTGCCTCTACCCTCTGGCAGCATAAGTGAAGACTTTTAAGGCACAATATGGAGAGAGGAGACAGGAGAGAGGGAGAAGGGAGAAGGGAGAGGGGAGACGGGGAGAGAATTATCTCAACACAAAAACCACATACTAGAAAAAGAACAGATGTCCCACGGAGCAGGGAAGTAGAATCTATACGGGGAGAACAGATTAGACTCAAGTTGGTATCAAGAATAAAGGACCCTCAAGGTAGGCTTTACATTATATGCTCAATAAAACCAGACCTGCTCTACACTTTCCATCTGATGTAGCTACAGGTGACTACCTATAAAAAGGACATGGTCTTATAATATCCTTATATTCATGATAGCTTTTGAGAGCCTCATGCTTAACCATGTTTTATACTTCTTCAACTAGAGGTATTCTTCAAATAGAAAATATATCAGATACAATTTATTAAGGTCTAGTAAGAAAATTAAAAATCAACAAGAATTTACTTAGAGTCCTGTAGATACCCAAGTGTTATGAGTTCCTATCATTTAGCAAATAAATTTACTATGTAGTTAGACAAGGTTTAGAACACAGCATCCACCATTAAGTGCTCACATACTTCAGCTAAGATGATAACCAAGAGTCATTTTCCTACCTTTTGGCACTTGAGTCCCATTAATCAAGATTCCCCTTATTTCTGTGTTTCATTTCTAACTACTCCTGTTGTGATGATCTAAAATAGATGGCAGGTTGTAGCCTTCATAGCAAGATACGCACATGGCGAAGAACACTGAGAGACAGACAGCCATGGGCACAGTGCCCACTGCCCTTCCTGCACTCTATGCCTACTACATTATTGTACATTTGTTGATACACTGCTTTGTAATCCCATTCACGTAACTTAATGTTTGCCATTTCTCTTACTACACCGTAAGATGTGGGTAGGACTATATATATTGCTTCTGTATACCTAAAACATGACTACTTTACTGCATGCACTATCATTGCTCCAGAAATGAGTACAGACTAAATTGAAAAATGCTACCGGTTGGATGGGGAATGAAAAACAAATCAGGGCTTTCATGTAATCAACAAGTTCCATTTGTATCACTAGAGGAGGCTCTATGTCATATCAGAAAGAGATTTTTGGAAATATATAGTTTCAGGTTCAAATTCCAGAACTACCTACCTGACAATATGATTTAATTCATCTCTCTATACCTTAGTGTTTTCAGCTAAAAATGGGGTAAGTTCTCTCTCCCAAGCTACTGGTAAGAATTTGATGAAATAAAAAGCATATTATGCCTAGCAGAATGTAGGTATGCAAGAAAAGTTTCCTTCTTAAATTTGCACTTCTTTATATTCTAATGTATAAAAAATATTTCCAGGCTGTGTACAGTGGCTCATGCCTGTAATCCCAGTGCTTTGGGAGGCTGAGGTGGGAGGATCACTTGAGCCCAGGAGTTCAAGATCAGCCTGGGCAACATAACGAGACTTGTCTCTACAAAAAAATAAAAAATTAGCTGGGCATGTTGACTGAGGGAGGAGGATCACCTCTGCCCAGGAGTTCAAGGTTGCAGTGAGCTATGATTGTGCCACTGCACTCCAGTCTGGTGACAGAGCAAGAAAAAGGAAAAGGAAATATACATATATATTTCCATCTCTGTTTTAAAAAGATGTGGTCAAACCCTTGCTAGAAAGTAAATGAAACAAACTTTTCAAGAGACTTAACCGTGAGCTACAATATAAATACTCAAAGATAAAATTTTAAAGGTGGATTTAACCAGTGATTTAAGAAACAGCATGAATTGCTCAAACACTAAAAACATATTTCACATTATTAATTAAATTATCTTTACTATGTATGCTTAGAAATTGCTTTAAAAGACAAGAGAAAAAGAAAACGGCAGTTGTGAATAAAGTAAATTCTAGGTAGTAAGCAATTAAAACCTCTTTTTGTGTTCATGGTAAATACTGTTAATTATATCACAGATACTCATAAGCAACCAAAAACCCTGTGTATTGATTGTAAAGAGCAGCTGTAATTTCCCCTATATATATTTAAAACAAAACAAAACCCGGGGAAATCTGAGAGAAAGGATGGCCTATTTTTCTTAACATTTTATAAAATAAAAAGGCCATGTCTGTTAAGGTATGATAATCTGAAATATAGTCAAAATGAAACAAAAACTGTCCAATATAAATTAAGGGTTTTTTGGCCAGGTGTGGTGGCTCATGCTTGTAAACCCAGCATTTAGGGAGGCAGAGATGGGCGGATCACTTGAGCCCGGGAGTTAGAGACTAGCCTGGCCAACATGCTTAAATCCTGTCTCTACAAAAAAATACAAAAATTAGCCGGATGTGGTGGTATACACCTGTAATCTCAGCTAATCAGGACACTGAGGCAGGAGGATCAATCTAGCTCGGGAGGTCGAGGCTGCAGTGAGCTATGACTGCACCACTGCACTTCGGCCTGGGTGAAAGAGCAAGATCCTGTCTCAAAAAATATATTAATTAATTAATTAATTAATTAGGTTTTTAAAAGTAATTGAAAGGATTCTCTAGTCACTCTTAGAATGTAGTATTTTCTCTTTTTTAAATTTTTTTCTTTTCACTGCTGGAACAAAAGAATGTACTCTTTTCTAAATCAAAGCTGAAATTTGCTTTAGAATTGAAAACTTTCTTCAACTTTGCGTAAAAAGGTCCTATATAGGCTTCTGATTATGGGAATTCTAAATTACTTTTTAAGAATTTTTTTACTGAATAAAACTTGTGAAGTCATTTTTAAAGAGACGAATCAAAGGGAGTAGGGCTGGGCCCTGTTTTTCCATCTTTCAAAACAAAATAACCATGTTAATAGAAAAGCTAAACACACATCCTATTGAAAGCATTATCTGTGTAACCTCATTTGAAGCCACGAAACAGCATAATATCATTTCTGTAACCTGCATTTCCTTTGTTAATTAATGGCAGATTATCATGTCTGATAAAATAGGCAATTTATCAACTTCATGGACTTCAGTCTAGCTAGTAGCCACAATGATATGAGCCTGCAGACCCTCACTGTAGAGAAAATGGCATACACAGCATTAAGCCTTGTCACAGCCTTACCTATAATGACAAAGTCAGCCTGAAACTTTATTTTGAAAATTACTAGTTAATTCTTTTTTGGCTTTCTCCGTCTTTTGCTTGTTTGTTTGTTTGTTTTAAGAGAACCAAGTTTCACAAGCCAAAAACTGCAAATGCCAGATTGGGCTGGATTCCCAATTTGGCCTCTAACTGGCTAATTAGGTGCAAATCACTGGGCAAGTTATTTAACTTCTCAGTGCCTTTGTCTACCCGTCTTTAAAATAGGATCATAATAGCAGCTACATCATAGGTTTGAGGATTATGTGAATTACTATGAGAAAGGCTTAGAACACTACTTGGCACATGATAAGCACAATAGGCATGCTAGCTATTATAAATGATCTTTCAGTTCCAAGAATTTTTTATTCACTATGATGTGAAAGAGGAAGGGTTATTTTTTTTCCTTTTAAAAATATGGAGGAAATAGGCCGGTGTGTGGCTCATGCCTGTAATCTCAGCACTTTGGGAGGCCAAGGTGGGCAGATCCCCTGAGGTTAGGAGTTCAAGACCAGCCTGGCCAAATGGCGAAACCCCATCTCTACTAAAAATACAAAAAAAATTAGCCAGCATGGTGGTGCGCACCTTTAGTCACAGCTACTCGGGGAAGCTGAGGCAGGAGAATCGCTTGAACCCAGAAGGCAGAGGTTGCAGTGAGCGGAGATTGCGCCACTGCACTCTAGCCTGGGCAACAGAGCGAAACCCTGTCTCAAAACAAAAACAAAAAAAAAAAAGGAAGAAATAAATTACAATATTGGAAATAGATAAACACAGGGCACACACATTACGGTTTAAAGGAACATGCTTCTGCATTTAGGATATGTTAAAAATACATTTAAAAGATAACAGCAATATTTTACAAAAGGCTATCATTTCCTATTTCCAAAAGATACTTTAAAGAGGAAATTTGAACCTGACTTTGATACGCAATATGTCAGCGCACAAGTGCAAATAGTTTATGTGTCAGACAATAAAGATTTTATGAAATTTTGTGAATATTTTGAAGCAGCAGCAACAATTAAACATCTAACCTCTATATTAGAGAAAAAATTTAACTGTTCCCAAAGCATCTAGTTACAAAAAAATCTAAATTCTACTCAGTTAATAAAATAAAATCTACTGTTTTATATTAATAAGAAACTCATCAAACCAATTTGTCCAATAGATGTTTAAGTCAAAGAATTTTATATTTCTATTCTATTCAAATATAATAGCGTAAGTAATCATGATACAGTTTCAAAATACATGAGTTCAAAACTATCTTCTATTTTCATACTCTGTCTTATAACCCAGGAAACAGAAGTGTTTTCTGGACTGTAATAAAACCGCCACTTAAAAGGAAGAATTAGTAATCTAGATCAAATAGCCTTTTTAATGACAAAGAATTGAAAAGTTGAGAGATGAACTGTTTTCACTGGCCACTACTCTCTATATTCTAGAATAAGCTACCAATTCAATAATTATGACACAGCTGTTTCTTTTAAAGATAGTCTTTTATAGTCTAGGTAAAGATTTAAAAGTCTCAGTACTCATATCCAACACTGGTAGGTATCTTAAAAATTTCCCCATTCATCCTTCCACTGAAACTCTGGCCTATCACATCCTTGCTTTCCCAGTTCTTTTCACTTCTCAGGGAAACATGATAAAACCATGCTGGGGTTCTGTCATACTGATAGTTAACAAATTTCCAGACCATTAGGTTGACACTAATGTGTGACTTCTGCTTGTAAAATTTATGTAACTGGCACCAAAAAAGCCAAAACTGTTGGTTTAAAAAAAGGAAGTCCTTAATTCTACTTTTTAAAAAGTAGTGAAAACAAACAATTCCATACACAGTGGCACCACAAAAGCAACCTTGCATGGAAGCATGCAGTTAAAAGATCCTCCTCAAAATTGGACTACATTGATTTAAACTGTATGTTGACTCCCTACTTGGCCATTATTAAGTGCTACACACTTTTTTTTTTCTTTAAGAGACTGGATCTTGCTATGTCGCCCAAGCTGGGGTGCAGTGGCTATTCACAGGTAATCAGGACACACTACAGCCTCCAACTCTTGGGCTCAAGCAATCCTCCTGCCTCAAGGCTCCTGAGTAGCTGGGACTACAGAACACGCCACTGTGCTCAGCTAAATGCTACCCCTACGTATACTTCTTACTTTCTCTTTAATCTTTGTAGATGAGAAGGCAAAATATAATGGTGCCTAGGCCTCAGCTAAATGCTACCCCTACGTATACTTCTTACTTTCTCTTTAATCTTTGTAGATGAGAAGGCAAAATATAATGGTGCCTAGGCCAAAAAATACATTTCCATTGATTTTTTTTTTTTTTTTTTTTGAGATGGAGTCTCGCTCTGTTGCCCAGGCTAGAGTGCAGTGGCGCGATTTCTCGGCTCACTACCAGCTCCGCCTCCTGGGTTCACACCATTCTCCTGCCTCAGCCTCCCAAATAGCTGGGACTACAGGCGCCTGCCACCACACCCGGCTAATTTTTTGTATTTTTAGTAGACACGGGGTTTCACCATGTTAGCCAGGATGGTCTCGATCTCCTAACCTCGTGATCCGCCTGCCTCGGCCTCTCAAAGTGCTGGGATTACAGGTGTGAGCCAACGCGCCCGGCCTATTTCCATTGATTATAGACATCCATGAATCATTCATGAAATAGCAAACAAGGCTTAGACAACCTAATGCATGGAATTAAGATAAAAATCATAATTTGCAAAGCTTACTGTTAATTTCTCTGGTTTTCTCCCATTATACTGAGTCTCAAGCTAGCAATACAAGTCAAAATAAATAGAAATACCTATATCCTAATGCTAAAGAATCACAGTAAAATAAAAAAAACTTAATTGCATGGCTATGGATAATTTTATAAATGCTTAATTTAGACCCTTGTATCTAGATGTTATAAATGGTTCAAAATAACATGTATGAATTTCAGCTTAAAAAAAAAACAAAACTATAAGGTGTTTGATGGAAACAGCCTGACTTTACTTGCTATTTTATCTTTAAGGGGATTCTGGCAAAGTTAGCTGACTCAAATTCAGCACCTGCCTAGAAAATAACATACATCTGGCATTTGCCTTCCAAAGTGAAAGTGAACAGCCTAGCTAAAAATCCTACTAACTGACCCAAATCTAATGCCAAGTATTTCAAAAGTTACTGTGGTGGCATTTATGTGAAATTCTACTTGTCACAGACCTTCTCCCTGAAGCTAACAACTGTACCACCCAGACAAGTGGAATATTCAAGTTTGAATTGAACCCTAAGGACCAACAACAAAAACAACAAACAGATATGTATTTTATTAACAATCTATTAAACCACTTATCCCACTCCTATGCATAAATCTCTCCTGTTTTCTAGTACAGAAAGCATAGCTGAGAAATTATGGCCCACCCTAACTTTCTCAGAATATTCTGACACCAGTCCTACCTCCTCTAAACATGCTAACTCAAAAGATTTACACAAGATATGGACTGGTAATACTTTTCATTTTAATTACTTTCAAAGAATACCAGCTATGCCAACAGAGGTCACACTTAGAAATTTTCAATTTAAAAAAAGTTGCTCCCACAGTAAAGTGGCTCTAAGCTAAAATTCAATTCTCTTATACTCCAAGAAACAACATCCTTGTGCATTCTGAAAAAAAAATTAAATTACTGTCTAATTCTAAATACATGATTTCCAACATCATTCTACTTGTCTGTCCATATGAAGACAGCAATGCCATCATGCAGAATGAAGATTGCCTGGACTGTGATTTGTTCAACCTCACTAAGCAAGACACACCTACCTTAAGAGGTGCGTGTCTTCCTAAGAGCACACTCTGAGAGCTCTGTTAACACTAAGTAATAAACAAAACATTTACTAATGATAGCATTTTGTTGTTGTTGCTACTGCTTTAACCTCGATTCACATGGACAGATTAAGACTTTGAATAAGTTGGCCGGGCGGGCGCAGTGGCTCACGCCTGTAATCCCAGCACTTTGGGAGGCCGAGGCGGGCGGATCACAAGGTCAGTAGATTGAGACCATCCTGGCTAACACGGTGAAACCCCGTAGCCGGGTGCGGTGGCGGGCGCCTGTAGTCCCAGCTACTCGGGGGCTGAGGCAGGAGAATGGCATGAACCTGGGAGGCGGAGCTTGCAGTGAGCTGAGATCCACCCACTGCACTCCAGCCTGGGCAACAGAGCGAGACGCCGTCTCAAAAAAAAAAAAAAAGACTTTGAATAGGGAGACATATAATTCAGAAATCAGTGCCCTGTTTTTTGTTTGTTTGTTTTTGAGAGGAAGTCCTGCTCTGTCGCCAGGCTGGCGTGCAGTGGCCAGGTTGCAGTGCGGTGGCGTGATCTCGGCTCACTGCAACCTCCACCTCCTGGGTTCAAGCGATTCTCCCACCTCAGCCTCCCAAGTAGCTGGGACTACAGGCACACGCCACCATGCCCAGCTAATTTTTGTATTTTTAGTAGAGATGGGGTTTCACCATGTTGGCCAGGATGGTCTCGATCTCTTGACCTCGTGATCTGCCGCCTGGGAATCCCAAAGAGCTGGGATTACAGGTGTGAGCCACCGCACCCAGCCCTGAGGCAGGAGAATCGCTTAAATCCAGGAGGCAGAGGCTGCAGTGAGCTGTGATCTTGCCACTGCACTCCAGCCTGGGCAACAAAGACTCCATCTCAGGAAAAAAAAAAAAAAAAAGAATCAGAAAACCTAAACACAATGTAAAAATATCGAACAAGGAAACATGGAGTTAAACTTGCATGGATAGATAATCCTTTTTAATTTAATAATTTTTGGCAACCATTCTTTGTATTTCCTATAGCACTTAGCCTAGGCTAGGGATGGCCTAAGGGTAAAAGGAAGTCAGGAAGAGAGAAAGGAGAGTTAATGGTGCTGAATGATTTAGTTTAATGAGGAAAACTAAGCTAACCGGTTCACACTAATGTGTGCACATAAAAGGAAGAAAACAACAAGAAAAGAGTAAACTGCCTGTCAGTTTCCAACTGCTGGCTTTGTGTCAACAACACCCATCAGAAGATCATTTCAATGTGAGCCTACATCATCCTGAGTTCAGTAGTCCGTTCTGCGTATTAAGTGCAGAGGAGTCTACCCTGTGAGACCAGGATCGTGATTCTACTCTGAACAGTTAAATGACTGAGGGCATTTTGTCAACTTAAATTTTTTTTTTAATTCTACAGATGACAGTGCCTACCATGCTGTCATTTGAAGAAAATACCACAAAAATAGTGATATAAATAAATATGGGCAGATTTTGCCTAAAGCAAAAGATATATATTTCAGTATTCTCAATTTTAGTTTAGATTAATACTGATTTTCAGTAGATAGTGCCCAAAGCCTGATACCTGTACCTCAAATCAAAGTGCCCATATCTTCATGGATACATATACATCCAGTTAAATCAGATATCTAATCACAAATCTTCTCACATCTATGAACAAAGGAGGGATTAAAAACTCCAACAAATATTCATTTGAAATGTATTTCAACCATGTCATATCCAATATGGTCAAAGTTTCTCTTAGGCCTTGATATGCTTAATTTTTAGTATATAGCACTTAGTACACAACAACAAAGTAAACTGGTACTACATGAAGTATATATTGTGTTTTATTGTACAGTGGAGAACTTCTCCCCCATGTTGGTATTTAAGAGTTGGGCTGTACTTAGCATGTGTGAACAATTCACCAACCTACCTTCACCCTATCCTCCCACCCAAATCTTCCAACACAGAGAAAACTTATAAATAAATCCAAGGTCTATATAAATCCACAGTGAGTTCAACTTTCTGTAGTGAAAGGAAAATTACATTTCAAAGCTATATTGCCAAATAGATTTATATAACTCTTGCTCCTGTTTTGATTATCAATGCCAAGTAAATTTTATTGGCTAACTTTAAAAATGCTTAAAATGTGAGACTAGAACGGAAATACTGACCTAGCTGTACATTAAAAATCATAGTTCAGTCTGTTCAATAAGTTTTGTCTTTTTAACTCAAACTACAGAATTCCATTTTTCATATACTCAAATCTGGAATTTGCATTTACACTCATAGATACAACTCTTTTGGAAAGTCTAAGGAAGTATATAAATAATAATATTTTCAAATCAAAATCTTAAGGTATATTCAACAAAGTTGTCCTTCAGAACATTTTGTCCACTTTATAAATTTAAGACCCAAAATATAATAATTATATTTTTACATAGTATGTCCTACTCAGCTTTGAAAATAAACTAAGTAAGAGAAGCTAAAGTTCTATCTGAACCAACTCCTGATATACTGCAAGGCTATATACTAAACTTCATTTCTTCAATAGTTAAAGTATTTTTCCCAGAGATACAAACTATCAAATTTTTCAAGATAAAGGTTCTAAGTAATTCTATAGTCACTATATTTCAAACAATCTGTTCTTTGCAAGAAAAGTGATTTATCCAATGAACCACAGATGCCACTTACAATCTAAAATTTCTAATATTGCATGAGAGAAAGAATGCTGATTCATATTAATAGCATATCATGTTTACAACAGAAAAAGGAATTAGAATAGCTGTCCCCCATGCCCCTACCCATAATCTGTGAGTATAAAATCAAAGTCTCAGAGTAGAACTTAAATAGTTTAGGTAATCATTACATTTCAAATGAGTCGTCATGTTTCAGTTTGGAATAACAATTACAAGTTAAGGTCTCCTAATGAAATATAAGTGAAATAATGTTTGGCTTTTAAATTAATTTTGAAGTCTTCAAATATGAATATGATTTTCATGTACTACAATTGTTGTCACAAATATTCTTGTACTAGGGGTATTTAGGCAGAAAATGGAGCTCAGTGGTTAAGGTCAAGGTCTTTGGAGTGGCAAACTGCCTCTTACTTGATATGACCTTGGAAAAGTCATTTAACCTCTCTGAGCTTCAACTTCCTTATCTGTTATTTTGAAGACAACCAAAAGGCACTTACATAATGCCTAGCATACAGTAAAAGAGCAATAAGTAATAGTTGTTATTAGTATTATCAGTAGAATCTCTGCAAATTGCACTTGTAAAATAGATGTGAATCAGAAACAGCTGTATAATCCCTAAAATTTTACTTTCAATAATTCTTAAAGGTCAGACTTAATTCCTTCTATAAATGAAAAATCCTGATGGCAGAAAGAGAAGCAAATGTCTGAAAAAGGTAAGAAAGAACAAAAAAATAAAACGAGACAAGAACCCAATAACAACTGACATCCTGAAGCACAAAGAAAACTGTCATGGACACAAGGAAAGGAAATAAGTAGTCAGCTTATAAAATTATGCCTACCGCTACCTTTGATAATGAGTTCAAACACATCAATATATAGGGCAGGAAAATGACCAAAACATTTCCCCAACCTAGAAACAAAAAACGAAATAAGTTACATTTTGTATCAAGTGGCAGGTAGTGGGAAAATATTAATTTATTTGGTTTGCAGCGATATAAACTGGACAACTTTCAAATCTACTTTGCTCTCTATAAATATACCACAAAACACATCTAATATGTTAATATGATCCAGTATGGAGACGAGAAGCTGCCACACTTCCTTCAGGTTTGTTCTTTACTTGATTGTAAGAACCTTCTGGGACAGTGACAAAATAAATGTGGAATTGGAAGAGTTATCTTCTTAATTCTACCCTGATTAAGCATATTTGGATACACAAAATATCTAATACAACTAATTTTTCATAACATTTAAGAGCTATATACCTTAAGTTCACGGTATAAATTAATTTCATATCTAGAAATAAGCTTAAGAGTCTGGGCGCAGTGGCTCACGTCTGTAATCCAAGCACTTTGGGAGGCCGAGGCAGGCAGATCACTTGAGGTCAGGAGCTCAAGACCAGCCTGGCCAATATGGTGAAACCCCGTCTCTATTAAAAATACAAAAAAAATTAGTGGTGCATGCTGGTGGACACCTGTAATCCCAGCTACTCATGAGGCTGAGGCAGGAGAATCGCTTGAACCCATGAGGCGGAGGTTGCAGTGAGCCAAGATTGCACCACTGCACTCCAGACTGGGTGAAAGAGCGAGATTCCATCTCAAAAACAAAAAATGAAATAAGCTTAATAAACTATTTCTATTTGTATTTACAAAGTTCAGTGTCTCTGAATATAAATATATTCTTAATGTTTATTACCCGATAATTACTTTAACAAACGTTTATTTAGTCTTTACTGTATACCAGGCACCATCCTAAGTGTTAGGGATGCTGTTTTGAACAAGATAGAAATGGTCCCGATGTTCATGAAGCTAGCAGGGAAAGTTGTAAAGAGTAAGTAAAAATATATCACATGATCATAAATATTGTGATAAAAATCAATTTCAGCTGTGTGATACGGAGTGCTTGAGAAGCTATTTTACACAGGTTGGACAAGAAAGGTTGGCTCATTGCATTTTATAACATCTACCCCTGTAAGTCTGAGATTTGCTGCTAAAATCTGTAGTAACTTTTCTTTTCTCCTCTTTTATGCTAGTTTGCTAAGAAATGAGAAATACCACCACTCAAATTTTTACATATAAAAATAAATATAATAAACATTTTGTCAGGCTATGAAATTAGAATAAACTGTAATCAACTCATCCAATGGGTATAATGTAAACTCATCCCAAATAGATATAGTAACCACTGATAAACAGATATGAGCATTTTACCTTTAAATGTTATTTCCAATACATTTGTAAGGAACTTTCATAATAAAAATGAAATATAGACAAATATACAGTTTATTGTTTTTATTTAAAATCATCTTATTTACATATTTTCCTAAACTATATAAAGAATTTTAAAATTTTAATTAAATATCAAAGTATCCAATATGAAGAATTCAACGTTAACTCACCTGTGCCTGTAAACAGTGCAGAAGATCTATAAGTGTGTAGCCAAATCCAAGAGAAATCTGTAATATAAACAAACAAATAAACGTGAATAAAATCTGCAGAATCCTAAGATTCCTTAGAGCAGATGTGATTTTTATAACCGATTTTCAAAGTAATACTTGTTAATTGCCATCAATACACAAGTAATATGCATTAATAACATCTCTTATTAAATCGCATGGTAAATCAAGAAGTAGACTTGCTGCATTACTTTTATTTGTACAAGGTAATGTAAAATATATAAGGCTGCATTTCATTGTGAATTATGAAGTGCCTACAAATTCTGAGTGGCCGTCCTTATACTTTAACTGCTTGTCTAACCACCAGCCTTCCCTATGAGACAAAAAGCTGAGTAAAAGCAGGAGGCCCTAGTGACCTACTCCCACACTGCATTCCTAGGGCTGTGCCCAGCACATTGTAACAGGCAGAAAATGTGTGCTGAATAAATAAAGAAAGTTCCCATGCTAATCTTAATTTACCATGATTTACAGTTTACCTATATGGAACCAAAAGGCCTGAATGACTAAATAATTTCTTATCTCAAGAATTATCTTTTATTTTCCCCCCTTCAGAGACAAAATTTCGTTCTGCTACCCAGGCTGGAATGCAGTGGCACTATCACAGCTCACTGCAACCTCAAACTCGTAGGCTCAGGTGATCCTCCCGCCCCAGCCTCCCAAGTAGCCAGGACTACAGGCATGCGCCACCACACCCAGCTAATCTTTTATTTTTTGTAGTGGTAGGGTCTTGCTAAGTTGCCTGGGCTGGTCTCGAACTCCTAGCCTCAAGTGACCTTCCTGCCTTGGCCTTCCAAAATGCCAGGATTACAGGTGTGAACCACCATGCCCAGCCAAGGACAGCCTTTATGGCAGTAAAAATGATGTTATAATAACCAAGATAATTTGCAAGAGAAAAGGTGAATAAGAAAAGGAAGAACTGAATATTTTCAATAATGAGGGCAACTGTTTGCAATGTTTCTTCAGAGTCTGTGTCTTTGTGAACAAAGTGCTTCGCTGTAAATGAGCCTGCAGCTTTTCGTCTGATCCTTCCACTGCACCAATTAAGTTTGTTCCCAAGAAACACAATGAGGAATATGAAAACAAGAAGTATGTGCTTACGGCATTTTATGTATATTAATATTTACTGCTTTTGTATATTTTATGGACTCAAGAAAAGTGGCTTGATTGCTACTAGTAACGATACTGAAAATGTATCTCTTTTTAAGAATAATTTTTAAAAAACATTAAACACTACTAGATTTAATCAGCTCCAAGGAATGTTTTTATAACTAAGCTACTAGATTTTTCTTCCTTCAAATGACATCCATCAGTAAGAATTTACAATTTGGATTATCAAAACTTAAAACATTACTAATTCCTTTAAGAGCCCTTTACTCGTTAAAACAGTAAATAGAATCCAATAGCACAAACAAGTTAACATCAATTTAATATCAAAATTACTATTTTTCTTGGACACTAGAAACATCTGATTTCATAATCTAAAAGGTCTACAGGGGAGAGAAACAGAAAAAGATGGCATTTTGATTTTTACCAAGACCTGGCCAGTCTTGAACTCATCATATATAATGAAATGCAGCTAGTGTATTAGTCAGAGATACTTCATGAAAAACAAACAAAAAGAATCTATATGCAAATAAGAAGTTATCACAGTAAATAAAATGAATGGATTCCACTCAAGTGGCAGTCAGTGAATAGTGTGCAATAAACTTAAGTAATAGGAGTCATCAACTCTTTCTAACACTACTGGGATAAATGTATTCATTATGCTGGCCTACTTAAGCCCGTTATAATTCTATACCAACAACTAATTTGCTCAAGGACATCATATTATGCAACAATCAGGAGCTGAAACTTGTGATATTAGTAGGAATTATATTAAATGATTACTGTTGGCTCTATACTATTCAGTAAGCTTTTATTAATAAGCTACCATAACATGAGGCAAAAGTGTCAATGCACCCATGCTAAAGAAAGATGTTAGCCGGGCGCGGTGGTTCACACCTGTAATCCCAGCACTCTGGGAGGCTGAGGCGGGTGGATCATGAAGTCAGGAGATCAAGACCATCCCGGCTAACACGGTGAAACCCCGTCTCTACTAAAATACTAAAAAATTAGCCGGCCGTGGTGGCAGGCGCCTGTAGTTCCAGCTACTCGGAGGCTGAGGCAGGAGAATGGCGTGAACCCAGGAGGCAGAGCTTGCAGTGAGCCGAGATCGCGCCACTATACTCCAGCCTGGGCGACAGAGGGAGACTCCAACTCAAAAAACAAACAAACAAACAAACAAAAAAAACCAGAAAGATGTTTAGGAGATATAAAGATACTAAAATTTCCAAACATCTAGATACCTTGGTGTAACATTTTAAACAAAAAGAATAAAATACTTCCATAAAAACAGAATTACAAACTTTTTTATAAGTTACTAAGAGAAACTAGTAGTCATTTAAAGCAAAAGTGGAGGTAATAAAAGCTCTATAATAAAGAAGCATCTCGTTACTGCTCTGTCCCGAGAGTTTTCACAAAGCCCCTCTAAGAATGTGTTTCAAGGGAAGGAGTAGGGATAATTTTGGGGATATCTGCAAAATAATTATCTGATAAAGGACACATATCTAGAATATATTATATAAGGAGCTAAATTATTTGATAAAGGGCATGTATCTAGAATATATAAAGATCTCTTACAACTTAATAATAGGACAAATAATTCAATTATTTTTAAATGGGCAACATATTCTGCAACTCACCATGAGATATACAATAAGGAAAAGTACATGAAAAAATACTCAACATCATTAGTTATTAGGAAAATGGAAATTGAAACCACAATGAAATATTCTACACAACCAGTAAAATTATCTGAAGTGTTGACAAGGATATGAAGAAATCAGAACCCCTTTTAATCCACTGCTGGTAGAAAATGCAATAGTACAGTCATTTGGGAAAACAGTTTGGAAGTTTCTCACTACACAATGCAATTTTATCCCTGATGTTTTCATTTCTCTTGGGGAAGAGATATCCATACAAAGAGCTGAATGGAAATGTTCACAGCAGTTATTGTCCACAATAGCCAAAAATTGTAAACAATACAAATGTTTATCAAGGGATTTTCTTAAATGCTGTACATCCATACAGTGGAATACCACTCAATAAAGGGGAATGAATTATCAATATGTGAACAACACAGATGAACCTCAAAAACATTATGCTAAATGAAAGAAGACTGACACAAATACAACACACACTGTATTGTATGATTCCATTTATTTGAAATTTCTAGAAAAAGTAAAACTATAAAGACAGAAAACAGGCTGATGGTTTCCAGTGTCAGGATATGGAAATGGAAACTGACTAAAAATGGACACAAGATAACTTTGTGGGGTGATAGAATTGTTCTAAAACTGAATTGTGTCCTAAAGAA
This sequence comes from Homo sapiens, assembly GCF_000001405.40. Taxonomy (NCBI): domain Eukaryota; kingdom Metazoa; phylum Chordata; class Mammalia; order Primates; family Hominidae; genus Homo; species Homo sapiens. The sequence goes on from NC_000008.11 coordinate 70,300,216, forward strand.
GATGAATAACAGACACAAGATATATGACTGCAAAAATGTACTGAAACTCCTGCTACTTAAAATGGGTGCATTTTATGGTCTGCAAATTATACTTAAATTTTTAAAATGCAAAAAAAAATTTTAATGTTAAAAAATATTTTAGTGATTTTTCACAAATGCACCTGTGTGTCCTTGCTCTTTCTTGTGTGATAGCTACAGTTTCCGCGTGAGTAGGGATCTAAGGGTAAAGGTAGTTCTAGCTGCATATGGTGGTGTGAACACCTGCCAAGTAGAGCATCAACTAGCAGGTGGAGTAACACCTCACGAGTCTGAGGCAAAAAGCAGTCAGGACTGAATCTACACCACACATAAATAAGACAGCTGGCAGCATTAGAACTGTGTAGGTTAATGGCAGGGCGTGAGAGAGAACTGAAGAAGATATGCTCAATATTTCATTTTATTTATTTTTTAAGTGAATGGATAGAAACAGACCCAGAGGAAGCAATGGAAACTGGGAAGAAAATGAAATGACAGCTGTAATACTGGCTAAAAGAACATTTTAATTTATAACTACTATAATAAGAGATGTGCCATACTTTTTTTGGCTTAACAACAATGTAACAATAGCATCAATAGCATTTATTGAATGCTTATTCTGTGAGAGCACTGAGTAGAGAACTTTTTGTGTGTTACCTAATTTAACCTTCATAACAATCCTATGAGGGTAGGCCCTGCTACTATCATGTCCACCTTATAGATACAGAAACCTAACTGGGGAGTGAAGAGCTCTCTCTAAAGCCAGAGAGCTGATGAACTAGCAAAAGTCTGGGTTCTAACCCACAAGAGTCTGACTCTGGAGTTCATACATGATCTTACCCAGTAGGCTGTTACAGAAGGTCACTGTTTTGATAATGCTATTTTTGCCAACTTGATTTGAAAAAGCAAATGGCAGAAATGTGACCAACCTGAAAACTGCCTTCTTGAGGTTTTTGGTATAGTACTAACAAGACCAGCAAAAGGTATTCCCTATATCTTGCACCTTTGGCAGACACTATTATTAAATCTTGGCATTATTATTTTCTCAGCCCAAATGTAGGCCTCACAATTTTCTCAAAGCTGCTACCAATCAAAGGATGCAATCACTAATAGAGCTGGATGTAAATAAAGATATGTCTGTTGCAGGGCATGGTGGCTCCCGCCTGTACTCCCAACACTTTGGGAGGCTTGAGCAGGCATATCACTTGAGCCCAGGAGTTCGAAACCAGCTTGGGGCAACAAGGTAAAACCCCGTCTCCAAAAAATACAAAAAAATTAGCTAGGCATGGTGGCGCATGTCTGTAGTCTCAGATACTCATGAGGCTGGGATGGGAGGATCACTTGAGCCTACGGATGTCAAGGCTGCAGTGAGTCGTGATCACGCCACTGCATTCCAGCCTAGGTGACAGAGTGAGACCCTTTCTCAAAAAAAAAAAAAAAAAAAAAAAAAGAAAGATATGTTTGTCAACTCAAAACAACCAAGTCAATTTTTTCATGGACAACTGAAAACATGGAACAAACAGGCTGTTGGAAAGAGATGACTAAACAAAAGGGCAGCCCAACAACTATCACACTTCATGTTTCAGGCCAGCCAGCACCACCTTAATCAAGCCAGCCAGACAGACTGGCAGGAAAAAAGAGAACGCACAGGGAACAGAAGAAAAAGCTAAGGAAGAACTGCTCAAATTACTTAAGATTTTTCAATAGTTCCAGCCAAGCACATGTGAATTTATACCCATAGTGTACACTCATAATATATGATTAATACAAAATTTATTTTTCCCTTTTTTTTGCTTAAAAGCACAAACTCTCAAACACAAAAAACACCTTTAAGTCACCACAGGATATAACCCCAAGAAGAAAGTCATACTTTCACGACTTACCTTTGAAAACTATTTCAGATTATTGAACATGATATTGTTATTATACAAATATATTACATATATTTGTAATGCAAATGTGTCCTAATATATAGCCTTCATGTGAATTTTAATAAAATAGTAAAATTCCAAAGTTTCACTGCAGAAGACTTAAT